>NC_000008.11:72802265-73427265 GCF_000001405.40 Homo sapiens
ACCCCTAAATGGATAGACGTGGCATTAATTATTGGTAACAATAGTTACCATCCATATAGTCACTGCTCTTAGAATAACACAGAGTATTGTCTTCAGTCTATAAAGTCACACATGCACAGAAAAATTCTTGTTTCCTTAGATATTGTCTTTAGATATACACTCAAAAGTATTGATGTTCTTTCTTTGCTGATATTATATTAGTTTTAATTAAATACAAGTTGTAGTATACTAAGGACAGATGCTTATTTTGTTTTTTAATCAACTTAGAGGAAGTTTTTTTGGGTCATTTATGTGTTTGGCAATGTGCTATGTAACCATTCTTCCTTCCATCACTTGTTTGTTTATATCTTACTGGGGATGACAATATTGAAAGTCTGCAACTAAAAGCTACTCTGAAGCCTGACTTCATTCAGCATGTTCATGAATTCATCATCTTAGGGAGCCACCTTATTGCTGCCACTGTTGTTAAGGGCCCTATTTGATACCCCTAATGGAGACTAGCATTCTCTGCCATCCATTATGGTTTTCATGTTTGGTTAAAGTTCAGGCCCAGGATAAGCAATAATGACCTAATTAGTAGAAATGTAAACAGCTTCCTTCTCCATCTCTTTCACATCAATAAAAGGTTTTCTTCACTCTTTTGATGAATGCTGTGGAATGTCTGAAATATCTGTCTCTGAAAACTGGTGTTCAGTGAAAGATTTATTTCTATCTAAATGTCCTTAAAATGTACCACCCAAATCTTTGAAAAGTTGTGCGACCTAGAAAAATGATCGCCACCATGAGACACATCCTCACTGCTGACAACTGTAGCTCTGTGTCCATGGTCTCGACCTGTGGAAATGAAGAAGGCAGAAAGCACTTCCTTCACGTTGCGGGGTGTATAAGGAGCAAGGGCAGCACAGATAGACAGCATCAGCATCAGGGAGTCAGAGCAGATGATTGCTGACCCGGGCTGGACCCCCAAGAGCCAGCCAACTCCCTGTCCTCTGTCTGTTGTGGACACAGCAGTCCACCCTCCATAACTTTCCCTGTATTGCCTGCTGCTTCCACTCCAGAATGGTTTCAGATGCCCATGTCTTGTTTTATAGCATCTCACCAATATGTTCCCAAACTTCCCTGATGGCAGGAATGTTCCAAAAGCCATTATAGTCACTCTAGAAAACTAGGAACTACATCACCAAAGTAGCCTCCTACCTGGACCACCAACATCACATCTCTATACACTGGACACAATAGTACTTTCACATACCCATGGTAACTAAAATACATATCAAACTCCCAAAGAAGTCCTGGTGTATAAGACTGTGTAGTAAATATCAGTTCCCTCCTTCACTCCTCTCTATAATCCTGTGAGATTACGGGTCTGAAAGAGAGGGAGTTAACACTACCTGCAGAAAGTGACATAAGAATTTAGTATCCCAAGATTAGTTTTGGCCTAAGGGCAGGAGGATGCAATGCTGAGAGAAATGCAAATGAGTGAAGAGATGTCTGGCAAGGGCAGAGAGAAGCCAGAAGCATGAACGAGGGTTACAAACTGTGCTTCTTCTGGGCTGCTGGGATAATGGGGTTGGAAGAACAGAGAAAGCAGGAAGGAAGAGGTGAGTAGGCCTGACCTTGGGCAATAGCTTTACCTTTCCATTCCAGGTAGAGAAGTGTATCTGTGCAGGCAGGAAGGCACTTTACAAGGGTAGCAGAAAGTGGTGTGTTCCAGAAAAGAAAGTGGTTCAGCATGCCAGAATGAACGCACGTGAGTGGACATGGCGGGAGAGGGTCTGGAAAGGAAGTTGGGTCTGCTTGTGAGGACTTGCAGGCCTTGTACAGAGTCACCCCTATCCCCAAGGCAGTGGGAAGCAATCAAAGGACTGTTAAACAAAAGGGCAGTTTCTGTTAGCACAAGTACAGCCAATATACTGAAGTGGGGAGAGATTGTAGAGAAGCAAAAAAGAAACAAAATAAGGAAGCTTCTTCAGTAGTCCAAGGCAACGGCTAACAAGAGCAAGTATACCTGCCTTCCTCCCGGTTTTTTTTTAACCTCCGTGTTACTACATATCCTTCTCTTTACTCACTGCTGTGATGGAATATGGAGCCTAGAAAATCTAGTCTATTTTGCATTATAAAGTATCATCAGGATATGAAAACTGCTAATGGTCATTTGGAAATAGGATCACAATGGGGAAAGATTGAACACCTAGGAACAGAAAAAAGAATTAATTAAATTAAATCTTGTGCTGATGAAGATTAATATTGGTATTTGATTGCACCTCCATTAAAGGTTTTCCAAATCAAAAGTTTTAATCAATGTGTTTCTTCCTGGCTTTCCATACCACCCCAACTCCCCTGAGGTTAAGCCAAATTAACTTCTAATTAAAACATAGCATTTGAAAATGACTTGTGGGGCTTTGCCACATAATTAATAAAATGAAAAGAATGGCAATTAAGTTCTGAAAATTCATTACCTCATTGAGCAAACACTATTGGAACACCTGTTGTCTGTAGTATTCGACTTATATGCTAACTGTTGGCACTACCAAGATGGAAAAAGCTATTCCTGCTTCTTAGAGCTGGGGCAGAGGCATGGAATGGGTACGTCAGGATTGGACTGAGTGAGAGAAATGAAAAGGAAATCCTGGACCCCACAGGTTTCACAGAGGAGTGGGTCTTTTGCTCCTTTGAGTAGATGTTGCAATGAGAATATCAACCTCAAGTCATTAGGTTAAAGATGAGACATGGCTGCGACTCTTCCGCTGGGCACTGGGGTCAGATTGCCAGGTTCAAATCCCAGTTGCTCACTTACCAGCTCAGTCTCCTCACTGGAAAAATGGAGAGCCTCACCTCACAAGGATAATTCTGAGGATCATGTGCGTTCATACACACGAAGTGCTCAGAGCCGTGCCTCACACACTGTTATCATTGCCATTAATATTAAGATCAGTAGCCAAACACTTTACAATAATGAAGAGGAAAAATAAAATAAACTTCAGCAAGATCAAATATGTCAGGAAAGAAATATCTTTCCCCAATGTCTCCTCCCTCTACAGAAGTATATTTTCTCCCTTTGGCCATGGTTCTAATCAGAGAGTTATCATTTCTACAATCAGACAACCACAAAAAAGATACTGTTGCTCTCACTTTCCAAAATTCTGCCTGGCCTCCTCCTGAGGAAAGTGTGATATGGTGCTGTGTGGATCCCCTAAGGGAATTAGAAGATGGAGTTGAAGAACATTATCTTAGACTATAAGTCTGTCTGCATACAGCTATGTTCTCAAAGATTATTCCTGCTGCAAATAAAGATCTTGGGAAAGAGCAATATAGAGTTATCACAGTCTATTGACCCAAAGATGTTTAAAATTAGCCCTTTTTACCCCTCATTAACCAGATTGATTCATGCTCCTCTCACCCCTAAACTCATTTTCAGTCTGGTTTTTTAAATGGTATAACCAACCAAAATGCTTACAATTGTTCTCGAGGTATGTGACCCTACCAACATCATTATGCCCCTTTGGCCACTTCATGAAATGCTTCTCTGTAGTTTGTTGGCATAAAACCTGCAAAGGTAACCTTTGTGCAAAAAGAGACCTGACTACTGGAACCATGTATTAATAATGTCCTTCTCTATTAGCAGTCAAGGTGTTGTAGGAAGGGCATTGGGCTGGATGAGGAAAAGAGACCTGGCTCTAGTCCTGGCTGTGACCTTGAGAAACCACAACTTCTACAGCTTCAATTTATTCATTGCAAAGGGGCAGCAATAGACTTTGTAACCCCCTATTGTTTTACTTTACTTCATGCTCTCAATTCATTAAAAATGATGAGGCCAGACATGGTGGCTCACGCCTGTAATCCTAGCACTTTGGGAGGCCAAGGTGGGTGGATCACGAGGTCAGGAGTTCAAGACCAGCCTGGCCAACATGGTGGAAACCCATCTCTACTAAAAACACAAAAATTAGCCGGGCATGGTGGTGCGTGCCTGTAATCCCAGCTACTTGGGAGGCTGAGGCAGGAGAATCACTGGAATCCAGAAGGCGGAGGTTGCAGTGAGCTGAGATCATGCCACTGCACTCCAACCTGGGTGACAGAGCGAGACTCTAAGAAAAAAAAAAAAAAAAAAGAATAATTTGGCCAGGATCAGGAGATCCAGACCATCATCCTGGCTAACATGGTAAAACCCCATCTCTACTAAAAAATACAAAAAATTAGCCAGGCATGGTGGCACATGCCTATAGTCCCAGGTACCAGCTACTCAGGAGGCTGAGGCAGGAGAATCACTTGAACCCGGGAGGCAGAGGTTGCAGTGAACTGAGATTGCACCACTGCACTCCAGCCTGGGCGACAGAGTGAGAATCAGTCTCAAAAAAAAAAAAGATGAATAATTTAATCAAAGATGTAATTGAATAAAATCCTTAATAGAAAACTGTAAGATTATTTCATTTCTTCATTCAACAAGTATTTATTGAATGTCCAGTGTGCACCTGAACCAGGTACAGTGATGGGACAGGTAGTGGACAAGGATGGGTCTTTAATGGAGCATATATTTTAATGGGCAGAACAGACAATAAACAGAGAAATTAGCAAACTAATTTCAGATTGTTGGAAGTGCTCTGAAGGAAATAAGTGAGTGATGAATGAGAGAACAGCAGAAGGGGGCTCACACAGCTAAAGAATGTATCACAGATCTCTCTTTCTTCTTCCCTCCCTCTCCTCTTCTCCTCACCCCCTTTGGGGCAGATACATCTTAATGGTGGCTAGAATGATAAAGATTGGCATGAAGGAAATGGCACGAAGGAAAAGGAGGAGAGGTTTCCTAGAGAGGGTGCAGCCCACTACAAAAACCCCAAGGAAGGAAAATAATTGGGATTTTTAACAAAACTACCAGGCCTAAGTATGCACACATTAACAGCCAGTGGAAGATATATGGCTGTTTTTGGAAGCTGCAGAGATATGGTTCACAGCACGCAGCCATGTAGGTTATGTCCTATATCTCAAAACATGTCTCCTCCCAAAAGAGCTCTTGAGATGAGCATATGAACCATATACTGTGTGAAAGCCAATACAAGCAAGCTGTTTTCTGGGATACAAGGTTCTTGTGAGAATCATATGAGATGCTCTTGAGTAAGCCTTTGTAAACTTGACCACCCTGCAGGTATAAGTTATTACTGTGCTTCCTGCTAATATAGATCTTGTTGATGGCTTCTGAAAGCACCATTCACCCTAAGTAGACATTCGGAATGGCTCTGTGGGCAGCTGTGTTCTTTCCTGCTTCTATCTGCCTTTGCATGTATCAGACTAACCTTGCTTGGA
The DNA here is from genome assembly GCF_000001405.40 of Homo sapiens. Taxonomy (NCBI): domain Eukaryota; kingdom Metazoa; phylum Chordata; class Mammalia; order Primates; family Hominidae; genus Homo; species Homo sapiens. Next base: position 72,807,564 of record NC_000008.11, read on the forward strand.
ACCCTACTCAGAGCATCACAAAGGTGAAGTCTGACCTTTCATTATCCAGACAGACAGATTTGTGTTTGACTTGCTCACTGTGTCCCAAAAAACTGCTCAGCAGCATGAATCAGAAAACACCATCTAGATGACATCTGGGCAGGGGATAGCCAGCTACTTCTGTGTCACACAAATGAAAAGCCAGAATAAGAGTCTCATTTGGGTCACGCATTTCTTCAGGATAATAAATAATAATAAATGAAAGAAAGAAATGTAGATAAAAACGAGCACATGTAAAGAAGTGAGCATTTTTCTAAATCCTCTGATGAGTTAGTAAGTGACATACTAATTTACTTACTCTTATTTCTTTGGTTTAAATAAGAAATTAAAGATAAGGAAACAGAAGGGCAAAGCCAGTTAGTAAAGGTGAGGTATGAAAAGAGCTGAAATATTGCCAGAATATCCTACCATGACAATCTCCCGATGCTAATCTTGCCAACAGTTTCAATGCAAGTTATACAAGAACCAAGAATCTTCATGTTGCAATGTTTCTTGGTTTGCCCAAATAGACCTTCAATTTGATTTCACTGAATCTTATGCTGACAGGGATCAGTACTGCCCTGAAACATGGTTTTCTAATATGAGCTCCAATGCCATGAAATAGGATGGATTTTATCAATAATTTCCTGCATATCACTGATAAATTTTAAAATCTATACTTTGATCAGAAGTCAATCTAAATATATATAATAATCTCATAATATTTTTTGAATATTTTTTGAAGCTTCATACTATTTCTAAATAAAAGCTTTAGATTTTTAGATGACAACATACGAATGAACTACTAAATGATCTGTTTCATGTCATAGTTTTTAAAAGCACCTAATATAGTGCCTGGCATATAATGGACAACTCAGTAAATGTTTCTTGAATGAAAACTGTTCAGCACAGTCTATTTCTAACAAGAGTCAATGTAATCTAGCCCCCATACAAACCTTAAGTGTGATCTAGAATCCATATCCTTCATTTATAAAGTGGATTAAAGTTTCAGAGGATGCTTGCAATTAGAAATATTAGCCATGAAGCTTTTAGTGTCTTTGCGGACATTTTTCTAATACCATTGAGGATTAGATCATTTAGTAAGAAAATAGACAAAGATCCCATGTACTTGACATAGTGCCCCACCCCACCCCCAAGCCAGCTCTTCAGCTAGTTGATGCCTCCTTATCTATCTAGTTCAGGGTCATGTCCTAAGGGAACCTTCCTGACCCTAAATCTGCATCAAATCTTTTACACACCCATAGTACACATTCATTGCACTCATAATTCTAGCCTTGTTAAGGATCTACTTGGAGTTTTGTGAAGATGAGGTCCCTTTAATTGTTCACACAATTCTAATTTTGTATCTATTTAGTTCATTACTCTTTGCACCCTAGACCATAAGATCCTTGAGGACAGGATCATGAAAAATGTTGCTTGCCATTTTAGCCTGGTGCCTGGCCAAAACAGAGTGTTCAATAAATATTTGTTTACTTCATATATGAAGTATGACATGGTTTTGTGTGCAGGACCTGTGTGGCCCATTAAGTTATCTTAGCAATCAGAAAAGCTGCCTTTAGATCTAGTAAGGTACTCTCCTGTGTTTTCCTTTAAATGCCCAGATCTAAGTAGGGATAGTACTTCATTCCACCTGAAGATAAAGTTCAAACATCATGTATTCTTTCTCTTTTCTAAGACAAACACTTTAACCAGTTTCCCTAACCAGTTTATCTTCTAATATCTGAAAATCAGCTGTCCTTCCTCCTATAAATCTCATTTTCTCCCAATGGCATATATGACATTTACAAATTAAAATTAAACTTTAATTAAAACACACAAAAGAGACAATGTTGAACTTGGAGTAGTTACAGCTCTTCTCCCTGGAACTCCTTGCAGCAACTATCATTACCCTGGAGAATTAAAGAGAAGTAAATTTGATTAGCTCAGGGACATTGGTCTCTGAGATAAAGAAAGACTTCTGCTTTCAACTTTATTAGAGAAATACATCTTTAAAACGAATCCATAGTGTTAATATTCCCCCCAAATATGACTTCTATTACTTCTCTGGCAAGGGTAATCAGTTTGTAAGAATGCCTCTTACTATGGAAGCCCCAAAGATCCCAAATGCTCTCAGTTCTCCAGTAGATTCAGTATACCATGGATGGAATCAGACCTTCCACCTTAAAATTTAGAAACAAATACCAAACTGAAATCCTATCCTGTCCTCTTTTTAAAGAAATAATTGCTTAATGCCTTTTGCAAAGGTACTTCATTTTTAGCCTTTTCTTATTAGCCTTTGTTTCTTATTATTTTATTTGTATCTCTTAGTTTTCAGTCTTAATACCCATCACTCTAACTATAATTACCTCACACTTCTACATACTGTCAATGGGACCAGAACACTAAAACCCCATTGGCTTAATATCCCTCTCACCTTTGCTCCTCCTAGAATGGTTTTTACCTGTACAACCAAGAGGCCTCCTGCCTAGAATGTAGGTGGGTGTGGTGGGTGCATCACTTGTACTTAAGATGCCATGGGGAAAGAGGAATGTCTTGAGAAAATGCCAGTCAAAAATCAGAACAAATCATCCAGTCAGGCTGAAGGAACTTACCGCAGAGGGTTCAGCACCAAGTGGACAGAGGTGAGAAAACAGGTGGGACAGAAAGGCTGCAAGGTTAGGAGCAGGAGGCTCATCTAATTTATCATCCATTTTATTTTGAGAATGAAAGGCACTATAAATAATAAGAGGCAGAAACCTGGACTGTCGCTGATAAACAGAGATTTGTGATCACTGTCATCAGAATGGGAAAGGAATCCAAAACAATCCTGCAGGCTCTGCTGTGGTGGAGGCTTTGTCTCTGTCCTTCTTTGTCCAAGTGTCCATTGCTGACCAGCCCTCCTCTGATGGGCATATGAATTTCTTCCTTTGTTTAGATAAGGAAATACCATCCATCAGATATGGCAAGTCTTGTCTTTCACTGCCAGTGTCCTTAAGGTGATATGCCTGGATGTCCCTAATGGGACCAATTATGTGTTAATTTTATAGTATAGCTATTAGAGGAGGACAGACTTATGTCCTTTATTCTCAAGTTTTTGAAGGAGTTCCTCCACCCTCCTTTAGTTACTTCCAAACATTTCCTATATTCATTAGAAGGACTTCTGTTTAAAAAGAGGTATTTTTCAAAGTTTTAGTGTTTGGCATCAAGCAATCTTGATGTTTGGCAGAGGAAAAGCATCCTTAACATCCCAACCTAAAATCCACATGTTTTGGGATGGACATTCTTATCTAAAATGCAATCAAATCAGTCAGAAGGGCAGGGCATCTGTTATGTCAGTTATGGTCATATGAATCATGGCTGAATTTATTGTACAAGTCACAGTTATCAAGCTAGAACATAAAAGCAAAGAGAAACAAGCATCACTTCATGAAAAGACAACTGTCCAAACCATATTTATGTTATCTTTTATCCTACCTTCTCGATCATTTCTTTTTTAGCTGATATCTTACATAGAATGTTTCAGTTACCTGGAACAAGTCACACAATGCCAGATACCAGATATGGAAGGGATTTCTTTTTTTTTTTTTTTTAACCTTCTTGAAATTAAGTCAAATTTTTAAATGGCTTTTCCCATTCTGAGATTCTAAAAGTATTTTATCCTTTTCTTCTACAACATATATGGTTTCATTTTTTTAAAACATGTAAATCTCTGGTTCATTTGAAGTTTATCTCCAAAAATTTAACATAATAAATTTTGAGAGGGAGAATTGATAGCTTTCTGTTGCCACATATTTTGATCTAAAAATATGGGACATCTTTTCACGTGTCCAAGTCTTACTTTTTATTCTTCCAAGATGGCTTAAGGTTGTTACTTCCACATTCTCATTGTTTTATCTTTGAGAATACTATCCTAAATGGAGTCTTTTCTTCGATTATGTCTTCTAACATGTATTTATGTATACAGAGACTATTGATTTCTATTAATTGATGTCTTACTGAATTCTCTCATTGTTTTTATGCATTTCTGCTGATTCTCTTGGGTTTTCCAGGTAAACATTTCCTTTTTTTAGTTTGGAAAGGAAATCTTTCTTTCTCATAAAGGGTTGCAGCCTGCAGTGTGGCCATTCCAACAGGCTGGGAAGCACAGCCTCCTGTCCAAAGCCAGAAAGAAACACTTCAAGGGAGGGACAAAGGGAACAGGAATTAATGCTGAACAGGGTGGCCAAATGTATATATTCAATAAGGTATAGGAGGAGTCATGAATATTTATGAGAAGAGAAACATGTGCATGCGCAATTGAGATTTATGCACCTTCACGGGTCCCACGTACAAAAAATTGTAGCATTAGCATGATCTGAAGGTAGAGCTTCCAGCCCTCTGATGTCAAAAGGTGAAGCAGGCTGGGCACCATGGCTCACGCCTGTAATCCCAGCACTTTGGGAGGGCAAGGTGGGTGGATCACTTGAGGCCAGGAGTTCAAGACCAGCCTGCCCAACATGGTGAAATCCCGTCTCTACTAAAAATACAAAAATTAGCTGGGCATAGCAGCTCGTGCCTGTAATCCCAGCTACTCGCGAGGCTGAGGGAGGAGAATTGCTTAAACCGGGACCTGGGAGGCGGAGGTTACAGTGAGCAGAGATCGCACCACTGCCCTCCAGCCTGGGCTACAGAGTGAGACTCTGTCTCAAAAAAAAAAAAGAAAGAAAGAAAAGTGAAGCAGAGGACACTTTGGGTATTCTTTCTTATCTAAAAATAGTACCAGATTTACTTTCTTCTTTCCAGTTTTTACACTTGTAATTTCTTTTTCTGGTCTAATTTTGTTAAATATTAGTGGTAGTGGTGGGTATCCTTGTCTCATTTGTAACAGCAGGAATACTTTTTTGTTTCTCCAGTAATTTTGATGCCAGTTTTTGACTAACACAGATGACAAATGGATAGATAAAAATATAGATATATATTTATTACATCAAGGAAATATTTATCAATTCTTACTTTAAATCATGTTTTTTTAAATAGAAATAGTTGCTGGATTTAGGCAACTACCTTTTCTGGGTCTATGGAGATGACTATATGTTTTACCTAAGTCTGTAAATATAATAAATTATATTAATAAATAGTCTAATATCAATCCATCCTTGTATTTCTGAAATAATCTCTACTTGGTCATAAAGTGTTATTATAATGTGTGTTGCTAGATCTTGGTAGCTACTATTTTATGTAGTATTTTTACATTGATATGCATAAGTTCTTTGAGGCTGTAGTTTTCTTTTTTGTGCAGTGCTTTTCAGCTTTTGGTATCAATGTTGTGCAGACATCATAAAGAAATTTGGAAGCTTTCCTTATTCTTCTGTGCCTTAGAGAAGAATAAATTGTGGGGAACTAGATGCTCTTTAACTATATGGTAAAATTCCCAGCAAACTTGATTGATTGCCTGCTCTGAGCCAAACACTGTACTTGGTTGCTAGAGATACAGAGATGAGTGAGGGATGGTCCCTATCTTCAAGGAACTCACCATCTAATGGAAACAATAATATATTACAAAATGGGGTATTGGTTTCTACAGTGAAAGTATGTAGGAAGTGCTAGGAGAATACGAAGAATGGTTTCATAAAGAGAGTAGGAAACCGTGCCCAACCAGTGTTGGTGATTCTCATGAGAAGGGCAAGCAAAAGCCCAAATGAAGTTATTTCAGAAGCTCTGTTCCACAAACCTGCCTCTGCTGCTGAAGTTCCTGTTGTAGTCTGAAGACTTTTTTTTTTCAATTAGAAACATCGTAAGACTTAAAACGCAGCTGCCCCTGGGAGATATGAAACTGCCACTTAAGTTTACACCCAAAAAAAATAACTTACAGACATCTCCCGAAGATGATTTTGGTACAGAAACAGTAAAGATTGTAAGGTCCCCAGCATGAAAGTGAGACTAATGAGGAAGTTCTAAAAGGGGAAGAAAGGGCCGTCAAAGGTAAACTTTGTCAAATTTACTCATTTACCTGAGTCTACCCAGGATGCAATCAATGAGTAGATTAGCTTGTCTCTTCACAAGTGTCTCTCCCTTTCTCTGCCCCCAGAAAGTTTTATTGAAGAATTATACACATACACAAAAATACACAAATATAAAGTGGATAGCTTAATTAATTCTCACAAATTAAGCATTCCCATAGAAACATCAGCCCCTTTAACCACCCCCAAGGGGTATTCTCCTCACTTCTATCATCATAAATTAGATTGCCTGTTTTTGAACTTTATGTAAATGAAGTCATGAGTGCATGCTTTTTTCTTCTTCTTTTTTATTATACTTTAATTTCTAGGGTACATGTGCACAACGTGCAGGTTTGTTACATAGGTATACGTGTGCCATGCTGGTTTGCTGCACCCATTAACTCATCATTTACATTAGGTATTTCTCCTAATGCTATCCCTCCCCCTACAACCCACCCCATGACAGGCTCCTGTGTGTGATGTTCCCCACCCTGTGTCCAAGTGTTCTTATTGTTCAATTCCCTCCTATGAGTGAGAACAAGAGTGCATGCTTTTTTTGTATCTAGTTTCTTTTGTTTGATGTTATTTTTGTACATTCCAGCCTTGTGAATACATATTAATTTAATTATCATTGCTGTATAAGTATTGCCTTGTATGAATATATCACAATTTATCCATTCCAATACTGATGAGCATTTAAACAGCTTCCAGTTTGGAGCTATTGTGAATATCTTGTACCGCTTATAAGCATTCTTGTTCATGATTTTTTGTTATCCTTCCTTTAGGGTATATCCATAAAAAGTGAAATTGACACGTCACTGAATAGGCAAATGTTCAGCTTTTACAGGTACGACCAGTTTTCCAAAGTGGTTATACTAATTTATATTCCCTCCAGCAGTATGTGAGAGTTCTCTTTGCTCCATATCTTCAATGGTATTTGTTGATTCCCATCTTTATCGTTTTAGCCATGCTGTGCAATCCACAAATGAAAGTTAGTTTAGTGCTTTGTAAAACTTTGGCTAATTTTGATTAAAGGAATAATTTTTTAAAAAAAGAAAAATAACAGAAAGTTTTTAAGTAGGCAAAGACTTCATTATTCAGATGATAAAAGTCCGCTATTTAAATTAATTTTCATTTAGATTGATACTAGGCAAAGTTCTAACATTGAGGACTTGCCCTTTTAAATGTTTCCATTCTAATATTGCTACTTTATTCTGCACACCATAGCTCTAATAAATGACATTGCCAAGTGTGTGTAATAATAATTGCTTTGAATAAATAATGCAAGATAATGAGCCAAAGAATAGTGTTTTGAATTACAGAGAAAACAGTGGGCTGAGCTATGATAATAACTAGAAAAATTAAAGAAGTCAATCAGAAGGTCAATACAGTTATTAAAGAGAAACAAAGCAGAGCCAAGCAAAGAGATATTTTTCTACTGAGGTTGTATAATTCCTTGTAAAATGATGAGTTAAAGGTCATGAAGAAGAAGTTGCAAAAATATGCTTTTTAATTTTTAGGATGTTTTCTCCACCATGATTCATGAGCTCTTTAACAAAAGCTACCCAGGTAAAAGTGGCAGGCAATTGTACCCATTAATGCAAATACTAAGCGCATCCTCCTTTTAATATTAAGGAAGAAAGGAAATGGAAATGGAAGGAGTAAAACAGAGAAGTGGGAATATTCTGAAACGGTTTCTGGGAAGTTACTTTCATGAGATACGGATATTTTAATTTTTTACTGCAAACTCTATCCAGAATGTACTCAGACATAAGTGCTAAAAAAAAATAAGGAAAGCCTATTTTATACCTTTCTATTCATTCTTAAGTATAAATTTTTAAATATACATAACATGTGCTTTCTCCTGTAGTAGCACTTATCAGTGTTACAACTGACTGTTTGTCTTCATTCCCCATAGACTATGCACTCAGGAAAGTCAGAGACCTTTGACCATTTTTCTCTATTGTATCTCCATTGCTTATCATATCATCTAAACCACTCAATAAATATTTGCTGAATAAATGAATGAATGAACAAACAGGGACCGAGACTAGGTTAATACTTTCCTTAGTCCTTCACTGACTAACTCCCAAATCTCATCTTTCATACCTTACATCTTAAAACAAAGGGCAGGGAGTTGAATCTAATCCATTACACTGAATTTCTTTACTAAAAGAAAAGTTTTGCATGCAGGATTCTACAGCAAGAGAGAGAATGAGAAGACCAATTTTGTCCTTGAGGAAGGTCAGGAGAGGGCATGAAGCATTCCCTAGAACTCTGAGAGCAAACCCAAAAATTGAAACCTTACTATGAAAAGCTTGTGAGAACTACATGAGGGTATGAAGAAATGGTGACATAATATAAAAGAAAAAATATTCAAGTGTAATTGTTTTGAAATAACAACAAATGATAGCAATGAGAGAGGAGAGAAAACAAGAAAGATTAAGGTTTTTGTAATTAAGTGATTCTAAATCACACCACTGTAAGTAGGACAAATTTTAGAATACTGTATTTTATAAAGAGAAAAAAACTTGAAGTCAGCAATGCTCAAGACCAAGAAGGGAAGCTGGGGTAGCATGGATCGTACTAAAATGAAAATAGATTTCCTTAAAGAGGGAAGATTGAACAGATTTCTGCAAAATGTGATGAATAGTAATGCTCATCACCATGAGACGTTAGTGAAGATAAGCCTCTCAAATTTAAGCTAGATCCCTGAACCTGGGTCCTTTGCAACTCACACAGCTGCCAATGCATCAGCCAGGTTTTATTTTAACAACATTTACAATTTCCCTTTCAGTTGAAGCAAGGCTGAGGGACCATCTGAACAGATAATGAAATAACTGTGAAAGTTCAGAGCATGCTGAACAAAACAAAATATGTTTTGCCTGATTTATGCAAACTAAACATATTGTCAAGGTTTTGAAGCAGTTAGTCCAAAATATGCACAAAATACAGCAATTTCTCAAGTAGCCTGGCAGCAGATGAATTCAATGGTAATATGTCTCTGAAACAGTTTAATCAGACTATGTAGATGTGCTGAACATTTTGATATTTTTGTGGTATGAATTCATGAATAATGTCTTTTCCTTAAAGAATGCCCTACCAAGCTTACCCTAAAACCTCAACTCTTGACCTGTCGTAGTGCAGTTCTTCCCTTAAGGATTCTAGGAGCGTCTTCATTTTTGAAGCATCTGTTAAAGAAGAAATGGAATTAAATGTTAATTGCTCCTTTCCCTGTTGTAAGCAAACCAGATCAATGGTGGGCCTCCACTGCCGTTTCTTGCACACTGTGACTCATCCCGAGGCCTCCAGATGTGGAACTTCCAAAGCCAATTGGAAGAAACTGTTCTTTGATAGCTCAGAAAACGTCCAGGTCTTTCTGTGTCTGTGGGGAGTTTTTCTACTCCCAAATATGGCTGCAATGAAAAGATCATTGAATTCTGCAAATATCTGAAGTTAGAGAACTCTGAAATCCAATTTTTTGTACACCCTGATGTGTTAGGTACTGGAAAAGAAAACAGCCTTTAGAAAAATACTCTTTCAAGGCCAGGAGGGTAGGGGGGCAACATTGTCCTTAGAAAATACTTTAAAGGGTTTTGAATGAATCAAAGAGTGTCTGCTTATGACAACTTATCAATGGTTTTACATTTCTGAAAGAGGAAATTGTGATTCACAGGGCAAAGCCTTAATTAGGGTTGTGGCAAGTGGTGCTGAAAAAAATCTTGTCCCCTTCTCGCCGTACACCCCCTCACCGAGCAGGTTCATCCAAGGCCTCCCCTGTAGGACTGAAGAATAGACACTGCCTACTGCCTACTTCGGATGTCACTGTAATCAGAAAGAGACATAGCAAAACAGCCCAGATAGTCATTGATTTTTCTGTAATGGCTTTGGAGCAAGCAAAATAATCAAATGTTTGACTCAATATTATCTCGGATTTTGGTGTGAAGAGTTTTTGCTCTTATGAAAAGCCAAATGTCATCATTTCTCAACTTCTTTGAGGGTGACTGATCAGATTTCTAAGACCTTTGTTTTTCACCTTTCCTCATTAAACTCTGCAGTAGTCAGTTTCATTCCACAGAATTTAACATTTCTTTCAGTAACTTTCTCAACAGAAACCCAATAAATTATTTCTCCTAGGAATTTATGGGTGAGTTGCCTAACCTGCTGGATTTATTGTTAGCAATTTTTAGGGGATTCCTTAGTGACTGAAACAAGTGAAGGCAATGGCTTGCAATTCTCTCCTCACAGAAATCTTCCATTTTCTCAGAATAGTACCTGTAAATGTTTTTATGCTCATTCTCAGTCGTTCTAAAATCTAAACTAATAACATTAAATAAATAATTTCTACTACACTTCAAACCAATAAAGTGTTTTATAAATATCTTCATGGATGTCTGTCATCAAATGGGAAATCTGAGTTGGGGAGGAAGGATTAGCTAACAATACTGTCATTTCACAAGTAAAGAATTATGGAAAGAGGCATTTGATGGATATATACAGATTTACCCAATAGGATTTCATTCTTAAAATGTGCTACTAATTCTACCACAAAATGGAAAAAAATCCTGCAATGGTTCTATTTCTAGGCAAGGGAAATTTATCCTCCAACAACAACAACAACAACAAAATCTTTAAAGAAAAAAATTATGGCCTATCACCCTAGTATGTAACAAAAATATTATATAACTTATTTAGTAATGTCAAGATATTATTTTCTGATATTCAGACAACTAGATAAATTCAAATCTATTACTCCTATTACAATGCATCCAAATCCAATATTGTTTGTACCTTAGGAGAGAACTTGATTTGGAGTAATTATGTAATAGGCAGCAAAGAAGACCAATACAACCTTAGTTCCACCATTAACTTGATCTGTGACCTTGAGACTGTCACTTTAACTTCCTAGGGCTCCCCTGGAAAATGCACAGTCGTACCTCCTTCATACACTGCTATTTTAAGAACTAAGTAATATGAACTAACACAGTGCCATGCCAGGTGGGTTGGAGAATCTTCTAGGTAATAATGATGTAAATCTTAAAATTAATTCATATTGAATGAATATATTTTATGATGCTAGTTAAGAGACCATCTAGTTTTATTTTCTTATTCATCTGCTAATTTTTAGGCTCTGTATTTCCCTTCAGTAGCCTAAAATAAAATTCTTCCTCTTCTACTCCTCCTGATGCCCTCCTTGGTACACCTACAGGATGCCAAGATACACTGTATTCACTGACTTCTCTCTCATTTCTCATATTTAATTAATCACCAAGTTTTTCCAATTCTTTTGTTCACAGCACCTTTCTTTTCCATTCTGTCTGAGTTTAGACTCTCCCAATCTCACACCTAAACAACTGCAGGGTTGCATCTTGGTTCTACTGCTTACCAGTTGTGTAAAACCATTCTTTCGTGTCTCAGATTCACCATTATTTATTTGTAGAATAGTGAGATAGTAAAACCTAGAACTGAGAAAGTAAGCTCATCCTGCTAGCAATCAGGCTGTGATAGCAGGTAGGTAAATTCAGAGACAAAGCCAACACAAAATAATGATTCTTCCAAGGTCACGCCACAACCACAAAACATCTTACACCCTTTCTTTTGAACAAGTACTGCTTTTTTATCAATGACTTCCCAAGACCCATTTTGTTGCTCTGCTTTCTAAAAAAAAAACATTACAGCACTACCCAGTCACTAAGCTACCCCCACTTCATGGCAGCAACCGGCCCAGAGCTAATGCCCATTTCTGCTAATCCAAATTCAGAAATAGCACCCAATCCAGAGGTGATCCCCATTCACCTCAGCACCCCCTTAGAAATATTCAGCCAATCCCAAAACCTACAAAAAGCCCCTGCCTACTTATTCTTACCAAGACACTTGACAAGTTCTCATTAGTGTAGGCTCACCTTTGTTGTAGCAAGTTGAATAATCCTTCTGGGACTACAGGTGTGTTTCTTATTGTCTCTGTTGCATGAGATAATATCAATAGGAATAGGAATCAATAGGAATGTGATAATTATAGGGAATTATAATAATATAATTCCCTTAAGGATGCTGAGAGAATTCTATGAGATAATATATATGCAGCACTTAGAATGCTAGGTGGCACATAGTAAGCCCTCAATAAATACTAGCTGCTATTTTTATTTTTGTTGTTATCATCATAATCATTATCATTCTAACACCTTCCTTATTGATATATGCTTCCAATCTCTTCCCTCCCAAGTCACTCTGCATGGGACTTCATGTTATTCTCATCTATGTATTCCACTATCTGAAACTCAGCAGATTCTCCACTGCTATCAAATAAAGTGCAAACTGTCTAAAATCTAACACCTGTTCTGTTGACACCAAGTACCTGTGTCTTCATATTCTCCTACCAGATGCCTCCACTCTAGTTGGCTGGTTTTTTCCTGGCTCCCAAAGCACGGGTTACACATGGTCTGTGTGCTTCTACTCAAGACAAACTCCCATCTTGTAGGCCCCCTGACTTCCTTCCCATCTCTCCAGATACCCATCCTTCAGCTTACTGCAAAGCCTTCCTCCTCCAGAAAGTACCCTCATCAACCGCTCATCCCCTTTGAGCAGCACCAAGCCTGAGGTTTATTCCACTGACTTAGCACAAAAGCACAAAATCATATCCTTCTTTGCATGGCTACTTTTGCCACAAACACATTTTTATCTAGACAGTAAGCCCACCAACAAGTACTGGATCACATACCTCTTGTCATCACAAATAATTTTATCATAAATAAATGATATCCCTTGAATAAAGAGCTTCACAAATCAACCTTTCCATTTTCCTAAATAGTATATTTATTCCAATGAACTTTCCAATTAATTTGCACAATGAATTTCTCTAAGCATGCAGGGCTGTCAGGGTGGCCTCCTCAATCATGTTCAGAGTGGGATTTTCAATTCCCAACTGCAAAACAGATAGATAATTTGCACATAGTTACATTGCCTTTATCTGTCTTTCATAAAATTGTATCTAGATATACTTCCCTGTATCTAACCTATGACTTTTTTTTTTGCTCTGTGACAGTTCTCCTTTAAATTTTTCATTTTCTTACTTTGTGAAATAGATTGTAGTGAATCTTATGATTATTTCTACCTCAATTCTTTCCCTCTAAATTAATTTAATATTACTTTCTTTGCCTCTTGAATTTTTCAAAACTAAACTTATCCTCTCTAAATTTCTTATCCCACTTCTGATCCTCTCTGTCAGATCATTTTATAATAAACTTTCATTTTGATTCTGATTCATTCAGACAGAATCATCCTATTTCCATAAGTTCACTGGTTCTGCTAGTGTCTTCTGAACATTCTTTCTTTCCTTTGAGGATTTCCTGCTACAAAGTCCAGGGCATATTTTCATACAAACCAAACACATTTTTCCTAGTCTCCTTCAAAAGAACTGTAATCTGCTAAAGTTTTTTTTACAGTATTCTGTAACATGTTCTGGTATTCTTTTCATACAGATTTAAATACTTCAAAATGCTGAATTAAGATTATATTTTCTTCTTCAATTTTCATATCTCAAAAGGCGATATTATCCAATAGACAAAAACACAGAAGAGGTTGGGGAATTTGTCCCACTGCGACTTTCTTTTGCTCCTAACCTTTCACTGAACCCTCTTGTTCATATGCCCATCAGGCATCAAGGACCATTTTGCTGGCCCAGGGGAGTCTGATCTGCTTTTTAAAACTGTTAAATATATAGTGTTTATTATTAATATGCCTGATTATTAGAAAGTTAGTCTGCTAATGTGCTAACGCATGACTAAAGAAGATCTGTACAACATTTGCAGGGGTTGGGGCAGCACTAAGCTCAGGTGTAAAGACCTAAGTTCAAGTACCAGCTGCAACCTCTTGTAGCCAGATGGCCTTGGATGATGCTTAGCTGCTCTAAACCTCCGTTTCCACTATGAAGTAGGGATAATAATAGCTATGTAATGGAGTTGTTACAAGTTTTGCAAAGTGTGAAATATCATCATAGAATTTGTTAAAGAATTTGAAGCTAGTGATCTGTTTTCTGGTATACTCATTCAAAGTAAGTTCCTACACACACACACAAAAAAAAACAAAAAAAAAAAAAAAAAAACACACACACACCAAGCCCCCACAGTGTGTGGAACTGGAAAAAACAGACAGTCCTTAATTAAATGTGGTACCATTCAATTTACCTTCTATAAGCAGTCACAGGTAACGAATGAAAGGGTTTGCTTTGTTTAGTTTGTGTTTTTATAACAAAGGTGAAGGGAAGGATGGAGGGAGGGAGGGAAGGACGGAGACAGAGAGACAAAGGGAATCTGCAAGTCATCCTTTCTTCCTGCCTCTCCCTTAGCCTACCACTCCCCACACACATCCAGTCAGTTACCAAGTCCAGTGGATTCCGCCACCTCAATATATCTTACCCTCATCCCCTTTCCTCCATCCTCTTCCCCACTACCACCACCAACAGCTCATCCCGTGCTACTTGCAACTGCCTGCAAACCAGTGTAGGCTCACTCCAATCCATTTGCTAATCTGATCATGTCACTGTCTTGCTTAAAACCCTTTGGTGACCTCCCAGTCATTTTAAATAACCTTTCTTCAGGAATTAGCTGTGTGTTCCTGTGGCTGCTGCCCTCTCCTTCAACAAGACTGATATTTTTGCCTTTATGGTACCTGCCAGATGCTGTAGTGTTTGCTGGTTAATTGTATATTTGCTTTATGTTTCCTCCCTTCTGGAAAGTTCCTAGATGGGGAGGGCCAGTGTCACACACAGGGCCAGTGATTGGTATCTATGTATCGAATGACGTGACAGTCTAGTTGCAAAGACAAGACACAGATAGGAAAGAGTGGAGAATGCATTTGAGACAACATCCAGTCATCATGTGCCACAGGCTCTACGCTTAAGTGTTGAGTGAGGTGTTCTGATCTTTCATAGAAAGAAGCAAGCACAGTCAGCATCTCTCACTCACTGTCTCTCCACCTCCACCACCCTAGTCCAGGTGCCATGATTCATCATTCATTCTCTTTCTGCTTACCTCTCGCCACCCTGGCCCCCACCTCCTAGCCAGTTTAATCTCCAATAGCAGCCACAATGATCTTTTTTAAGTGACTATAAATCAGCTTACCTCACTCCCCTGTTTATAACTCTTTAATGGTTTTCTACTAAATTTAGAATAAAATCTAAACTTAGGATAGGGTTCTCCAAATTCAGAGACCTTCCTAGTTCTCTGACCTCTGGCTGGAATCTTTGCCAGGATCTTCCCAAGATGGAGATCTTTCCTTTCTTTCACATCTCAGCTTAGGTACACCACCTCATTTCCTTGACCTCCTAAAGACTGTCCATGACAGGTGTCACTGTGGGATCATTTATTTGTGTGCATGATCTCTCTCTCACTGTGACCCCTCCCCACCCAACCCCAGCAGCTCCCTGAGCAAAAGGCACCCATCCACGTGGCTCACCACTATTTTCCTAGTGCCCAGCCTTCCCTGGCTCCTAAGAAGGAGGAAGGGAATGTTTGTCAAATTAATGAGCACTCCCTCATGTTCTGAGCAGGTCATTTTGCAAATCCTTCATCTCTGCTTTTATCAACATGCTCTCTGCCTCATCTGGGATCTCTGTAACTTAGGAACCTCTTGAATAGCGTATGTTTGCTAAGCATTTATGACCCAGCAGAAGCCAGAAAGAGAAAGCCACCATGAGTCATGCTGTGCAATTTTGAGTACCTTGAGAACAGGTGATATTTTTCACAGTGTCAGCTGCAGTGCTCTGTAAGTGCTTCCCTGTTGCCATGGTAAAGGTTTTATGAAGCAAATCCAGCCTGGGGAAGCAGGTTATCAAGCACTGGAGTCTGTGCACAGACACTGTCTCCCAAAAGGACCCTGGACCCAGCCAAGGGTGTTGTTCATGGAAGGTCCTTCATTAATCGTGATCTGAGTTCAGTCAAACTGGGATTTGATACCTGTCATACTCTACTTCCAAGCTCCTTGTCAAATGCAAGTTTCCAGGATTTCAGATAGAAGATTCATGATGTTCAAGTTGTTGAAACTAAATTCTCAAGAGGCAAACACCTGTAATTTTTCTACCCATAACAATAATTATAGCTCACATTTATTAAGCATTTACTTTCATTGTCTCATGAATTCTAAGAACCATCTAGCTAGCAGATACTATAATTAGCTCCATTTTACAAATGAAAAAGCCGAGGCTCGAAGAGGTTAAGTAAATGGTCTCAGGTGACACAGGAAATGCAAAGCAAGCTAAGTGTTGGAGCTGAGAGCAGACCAAAGCCCAGGTGTCCTGTCACCCCGAGGGCCACAGGCTTTACTTACACCTCTAAGGGCTTTCCATGAAAGCCTATACCAGTTCTTCAAGGACCCTGGGAGCCCCATCTTGTAGCTGGTATACCCAACAAGCATGGGAGGTGGTTGACAATCACAATAAGCCTTTTTTAAATTTCTCCCACCCCTTTGAACTCTATACAGTATGAGTAATATTGTTCTTGTCCACAGACCCCATAATTTTTCTTCTCACTCAGAGGGAGCTATTTCATGTGGCAAACACAGTCTTAGCTGTGCAATTCAAAGTATTAGTCAAAACTTGGAACTTGACCAAATATCAAATCTCTGCCTTCTCAGCTTGGCTCACTTTAGGCCACCTTCATGCCACCCCCTTCCTGTATCCGTTCTGCAGGAGTAGGGTGAGACGCAAGGGAGTAAGACTGCTCTTATGTGAACTAGCATCCCTGTAAGCTGGCTTCCTGCTCCTCAGCCCAGCAGGGGTTTGGAAGCTGACTCTGTGCCATGTGTCTCTGTACTCTGGAGGATCCCTGCTGGGTTCTGCCCCCTACAGTTCCCCAGCCCCCCTGTAGTGGCCAGGTGTCACTTCCCAGGCTTCCCTCACCTCCCAGGCATCTCGAGGTGTGCCACCAGACCGCTGCTGCTGAGACCCTCTTACCTCTAAAACAAGCCTCTTGGGTGGTATCTAAGGAAATCTGATGACTCTCTCCTGCTTCACCCTAGGCACACTCATGTTCCTCATCTCCCGAAACTGCAAATGCAGGCCCATCCCAAAGAAGCAATTTTAATGTAATGAAACCAAAGCAATGAGTCCGCCCTTCTCTATAGATACTGGTTAATGATGTCCCAGTTGCAGAGACAAAGCTGAGTGTCCCACAGCTGCCCCCATTCCCCATCACTAGACCTGCAATGAAGGAGGGAGCTGCCCTCTGGGAAGAGAGAGAGTGGATGGGATCCCTTGCAAGGCTTCCTCCGTAGACCTCCTCACAGTCCCCCACTCTCTACTCTGCACTCTGGCTCCTTTTTGAAAAAATGGTGGTAAAATATACATAACATAAAATCTACCACTTTACCCATTTTCAAGTGTACAGTTTTTGGCATTAAGTACATTCACATTATTGTGCAACCATCACCATCATCCACCTCCAGAATTTTTTTATCTTCCCAAACTGAAAGTCTGAACCCACTAAACACTAATTCGTCTTTCCTCTCTCTTCTCCCAGCCCCTGGCAACCACTGCTCTACTTTCTATGAATTTGACTACTCTAGGCACTACATCTAAGTGGAATCATACAGTATTTGTCCTTTTGTGAAGGAGTTATTTAGCTTAGCATAATATCTTCAAGTTTCATCCATGTTGGAGTATACATCAGATTTCCTTCCTTTTTAAGGCTAAATAATATTCCAGAGAGAGAGAGAGATCACATTTTGTCTACCCATTCTTCCATCTATGGCATTTGGGTTGCTTTCACCTTTTTGTATGTGTAAGTAATGCTGCTATGAACATGGGTGTACAAATAACTCTTTGAATCCCTGTTTTCAGTTCTTTTGGGTATTTATCCAGAAGGGGAAATGCTGCATCATATGGTAGTTCTATGTTTGATTATTTGAGGAATCACTGTACCATTTTCCACAGTGGCTACACCATGTTATGTTCACCCCAGTAGTACACAGGGCTCCAATTTCTCTACGTCCTCCCTGATGCTTGTTATTTTCTGTTGTTTTGATAATAGTCATTTCAATGGGTGTGAAGTGGTATCTCACTGTGGTTTTGATTTGCATTTCCCTGATGGCTAATGATGGCAAGCATCTTTTCATGTGCTTACTGGCCATTTGTATATCTTCTTTGGAGAAATGTCTGTCTAATTTCTTTGCCCATTTTGTAATTGCATTGTTTGGTTTTTTTAATTGTCGAGTTATAGAGTTCTTCATATATTCTGGATATCGGTCCCTTATCACACACATGATTTGCTAATATATTCTCCTGCTCCATGGGTTCTCTTTTCACTCTTTTGATAGTGTCCTTTGACACATAAGCTTTTAATTTTGATATAGTCCAATGTATCTATTTTTCATTTTGTTGCCTGTGCTTTTGGTGTCATATTAAAGAAATCATTACCAAATCCAATGTCATAAAGGGTTTCCATTACCTTTTCTTTTAAGAGCTTTATAACATTTGCTTATGTTCAGGTTTTGGTCTATTTTGAGTTAATCTTTATAAATGGTATAACGTATCTGACATCCTTTTTAAGGTCTTAATCTGCTGTGGATCCTAGCATCATGGATTTTCATTGGAAATCTCATATGCAACTTTCTCTTATACTTACTTTGGTATCCATTACGTATCATATCAGTACCTCAGTCATAGCTGAGGCTGGAAGAGTCTAATTCTAACATCTGTTGATGGGAAGTATCTACAGGAAGTAGGAACTGCCGATTATCAACAGTCTTCCCGTAGGATCCCATAGAACACAAATCCTACTGCAGTAGCAGGTCTACATGTTGGTGTTTTGCATCCTAATGAAAGTGCATTAGGAGTGGAATTTTTTATGCCTATGAACAATAAGGAAGGGGAAGAGGAGTATTCAACTGGAAGAAGAGAAGGCTGCGGGGGATAAGAATAGTTTGCAAGCATATGACAGGGGTTGTGGACAGCTGTTCCCGTACCTCACGGAGGAAAGAATAAAAGGAAATAGGTTTAAATTGCAGCATGGAAGATTAATTTAGATATTTCCTGAGAGTGTGTATCTAGGTTACCAAGGATGGTAAATCTTTTCCTTTAGAGATTTATCTTTTTAAAGAAAATAAAAGTGAGGTTGAATGGAGGCGGGGATGAAGTAATTGACTCCTTAGAGTCTTCCCTATTGGGACATGATATTGCAGAAGAAAATCCATATTTTGAAAAGAACTAATTTCTTCACTAGTCAGTAATTTTGAACACAAAGGATTAAAATCCAAAGCACTCTCAGGTATAACTTCCAAATATGTTGCTGTCTATTGCCTTTGCACAATTTCTGTGCCATTTATGATGGCTAAATGTAAGCAGCAGGAATAGCTACATAGCATCTTTGTATTGCTTTTGCTTCTAAGTTTTCTGCCATATTTGTTTTAATTTGAATGCTGCAGAGAAAGGATCAAACAGTGGTAAACATTTCTTTGCTATTATCGTCATCTTTTGACTGGCCAGTGTATTGAAGAGGGTCCTGGCTTGAATTTCTGTAATATTAGATAATTCAATAATTATTTATGTTTAGTTTTAGAATATATCATGTGACTTAGCAGGGAGAGATTGACCTTCATATGATGGCTGAGGGCTGGGGAAGCTGGCTATTAGTAAAACTAGTTTTCACCCTCTGAGCATCTACCAGCTGCTCAGAAGAAGAAAAGAAAGGGGAGAAGTAACTTGGATGTATGCTAGGAAGTCAATATGACATTGAGATTTTTTTCCCACAAGAAATCCATTAAATAGATCCTTGATGTGTGAGGGAAACCAAATCTATCCTTTAAAATATATCAGAGATATTTTTTAAACCAATATACTCTGCCATGGTGAAAAATTCCAACCAAAACATTTCCTTAGCCATGACCTTTAAAAAAAAACTGAACAATAAAGGACAAATGAGAAAAATGCTTTAATTGCTACATCGGGACCCAAGAGTTGTAGACAGATCCTAAACTCCAACTTTTATTCACTCATTTACATAGTCATTTAACAAACCTTTATGAATGTCCACTCTCTAAATAGGTCACAGGCCAAATATTGGAGGTACAAGCCTCAGAAAGGCCTCATTTTTTTCTGTAGCTGGGCTCCCTTTCTGTTCTGTGCCTTCAATTTTAATGAATATTGTTCTTTCTACAACAAAATATCTTTCTAATTGCAATCATATAGAAAAAGAGAAAGGTTGATGTAAGGGATAATATGAAATATATGAGAGGAGAACAAGGTTAAATAATACAAGTTTCTTTCTTTTTTTTTTTTTTGAGATGGAGTCTCACTCTGCCGCCCAGGCTAGACTCCAATGGCGTGATCACGGCTCACTGCAACCTCCACCTCCGGGGTTCAAATGATTCTCCTGCCTCATCCTCCTGAGTAGCTGGGATTACAGGTGCCTGCCACCATGCCCAGCTAATTTTTGTATTTTTAGTAGAGACGGGGTTTCACCATGTTGGCCAGGTTGGCCTCAAACTCCTGACCTCAAGTGATCCACTTGCCTCAGCCTCCCAAACTGCTGGGATTATAGGCGTGAGCCACCACAACTGGCCTATAAGTTGATTTCTAACCACTTCTCTCATGAGGACCCAGCTTAAGTATTAATAATCAAAAAAATAATAATCAAATTGTAAACATGGTCTTAAATTACTATAGTATATTGTTAAGTAATGGGCTGAGCGCCTATGAGAAAATAGCTTAGTTTTTATGGAATTTCAATATGATTCTGTTTCATCTAATGTCCTGAGTGCTTGGATTGTTAAAGTAATAAGCATCCCATAAGTACTTATACATATTTCCATTAATAAAAAATGGGTTAATGTTCATGCTATGAGGCCATTCATCATATGGCCCTAGCAGAGAAGTTGGCAGGGGTACCTGGATTTTTTTTAATGTGCACATTTTATTACAGCAGCTCTCCTAATCTCATAGGATTTTGTCTGAGAAAGGACAGATTTGCCGCTGCAGGGTTTCAGTGTTTATCCAATTTGAAAACCCTGGACATGTTACAAAACAGCACATGGGCTTCCATCTGTTTGCTCTTTCTATGGATCTGTTTTTTGAAAGGATTGAAAGATTTATTATGCTAAAAATATATTCTATTCTATAGTTTTCAAACCAAGCTAAGATCATTCATTTTCCAAGCCGTCTAAGAATGAGGATGCTATAATCACGCGTTCTTTAATTCTTTAAGCCTAGAAAGTCCTTTACACTACTTACCTAAAAGTCCCAAAGTAAAACACACACTAGTAGTAAGGCTAGTGCATTTCCCTTCTAGCACTCAAAGAAAGCTTAACATTTTTGACAGTTTGCAAATACCGCCTTGTATTTCTGATTCAGCCTTATTCAAAGTATCATAATAAAATATTATTAAATGTATGTTGACCTGTGTGCATTTATGATCTCCAGATTAACGTTAGGCTTCTCTGTTGGGCCCTAACTTGGAGGTGCTTTTTGGATCCCTCCTCCCGTGATTCATTGTAATTTCATTTCCCTTGTCATGGCTCTGACCAGAGAAGATTCTAAATATCTGCCCCCAAAGCCAAAATTATATCTTTTGAAAAGTGAAATGAAGAGTTGAGTCAGTAATTTATTTTAGATATTACTGCCTAAAACAATTCCCCAAAATTTATGGATGTTGGAGGCCTGAATTATGATTCCTGAAGACACTGTCTTACAGGACTTATGTACATGAAATACTCCACATTTAACTGAATTCAGTCATCATCCAACTTGCCACATCACTCTAGAAGAGCAGCCTAGATTAATGAAACTACTTTATCAGTAAATGGTAGATACACTGGACCCAATTGAAATCTTCAGAATGAATGGAAATCTACTAATATTGTCAGAAAGTTGTTCTTTGATTCAGTGATAAGACAGCTTCTGTATAAAGAGTAGATGGGATAACAATGAGGGGGAATTAATATTTGCACAGGCGTTCATAGTTCCCAAAGAATTTTTTAGAAATATTTTCTCGTAAGTTCTCACCACAGCTGTATAAGGAGGATCCTGTTTTTACTACCTCACAGATGGGGAAAGTGAAAATTGCAGAAATGAGGTGATATTGCTTCAGGTCACATTACTACTAAATGATGGGTTGGAACTGCAGCCTGGGTTTGGTGCTTCTAAATTGCACTTTCTTTTTACCATGGTACATTCCAATATTACCCTTTAACATATTGTTCTATTTGGCTTTGTCAACCCTTTTCTAGGACTGGATCATTTGAAATAAGCCAAAAAAAATGTGTCTGAAATTAAAATGTCTTACTGATTCTTTTTATTATGTGCTCGGCCTTCATAACCATCAATATATGAATACTGGGAGACAAAGTGAAAAATTGTATCCGAAATTATTATTCTCTGTGAGGATAAAAGGGTAGTAAGAAGGGAAAAAGAAATGGAGGAAAAAAGCTGCTGCTTCAAAAAAAAAAAAAAAAGCCAACTAGGTTTTCCATAATTGGTCGCTAAAAATTGCTACTATTTGTCAACTGAGAATATCCAGTCTTCTTCAAAATCGTATTTCTTCTCCTCTTCACTATGCCTTCAGCTTTTAGTGTAACACAGCCCACTTCATCATAATCTCCTTGCCTTCAAATGACATACTCCCACATATGTTGCTGTAACAGCAGAAATTCTTGGAGCTGAAAAATGTCTTCATATTTTCCAAAAAAAAAAAAAAAAAAAAAAAGCAGGGAGGGAGGGGAAAATAGAGTGAGAGAAGGAGAGAAGGAGACCTCAGCTTTTCTATCCAGACGATTATCCTCACCTGTGGAAATGTGCTCACTTACCCACAGGTCCTGCTCAACCAAGATGGACCCATTCAAAGATTCAGGGCTATTCAAAACCCATCCTAGTGCTAATTCACACTTAAAGAAGGAACCCTTGGACATCATATACTAAATAGAACAAGTCAACCCACTCCTTATTCATGTAAGAACTGCTTGTCGAGTTCTCATTACTATCCATCCCACCCATCCCAGAAGTAACTTGTTTCATGTTTCATTTACCCTCCTAACCATAGTGCATGGTAACATTCCATTTTAATATCTATGGATTGGATTATCTTTCATGGTTTATGGAATGCTTTTCAGTCCATCTGTGTACTTGATCATGCTTCTGGCTCATCAGCAGGCAGACATGCATGCCTGTCCTTCCATAGGCACACCAGAACTAGTAATCAACACCTGGTCTCTTGGTTTTGAATGCCATTTTAACCTCACCCAGGTGACATCTTTTATCTCTGCTTTGTGGCACTGGGCAAAAGAAAGCAATAAAACTTTGAGTGACACGAGGCTCATGCCTGATCATTTAATCTTCATTTGGAATGAGGAGGAGATTGAGATAGTCTGTGGCTTCACAAAAAATCCCAGGTTTACCAAAGCTTTAGCTCAAGTCTTAAGCCACTTATGTTTGAATTTTGAGCAATTTCTGTTTTGTTATCCTGCTGATATACCAATGCCATAAAATAGGAATTAATTTTAAGTACATTAGAAGCCCTCTTAACCTTCTGCTTTAACAACTACTCAGATTGGCCTTGCGCCTCATGCCGTGGGTAGTCATGCTGACTGGGCCTCCTCCCAAGCCACAGGCTTAGGCTGCGGGCTACCCCAGGATGGTCTTGCACTTTTACCCCCACAGCAAGAGCTCTGTGCTCACCAAAATCCCATTACATTCATTTACCTCATTTATACTTGTATTATAATTATGTTATTTAAGTAAATATTACATCTGCCAATAAAATATGAATGCCCAAAGAGAAAGAGTTGTTTCTATTGAAACTAAAATGAATGCCTTAGAAAGACACGATCAAAGCAAGTTTTAAAAAATCACCAACAAACCAGATATGGGTTATAAAAGATTAAGAAAAGAGAGTGTAAAACTCTAGAAGGACTGTAGATTGTTTGCAAAGTTTTAAGCCACTTTAGGGAAAGTTAAATGGGACACTGAAGATTACACTTTGTGGGTGTGATTCAAACAGTGGACACGGAACATAAATTGGCAGACATACATGCATATTTATGAGGCCTTTGCCTATATCAAAAGGTTATCAAACTAATGTACATTTATATGTTTTCAATTAAAATAAAACATTGCAAATATGTTCATGTCAACTTTTATGCTTTCCCAAGTTGTTGAACCAATTTTTGGTCCCAACTATGTGGAAATACTTCAAGAACCCATAACAAAGATATGAAATTGGAGTGAATAACTGTTCAATACTTTGTCTGAGAAAAGATGCAAGGAATTAGACCTTATATATTACATGAGGTATTTGAAGAGACTATCCTTCACACAATCAGATCATATTATACTTGATCTTAGCCAAAAGGCTAAGAAGCAATCAGATTATATTTTAAGTGGTCATTTTAGAACATTGTCTTCACCCTTTTAAGAGTCAGATTTTGAAACTATCTTCTAGTAATGCCATAAAGGTTAGGAAAAAGAATTGGGGAAATCTTCAAATATAAACATTATTTGGCTGATCCTTAAAGGCTTAAGAGAGATAGGAAAGACAGAATTTGAATCAGAAGAACTAACATGGAAACATATTTTTACAGGAATGTATAATGTATGCTGTAGGAGTGAAGGATATAATCCAAGTTGTCAGGGAAAAGGTGTACATGTGAGAGAAACTTGGAAAATTACATTATAAAAGGATGGCCTGGAATGTCAGCCTAAACTCTTTGGACTTTATTTTGCAGAAAATGAGTTATGAAAGCATCCTAGCAGGATATAATATGGTCAGGGTTATATTTTCATATAATGAGGACCAATAAAAGATAATTCCCTGAACTTAGTAATTAGAAAATTATGGGTGACTCTTGGGGAACAGTTTTAGAAGGATTGGAGGCAAAAGTCTAGTTCAAGGTAATAATGAGTACATAGTAAGGGAAATTTGAGAAACAACATAGACATTACTTTTGAGAAGTTGCACAGTGGATGCCAGGGAAAATAGGACTAAAATTAAAGCAGTACCAGAGCTGAGGGAAGATTATTTAAGGGTTTGGAGACCTACATTATTTGTAAGTGTCAAGAGCTGTAAAGGGTCTGAGACTTAACCCGCTTCCAAGCTATCAAGTTAGCATGCCACAGTTCCACAGATGCTGGCAGAAGACGGAGCCCCTGAGTCAGAGACAAAGGACTTTATTACTGCAATAGCAGTAACCAGAGAATAAGTGTTTTCTCGTGCTATTTCCCGTATGTCCCCGTCCCACAGGGCAACAGAGAGAAGGCCAAGTGACACCTATATACACAGTGGGTTTCTTTATAGGAGAGAAATGCTGGGTTTAGAGATCCCAAATCTTTTATAAGTGAGACAGAGAGCGAGATACTCTCTGTCTTCCAAGGCTATTTGCTATATAAACATCCTTAGGATACTAGTCCAGAACAAAGGCAGCCATGCCTCTGCTCAAAGACAGAAAGATACATAGGAGACCTATGGAGAACTGTTTCCCAATAGTAAGTAAAAGAGATTTGGAGGGGGAAATATTGAAGATGATAAAATATTATCAGATAATTTAATGCATAAGGTTTGACAAGGCGTTAAAAGAGCTAGAATCAAGAGCATTGAAGGTAACGTTGGTTTTGGAAAGCAGAAGGAACTGTTTCTATCTAGAAAAGGAGAGATCAAGCAAGTAATGAGTATGTTACAATAAAATTTTAAAGAATAAAAATAGGAAGCTTCAGGAACTTTGATCAGCATGAAGAGATGAGGCCAACTGTGAAGATCTACCAGGATGGTTCAAGGCTGGGAGTAGGGAAAGGTAAGATGGAGAAGACAGGAAAAATTTTCTAAAGTTTTAGATACCTACTATGAAAAATGTGACACAATGTCAACAAGGAACAGATAAAAAGACTGCAGGAAATAGTGAGGTTCTAGCATAGGAGAGGTAGATTGTGTGACTTCATAATCAGGCAGATCAGACCAGTTTTGTGACTTTGACCAGTAACTCTCTGCTCTATGAAAATTGAAAGAGGGGAATCAAATGATAGGAATTATTTAGGGTGGGAGATAGCAGAAGGCCTAGGGGGTGAGGAATTCTAAACTAATGGCATCTTTAGGAGAAAAAGGAAAGTTAATCATTAAATCAAAAAGTGTGGAAAGCAAGGAGCTGTCCAGCAGAAGTGTGGCTGATAGCTGGGAAGTACAGATGTTACAGTTGCAGAGGGAGAATGCAGTTCCACAGAGGAGCATTTCTAAATGAAGAAGGGCCTTCAGAGTTGAGAGGAAGAAAAGTTAGAAGTCATAAGAAGGCCTGTCAATCAATTGACTCAGAATGAAGGCAGAAGAAGACAGCATGGACAACCAAGGGGTCCACCACCCTTCCTGTTAATTTTGTTTCTTTTTGTAGACTTGCATTTGGCTCTTGCATTTTCTTACATCAGCAAATGTGATTTTGCCCAAGTGACAGCAGTGATATGTTGATACAAACCAGATACTGTTTTCTCCACAAAAGCATTTTTCTTCCCACAGGATTTTTAAAATAATAGTACACTGAGAAATATATTCATTCTGTTTTTCACATAAATTAATTATTTCTAATTATCTACTTATTTATGCATCTGTGTGAGACATTATTTAACCTACACAGGAATCAAGTATCTCACATTTTAAACTTTGCATTGTTTCCTTAGTGTCCTTAACTTCCTCCCTCTATCAAGTCTCTTGGTGGCAAAAATATCTCATTATACTAATAAGGAAACACTGAAGGAAGAAACATCTGACCCTGCAGATTACAAGCTATGAGATGACTCTAGAGTTTCGATATATTTGGAGAACCGTTGCTACAGGGGGAGGAAAGCAATTCATAGGAGAAAATAATAGCTGAAGCAGACAGGGCATGAACTTGGGTCAGTTCTGGAGCGATGTGAGCATCAGCCTTCACTTAAGCCTCCCAGGAGACACCATTCCCAAGGACTCCTTCTCTAGTCCAACTGACAGGAACTCAAATAATTTCAAATCTTTGACATGGAGTGGAACCAAACCAAAATTCCTTGCTGGAAGTCCTGAGCCACAAACCTGAGCCAGGCCTAGAGCAGGCTTCCAAGGAACTAGAACTTTCCTGAGGCAACTTCAGTCTCCTGTTTGGCACAAGAGTAGGGGAGTGATCTTGGTGTCCATACTAGTATTAATTGATAGAAAGGATGCACCCAACCTGGGCATACCTTTCTGTAAAAGAAATGAAGTGATATTCTGCTTGTCCCAGTGACATTTCAGGGAAATAATTACTACGAAGATACAGAAAAAAAGCCAATCACCATCTTTGAGTATAATTTCGGAAGTCATGCCTGAAATGTATATAGTATCGCCTTCTTGTTTTTGTCACTCTGTGTGGAACCAGGCAAATAAGGCAAATGATTTCTCCAAATAGTGCCAGTGCTAATGATTGGAAAACCAGCAGGAGGAAGGGGATAGGGTGATTCCTTTAGTGAATATTCCTCTAGTGAGGCTCATTCCTCCTGTTCCAACAACAATTTTACCTTTGTAGAGTAACTCAGCTTATACATTACTGAGGGGGTGGAAATTAAGCAAATGGAGCATGCATGTGGAACAGAAGCTCATCAGGACAAATTCTGACCAAAACCACTTTGTCAGAGTATTTCAGATCCTGAGGATGTTCCTGAGACTTCACATTAATGCAGAATGTAGTTGTGTTTTCAAGCATTTTAATTTCATCTACAAATAATGATTTTTATTTTAGAAAGAAATAATATACCTCACCACCCTCAAAATTAAACTAAAACCAGCTGTAGTTTTATGGGATATGGTCACTTTGCCTTATCAGGAAAGAGAAAGCAATAGACAACAGGAAGGTAACAAGCTAAGCATAAGCTCCAAGATGCCAAATGAAAGATGGAGAGTTCTCAAGGCAGAGTTCTGGGAATCATGTTTTCTTTATTACAACTCTGGCAGGATAACCTATAAGTGAATCGCCTCTATCTTTTAAGGTTGGCACTGAGAGCTACGGGAACTGGACTTGACAATACTTACTGTACTTCAAAATAAAAATCTGCACTTATTCTGAAGTTTTGTGTGCAAAAAGCTCCCAGATGTGTAATTTGTAAGGACCCCAGGGGTGTAAGCAAACTAGAAAGTACAAATCACATATGGCACAAGTTGAAAATTCACAATTATCTGATTAATGGGATAGTATGGAGAGCCAAACTGAGTAAATCAGATTGAAAATCTACCTCTTTCCCTAACCATTGCAAATTCACTTATAGAAAATATTCATTCATTCACACTCCCATTCTCTCCTTCCGCAATCCTACTGATGCTCATTACATTCAACAGGTGCTGCGCTAGCTGTGAACCTGAACAGACTTCAGAGTACACAGGCCTCAACATTTGACTTTCCCAACATATGTCAGTCTTGCTCTCACTGCCTTTTTCCTTGTCTTTTTGTAATAATTCATATTTAACATTTCGTCCTTTACTAATTTTGGAATGTAACAGCAAAATTTTCAATTGGGATGTTTTGCTCAAAGAATTCTCTAGATTTTAAGTTAAAATGTCAATGCCACATCTATTCCACTTCTGTTCACCTGCCCTTGTTTCTCTTTTCTTGAATTTGCCAAGTGCCTATCACAGGATTAACAGAAACCAGCGTTCAGTAAAAGGTTCACTGCAGAGATGTTACTCAAAGTGTTCCCATCACAGCTATAACTTTGGTTTTATTTTAAACTGGCTACATTTAAAAGTAAATTTCTTTTCAAAGAAGGCTATTTTCTCATCAACTTATGGTAAATGAAACAACAATTAAAATGAAAAGTCAGATATGTTTCTTTGAAACAAGTCTCCAATCGACTGAATAGAAAATGGAAGTATTTTTCAAGACCTGTGACATGCCTTTACTGGCAACAGCAGA
Source organism: Homo sapiens (assembly GCF_000001405.40). Classification (NCBI taxonomy): domain Eukaryota; kingdom Metazoa; phylum Chordata; class Mammalia; order Primates; family Hominidae; genus Homo; species Homo sapiens. The sequence goes on from NC_000008.11 coordinate 72,836,432, forward strand.
CAGATGCTTGTTGCAAGTCATGGTGCCAGCCTGGGTTGACTCCTCTTGGAGTTTTCATGGTTTCCTAGAAATGTAACAAGATAATGTGTTCCTTTAACAAATGGCTACCCCATGCCAAAGAGTAGAAGGTTGCTCCATATTACTTTTTATCTTTGTACCTTCTTATTCTACTTTCATTACCCAAAACACTGTCAAGAGGATGGGCATAGTGGCTCACACTTGTAATCCCAGCAATTTGGGAAGCAGAAGCAGGTGGATTGCCTGAGCTCAGGAGTTCGAGACCAGCCTCAGCAACATGGTGAGACCCTGTCTCTATAAAAAATATAAAAAATAGCTGGGCATGGTGGCACATACCTGTAGTCCCAGCTACTTAGGGGGATGTGGTAGGAGAATCCTGGAACCCAGGAAGTTGAAACTGCAATGAGCCATGTTTGTGCCACTACACTCCAGCCTGGGTGAAAGAGTGGGACTTTGTCTCAAAATAACAAACAAACAAACAAAATATTATCAACAGCTTTCTCCTTTTGTGCAGGTACTTCAAATTAAAGGTGGACTTCAATAAAACACTTCCCAGTGGGTACCTCCACTTAAGGTCTGAACATTTCTCCAGATGATGGCATCTAATTCTATAAAAATGTGTTTAAGCCCTACTTTTTCAATTCAATATATTTAGAATTAGACATACTGTTCCTGGAACAAGAGAAATCTTTACTGATAACTACTATCTGGGATACTGTCTAGTGTTCTCATAATTGCCCTTTATTCACAATCAAAAGCACCACACTATGTCTGTAGTTCCTTCTCAGAGCAGCCACATCCTTCACACTACCTGGAGGTCTCCAGAGGTGCCACCTACAGTTAGAAGCTCTTGTGCCTCTGTTCATTGACTGAACTACCATTATGTCCATGATGGCTGCTGGGGGAATTTGAGCCCTCTTGCTCTCCAGAGATACTTCTTAGAAACCTGGATTTTTAACAATTACCAACAGCTTTTCACATTAAAACGCTCTGATACTTTAAAAGTTCCTAAATCAGATAGACAGGCACCATCCTTAGTTGTGCCATGACATTTTCATCGATCAGATTACTTCTCAATCTTCTCTGGACTTAGGTTATTTGAGCAAAAGCTATTAATTACATACAGTGAAATCTGTTTACTTCAAAATCCCACCAATTAGGAATCCATGGTTTTTAGGAAATAAAGAAAATAAGTTTAAAATTTATTGTCTCATTAGTCAATAAAATATTGTTGAGCCAATTAATAGCATAGCAAGATCTGTTAATCCCATAATAATCAACCCCATAGCAATGAAACCACAGCAACGGGAAATGTTACAGACTTTTAAAAATGAAATTTTTCAGGCACTTTAAAGTACTTCCTATGCTAACTTCAATCCTTTTTTTAAAAAAAAATTATTTACTAACTAATTTATTAACCAACAAAGTCTATGAAATATGTTAGCAAAAGTTAGGCCTGCATGCATATTTAAACAACACAGATATATTTCTAGATAATTATTTATGGAGTTTTATTTACATATTCATACTGGTATTACCTTTTTATATTAATTAGGTTTTGTGCCATTAACATTATTTTTAGGAAAGTACTCATCATTCATATTCTCTTAAAATATTCATTAACAAAGTATTTTAGAGTAAATTCTATAGGTATTATAGCTATTTTCTTTTATTTTTTATTATACTTTAAGTTATAGGTTACACATGCACAATGTGCAGGTTTGTTACATAGCTGTATATGTGCCATGTTGGTTTGCTGCACCCATCAACTCGTCATTTACATTAGGTATTTCTCCTAATGCTATCCTTCCCCCAGCCCCCCACCAGCCGACAGGCCCTGGTATGTGATGTTCCCCTCCCTGTGTCCATGTGTTCTCATTGTTCAGCTCCCACCTATGAGTGAGAACGTGGTGTTTGGTTTTCTGTCCTTGTGATAGTTTGCTGAGAATGATGGTTTCTAGCTTCATCCATGTCCCTGCAAAGGACATGAACTCATCCTTTTTTTGGCTGCATAGTATTCCATGGTATATATGTGCCACATTTTCTTTATCCAGTCTATCACTGATGGGCATTTGCGTTGGTTCCAAGTCTTTGCTATTGTGAATAGTGCCGCAATAAACATACGTGTGCATGTGTCTTTATAGCAGCATGATTTATAATCCTTTGGGTATTTACCCAGTAATGGGATTGCTGCGTCAAATGGTATTTGTAGTTCTAGATCCTGATATGGTAGGTTCACATTACAGTTACTGGATCTAAATTGTAGTATATACAGGTCTATGTGTGCAATAAAATGGATAATAACATGTAAAATAAAGAAAATTTTATACATGTAGTTTTTCTGAAATCTTGGTTAAAGAATATAAAAATCCTTGATTCATATGAAATTTCTAGGTGTTTGAAGCCAATAAGTGTTTGGGGTATTGAATGAGCAAGACAATCCTCACTCTACTTTTTTATTTGCTTATTGTAATTTCTTTTCTAAAATAACATTAGCCACGAATAATTTTCAAAGTAATTGAACTTATTTTCTGTTATTTTAGAAATTTTTAAAATTTTAATTCACAAGGTAATCTAACATACACTATTTTAAACAATTATAATAATAGTAAAAATCACCCCATTAGAATAAGACGCTCATTATCCAAATACAATTATTTTCCATTTTACAATTTCTTCTGCTTTTCTCATTACCAAACGTATACCTTTTCTAGTTAAATCATGGTGCACATAATATTTTATGTTCTTTTCTCTGAATTCTGTAATAAATATTTTCTACATTTCTATGTAGTCTTATTTTTAATATTAAATGATTAGTCATTATTTAAGTGGCAAGAAAGAACACAAATTTACAAGAGGTGTGTCTTCTGTTTTTTAGAAAATCTCAGATTCAACTTCCATTCAGCCAATATCTTTTGAACACCAATTGTATGCCTTGCCATGTAATGTGTTAGGCATAGCAATAGAAAGATGAATAAGACACCATCTCATCCCCAATGAAAGCAGAGTCTAATAACGAAACAGCAAAACCACACACAAAATATGTTCAATAATTCCTACAGGTGCTATAGAATATGCATTTCACTCCAGCGGGGGAAGGCTAGAAAAAGTAAAGAGGAGTGCCCCTTGAGCTAAACTTTGAAAGGCTTCTTTTTTTTTTTTTTTTTTTTTTTTTTTTTTTGTGACGGAGTCTCGCTCTGTCGCCCAGGCTGGAGTGCAGTGGCGCGATCTCGGCTCGCTGCAAGCTCCGCCTCCCGGGTTCACACCATTCTTCTGCCTCAGCCTCCTGAGTAGCTGGGACTACAGGCGCCCGCCACCACGCCCGGCTAATTTTTTCTATTTTTTAGTAGAGACGGGGTTTCACCGTGTTAGCCAGGATGGTCTTGATCTCCTGACCTCGTGATCCACCCGCCTCCGCCTCCCAAAGTGCTGGGATTACAGGCGTGAGCCACCGTGCCCAGCCTTTTTTTTTTTTTAATACTTTAAGTTCTGGGATACATGTGCAGAACGTGCAGGTTTGTTACATAGTTATACACTTGCCATGGTTGTTTGCTGCACTCATCAACCCATCATCTACATTAGGTATTTCTCCTAATGGTCTCCCTCCCCTAGCCCCCCACCCTGCAACAGGCTCAGGTGTGTGATGTTCCCCTCCCTGTGTCCATGTGTTCTCATTGTTCAACTCCCACTTATGAGTGAGAACATGCCATGTTTGGTTTTCTGTTCCTGTGTTACTTTGCTGAGAACGATGGTTTCCACCTTCATTCATGTCCCTGCAAAGGACATGAACTCATCCTTTTTTGTGGTTGCATAGTATTCCATGGTGTATATGTGCCACATTTTCTTTATCCAGTCTATCATTGATAGGTATTTGGATTGGTTCCAAGTCTTTGCTATTGTGAATAGTGCTGCAATAAACATACATGTGCATGTGTCTTTATAGTAGAATGATTTATAATCCTTCAGGTATATACCCAGCAATGGGATTGCTGGGTCAAATGGTATTTCTGGTTCTAGATCCTTGTGGAAGCACACTGTCTTCCACAATGGTTGAACGAATTTACTCTCCCACCAACAGTGTAAAAGCGTTCCTATTTCTCCACGTCCTCTCCAGTATCTGTTGTTTCCTGACTTTTTAATGATCGCCATTCTAACTGGTGTGAGATGGTATCTCATTGTGGTTTTGATTTGCATTTCTCTAATGACCAGTGATGATGAGCTTTTTTCCATATGTTTATTGGCCACATAAATGTCTTCTTTTGAGAAGTGTCTGTTCATATCCTTTGCGCACTTTTTGATGGCATTTTTTTTTCTTGTAAATTTGTTTAAGTTCCTTGTAGATTCTGGATATTTGCCCTTTGTCAGATGGATAGATTGCAAAAATTTTCTCCTATTCTGTAGGTTGCCTGTTCACTCTGATGATACATTATTTTGCTGTACGGAAGCTCTTTAGTTTAATTAGGTCCCATTTGTCAATTTTGGCTTGTGTTGCCATTGCTTTTGGTGTGTTAGTCATGAAATCTTTGCCCATGCCTATGTCCTGAATGGTATTGCCTAGGTTTTCTTCTAGGGTTTTTATGGTTTCAGGTCTTACATTTAAGTCTTTAATCCATCTTGAGTTAATTTTTGTATAAGGTGTAAGGAAAGGGTCTAGCTTCTGTTTTCTGCATATGGCTGGCCAGTTTTCCCAACACCATTTATTAAATGGGGAATCTTTTCCCCATTGCTTGTTTTTGTCAGGTTTGTCAAAGATCAGATGGTTGTAGATGTGTGGCATTATTTATGAGGCTCTGTTCTGTTCCATTGGTCTGTATATCTGTTTTGGTACCAGTACCATGCTCTTTTGGTTACTATAGCCCTGTAGTATAGTTTGAGTCAGGTAGCATGATACCTCCAACTTTGTTTTCTTTTCTTTTTTTTTTCTTTTTTTTTTTTTTTTTTGCTTAGGATTGTCTTGGCTATGCAGGCTCTGTTTTGGTTCCACATGAAATTTAAAGCAGTTTTTTCCAATTCTCTGAAGAAGGTCAATGGTAGCTTGATGGGGATAGCATTGAATCTATAAATTACTTCAGGCAGTATGGCCATTTTCACGATATTGATTCTTCCTATCCATGAGCATGGAATGTTTTTCCATTTGTTTGTGTCCTCTCTTATTTCCTTGGGCAGTGGTTTGTAGTTCTCCTTGAAGAGGTCCTTCACATCCCTCGTAAGTTGTATTCCTAGGTATTTTATTCTCTTTGTAGCAATTGTGAATGGGAGTTCACTCATGATTTGGCTGTCTGTCTATTATTGTTGAATAGGAATGCTTGTGATTTTTGCACATTGATTTTGTATCCTGAGACTTTGCTGAAGTTGCTTATCAGCTTAAGGAGATTTGGGGCTGAGACAATGGGGTTTTCTCAATATACAATCATGTCATCTGCAAACAGAGACAATATGACTTCTTCTCTTCCTATTTGAATACGCTTTATTTCTTTCACTTGCCTGATTGCCCTGGCCAGAACTTCCAACACTATGCCGAATAGAAGTGAGAGAGGGCATCCTTGTCTTCAGCCAGTTTTCAAAGGGAACGCGCCTAGCTTTTGCCCATTCAGTATGATATTGGCTGTGGGTTTGTCACAAATAGCTCTTATTATTTTGATATATGTTTCACCAATACCTAGTTTATTGAGAGTTGAGAGTTTTTAGCTTGAAGGGGTGTTGAATTTTGTCAAAGGCCTTTTCTGCATCTATTGAGATAATCATGTGGTTTTTATCATTGGTTCTGTTTATGTGATGGATTACATTTATTGATTTGTGTATGTTGAATCAGGCTTGCATCCCTGGGATGAAGCCATCTTGAACATGGTGGATAAGCTTTTTGATGTGCTATTGGATTCAGTTTGCCAATATTTTATTGAGGATTTTCTCATCAATGTTCATCAGGGATATTGCCCTGAAATTTTCTTTTTTTGTTGTGTCTCTGCCAGGTTTTGGTATCAGGATGATGCTGGCCTCATAAAATGAGTTAGGGAGGATTCCCTCTTTTTCTATTGTTTGGAATAGTTTCAGAAGGAATGGTACCAGCTCCTCTTTGTACCTGTGGTAGAATTCGGCTGTGAATCTTCCTGGTCCTGGCCTTTGTTTGGTTGGTAGGCTATTAATTAATGCTTCAATTTCAGAGCATGTTATTGGTCTATTCAAAGATTTGACTTCTTCCTGGCTTGGTCCTGGGAGGGTGTATCTGTCCAGGAATTTATCCATTTCTTCTAGATTTTCTAGTTTATTTCTGTAGAGGTGTTTATAGTATTCTCTCATGGTAGTTTGTACTTCTGTGGGATCAGTGGTGATATCCCCCTTTATCATTTTTTATTGTGTCTATTTGATTCTTCTCTCTTTTCTTCTTTATTAGTCTGGCTAGCAGTCCATCTATTTTGTTGATCTTTTCAGAAAAACAGCTCCTGGATCCGTTGATTTTTTGAAGAGTTTTTTGTGTCTCTATCTGCTTCATTTCTGCTCTGATCTTAGTTATTATTTGCCTTCTCCTAGCCTTTGAATTTATTTGCTCTTGCTTCTCTAGTTCTTTTAATTGTGACATTAGGGTGTCAATTTTAGATCTTTCCCTCTTTCTCCTGTGGGCATTTAGTGCTGTAAATTTCCCTCTAAACACTGCTTTAGCTGTGTCCCAGAGATTCCAGTACACTTTGTCTTTGTTCTCATTGGTTTCAAATAACTTATTTATTTCTGCCTTAATTTCGTTATTTACCCAGTAATCATCCAGGAGCAGGTTGTTCAGTTTCCATGTAGCTGTGAGCTTTTGAGTGAGTTTCATAATCCTGAGTTCTAATTTGATTGTACTGTGGTCTGAGAGACTGTTTGTTATGATTTCCATTCTTCTGCATTTGCTGAGGCGTGTTTTACTTCCAACTATGTGGTCAATTTTTGAATAAGTGTGATGTGGTGCTGAGAAGAATGTATATTCTGTTGATTTGGGGTGGAGAGTTCTGTAGATGTCTATTAGGTCTGCTTGGTCCAGAGCTGAGTTCAAGTCCTGAATATCCTTGTTAATTTTCTGTCTCATTGATCTGTCTAATGTTGACAGTAGGGTGTTAAAGTCTCCCACTCTTATTGTGTGCAAGTCTAAGTCTCTTTGTAGGTCTCTAAGAACTTGCTTTATGAATCTGGTTGCTCCTGTATTGGGCACATATATATTTAGGATAGTTGGCTCTTCCTGTTGCATTGATCCCTTTACCATTATATAATGCCCTTCTTTGTCTTTCTTGATCTTTGTTGGTTTAATGTCTGTTTTATCAGAGACTGGGATTGCAACCCCTGCTTTTTTTTGCTTTCCATTTGCTTGGTAAATATTCCTCCATCCCTTTATTTTGAGCCTATGTATGTCTTTGAACGTGAGATGGGTCTCCTGAATACAGCACACCAATGGGTCTTGACTCTTTATCCAATTTGCCAGTCTGTGTCTTTTAACTGGGGCATTTAGCCCATTTATATTTAAGGTTAATACTGTTATGTGTGAATTTGATCTTGTCATTATGATGCTAGCTAGTTATTTTGCCCATTAGTTGATGCGGTTTCTTCATAGTGTTGATGGTCTTTACAATTTGGTATGTTTTTGCAGTGGCTGGTACTGGTTTTTCCTTTCCACGTTTAGTGCTTCCTTCAGGAGCTCTTGTTAAGGCAGGCCTGGTGGTGACAAAATCTCTCAGCATTTGCTTGTCTGTAAGGGACTTTATTTCTCCTTCGCTTATGAAGCTTAGTTTGGCTGGATATGAAATTCTGGGTTGAAAATTCTTTTCTTTAAGGATGTTGAATATTGGCCCCCACTCTCTTCTGACTTGTAGGGTTTCTGCTGAGAGATCCGCTGTTAGTCTGATGGGTTTCCCTTTGTGGGTAACCTGACCTTTCTCTCTGGCTGCCCTTAACATTTTTTCCTTCATTTCAACCTTGGTGAATCTGATGATTATGTGTCTTGGGGTTTCTCTTCTCGAGGAGTATCTTTGTAGTGTTCTCTATATTTCCTGAATTTGAATGTTGCCCTATCTTGCTAGGTTGGGGAAGTTCTCCTGAATAATATCCTGAAGAGTGTTTTCCAACTTGGTTCCATTCTCCTTGTCACTTTCAGGTATACCAATCAAATGTAGGTTTGGTCTTTTCACATAATCCCATATTTCTTGGAGGCTTTGTTCATTCCTTTTCATTCTTTTTCTCTAATCTTGTCTTCATGCTTTATTTCATTAAGTTGATCTTCAATGTCTGATATCCTTTCTTCCGCTTAATCAATTCGGCTATTGATGCTTGTGTATGCTTCATGAAGTTCTTGTGCTGTGTTTTTCAGCTCCATCAGGTCATTTATGTTCTTCTCTAAACTGGTTATTCTAGTTAGCAATTTCTCCAACCTTTTTTAAGGTTCTTAGCATCCTTGCATTGAGTTAGAACATGCTCCTTTAGCTCAGAGGAGTTTGTTATTACCCACCTTCTGAAGCCTACATCTGTCAACTCGTCAAACTCATTCTCCATCCAGTTTTGTTCCGTTGCTGGTGAGGAGTTGTGATCTTTTGAAGGAAAAGAGGTGTTCTGTTTTTTGGGATTTTCAGCCTTTTTGTGCTGGTTTTTCCTCATCTTCTTGGATTTATCTACCTTAGGTCTTTGATGCCGGTGACCTTTGGATGGGGTTTTTGTGTGGATGTCCCTTTTGTTGATGTTGATGCTATTCCTTTCTGTTAGTTTTCCTTCTAACCATCATGCCCCTCTGCTGCAGGTCTGCTGTAGTTTACAGGAGGTCCACTCCAGACCCCATTTGCCTGGGTATCACCAGCGGAGGCTGCAGAACAGCAAAGATTGCTGCCTGTTCCTTCCTCCAGAAGCTTCGTCCCAGAGGGGTACCCGCCAGATGCCAGCTGGAGCTCTTTTGTATGAGATGTCTGTCAACCCCTGCTGGGAGGTGTCTCTCAGTCAGGAGGCATGAGGGTCAGGGACCCATGTGAGGAGACAGTCTGACCCTTAGCAGAGCTCGAGCACTGTGCTGGGACATCCACTGCTCTCTTTAGAGCTGGCAGGCAGGAATATTTAAGTCTGCTGAAGCTGTGTCCACAGCTGCCCCTTCCCCCAGGTGCTCTGTCCCAGGGAGATGGGCATTTTATCTATAAGTCCCCGACTGGGGCTGCTGCCTTTCTTTCAGAGATGCCTGGCCCAGAGAGGAGGAATCTAGAGAGGCAGTCTGGCTATAGCAGCTTTGCCGAGCTGCAGTGGGCTTCGCCCGGTTCGAACTTCCAGGCAGCTTTGATTACACCGTGAGGGGAAAATCACCTACTCAAGCCTCAGTAATGGCAGATGCCCCTCCCCCCCATCAAACTCCAGCATCCCAGGTAGACTTCAGACTGCTGTGCTGGCAGCGACAATCTCAAGCCAGTGGATCTTAGCTTGCTGGGCTCTGTGGGGGTAGGATCCACTGAGCTAAACCACTTGGTTCGCTGGCTTCAGCCACCTTTCCAGAGGAGTGAACAGTTCTGTCTTTCTGGCATTCCAGGCACCACTGGGGTATGAAAAAAAAAAAAAACTCTGGCAGCTAGCTTGGTGTCTGCACAATCAGCCGCCCAGTTTTGTGCTTGAAACCCAGGACCTTGGTGGTGTAGGCACCTGAGGGAATCTCCTGGTCTGCGGGTTGTGAAGACCGTGGGAAAAGCGTAGTATCTGGACCGGAATGCACTGTTCCTCACGTCACAGTCCCTCACAGCTTCCCTTGGCTAGGAGAAGGAGTTCCTCCACCCCTTGTGCTTCCCAGGTAAGGCGACACCCCACCCTGCTTTGGCTCACCCTCCATGGGCTGCACCCACTGTCTAACCACTCCCAATGAGATGAACTGGGTAAGAACACCTAGGCAACACCACCCAGGACATAGGCATGGGCAAGGACTTCATGACTAAAATACCGAAAGCAATGGTAACAAAAGCCAAAATTGACAAATGGGATCTAATTAAACTAAAGAGCTTCTGCACAGCAAAAGAAACTACCATCAGAGTGAACAGGCAACCTATAGAGTGGGAGAAATTTTTTACAATCTACCCATCTGACAAAGGGCTAATATCCAGAATCAACAAATAAACAAATTTACAAAAAAAAAGAAAAAAAAAACCATCAAAAAGTGGGCAAAGAATATGAAGACACACTTCTCAAAAGAAGACATTTATGCAGCCAACAGACACATGAAAAAATGCTTATCATCACTGGCCATCAGAGAAATGCAAATCAAAATGACAATGAGATACCATCCCACACCAATTAGAATGGTGATCATTAAAAAGTCAAGAAACAACAGGTGCTGGAGAGGATGTGGAGAAATAGGAATGCTTTTACACTGTTGGTGGGACTGTAAACTAGTTCAACCATTGTGGAAGACAGTGTGGCAATTCCTCAAGGATCTAGAACTAGAAATACCATTTGACCCAGCCATCCCATTACTAGGTATATACCCAAAGGATTATAAATCATGCTGCTATAAAACACATGCACATGTATGTTTATTGCAGCACTATTCACAATAGCAAAGACTTGGAACCAACCCAAATGTCCATCAATGATAGACTGGATTAAGAAAATGTGGCACACATACACCATGGAATACTATGCACTCAGTTGGAAATGCAGAAATCACCCACCTTCTGCATTGATCTCACTGGGACCTGCAGACCGGAGCTGTTCCTATTCAGCCACCTTGCCAGACTGGGGGCAATGGCTCCTTTAAAATGTGAAATGATTTCATGAGTTGGGTCAGGATTTCACTCAAGAAACAGAATAAAAGGACACTTTCTCAGGAAGAGGTTGGGGTCAGAAGCAAACTTCAATGTTCCCTTAGGAAAACCAAGCACCCAACTGGTGCCCTTTACAACATCGCCCCCTTGTGGTCTTCCCATCTCCACTTCAACATGGGACCTCCCAGAAGGCCAACCTTGCAGGCTTTTCAAATCTTAATTACTAGGATTGCAAACAGTGCTTCTACAAACAAGTCTCTTTACATCTTCCAGCCCTTCATTGCTACTTTAGCTGTTTGGTTTCCCAGATATTCGTTAACTCATTTATAAGTTCAAGTATTCTTATGTCAAGACTGTAATTTGTTTTGCATCTTTACCACCAACCAAGGATGGGAAATCACTTTAAATGTGTAAAGGATTTTAATTTCATTTGATGGACTCATCTGTTGCTACCAACCTAGGAGGCCCTGGTTTTCTGAGACGTCATTAGAATTTCTCTATGCTCAAACTGAAGAAAATGCAAAAAATAAAAAAAACAGTGATTGTCCAAATAAAGTAAGGCACAAAACACCAAATATATTCACCATAATATCCCAGATATTCCAGGCAAATGGTTGAGAGACTCACTAGATGAATGTTTTCTACATGTAACCCAGATAGTCATCTCAGTTCCCCAACTCATTATAAATAGCCCCTCCCAGAGCAATATTTGCTACAGTAGGAAAGCTAGGGTAGAACAGAAATCTCTGTGGGAAGTATTTTAAATTCTCTCCCCCTAAACACTCATTCTCCTCACAGTAGATCACAAGCCAGGCCTGCCCTATTGCATAAAGCTTTCACTTTCTGTTATTTCATGTGTGTTTCTTCCTGCATTGCATTGTTTCTGGCATGAATCCTAAATATTAATGCTGCTAGGAGGCTGTTATTTACACCAGTGAGGCCCAATTTGCATTTGGAATATAGAAAAACAACTGCTTTCTATTTTCACTCTATCAATCATAATAGGTCATAAAGTTTAGCCCTTAACTACAAGATTTATCTGTTTTCCAGATATGAAAGGGCTTGGAGCTTTGGCTCCAACCACCCCAGCCTTTAGTAGCTACTTGAATTGTTGGCTTTGGTTTCCAAAGTGGGGATTTTAGGACATACTTTACAGCAGTGTTTTTAAAACTCTCTGGTGAAGGAACAGTTTCTACTTTTTTCTTTGTTTTGTTTTGTTTCAATTTATTATTTGTAAAGAATAATAATAAATTTATTATTTGTAAAGAATAATAATAAATAAATCGAGATAAACATAGTCATGTTCTTGACTATTTGGGCAATGTCACAATTGCTGTAAAGGAAACTCTAAATGCTTACTCTCAATTCTGTTACTTTTCTTGTCTTGTATTAATGACAGTTTGCAGATGGGTCCAGTCCATGGACCACATTTTGAGTAACATTGCCTTAGAGGACTGATCTGTGACTTCCTGTGTAAAACAAGGCAAGGCATAACATATAATAGGTCTAAATAATGCTAGTTTCATTTCCTTTCTCCTAAAATTCAATATTAAATTCATTGATTAATTCATTCATCCATCTATTTATTCAACAAATATTTATAGATAACTTATTAAGATTCAGGCACTGTTAAATGCTAGGTATACAGTAATGAAAAGAACTCACCTTCTACCGTCAAGGAGCTTACAAGCTATTGGAAATGTTTTCACTAGAATATCTCAAAAAAATGAAATTAAAAATTTAACATAAAGTTATTACACTTTTTAAACTTTTATATCTAATATTCTTTTTATTTTTAAGTATTTTCATCATCTTTAACATTATATAATGTATATATGCTATATTAATATAGTATTAATGTATTATATAAGTATATAGTATTTCTTCTAAGGCCCAGCTAAGTATTTATGACTCATTTTCTTAGCCACAAAAAGAGGTTTTTCCATCATCAGCCTTGTAATTTTTTTTATTTTACAATATCTAAATCATAATTCCCTTTGGTTTCATGTTCTTTTTAAATTTTTTTAAATTAACAATAATTGTACATATAGGGTACATGGTGCTGTTTCAATAGATAAAATATGTGATGATCAGATCAACATAATTATCATATCCATCATCTCAAACATTATCATTTATTTGTGTTGGGAATATTCAAGGTCCTCCTTCTAGCTATTTGAAACTATACATGATAACTATAGTCACCCTATAGTGTAAAGAACACTAGAACTTATTCCTCCTGTCTAGCAGTTTTCATCTTCTCTCACTGTTCCTGAGACATTGGAATGAGTTCTACCAATCTTTCTAATGCTAAGCACACATATTGTATGAATATAAAACTCATTTTTCCTAAATATAAACTCTTTTAATCTGCCAATCATCACTTAAAAAAGAGAATATAAACCAGCATTCTTGCTTACTTTTAAAAAAATCTTCCCTCCTTTGAAAATTTATAGACTTTTAAAGTGAGAAAGTTAAGTGTCTTTATTGCTTTGGAGAAGAGCTAGCCAAAGATATGCTTTAAAAGCAGGAGCTCTCCTGGTATCCACTTTTCTTTTCAGTCATTCTTCAACAGTGCAAGGTATCTGTGTCATCCTATTATCATTGCTCTGAAACATAAGGCTTGGGAGGCAGTCTGGAATCCTTCTAAGACTTTGACTCCAAAACCTAACATCTAACAATTATGTGCATCCAGGTAATCAAAGTCTTGCCATCAAGGTACATCGAGGGTCAGTTATCTACAACACCCACCATTTGTCAAACAGAATCATGTGCATTGTGAGGGCTGGGACCATATCTAGTCTGTCTTTGTATCCCAAACCTAGCACTGTTTTGACATCTAGTAGTGGACACCCAACAAATGTTTGTTGAGTGAATATTAAACACAATAACAGGAAATTTTCAGGGATGTTTGTATATAGATCTAATTTTGCATAATTAAAGGTATTTAGGATTGCTCTTGCCATTTAGATATTTGGGTGTGTGAGTGTATGTAAGTGTGTGTGTGTGTGTGTGTGTGTGTGTGTATGTGTGTGTGTGTGTGTAAATAGAGTCTCACTCTGTCACCCAGGCTGGAATGCTGGGGTACGATCTTGGCTCACTGCAACCTCCACCTCCCAGGTTCAAGCCATCTTCCCATATCAGCATCCCGAGTAACTGGAACCACAGGTGCCTGACACAATGCCTAGCTAAGTTTTTGTATTTTTTGTAGAGATGGGGTTTCACCATGTTGCCCAGGCTGGCCCTGAACTCCTGGGCTTAAGTGATCCTCCTGCCTTGGCCTTCTAAAGAATTGAAATTACAGGTGTGAGCCACTGCACCCAGCCACCATTTACGTTTAATAAATTGCAAAAAGCCTCTTTACCCATGATAGCCAAATGAGTAATTATGGTGAACAACTCAGATTCTGTTTTACAGAAAGAAATTATTTGATGGAGACTTTTATGGGGTGTGGTACTCTCCACACATTCCTATAAATTCCATAATCCAGCTAGTGTGTAGAATACCAGAAAAGAAAATTTAATGGAATAGTTTTATAACCCTGGCTGAATGAGATGCAGAAAGTTAAGACATGGCATAAATTGGATAGGCTAATTATTCTAACCTCTTGCCATTTATATGTGTGCATGTATGTGATTGTCAAATAAGACAGACTTCTGTATGAGTATCAATCTTAAAAATTTCTTCTTTTATAGTCAATTTGATTGGGAATCCAAATTTGTGGCTGTGTCTAATTCGGTATTCCATAGAGCTCCTCTTATCATCCTCTAATATATGTCTACAATGAATAACTCTCCACTGTGATTGGCATGGCATAAACCAAGGCATCCAGACACAGGCACTAAAGCATATCCCATAAAAAGAGTTGATGATCACCAAACTTCATTATCTTCCTAGAAGCTAAAGCTAATGCAGCAAAGTCTATAAAGATTATGATCAAACTGGCTCTTTCTATGGAATGAACTAGAATCTCTCCAAAGGTGAACTGCAGAAAACTCCACCTCTCCTTATTTCTGCTTCCACGTCACTGCCTTAAATCTCAAGTACGTGTGAAACTTCTGTGTGCTGAGCCTGAGGCCTGGGAACAACTGGGTGACAATAAAGTCTAGTTAGGAGAGACGAGTTGTAGCATCTGAGACAATCGGTGACAGAACAATACATGATAAAGTGACTGCACTGTACTATTTAGCACTGTATTACATTTTCACATTCATTTTGCATTATTCTATAATTTGAGGTTCAAAATGAATTTTGATGTGGAGAATTTGAAATGACCTTAAGTCTTTCTAAAGAATTGGACATGGGTACCAGAGCCAGAGCTCTCCTCCAAAAACTAAATGCAGTGTACCTCTCAACTGAACTTCCATCACTTTCTCATAGTAGCACGAACCCTTCGAGAACAGGCAAGTTGACTTCCACCCCGGACCTCTCACTGAGCATTTAGTCAGGTTCCACTGCTCTAAACTGTCCGATGGCTCCATGTAAAGGAAGGGAAGATTCCAGTACTACCATTGGCATGATTTGTTTAAGCAAGGATGCTGCCACTCCTTTGGAGGGGAGAGCTGATGTTTACCTGAATTGAGCAAAGCGTTCTTTCTTCTTCCTTTTTTTTTTTAATGTAGAAGCTGTAGGAAAAAAAAAAAAAAAAAAAAAACACGTACTGCTGAGTTCCAGGATTTTCCCTACTGTCATTACAGGTTCCTGATTAGATATAAGAAAATCTGGTGTGTTATGTGTAAAAGATAAAAGGGCACATAGAGGCTGGGCGTGGTGCCCCGTGCCTGTAATTCCAGCATTTTGGGAGAGCAAGGGAGGTGATCACTTGAGCCCAGGAATTCAGGACCAGCCTGGCCAGCAGAGGGAGACCCTGTTTCTAAAAAAATTTAAAAAATAAAAAATAAAAAATTCAGAAACAATTAGCCAGGCTTGGTGGCGCACATCTGTAGTCCCAGCTACTCAGAAGGCTGAGGCAGGAGAATCACTTGAGCCTGGGAGGTCAAGGCTGCAGTGAGCTGTGATTGCATTACTGCACTTTAGCCTGGGTGACAGAGAGAGACCCTGCCTGGAAAAAGAAAAGACCATTTTGAATGTATTTCTAAGGTTCTTCTTCCCAGATATAACTTTTAGAAACAATATTATCCTCTTTTCACTATTGTACCATGTTTTTCATTACCATTTCTACTACTTTTCCACTAATCAAAAGAGAGATTTATATTACTCATCAGCAGTATTTCATATTTTATTTACTTTTTTGTGTATGCTTATACCACTATGATACAAACCACAGTTGAAATATTGCAGGGCCCGTAGTTCTATTACATTAATCTTGGTTTTATAGCAGAATATATTATTAAATATTTATGTGAGATGCAAAAGCCATCAATAGCTGTATTCGACAGTGGATAATCTACAACTGAATACGTTCAAATGTAATCATTTTTTGCACAGGATGGCAGGGATACTCCAATAGAATCTGATGGTTAATTTCTCAGTCTTATTTCTCTATGTAAAGGTATTTTATAAATGAATGTGTAACAGTGAGCAAGTACTGAAAAGTTTTAATTGTCCATCATTTTAGAAGTTTATAAAGTTGATCAGGTAACTTTTTCGTAATGTGGATTTTTCACTTCTGGATTTCTCATACATAGAATTCAGAAAATAAATCTGTGATCATAACACTTTCTCATTAATACAATGTAATCAGTAGCATCAAAATAGTGACTATTTGGAGAGTGTTTGCACTAGCATATGGGTAATAAATTCTACCCCTTCATGTGGCAATAGCCTCTTTTTCTGGAGGGGAGAGGGAGTGAAATCATTGGTTTCTATTCAATTGTGTTGAAAAGAGCACTAGATTTGCAATCAGTAGGTTTGACTCCAAAGCATAGTTGATACTTATTTGTGTTATCTTGGACAGCCACTTATAGTAAATATTGTTAGCTCCTCCTCCCAATCCCCTTTACCAGGTTAGTGTCCCACTCCCTCAACTGCTCAGAGTGTTGGCTCCAACAGAACAGAGCTCTTTGCTTCTCCAGGCATGGAAGCTCATGGAAGGCCAAAGAGGAGCTGCCCAGGAAATTCAGGAGCCTGTGGCTGAGCTGACATGGCACACAAAGGCTAGTTCCCTTGCCTCCAGGTGGGACCAGCTATGTGGTTCAGCATGCTCCAAAGCTCCAGGAGGGATCAAGCTCAATCTGACCTCCAGCTGAGACCATATTCCTTCATCGCTTTTTCCCCTTGCACCATCCTACTTTCCTCACTCCCCTTCTGCTGAAAGCACTCATCCAATATATCATTGAACAAGAATCCCTGTCTCAGGCTCTGGCTCTAGGGAACCTGACCCAAGATACTTTAACCTAATGTCTAGGCCTCAATTTCTTTATCTGTAAAATAAGAGTAATCACTGATCCATGATATTATTGTGAGAATTAAGCAATGCATCATTAGGTGAAAGTGCTTTTGTAACCTGAAAAGAATTAAACAAATGTTAGCCATCTTCAATGTTATTACTAAAACCAATGCTAATAAAGTGACTCTTGTAATTCTCTGAGAGTTGATGTTTCCACTCCCTCAAAGTGTGCTATAAATGCCCTTTTTGGATGCATCTAAAGTGACAACCCTTTTCTCTGCACCGTCACGTGACTTGAATGAAGATTTTCCCAGTTTCTTCCAAATTCTGCTTATGTTAAAATTTTAAGTAGTGTTTTTCCATACAAGTAGATAGATATTTCCGCAATATTCAGCTTTCTTATCTACCCTCCTCACTATCCATGAGATGTTGTCTTAAAATAATTTTTAAAAAGTGACAGAAACTCATCTGTAAATCTGAAACATTTCCCTCAATTAAATTAGAACCATTTAGGGCTATTTTGCTTCAAATCCTATGAGGTATTTATTTACTTATTTATGGGATATTATTTACTTTTTATTTAGAGCATCTAATTGCTTCCTGGACTAGTCAAACCTAGTCAAGAAAGCTATTATGGCATTCCCTAAACTGGATCTTGCTACCTTTTAAATATTATGCATTTTTTCTAAGCAGGCAAAATAAATTGGAATGAGTAAAACCTCACGTTCTTACATACACACTGGGCATATACATCTGAGATAATACACAGGTATCAGTTATATATTTTTTAAGTGTTAGGAAAAGACTATTTAAAATTTAGCTTTTGATGTTCGTTTTTATCCTAGGGACTGTCATGTTTCATAATGCTAACACTGGGCCATACTTTTTCAGATTTTTCAAAATGCCTAGAAGAATAAAAACTCATTCATTCACTTAACAAATGTTTACCAAGTATCTGCTAAGTGCAGAACACTGTGCCAAGAATCTGTGGGTACAATGGTGAGGAGAAACATATACGACACCTGCCCTCTTCAGGTGCAGTGTAGATAATGAGACTGACTTTAATCAAAGAATGAGCAAATGTAGCTAACTTGTGCTAGGTGCTATAAAAATAGTGAAAGTTGAGCAACTCCAAGTTGTCAGAGGAAGCTTCCCAAAAAAGTAATCGTTAAGCTGACATTGGAGAAAAAGTGGGAGGAAGTAGAGGGGGAAAGAGCATTCCAAGCAGAAATAGTAGCATGTGCAAAGGCACCGTGGCAGGAGGGGACATGGTCAAATGTTACAGGTCAGGTTAGAAGGCTTAAGATAATAAGACAAGCATTTAAACTAAGAGCAATAATCCAGACAAGCTATGAGCAGAATTGAAAAGGGAAGGTCCCTAGCTAAGATCCATCTCAGTCCAGTGAAAATGTATTTTGTGTCTTCCACATCAAGCGACTGTGCCCACGTTAGTTCTAGGAGGCCTTCCCAGTGGGGACCCCACCAACACCTTTCAGCACTATTGCACTCTGTCCTCCACACACCTGCCTCTGAAAAATCATCCTTCCTTAGCCCTGAATGGCTGGCTCTCACACAAAGGCTACTAAAAGCAGTGAGATCCTTATCATACAGTTATATTTATTAAGTCTGAATCCATCGTCCACAGTAGCTTCCTGGGTTATATGCCCAACATGGATGTGCTTTAAACCCTCCAGAAGTTTATCCTTGCTTGTAGAATAAAATTGGTTTTGCATAGAGAGATCTTCAAGACTGCACTCTCTTCACCCCCATCTCACATTTTTTCCTGTATCATTAAATCTGAGAAATTCCAGACAGCTTTTGATATCAAGTTTTCAGCAAAGTTGGTGCATACCATAATGTTTCAGTCTTCTGGCCTTTCTTCTGTTTCAGTGCTCAGCTCAAACAACCCCTCCTCAAGGAAGCTTTTTCTCACTTCCCATTGCCCCCTCCCAAACAAGTTATCTGTCCTCTGCTGTGACCCAGTATCATCTCTCCATATTCTTTGTTATATTTTCCATATTATTAAGCTTATTCAATTATGTGTCGATCAATAGCCCCCACTAAACTATGAGTTCCACAAAGGCAAATACATGATTTTTTTTCTATATCTCCAAGGACTAGTATAGCTTCTGGTAAACAAAAAAGATTATTAGACTAACTGAGCTGGTGGCAGGTCAGTTTGCCTTCCAGACCCTTTAAGTCAACTGTCCAGGAATCTAGACCAGCACTGTAAAATGGAAATACAGTTGCCCCTCAGTATCTTTGGGGAATGGTTCCAGGACCTCCCACGGATACCACAATTGGTGGATGTTCAAGTCCTTTATATAACGTGGTATAGTATTTGCATATAACCTATGCACACCCTCCCATATACTTTAAATCATCTCTAGATTTCTTATAATACCTAATACAATGTAAATGCTCTGAAGATAGTTGTTACAGTGAATCGTTTAGAGAATAACAAGAAAACAAGTCTGTGCATATTCAGTACAAATGCAATTTTTTTGAACAGTTTTAATCTGCAGGTGGTTGAATGAACAGATACAGAACTCATGAATAGAGAGTGCTGACTATATAATATAATGCAAGTCACATTTTAAATTTACTAGTAGCCATATTTAAAAAGTAAAAATAAATAGGTGAAATTAACATTAATAATATATTTTATATAATGCCATATAGCCAACATATCATTTCAACATATAATCAATATGAAAATTAATATATACATTTTTATACTACATATCATAAATCTAGTGCATATTTTACACTTACAGCAGATGTCCATTTGGACTGATCACCTCTAAAATTCTCAAGAGTCACATGTTGCTAGTGGCTGCCATATTGGACAGTGCAAATCTAAGATAGTTGGCATCCAGGTAAGGTCAGCAACCACAAAAAAAGAAAAAACCTGAAACTAAATTGAACAGAATCAATAGGGGCCTCATCGAAAAGACCTTGAAGAAGTCAAATGATAATTTAGACGCTTATGTAATCTGATTTGGTTTTCTATGTTGATGGGATGAAATATCTCTACTTGTTTCTACATAATATCTGTAGATAGTTTAAGTATTGTATCATTATTACCTGAAAAAATAAGTCAAATCAGCGTTTCCTCTGTTTTTTATGAATCCCTGTTCTTGGTTCTAAAACCTCAGATTCATTTGAGGTAGTTGGATGCAGTGGGTTAAAGAACATTGTGAGATGATATTTTAAATTCTGGAAAATACTGTATTACGGAAGAAAAAAGCCAACAACTGGAATACTGTTGCCTAGGAACATTTCTCCTCTTGCCCCAGAATCAGTATTTTAGCTTTTCTCGATTGGTCAATTTGTTAATATCACAGAGTGAGTGAGAATCAACAAAGTATCCTGCCCCCCTTCCCCCACCACAGAAACATATGGAAATGCAGAAGTAAAGTATATGGGCGGAAAGACCATAATCCTCCTTAGTATGACTATTCAGCCTTTGCATCTAGTTCAAGGACTAGCAGTTATTTCTTGAGAAATATAATCTTACTTCATTCATTCTTTTAGTCACTTGTTCAATGAATATTTATTGAGCATTTATTATATGCCAGACCTTGTGCTAGGCCCCACAGCCATACAATCACTGTCTTTCAGGTACATGAGCCTCTTGAGGGAGTCAGACTTGAACAATATGCACAGTGAAAGGTATGAGAGCTTTTAGAAGCAGGATGGAGCCTGGACCAGAGGTTCATTAAGGAAGAGTCATTGAGGTGAGAACTGAAGGGGAAGCAAGAGTTGACTAGTTGAATGGAAAGGGGCAGAGCATTCCAGGTAGAGGAATGAGCATATGGAAGACACAGATTTAAGATTGCATATAGTTATCTTGGCTTCCAGAAGCTAGCCCTTCTAGGAGTGAGAAGAAGCTCATGAAGAGTGCAGGGTAGAACTTAAGGACTAAAATGGCAGTTAGTGAGGCTGGAGAAGTAGGTTGGAGGTCAAGTTCACAAAGAGCTGAAAATGATAAAACCCCAGGTGCCTACGAGATGTTGTTTGCAATGGGTTAAAAAGAGTGGCAGAGTGCCTGCCTGGAGATGGAGGTTGGTAGATGAAGTGGAAGCAATGGGGCAAGGTGGCAGACAAGAGTGGAGAAGAAGAATGAAGAGTCAGAAAAAAAATTAGAGGACTTCATTAAACACAATAGATCAAAACTGCATTTGAACCAATGATCATGATGCAATAACCTTGGAAAGGCGATCCACTCATCAAAAACCTATTATTTTCAGGCTCTGTGCATATATTGTCTTATTTCATTCTCCCGACAATGTATTTTGCAATAGAGAAACTGAAGCTCTGAGCAGTTTTGTAACTTTCCCACGATTATTTCTTAACAAGTGGGTGCACAGGAATATAAAATATGATCTGTCAAGCTGCAATGTCTACACTCTTTCCACTAGGCCAAGAAAAAAGGGAATTTTACTTAGCTGATGTTTAAGAGTAACTTTAGAGTTAAAATAGAGTTAGTCTCTGACATTAAAAGTTATATTGGAAAAGTTGTTAAACCTTATCTGCTTGGCCTTAAATGTTAAAACTGAGCATTTTCTAGTTTCATTACCTTTCTACATGCATAGGTAGTCATAAGATGATATATTTCAGTACTTTGAACTAGCAGACAGAATGGTAACACATAAAAATCCACATTTATTACATTCTAGTTCAGATAGATAACATTTTTTAAAGTATAATATTTTAAAATCATTAAAAAGTTTAACTAAATTAAATTGCTTTGGTCCAATAATATTTTATGAGATTTACATAATTTCAAGATATGTCTTTAGAGGAAACCATAATCAAGTCCATTAACAGCACTATTGTAACTTTTTTTAAAAAAAAGATGTGTGGTTTTACAAGAAAAAAAGATATATGTATGCTTAGATCAAGGAGTAACTTTGACTCTCTGCTATAATGTACAACTTAGCCATTTTCTACTGAAGTTTGTTAAATAATTTTTTCATACCTGCTTTGTTTTGTATTAAGGCACTAAGCAGTTTTCCTGCTTTGCAGAGCTAAACTGGCAGCACAAACTTGCTTTTCTCTACAGCTTGACGCTGTAGTCATGACCCTCTCATACAATGAAGAATATCAAGAAAAGATCTGGAAATGAGGAGGGCAATACATGAAGTTTCAAGATAGTTGTCGCTATAAATCTGTAATAGAACCTGCCATCATTGCCAGTGGCCTTGCAATTGACTATGGAATGGGACCATCTGAAAGTACAGCTTTTATTGTTGCCTTCTCTCTTCCTCAATACATGTTGTCTTATACAATAAGGGTTGCTCCTCTTCCTGGTAACTTTCTCTGAATAAGTGTAATTCTCCAAGGGTAATAATGTTCTCTGTTTGCTGTGCCATTTATGTCATGTAAATTAGTCTTGGCTTCAAGAATGGAGCTTCTAATTTTGTTTGCCCCCATCACAAATATAGGATTACACAAATTCTAAGATGATTGCTCCTGCAAAATGTCCTCATAGGTTGACCCTACGAACCTTCAGTTTTCACAATTAATGCCTCCAATTTTTAAAGCATCAGTCTCAGAGAGAGTAGTACCTCTCAGTGTGAATCTGGGACACAAATGTTTGGTCTCTCTGGGCCCCTATGAGGAAGAAAAAGGATGAAGTGGTCTGCTGTGGTTATTGGCATCTCACAGATGGGGAAACATAAGAAGGAGTTGACTTGAGATTCCTCACGTATAGCAAACAAAGTGGGGAAGTGTAGTATGGAATATTACCAAGCAGCAGTGTCCTATAAGTTATCAATACATTGATGCCTATTTCAAATAACATCATTATTGAAATATAATTCACATCCCATACAATCCACCCATTTAAAAGTACAAGTCAATGGTTTTCAATGTATACAGAGGCCTGCATTCATCACCACAATCCATTTTAGCACATTTTCTTTACCCCGAGAAAGGAACTCTGTATCCCTTAGCCATCACCTTGTCATCCCACCTCTACACTTTCCCAACCCTAAGCAAGCCACTAATCTACTTTTTGTCTCTCTAGATTTGCCTATTCTCGGCATTTCATATATATTCACAGTACAGTATATGGTCCTCTTGGATTGGCTTCTTTCATGTAGCATAATGATTTCAAGATTCATCCACATTGTAGCATGGATCAGTACTTCATTTCGTTTTTTTTTTTTTTTTTTTTTTTTTTTTTGAGATGGAGTTTCGCTCTTGTTGCCCAGGCTGGAGTACAATGGCATGATCTCAGCTCACCGCAACCTCCGCCCCCTGGGTTCAAGCGATTCTCCTGCCTCATCCTCCAGAGTAGCTGGGATTACAGGCATGTGCCACTATGCCTGGCTAATTTTGTATTTTTAGTAGAGTCAGGGTTTCTCCATGTTCGTCAGCCTGGTCTCAAACTCCCGACCTCAGGTGATCCACCCGCCTTGGCCTCCCAAAGTGCTAGGATTACAGGTGTGAGCCACTGTGCCCGGCCTTCATTTCTTTTTATTGCAAGCAATATGCCATTGCATAGATATAGGATATTTTATTTATTTATTCATTAGCTGATGGGCATTTATGTTGATTCCATCTTTTGGCTATTAAGGATACTGAGGTCAACATTTACGTACAAGTTTTTGTCTGGACATATGTTTTCATTTTCCTTCAGTATACGAGGTAGAATTGTTAGGTCATATGGCACCTTCTGTTTCACCTTTTGAGGAACCATCAGACTTTTTTCCAATGAGGCTCCATCATTTTACATTCCTACCAGTAAGTAGTATATGAAGAGTCTCAATTTCTCCACATTCCCATCAACACTTGTTATCTTTTTGTTTCTTGTCATCCTAGTAGATGTGAAATGGTATCTTATTGTGGTTTTGATTTGCATTTCTCTAATGGCTAACAATGTTGGGCATCTTTTAATGTGCTTACTAGTCATTTGTATTAAAGCCTGTTTAAAAGAAAGTTTCTCTGCTGACTTTTAAAAGTAACACCAGTTGAATACCAGGTAATGGGCAGAGTCCTTCAAATAAACCATTGGCTTTTTGGCCTTTCCTGTTTCTGCTCACATCTATAAAGCTGCAGCTCCATTTGAATGGAGAAGGAGCATCTCATAGCAAGCAGGCCCTTTACTACTATCTGAGGAAATGCACTTAAAAGAAGTCATTTCTACCCCTAGCATAAGGAAATCAAGAGGCAAAATGCATTCCACTGTCCTTTTTTCAAACTATATTTAAATGGTCACAAGAACAGATGAGTATCCCTTCAGATATTTCTCAAATGCATGATGCATCTTCTTGAAGGATGAACCAAAAAGACTTTTGAAGGAAAAGTTTCCAATTTACACAGAAAATATTTACAAGTTGTTTTTAATGTGTGTGTATACTGTATTATAAACCACTTCATATCAAGAGCTGTGTCATCTCTTTAATACCACTAAAGTTCTTTACAAAATATAAAGCATACTGTAGCTTCTCACAAATTAGTACATTACTAACTGAATTATCTGGCTTAGAAGAATCCACACCTTAAGCCTCAGTAAGCTAGGAGGACACCGGAAGTTTCTTTTCTGTGTACATTCATTTATATGTTCTCAAGATAGTAAGATCCATAATGAGAGTGATTTTTCTTGCTTTTCAGCTTAAGTGTCTGAACAAAGTCCATTTATAAATGTTGAGCTCCTACACATTTGCTAATGTCCCCAATGGAAAGAAATCAAAATGATCAAATTTGCAAATTGTGATTTTTCTGTGTATTTCCAACCTCAAAACCATTATGTCATTTGTTATAATGCAATTTTGGCAAAAATAAGAATTTGATCATATCCACACAATTTAAAAGCCAAGGAATGCTGTCTAGTTCCTCTTACCTGACAGTCTTTCAGAGGTAATTACAGCACCATTTCCCGAGGCTGGTCTTGAGAGATAAAAGCTCACGAAAGAAGCCTGATGGTTCAAGGGTGGGCAGCAGCACCTGCTGTAAAGTACAGGCAGAAGCAAACTCCTGAGACTCAGCTGTTGAGTACCAAGGCTTCCTTTGTGCAGCAGAATGTAGGAGGAGGCCCGAGCTGGTTTTGGCATTGACCCTTCCTGGTGGGCCGCTCACCCAGCCTGCCTGCAGCAGGACTGGAATAAACGTTCCCTGCCAAAAGGAAATTCTCAATCGGCCTGCCTGACCAGAAAAACAAAGCAAATGAAAGACTAATTCAAAAAAGTTCATTGATCTTGTTAAAATTAATGATGGGCTTAAAGTTTACTTACTGTTAATTATGGTGGCCTCCTAATGTCCCATGAATCCTCTGTAAAATAGGGATAGTTTACGTCTCCTGTGGCCAAAGACTTTCTTTATCAGAGTTGTTACCAAGGCCAGGTGCAGTGGCGCACACCTGTAATCTCAACACTCTTGGAGGCCAAGGCAGGCAGATTACTTGAGGTCAGGAGTTCAGGAGCAGCCTGGCCAACATGGTGAAACTCCATCTGTACTAAAAATGTAAAAATTAGCTAGGCATAGTGGTGCACAACTGTAGTCCCAGCTACTCTGGAGGGTGAGACATGAGAATTGCGCCACTGCACTCCAGGCTGATGGACAGAGCAAGACTGTCTCAAAAAATCAAACAAAAAGAGTTGTTACCAACTTAAGAAATATTTGGTTGCATCTTCATTTCATTGAGAAACACTAGCAATTTGAAACTCAAAGAAACTTGTAAAAAAAATGGCCACCATTTTTAATTTTTGCAAGTCTAGAGACAAGGCAAATTTAATCTTTTTAATTAGTTAAACAAATAATTAGTTTTCAGATATAAATACAGATGTAAAGAGAAGTAAAAGTCATGAACGCACTAGTATTTTTGCCAGCTGTGGCTATTAGTTAAAAGTGGCCACTAACTGTATAGTCCATTCCTTTCTACAATTTTTTTTTACACAAAACCTAAGAATTACAAAATTTTTAGTAGTTACTAAACATGAAGTTTTTCAAGATATTTATATTAAAGAGATTTTATGGTTTCTAAGATCACTTTTATTGAGAATCTTTTCCTTTTGTAAATCTAGGTCATTGGATTTAACACTAAAATTATAAAGGACAGGAGTTTCCAGTTTCCTCACCTATGAAAAGGGGGATTCAATAATAGCTGGCACTCAGTAAATGAAGCTGTTATTTTTACTGTTACTATCATTACTCAGGTCTCCACTCTTGTTCATGTTCCAGTTTGTGGGCCCATATTGTATTTCTGTGGGACTTTCATTTTTACTTCTCAATCCGAAGGCTGTCTAGGTAGAAACACTAATGAGCCCTTATTATGTGCTAGGAGTGGTTCTGGCAGCTTTACAGGTAACTGTGGTATCTTCATAGAGACTCACAAAGGTCAGCATACACTCTTCACTTTATCTATGAGAAAACTAAAGTTCGGAGACATTAAGCCACCCAACCAAAGTTACAAAGATGGTTAAATTAAAAACCTGTGATACAAATTCAGACTTTTCTGATTTCAAAGCCCATGTTTTTTGCCCTATTCCAAGTATTCTTTTTAATTACAATATAATGTTAAGAAGTACAGTTTCATTCTCTCAAAAAACCATACAATAACTCAAAATAATCCAATTCAGTTCTGCCTAGTAGGGAAGATCTGATTTAATTAATAAATTCTAATGGTTTAGAAGCAGCATGTCATTTGTTTCTATGTAAACAGCACTCCTACAGGGCTTGTCAGAGCTGAAAACAATTTGTCCTGTAAGTATTTTAAACATTCCCTCTGCAATCTGGTTTGCACTATTAATTTTACACTATTAAGAAAGCATTTACCAAGCAAAAATAAGCCAACACAGCTTGAGCCTATCAAAATGATAATAAATTTTGAATTCGTGGAATTTTTATTAGGTTTTTGTATATTTTAGTGGATTTCAGAATTCACACCAGATTATTATGCAAAAACCCAGGTCAACTAAAAAATCCTTTAAAGGAAAAGAAAAAAACAGGTATATATTTGTATCAGCATCCCTATCAGCAGTGCTGTTTGAGCTGTCTTCCCACCTGGGCCTTCACCATTGTGTCATCATTAGTGGTCAGTGATCTAAGAGTTGGTGTCTGTACATACACAGGACATTCCTTTACAGGCCTCCAGCCTCTGAGACAGTAACAGAGCCCCCATGGCAGCCCGCCAACTTGTGAAAATGTGACAAGGTATGTAAAAAGGCCATAGCCACTGCTGGACATGGTGGCTTATGCCTATAATTCCAGCAACTTAGGAGGCCAAGGCAGGCAGATGGCTTGAGCCATGGAGTTCAGGACCAGCCTGGGCAACATGGCGAAACCTCGTCTCTACAAAAAAAAATAGCCAGGTGTGGTGGCATGTGCCTATGGTCCCAGCTACTTGAGAGGCTGAGGTGGGAGGATCACTTGAGCCCAGGAGGCAGAGGTTGCAGTAAACCAAGATGGCATCACTGCACTTCAGCCTGAGTGACAGAGAAACTGTCTCCAAAGAAAAAGAGGGGAGGTGGGGGAATAGTCGCTTTTTGCACACTTACCCACGTGACAGAGGAGGGAAAAACCACTGATTTCTCAAACCAAACTCCAGACTGCCTCACAATTGCCTCAGTTGTCTCAACTGATTCCCTAATCCTGATTCAAACCAATTGTACTTCCTGGATAGAATGACTGTGTGGTGGCCAAGGCAAAGGATCAGAGCTTAAAGGACACAAAAGTCATTAAATGAGTAATAAACATCAGGTTGAAGAGTCCAGTGCCCCCAGTGTCCACCCAGAAGACAATGGTGGCCCTTTCATGCTCCCTATCAAGGAAAATATCCACTAAATAGATCTATGAAAATGCAAAATTGTTTCATTCTAAAGTCTATCTTTTATGTCTTTAAGGTGGGTCATTTATTCTAAAGCTATTCTCTTTTATCCTGGTTCTTTGAAACAAAAACCAAAGCAAAAAACCTGTGAGTTCCCTTAGTAGACACACTTCTGCCTGTGGTAGAGGAGGTATAAATAATTTATTGCATTTCCATTAAGGTCAACCTACAGTGTACATGTGTCAGAGGAGTATGAGCTCTGAGCTAATGATTAAGGATCAAGATAGGTGAGGTTTCTGATGCATTCTGTGAATACCGATGTGTGCTGACATGTAATTTGCCAATAGAGATATGGAAAGTAGCAGAAAGACGAAGGTGACTGTAATAGGATTCTACAGACAGCATGTTATATAGAGTGCATTCCAGCACTTTCTCCTCTTTCCTTGCACGGCTTGATTAGCCATCTGATGTTTCTTCAAGAGCATTTGTGAAGGAATAGGAATTGCTGCCGGCCAGGCTCTATTAGAGCCCTGGTTAATTAAATCTCTCAGAAGGGATTCTGTTTGGTTTAATGAAGTGGGTGCGAGAAGGAATCAGAACCAGCATTAGATACTTATATGTTTGTCCTGCTGACACCTAACAGGTTTCATCTTCTCCCCCAACCTCCTGCTGGGCCTCATTCACCTCCCACCTGTCTCACCTGTGTCTCTCTCATCTGCCTGTGGCCACTCTCCTGGGAGAGGCCTTTGGTCTCTTCCCAGAATTATTGCAACAGGCTCCTGGCTGACCTCTGAGGATTATTCTGGGCCTTTCCCTTTACTTCATCCTGCTGTTGGCTGAGTTGTAGCCATAAATTAAGCATGCCTGGCCTCTGCTCAGAAACGCCTGAGGGTCCCTTGCCACTCCTGTTTTCATTCCCCATCGCTTACTATTGTCCTTTGCTTGGCCCCCAAAGGCTTGGGATTCTATTCCCTCCACCAGGACCAGATACCCCTCTGCTAACTATAGAAATACTCTGCCCCAAAGCATCTAGTGCCCAGGCCTATGCCTCAGTTTCCTGTCTGCCCCATCTTATTGTTCTTTTCCGTTCTTTCTCTCTCTGAAAAAAGTCCCCTGGAACTCCAAGGACATATTTTGTTTGGCCGATTTCATGAGAAAATGTATTTTGAATACATATAGCACAGTACTTGACACTCACTAAATAATTAACAATGGTGATGATAATCATTATAAAATCACTTAGAATAGTCCCATAACAATTGCTTAATATTAGTCTTCACCCCTCCTTCGTTGCTTACATAAGAGCCATTCGCAGAACTCCGAAATTATAAAAGCTTTACTTCTTAAAAGCTTTTGACTTTCAGAGTTGCCAACACACTAAACTCTTTCATGCCTTCTGTATTCTTGTCTTCCTGCTCTTCAACTCACTGCCTCTTACTTATCCTTCTGGTCTCTTCTGAATGTCACCTCCTCAGCAAAACATCCCCTGACCATCCTAAGGAAACACCCTGACCCCCATCCACTCTAACTTCACTTTGTCCCTTTCCTTTTGGTGTTCAGTGCTACTTGTAATCATCTATGTGTTTGCAGTAATCTGTTTGTGTGATACCATCTGTCTCTCACCCTATACTATGAGGTCCACAAAGGCAGAGGCCGTGATGTATCCCAGCTCCTGGCACAAGACCTGCCCCATTGTGGTCACTCCATAAATATTTGTTGAATTAATGACCCATTTCAACTCTTTGCACATTGTCATTCAGATGTTGGAAATGAGGACCACAAAGAGCTATCAGTAATGGAAAAGGCCAACAAAAACATCTGAGTATGCTGAGCATTCTGACTTTGGAGAAAAACTGTTCTCATTGTGAAACTTCTGCTGTGTTACTCCTGGAACACACTCGCATTGCTCTTCCCAATGTGTGTGTGACTTGACAAGCCATCCTTCCCAGTTCCACTCAATACTGAGAGCATTCTACTGGAAAACAGAAACATTATCTGCTTCAAACATTGGTGATATCTGAATTCAGTAAAGTGCCCATAGGGACAGTCAATGGAGCAAGCTGAGAAAATAGGAAACTGTCCTTTAAGTGTGTTTGCACAGATTTATTTCGACCTCAGCTTCAATTACCCAACTTAAGTTTCTACTGAACACCTTTGCCTAACAGGTACAAGATAGGCACACACAGGATCCCAAAATTATCAAGTTTTCCACTCCAAAAGTACTTGATTTTGAGAGTTAAGCTTAAAATTCTTGTTATTGCAGTTGCTCTGTTTGAACACATTTCAGAACAATCCTTTTGGGAATACACGTTTGTCAAGGTAACATTCTTGAACCTCTCAGGACCCACTTGCAGGAGCATTCAGAGAAGTGGGTGTGCTTCCTACAAGCAACCCAACAACTGCTATGGGCACCTCTCATTTTACTATTTTTTAAAAGAAAATCAAAATTCTCATCTCATTTATTTTAATGCTTTAGCACAGGAAGGTAGGTATTTTTTTTAAGTTAGGGACTCCCAATTAAATTAATCACAGGCTTTGAAATTAATTCAGGTGGAAGTGTCAGCCTCTCCAGGGAGGTATCCCAGAACCCCCAGTGTGTGCCTGTGGCCCTTTTCTGTGCTCTCACAGCATCCTACACATCTCAGTATTGCACACTGTCCCAAAGGACTTGCCCCCTTGAGGACAGGGACTATGTCTTTCAGCTCTGAGTCCCAAGGAATTTCTAAATCCCAAACTATATCTTGCACTTTGCCTGGCATATAGTAGGAGTTTAATAAATAATGATAAATGAATAATTAGCCAATGACTTGGAGATATGGGTCAACTGTCCATCCCTTTATAACCTTCTTAATTTTCCTGTATTTTAGACAGTATCTACACAAGTAACACCTAATTAATATGTCACCAAATACCATATTGTGAAGCATATGGCTTGATATGAGAAATCAGGTAGCTCCAGATGTGAATATTTACTCATTTATAAAAAAAGTTGTTACCTATATTGTACAATAAGTACCGTGTTGAGCATGTCTTAAAACAGTGGGCCAGAGGCCGGGAGTGGTGGCTCACGCCTATAAGCCCTGCACTTTGGGAGCAGAGGCGGGTGGATTGCTTAAGCCCAGGAGTTCAAAGCCAGCCTGGACAACAAAGGGAGACCCTTTCTCCACCAAAAACAAAACAAAACAAAGCAGTGGGCCAGAGATTACCTTGTTGATAATAAACAATGGCTCTTGTTTAAATTTAGTCAAATGAGTGTGTGATCTATAGACCTATGTAAAAAGTAGTCCACAATGACACAAGCTACATTTGTCATGAATATAACTAGTGAGTTGAGACATTTTTTGCTCCTGCTTGTTGAGGTTTCGAGAAGGCATGCCCAACAAATCCACTCACACTTCAGGTTAGTTATTAGCACATACTAGACATGGTATGACCTGAACCATTCATCCAGTGACAGCAGCCCTATTTCAAAATCTTTTTTTCTTTTATGTCAGATGAAGATGACATCACTACTATCACTTTCTAGACTAGGGCGGTGGAGCAATGGCCACTCGCTGTAGATAGATTCCAACATTATTTGGCTGTTATCTTCTTTCTGCGTTTTACCTCATAAGGATGACATGAGGATTCACAGGAAAAATTGTATCCAGTTCTTTGAAATGATTGGTAAACATGGCAGATACTCATTTCATTGGCCAATGAAATAATAGTCTACAAGCCAGTGGAGGTTGATTTTGGGTTTTTTTTTTTATTATTTATTTTTTTTTTTTTAGAGACAGGGTCTCACTCCATTGCGCAGGCTAGAGTTCAATGGTGCAATCATAGCTCACTGTAGCCTCAGACTCCTGGGCTCAAGGAATCCGCCTGCCTCAGCCTCCCAAAGTGCTTGATTACAGACATAAGCCACTGCACCCAGCCTATTCTTGCTCTTTAATCATCACACATTCATGCTTTCCAATTCTAATAAGGACCCCGTTACTGGCCGGGCGCAGTGGCTCACACCTGTAATCCCAGCACTTTGGGAGGCTGAGGCAGGCGGATCACGAGGTCAAGAGATCAAGACCATCCTGACCAACATGGTGAAACCCCGTCTCTACTAAAAATACAAAAATTAGCCAGGCGTGGTGGCACACACCTGTAGTCCCAGCTACTCGGGAGGCTGAGACAGGAGAATCGCTTGAACCAGGGAAGTAGAGGTTGCAGTGAGCCGAGATAATGCCACTGCACTCCAGCCTGGCAACAAAGCAAGACACTGTCTCAAAAACAAAACAAACAAAAAAAACCCCAAAACAAACCAAAAAAAACCCAAAAAAGGACCCCATTATTAAAAGCAACTCCAAAGTTTAATTGTCTACTTTAAGTGAACATTTTTATAATGCTACCTTAGTTGCCTGAGTTATAGCTTAGGCAGCAAGACATAAAATGTGTTGTTCTAAATTGATTTGTTCATAAAAGTAGAAATACTCAAAATAGAGAAAAATGGCTGAGTATCAGAAGGGCACGTGTGGGCCATAGGTGCACATCTTTGTCCATGAAAGGCTCTAACCAGGACCTCTCCATATCCCAATATCACCACCACCCATCACAAAGCAAATGACCCTTCAACAGGAAAGTCTCTTCCTTTTTTCCACCAAAGTCCTCATTTATCAAAATCAGAACTAGGCAGATGACTATAAATTGGGGGCAAGGTAGGGGATAGTTGTTGGTAAGAGAAATTGGTGCCAGACCCCAAGAAGATGACCACTCCATACAAAGCCAGCACCAGTTCTTTCACTAACATAAAGAGGAAACGCATCTAGCTCAGGAAGCTGCACAGAGATAAGAACTGGGGTATGGTTGAGTTACCTGCCTTGAGCTTGATGACAGCAACAGGTTTAAGTGGCCTTGAGAGGCAGAGAAAAGTAGATGAGTGCATCCAGACCAGATAGAGGGGTTTGAAGGGAGAAGCAAACACAAGGAAAACTAAACTCACAGACCCTCCTCAAGGGTTTAGATACATTAGGAAGGGGACAAGGGAATAAAGCTGCATATTTACTTTCATGGGCCTCAGGCACTTTTGCTTTTGTGGGATCCTTCCTTTATTAAAACCATATTAAAAGAATAGGAGAAAATATTTGCAAGGCATATACCTGATAAAGGATTAATATCCAAAATATGTAAGGAACTCCTACAACTCAATAGCAAAAAATAAAATAAAATAACCCAATTTAAAAACGGACAAAAGAATTAAACAGACAGTTCTCCAAAGAAGACACACAAATGGCCAACAGGTATATTAAAGATGCTCAACATCACTAATCATCAGGGAAATGCAAATCAAAACCACAATGAAATATCGCTTCACACCTAACAGATTGGCTGTTATCAAAAAGACAAGTGTTGGCAAGGATGTGGAGGAATTGTAATCCTTGTACACTATTGGTTGAAATGTAAATGAGTATAGCCACTATAGAAAATAGTGTGGAAGTTCCTCAAAAAACTGAAAGTAGAACTACCATCTGATCAGGCAACCCCACTTCTGAGTTGATATCCAAAAGAATTAAAATCAGGATTTCAAGGTGGTATCTGCACCCCCCTATTCACTGCGGTATTATTCACAATAGCCAAGGCATGGAAACCACCTAAATGTCCAGCAGCAGATGAATGTATAAAGAAAACATGCTATATACATACAATGGAATATTACCAGCCTTAAAAAAGGAAATCTTACCATATGCAACAACCATATGGATGAACCCGGAGAGCATTATGCTAACTGAGATAAGCCAGTCACAGAAGGACAAATACTGAATGATTCCATTTATATGAAGTTCCTAGAGTAGTCACATTCATAGAGCCAGAAAGTAGAATGCTGGTTGCCAGGGGCTAGAGGGGAGAGAAATGGGGGGTTGCTGTTCAATGAGCATAAAGTTTCAGTTACATAAGATGAATAAGTTCTAGAGATCTGTGTACAACGTGGTGCCTATACTTAACAATACTGTATTGTGCACTTATTTTGTTAAGAGGGTAGATCTCAAGTGTTCTTACTGCAGTAAAAATACATTTTAAAAAAACATATTAAAATTGTATAATTGCATTGAGAAAAATATGAATATAATTCAGGCTGGATTCATTACTGTATATTACTTGTATCATAGTCATTTTTCTTCTAATTCTAACTGAACTTGAGTTCAATAATGCAGAACTGGAACATTCCTCATGTTATGTTCTCATCTGAAAGGAAACAGTGTGTCCCATAATGGGAAACAGTATAGGGTAAGGGTTCAAATGTCACTTTTTTCCACCTATGTATGAGCTTAAGCAAATTAATATATGTGAGTTTTGGCTTCCCCATAAGTTGTAATTTTGAGGATTTAAGTGAGGTAATGTATACAAAATACTTTGCCTACTGCCTGTGACAAAGCACTACAAAAATGGTGGCTCTTAATAAGGATAGCAATTTTGTGACATATAGAAAAACTACCAGCCTGGACAACATAGCAAAACTCCATCTCTATAAAAATACAAAAATTTGCCAGGTGTGGTGCCATGCACCTGTGGTCCCAGCTACTCAGGAGGCTGAGGTGAGAGGATCACTTGAGCCTGGAAGGCAGAGGTTGCAGTGAGCCAAGATCACGCCACTGCACTCCAGCCTGAGTGACAGAGTAAGACCTTTTCTCAAGGGGGAAAATAGAGAAAAGAAAAGAAAGAAAAATTATTGAAGTGGAGTCAAAATAGATGGCTTCTAGTTCTGTTCCCCCCACCAACGTACTAGCTATGTGACCTTGAGCCAGACAATTAAATTTTCTGAATCTTAGTTTCATCATCTGTAATAATATCCACCTGCCAACCTCACAGGATTGCTGAAAGGAATGAAATAACAGATGTAGAAACACATGTATTATAACTGAAAGTATCATACAACAGGAATTATTACCAAAGAAATTGAAAAATTTTGTAGAGAAGGGAAGTATATAGTGTCTGGCACACAAAAGCTATTCAGTAGATGTTTATTGAATGAATTAACAAATGAATGCATACCTCACAAAGTTCCCAACACTCAAAATACCAAAATCTTGATTGGTATACTTCATTGTGAAAAGCATTATAAAGACATCCCTAGAAAATAATATCAAATTTCATGAGAAGGAGATCACAACTAATAATCCATAAATATAACTTTTGCCAGCATTTAAGTGTCTTAGATTGCAGGCTTCTGCAAGATACACATTACTTGTAGTTTTGTATCCCCAGCATTTCCCATCCCAGTGTTGACATGCAATAGGCACCCAGCAGGTACTTACAAATTGAACTTATCCAATAACCCTTGCTCTTGTAACCAATCTTACAATAATATCTCTTCATAATGAATCATTCTTAATTCTCTTATTTCCTCCAAACTCTCCCTTGTTCTCTGTGTCAGTAAAACTCTGAAATTAAAAAGGGCTTTCAAGGTATATGATTTAAATGGATAAATTGCCAACTGCACTTCTATTTTAAATTTACGTTGTTACCTTTACAGCTAAAAAGTGCTTGAGAAAACATACTTTGTATTATAGGAGATCCAGTAGAATAGTTTCAACTCATATGGTATCTTACCCAAATCAAACTTCAGAAATTCACTAGTGATTCTTGCTAGTATGAATGGCTTCCATCATGCAAGTCCATTACACCTTGGAGCATAATCATGACCAAATCTAGGAGTTTCTCACTGATGGGACCAGTTCTTCATGCTCTTTTCTCAGCCTTAGAGAGTGGCCCTTCCATGTCCAAGAACAATGTGCTCAAATGTGAAATCTTAAGCAGCTTGTCAGTTTCACACAGCCTGTTGAATCCTTGAAGTAGTGACCATTTGCTTGTTAAAATAGAGAGTGACTTTGGAGAATAAGCATGTGGTGCATTTTATGGAAATTGCTCCATTTGGCAGCATCTGAGTATAAATTGGCATCTCAGCAGTGCAGCTGTGATTGTAATTGACTAAAGTTCTCAGCAGAAAGAGCTCTGACCATCTTTCTCAGGCAAATAGCTCTGTCAGAAAAGCTTCATCCCCAACATTTCCCAGTCAGCCTTTCAAAGTTAAATCTCATAAACCGGCTTTCTTTGATGTGGTCTTCTGCAGTTTTCTCCCTTCCCCATCACTTCTAATGTGGTGGTGGTTTGTGCATTGCAAGAGTCCCTGGATAGTTGTTTGGTTGTTAATCAGCTTTAGTTCTGGGAAGAAACTTCCCCCAGAAGGAAGCTTGTAGATTTCTCTTACAAGTTGAAGAGGTTTCTGTGACTCTAATTTCTGTCCTAAAAATCACCAGTGAATTGTCACGAGTGGTACATAACAGTTAATGAGAGCAAGATATTCTACACGGAAGAGAGAACAGTTTTTCAAAACAGAAATGCACCTTTCTATAAACGAAGAGCATGGAGTTAGAAACATGGTCTCCATTCTTTGTCTAAGCTGCTCTCATTAGGATAAAGAGTACAGCCATCAAGAAGAAAAGTAAGTTCTAGAACAAGTCTAAAATATCCTGAGGGGTTAGCTTATCTGCCTAGCACAACTTTTACATTTCTCTGTGTGGGCCAGCTCTGTCCTACTATCCTGAATCTCCTCAAAGAACGGTGTCTCCCCCAAATAAAGACTGTGTCGGAATATTCCTCGTTGAATTCCCAGTGCCTCTCCATGGCTGGCACAGAGAAGGAACTCAGTAGATGTTTATTGATGAGGTGAATCACCTAGACTCCACTGTGTGCACCGATGCAGCAGCACCCATGCTTAGCACAGTACAAAGTCAGGTTCTTCTCCCAGACTCCCAGCCACTTCCTTGTCCCATCATGGCACAACTGAGCATCTCAGTGGTGACTTTTTGTCTTCAAATCCCTCATTCATTAAAATCCAAACTTGAGAGTAAGCCAGAATGGCCAGCCTCCACTGTAGTCATTTCCTCTTGTGCCGCAGAGAGGAGACCACATGTCACATGGATTAAGGCTGCTTCATTGGTGAACGGCAAGGCAGTACACAAATGCAAGTCCCCACCCTTTCACTGTTTAGCAGGGCCAACAGAAAGGACAGAGTCTGAGAGTCAACATGACTTTGAAACCTGGCTCAGACACAAGCCATGTGGCCTTTGACTTTAAAAACAGCAATAGAAAACCTCTTTAAGTTTGGGATTTTTCATAATTAGAATAGTGAAAGCAGTGTTCCTTACCCCACTGGGGTGGGATTTGGTGATGTACATGAAAGTGCCTGGTGCAAAGTAGCTTCTCAATGAATGTCATTTGCTATCCATAAGGGCCTCTGGCGGGGCCAAGCTGACCAACAGGTGAACAAGAACCCATACTATAGTTGTTGAGAGTGTGGCAAGAGAGTAAGACATACATAATCTGGTCTTCTGTATTTGTGTGACAGCACTGGGGACAAAGAGAATGACACAGACCCATGGTCCTACACAATGTAGTGGGCATGCCTGTCCTGAAGAGTCTTTCCATTGAGAACAAAGGGTAATTCACATCTTCTGCTATAAGTCGCCTTGCAGTTCCACTGGGATTGGGTGACTCGCAGCAAGCAGCAGCATCCACCTATTAGCCCATTTACCTTTAGGTGAACAGAGCTCCTCCTATGGACTTCAACTTCTCCCTTGTATGTAGAAATAGCATGTCCTGAAACTCATTTTCTGATAGCAGATAGAGTGTCATTTACAGTTTTGACATGATTTGGCATTCCATGAAATATAAGCAGTATTTTCCTTACTTCTGAAAGAAATATCAGTAGGCAACTGTGGACTTACATTCTCCTGCTAGTTCAGATCTTCAATTTAAAATGAATTGGGATTATTTGCTCTCGTATCAGTTGGAGACTATTCTTTTACTTTAACTCATTTTTCTTAATTTGAGTAAGACATCATTCTAATTTTTTAAAAAATCTTTACCATTACCAAAATTATTTTGGAAAAATCTTAGCTGTAACTTTGTCCTAGGGACTGATCCGAATTAGTTGGAGATATTCTAAAAATTTTGAAGACATTGTACACTGAGGGCTGCCGGCTTTATTTTACTCCAGCCATGATGAACACTGACGAGCCAGCACCTCTATCAGGGTGTATGAGAGAGGTGGTGAGTGGGATTCACCAGCTGCAGCATCTGGACAGTCAGTGAGTCTGCTTTCCCCCTAAGTCTGTATCTAAGGCCTTCTGCAATAAAGCTAAGTGACAAGCAGGGCAAGCTTTGGAAATGCATCACAGCCCCTGCCCTTCGGTAACTAACCAGCCAAAGCCTGGACAGGTGGACACAGACACCTCTAGGAAAGGAGTTGTTCAAAGGCAGAGCAGCAAAATAACTGGCTGAGCCAATGAAATGTTTACATTGCAGCCGAGGCTCCTGCTCAGCTGCCGGAACCAAACAACATCTGTTGCAGTCCTACAAGGCCCAAAGGCCCTCATCACCTTTGTGTCAGGAGCAGGAGGAGGGCTGGCCTAACTGTGACACCATCTGTGTGCCAGGGACTCGGGCCAAAAGGCCTGGCACTTGAGAGCTTAATTTCACTCCATCCAGTCTGCGACAAGGAAAAATCTTGGAGCAGACTAATAGCATCCTCACCCTCTCTTTCAATTACCTAGTCTGCTACAACCTCAAAACAAATACAACTGATAATTTGTTGCTTTCAAGAGTCCACAGAGCTTCTTTCCACTAACACCCTCTGATGGCAGGCTCACCTCCTCCAGCCTCAGCTGCTGCTCTGGAATCCTGGAGAATATTTGTCAGGGGAGCTGAAGAACCAGAGCTGCTGTTCTCAGAACAATGACTGCTAGCCCTGTGATCTTTTTTCACAAAGAAACACACACCCCCAGCCTCCTCCTGGGCCTTTGCTGGTAGCGGAGGCTTCCTCCCAAGGACGTAGGCTTGGATGATGGATGATTATCCTGGGTGAGAAGAGAACAGACACACCCTCAGAACAAAAAGAGGGAACCTGCATCTTCTCCTTCTCACCCTCCTCTACTGTTATCCTGAACCCTCCCTTGCTCCTGCAGGTGCTGTCCATGAGCCAGCAACATCAGAACCACCTGGGAGCCATAGCAGCCTGGCAGCCCGCTCCACAAACACAGGATCAGAATCTACCTTTTAACAAGATCCCCCAGGTGATTCAGATGCATATTCAACCTTTAGAAGCCCTGGTCCAAGTCTTATATTAATGATCAGATGTATGATCATTTTATATTAACACCAAGTGGAAGGAAATCTCTGCTCATTGCAAATCTTTTTTTTTTTTTTTTTTTTTTTTTTTTTTTTATTATACTCTAAGTTTTAGGGTACATGTGCACATTGTGCAGGTTAGTTACATATGTATACATGTGCCATGCTGGTGCGCTGCACCCACTAATGTGTCATCTAGCATTAGTATATCTCCCAATGCTATCCCTCCCCCCTCCCCCGACCCCACCACAGTCCCCAGAGTGTGATATTCCCCTTCCTGTGTCCATGTGATCTCATTGTTCAATTCCCACCTATGAGTGAGAATATGCGGTGTTTGGTTTTTTGTTCTTGCGATAGTTTACTGAGAATGATGGTTTCCAATTTCATCCATGTCCCTACAAAGGATATGAACTCATCATTTTTTATGGCTGCATAGTATTCCATGGTGTATATGTGCCACATTTTCTTAATCCAGTCTATCATTGTTGGACATTTGGGTTGGTTCCAAGTCTTTGCTATTGTGAATAGTGCCGCAATAAACATACGTGTGCATGTGTCTTTATAGCAGCATGATTTATACTCATTTGGGTATATACCCAGTAATGGGATGGCTGGGTCAAATGGTATTTCTAGTTCTAGATCCCTGAGGAATCGCCACACTGACTTCCACAATGGTTGAACTAGTTTACAGTCCCACCAACAGTGTAAAAGTGTTCCTATTTCTCCGCATCCTCTCCAGCACCTGTTGTTTCCTGACTTTTTAATGATTGCCATTCTAACTGGTGTGAGATGATATCTCATAGTGGTTTTGATTTGCATTTCTCTGATGGCCAGTGATGATGAGCATTTCTTCATGTGTTTTTTGGCTGCATAAATGTCTTCTTTTGAGAAGTGTCTGTTCATGTCCTTCGCCCACTTTTTGATGGGGTTGTTTGTTTTTTTCTTGTAAATTTGTTTGAGTTCATTGTAGATTCTGGATATTAGCCCTTTGTCAGATGAGTAGGTTGCGAAAATTTTCTCCCATGTTGTAGGTTGCCTGTTCACTCTGATGGTAGTTTCTTTTGCTGTGCAGAAGCTCTTTAGTTTAATTAGATCCCATTTGTCAATTTTGTCTTTTGTTGCCATTGCTTTTGGTGTTTTGGACATGAAGTCCTTGCCCACGCCTATGTCCTGAATGGTAATGCCTAGGTTTTCTTCTAGGGTTTTTATGGTTTTAGGTTTAACGTTTAAATCTTTAATCCATCTTGAATTGATTTTTGTATAAGGTGTAAGGAAGGGATCCAGTTTCAGCTTTCTACATATGGCTAGCCAGTTTTCCCAGCACCATTTATTAAATAGGGAATCCTTTCCCCATTGCTTGTTTTTCTCAGGTTTGTCAAAGATCAGATAGTTGTAGATATGCGGCATTATTTCTGAGGGCTCTGTTCTGTTCCATTGATCTATGTCTCTGTTTTGGTACCAGTACCATGCTGTTTTGGTTACTGTAGCCTTGTAGTATAGTTTGAAGTCAGGTAGTGTGATGCCTCCAGCTTTGTTCTTTTGGCTTAGGATTGACTTGGCAATGCGGGCTCTTTTTTGGTTCCATATGAACTTTAAAGTAGTTTTTTCCAATTCTGTGAAGAAAGTCATTGGTAGCTTGATGGGGATGGCATTGAATCTGTAAATTACCTTGGGCAGTATGGCCATTTTCACGATATTGATTCTTCCTACCCATGAGCATGGAATGTTCTTCCATTTGTTTGTGTCCTCTTTTATTTCCTTGAGCAGTGGTTTGTAGTTCTCCTTGAAGAGGTCCTTCACATCCCTTGTAAGTTGGATTCCTAGGTATTTTATTCTCTTTGAAGCAATTACGAATGGGAGTTCACCCATGATTTGGCTCTCTGTTTGTCTGTTGTTGGTGTATAAGAATGCTTGTGATTTTTGTACATTGATTTTGTATCCTGAGACTTTGCTGAAGTTGCTTATCAGCTTAAGGAGATTTTGGGCTGAGACGATGGGGTTTTCTAGATATACAATCATGTCGTCTGCAAACAGGGACAATTTGACTTCCTCTTTTCCTAATTGAAT
Source organism: Homo sapiens (assembly GCF_000001405.40). NCBI lineage: Eukaryota > Metazoa > Chordata > Mammalia > Primates > Hominidae > Homo > Homo sapiens. Next base: position 72,877,542 of record NC_000008.11, read on the forward strand.
ACCCTTTATTTCCTTCTCCTGCCTGATTGCCCTGGCCAGAACTTCCAACACTATGTTGAATAGGAGCGGTGAGAGAGGGCATCCCTGTCTTGTGCCGGTTTTCAAAGGGAATGCTTCCAGTTTTTGCCCATTCAGTATGATATTGGCTGTGGGTTTGTCATAGATAGCTCTTATTATTTTGAAATACGTCCCATCAATACCTAATTTATTGAGAGTTTTTAGCATGAAGGGTTGTTGAATTTTGTCAAAGGCTTTTTCTGCATCTATTGAGATAATCATGTGGTTTTTGTCTTTGGCTCTGTTTATATGCTGGATTACATTTATTGATTTGCGTATATTGAACCAGCCTTGCATCCCAGGGATGAAGCCCACTTGATCATGGTGGATAAGCTTTTTGATGTGCTGCTGGATTCGGTTTGCCAGTATTTTATTGAGGATTTTTGCATCAATGTTCATCAAGGATATTGGTCTAAAATTCTCTTTTTTGGTTGTGTCTCTGCCCGGCTTTGGTATCAGAATGATGCTGGCCTCATAAAATGAGTTAGGGAGGATTCCCTCTTTTTCTATTGATTGGAATAGTTTCAGAAGGAATGGTACCAGTTCCTCCATGTACCTCTGGTAGAATTCGGCTGTGAATCCATCTGGTCCTGGACTCTTTTTGGTTGGTAAACTATTGATTATTGCCACAATTTCAGAGCCTGTTATTGGTCTATTCAGAGATTCAACTTCTTCCTGGTTTAGTCTTGGGAGAGTGTATGTGTCGAGGAATGTATCCATTTCTTCTAGATTTTCTAGTTTATTTGCGTAGAGGTGTTTGTAGTATTCTCTGATGGTAGTTTGTATTTCTGTGGGATCGGTGGTGATATCCCCTTTATCATTTTTTATTGTGTCTATTTGATTCTTCTCTCTTTTTTTCTTTATTAGTCTTGCTAGCGGTCTATCAATTTTGTTGATCCTTTCAAAAAACCAGCTCCTGGATTCATTGATTTTTTGAAGGGTTTTTTGTGTCTCTATTTCCTTCAGTTCTGCTCTGATTTTAGTTATTTCTTGCCTTCTGCTAGCTTTTGAATGTGTTTGCTCTTGCTTTTCTAGTTCTTTTAATTGTGATGTTAGGGTGTCAATTTTGGATCTTTCCTGCTTTCTCTTGTAGGCATTTAGTGCTATAAATTTCCCTCTACACACTGCTTTGAATGCGTCCCAGAGATTCTGGTATGTGGTGTCTTTGTTCTCGTTGGTTTCAAAGAACATCTTTATTTCTGCCTTCATTTCGTTATGTACCCAGTAGTCATTCAGGAGCAGGTTGTTCAGTTTCCATGTAGTTGAGCGGCTTTGAGTGAGATTCTTAATCCTGAGTTCTAGTTTGATTGCACTGTGGTCTGAGAGATAGTTTGTTATAATTTCTGTTCTTTTACATTTGCTGAGGAGAGCTTTACTTCCAACTATGTGGTCAATTTTGGAATAGGTGTGGTGTGGTGCTGAAAAAAAGGTATATTCTGTTGATTTGGGGTGGAGAGTTCTGTAGATGTCTATTAGGTCTGCTTGGTGCAGAGCTGAGTTCAATTCCTGGGTATCCTTGTTGACTTTCTGTCTCGTTGATCTGTCTAATGTTGACAGTGGGGTGTTAAAGTCTCCCATTATTAATGTGTGGGAGTCTAAGTCTCTTTGTAGGTCACTGAGGACTTGCTTTATGAATCTGGGTGCTCCTGTATTGGGTGCATAAATATTTAGGATAGTTAGCTCCTCTTGTTGAATTGATCCCTTTACCATTATGTAATGGCCTTCTTTGTCTCTTTTGATCTTTGTTGGTTTAAAGTCTGTTTTATCAGAGACTAGGATTGCAACCCCTGCCTTTTTTTGTTTTCCATTGGCTTGGTAGATCTTCCTCCATCCTTTTATTTTGAGCCTATGTGTGTCTCTGCACGTGAGATGGGTTTCCTGAATACAGCACACTGATGGGTCTTGACTCTTTATCCAACTTGCCAGTCTGTGTCTTTTAATTGCAGAATTTAGTCCATTTATATTTAAAGTTAATATTGTTATGTGTGAATTTGATCCTGTCATTATGATGTTAGCTGGTGATTTTGCTCATTAGTTGATGCAGTTTCTTCCTAGTCTCGATGGTCTTTACATTTTGGCATGATTTTGCAGCGGCTGGTACCGGTTGTTCCTTTCCATGTTTAGCGCTTCCTTCAGGAGCTCTTTTAGGGCAGGCCTGGTGGTGACAAAATCTCTCAACATTTGCTTGTCTATAAAGTATTTTATTTCTCCTTCACTTATGAAGCTTAGTTTGGCTGGATATGAAATTCTGGGTTGAAAATTCTTTTCTTTAAGAATGTTGAATATTGGCCCCCACTCTCTTCTGGCTTGTAGGGTTTCTGCCGAGAGATCCACTGTTAGTCTGATGGGCTTTCCTTTGAGGGTAACCCGACCTTTCTCTCTGGCTGCCCTTAACATTTTTTCCTTCATTTCAACTTTGGTGAATCTGACAATTATGTGTCTTGGAGTTGCTCTTCTCGAGGAGTATCTTTGTGGCGTTCTCTGTATTTCCTGAATCTGAACGTTGGCCTGCCTTGCTAGATTGGGGAAGTTCTCCTGGATAATATCCTGCAGAGTGTTTTCCAACTTGGTTCCATTCTCCACATCACTTTCAGGTACACCAATCAGACGTAGATTTGGTCTTTTCACATAGTCCCATATTTCTTGGAGGCTTTGCTCATTTCTTTTTATTCTTTTTTCTCTAAACTTCCCTTCTCGCTTCATTTCATTCATTTCATCTTCCATTGCTGATACCCTTTCTTCCAGTTGATCGCATCGGCTCCTGAGGCTTCTGCATTCTTCACGTAGTTCTCGAGCCTTGGTTTTCAGCTCCATCAGCTCCTTTAAGCACTTCTCTGTATTGGTTATTCTAGTTATACATTCTTCTAAATTTTTTTCAAAGTTTTCAACTTCTTTGCCTTTGGTTTGAATGTCCTCCCGTAGCTCAGAGTAATTTGATCGTCTGAAGCCTTCTTCTCTCAGCTCGTCAAAATCATTCTCCATCCAGCTTTGTTCTGTTGCTGGTGAGGAACTGCGTTCCTTTGGAGGAGGAGAGGCGCTCTGCGTTTTAGAGTTTCCAGTTTTTCTGTTCTGTTTTTTCCCCATCTTTGTGGTTTTATCTACTTTTGGTCTTTGATGATGGTGATGTACAGATGGGTTTTCGGTGTAGATGTCCTTTCTGGTTGTTAGTTTTCCTTCTAACAGACAGGACCCTCAGCTGCAGGTCTGTTGGAATACCCTGCCGTGTGAGGTGTCAGTGTGCCCCTGCTGGGGGGTGCCTCCCAGTTAGGCTGCTCGGGGGTCAGGAGTCAGGGACCCACTTGAGGAGGCAGTCTGTCTGCCCGTTCTCAGATCTCCAGCTGCGTGCTGGGAGAACCACTGCTCTCTTCAAAGCTGTCAGACAGGGACACTTAAGTCTGCAGAGGTTACTGCTGTCTTTTTGTTTGTCTGTGCCCTGCCCCCAGAGGTGGAGCCTACAGAGGCAGGCAGGCCTCCTTGAGCTGTGGTGGGCTCCACCCAGTTCAAGCTTCCCGGCTGCTTTGTTTACCTAAGCAAGCCTGGGCAATGGCGGGCGCCCCTCCCCCAGCCTCGTTGCCGCCTTGCAGTTTGATCTCAGACTGCTGTGCTAGCAATCAGCGAGATTCCGTGGGCGTAGGACCCTCCGAGCCAGGTGTGGGATATAGTCTCGTGGTGCGCCGTTTCTTAAGCCGGTCTGAAAAGCGCAATATTCGGGTGGGAGTGACCCGATTTTCCAGGTGCGACCGTCACCCCTTTCTTTGACTCAGAAAGGGAACTCCCTGACCCCTTGCGCTTCCCAGGTGAGGCAATGCCTCGCCCTGCTTCGGCTCGCGCACGGTGCGCACACACACTGGCCTGCGCCCACTGTCTGGCACTCCCTAGTGAGATGAACCCGGTACCTCAGATGGAAATGCAGAAATCACCGTCTTCTGCGTCGCTCACGCTGGGAGCTGTAGACCGGAGCTGTTCCTATTCGGCCATCTTGGCTCCTCCTGCAAATCTTAAAAGATAAAGGAATTAAGGCACTCAAACATCTGTAGACAGAAAAGTACTATCAGAAGTTAGATGTTAATATTGGCAATCTTTTCTAAAGGTCTGGCTACCTCTGCCCTGCCTCTAGCTCAGAGAGGGAAGAAGAGAAAAAATGTTGTACAGGCACAATCTGTGAAGCAGCAGCACCCAGACAATGCAGAGGGCGTGTTTCCTCTCCCTGGCTGTCCCTTCAAGCAGGGGGAGGTCCTAGCCGTAGCATCCACCTTCTGCTGCGGCCAGAAAAGAGCCAGTGAAAACCACTCAGAACTTCCCTGTCACTGAAAGGCCATTAAATTTTTACAAGATGAAAAGTACTTTTTCCAAAAATAAAACCCAGCGTTATCATTTTGGTAGGCTGGGAAAATGTACAGTTCCTTTTTATAACTGCAAATAAGAGCAGTTCTGTACCAATTCTAATTTTTTTCTTCTGATTCTGCAATCTTCTCTCCTTAGCAGGAAAAAAAAAAATGTACTGAAGTGATCAGGTGTTATTTAGACCCTCAGGGCACACCTGTGCCCGACAAAGCACTCATCAGATTCCTGAGATACCACCAGCACCTCCACACGGGGGTGGTTTTTCGGGTGAAACAGTGCAGTGTTGTGACTCATGGGCCGCCTATACCACTCTGGCCCTTGGTTTCCCCATCTGCAGTAAGCTGTTATAAAGGAACTGGAAAAACTCACCTGCCTTCAGGGGCTACCCTTGGAATGCAAGTAAGTGAGGAAGTGGGAGGAGACTGTGAAGAAAAGGGAGAGTGTACATTGAGGTCACAGTTCATCACGCGGTGAGTGCCATGGCTCTTTCCAGCTCATTCAGTGGTCCCGTTTGGATTTCACAAAGCTGACATGTCAGGTCTGTGCTTTATTTTTGACCATGCCAACTGCTGACAGTTGAGAGAGAGAGAGAGAGAGAGAGAGAGAGAGAGAGAATGTGTGTCTTCATTACGGCTCTGCACTTGAAGTTCCTAGCAACTGGGCCAGTAGTGAGACCCAGTCGGTCGTGGGATTCCAGCAGCTGGTGCTTTCTCTGCCAGAGAAACAAGATGATGGTCTGCTAGCAGAAATCCTCAAGGAGCTCTAGAAATAGAATGAATAGGAAAAAGAAAAAGAAAAAAAAAATCCAGGAGAGGCTTGCTTCATGTTGCTCTTGTTGTTGTTTTGTGCTACATATTATTTTAAGATATGTTCAAATTACTTGAAGCATTTAAAAATCAGGAGATTTCACATTTTTAAAAAGAATTCAAATTTCTGGCTCCCTCTGAATTGGAAAATCTGATGACACAGCCTCATTTCCATGTGCCCACAATCAGCTAAAGTTGTGGCCACTTCCCTCTTTATCTGCCTTCTCCAGGCCCTTTCCACTTCCCCTCCATTCCCGGGGCTACACCTGCCCATGTCTGGATCCTGATTATTTACCCTCCTGGTCCCAGAAGTCATTTACGTTCTCAACGCTTTTACAATATGATGCGAAGCCAGGTTCCCAGTCTCTGCAAGGCCAGATGGTTGAGAACATGGCTGGGGGAGGGTCCACTTCACTAGGTTTACAAAGCACAAAAATGTTTCTTTATCTCAGAACATCAGATTTTAAAAATAGGAAAGCCCTGAAAAGAAGATGAAACAACTATGTGGTGAAACTTAGAGGCAGTTATTTAATAGTGTGCCAGCCACCAACAAGCATCTTATCCCGGCGTAACTACAGTCTCTGCAGAGGTTCCTGCTGTCCTCAGTTATCCACTGACCTGGCTGGAAGGATGGTCTTAGTCTCTCAGCTGACTCAGTGACCCATTGTTGCTGGATTTGTTGCTGCATTTCACTTCAGTTGTATAAAAGCAACTCATTTGTTGCTGTCCCTTTACTTCAATTTATTAGGAGTTATTCCAGATCTATAGAAGAGAACTGAGAATAGCATAACCCAACCACTTCCCAGCTTTATTGGAAGCTAACACTTTGCCATATGGCTCTAGGTTGTTTTTTTCTAAGGAATAAAACAGTAGTGTATAAGGATAGCTGAAGCTCCCCCCAGTATCCCTCCCCAATCCCATTCTCTTTAACTTTCCAGAGGTTAGCAGCAGCCTAAATTATCTTTTTTGTGCATTATTTTAAATATACTTTTTAGATTTAACCATTTGACAGGCCCATTTTGAAACGTTACGTAGTGTTCCACTGTGAAACACATCATGACTGATTTTAATATTTCTTTTCTTGATGGACATATAAATTGTTTCTGACTTTTTGCTGTTACCAACAACACTGCGATGCATGTTACTACATCTGTCTCCCTACACACATGTGTACGGGTCTCTTTACACACCCAGAAGTGGAATTGCAAATCACAATTGCAGCACTTTTTTACCTTTATTTTGTTGCCAATTCTTCTCCAAAATAATTGTATTGTTTTAGCTCTTTGAGCAGCAATATATGAAAGCTTTCATTCCTCTTTCTCTTTTCTAGTACTTGGCATTGTCGAGGCTTCTAATTTGGGACAATATGAGGATAAAATGACATCTTGTCATTGTTTAAATTTTTGTTTTTTGATTTCTAGTGAGCTTGAGCATCTTTCCATGTATTTGTGGACCACGGGCATTTCTCACACCATAGATTGTCTATTCCTTTATTTTCCCCTTTTTTTTTCTCTTGGGTTGTCTTCTTTATGTTGACTTGTAAGCATGCTTTTTAATTCTAGTAACAATCATTTGAAGGTTTTGTGCATCACAAATAACTTCTCCCAGTGTGTGTGTGTTAGCCGGGGGAGGGGAGTGGGTTGTGTATGCGTGTGCACGTGTGTGTATGTGTTGTGGGAGCTTTTGTTTTACAGAAGTTTTGATTTTAATGGAGTCCAGTTTGTTAATACCTTGCTTTATGGCTTATGCTTTTTATGTCTTGTTTAAGAAACATCTCCCTACTTTGAGGTCATAAATATATTTTCCTGCATTATTTTCTAAAAGTTTTCAAATTTCACTTCTCACATTTAAATCATTGATCCCTCTGGAATTTGTGTGTGTTGGGAAATAGGGCTTTATAATTTTCCATCTTTATTGAAGACTTTATCTTTTCCATGCTTATCTGCAATAACACCTCTATCCTATATGTATTTTCATGTATGTTTGCGACTGGTTTTAGGCACTCTATTCTGTTTCATTCGTCCTTTTTAATCTATCCCACACCAAGATCACATGTCTTAGTCACCAAGACTTCATAATAATGACAAGTCCCACTATCTTTTGTATTTCAAAGTATCTTAGCTCTTTTTAACCTTTTGCTCCTCCCAATGACTTTTAAGATAAGCTTGTCATGTGTCATAAGAATCTCTATTGGGATTTCAATTGGAATTACAGTTATAGATTAATATGCAATTTTATTTTAAAAAGATATCTTTTAGCAAATTAGGAAGTTCTTATTTGTACTTTGGTTAGAATTCTTAATCCTAAATGAGTGTTGAATTTTATCAAAATTTTTGGTGTCTATTGATATGATCATATATGGTTTATGACATAATCTCCTTTATAGTATATTCATTAATAGATTTTAAAATATTAAACTATGCTTGCATTCTTAACTAAATATTCCTAGGTCATACATACTACTGACCTAATTGACTAATATTTTACTTGGGAATATCTCATTATATTCATTAGTGAGAATAGTCTGTAACTTTATTGTACTTTCTTGTTCACTTTTAGCTACTAGCCAGATGAGTTAGGTAGCTTTCTCTTTTTCTATCCTCTAAAACACATTATGCAATAAAGAGATTACTTATTGCTTGAAGATTTGTTAAGCATCACATATAAAAGCATCTGAGTTTTATGTATTTTGGGTAAGCTTAGCCTTTTGATTACTGATTCAGTTTATTTAATGGTTGTTGGTATATTTAGATTCCTAACTTCTCCTTAAGTCATTTTTTAAGTCATCATTTTCTAGGAAATTATACATTTCATATTAGTATTAAACATTGGCAGAAGGGTATGCATCAAAATATATTATGGACTTTTTAAATTTCTACAGTATTAGTAGTTATATCCACTTTTAATTTCTATATTATTTCTATTACTGTGTCTACTTCTCCACCTCTCTTCCCTCCCTCTTTCTCCTGCCTTTTTCCTTTTTCATTTAGACATCACAAAGCTGAACTCTGAATAGTAATTTCTTCTGCTACAATTTTGAAATTATAATTTATTTTTGAGATAGCATGTAGGGCTATTTCTAAATACTCATGATTTTAAGTAGAATATGCTACGATAAAGACTGTCTCCTGGTATTTTACTCTACTGTTTCCCAAGATATTTTTCTAATTCTGACTAAAGATATCAATGTTGCAGCTTTGAGTGCCATCAAACCCCATCCCTCAACCCCAGGACTTCTAAACTAACTGCTCTGGAAGAAAAAAGAAAAAAACATGTTATTCCCTACCTTCGTATCCCATAAATTATCTTTCCCTATATCAGAAATAATTTTAATTGTTCAACTTTATATATTTAAAGATGATGTTTAGATCAAACTCAGTTTAAAAACATATTGCTTTTTAGATATCCTGTGTACCTACTACTGTGCTTCACTTCAACGGCAGCCTGTGAGCCTCTTCACTCATCTCTTGACCTGGGCACCCTGCAGCCTTCCCCACCTCCCTGTTACTCCGATCTGCATTGTCACCTTGTAGAATCTGTTGATTTGTTTCTCTCAAAGCCCGTATCACATTTCTGTTATCCTAAAACCTGTTCTCTCTCAGTCTCTCTCTCTTTACCAAACACTAAAAAGAAAGCCAAGCCACACAGAAAAAGGGGAACAAAGAACATGGCATTCTTGTGACAGTCCTCTGGCTCCTAGCCAAAAGTTCTACTTAGAAAGATTTCCTCTTTCTTTCCTAGACATTCTGTCTCCCCCAAGGAGTTAGACATAAAGCATCTTTCTATCTGGGAAACATCAGTCCTCACCATCTACACTCTGCTCAGAAAGAGATATTTTCTCCAAGTCATGTTCCTTGGGGAAGAGAACAGAGCTACTTGCACCCCTGAGCTCATTCAGCTTATCCCCACAAAGCCTAGAGCTGGCCTCGACACTACGTAATTTCCCCTGATGCTGCCCTGGCAATGACGTTCACAGTCCAGACTCTTTCAGCCAAACAAAATAGTAGCGATTTAAACAGATCATCAGCTTCTTGCATCGCAGTGGCAGCTGGCACATTGTGAACATTCAGTAAATATTAATCAATAGCTATCCAGTGGCACTGAAGAGAGACGAAAGAATAATCTGAAGGCTTAACCAAGGTCACATTAAACAATCGCTGGGCCCTAATTTTCAAGGGATGGCACATGTTCCCTCAGCTAGAGAGACACAGGCCAGGAGAATTTGCCCAATGCCAAAAGGATTTTGCTTCTGGGTGCCAAACTCTCTAGGACAAAGGATATATTCTGTTTATGGTTGATCTGTATTAGTGAAAGGGGATAATTAAGGACACCTTAAGCCAGCTTAGTGAGAACTTTCTATAACTGCTTTCTGAGCCATAAAGTAAGGGAGCTGAGTTAGATCCTGAGTATAGACCTTAAAATAAAGCCGCAGCATTAGAAATGCCTCATTCCATCCCAGAATGGCCTATTTGTCTAATACAAATGCAGTCCACATCACACCTTGTACAGTTTTCTACATCTGAAAGTTGGTCATGAGGGCAATGGATCTTGACTACTTAGTGACCAACCTTCCAAAAACTAAAGCAAGATGGAAAATATTACCTAAAAGCACAGAGAGAGGGAACTTTACCAAAATGCATAATAAACTTAGTGTACCAACCAGTTATACAGGAGAGGAGCTGACATGGTTCCTGATTTTCTTGGATGGCCCAATTTCAGATAAACTCTGTACGAGCTCATCAGAAGATGGGCCCAGTCTCTAGCCAGGAACAGGAAGACAGGAAGAGGGCTTCTGACCAAAAGCCACTGTGTAAACTGGCTCAATGGATTTATCCTGGCCCCCTACACACAGGAGGAGCTACAGTTTCTCAGGAGAAGGCTTCCTTCCAAGGCAAACTCTTGTTCCCAGAGATATTTCAAGCCTCTACTTTCCTAAGTGCTTTATTTCTCTGACCTAACTAGTTATGCCTCTCGGATTTTTGTTCCTGCCATTCCCAGGTGGGATCCAACCCAACCTTGTCCCAACTCTTCTCATTCAGTCAACTCCAGCTCTGAAACCCCCAGATGGAAGCCAGGGCCCTACACTTTCTCTCTGCCCAGAAAGGAGCTTGGAATGTGAACAGGCCTGATGGTGTGAACACACCATTGCAATCCTCTTCAGCCTATTCCCTGGCTCCCCAAAGGGTGTTACTTGGAAGATACACCCAATAAACACAGTCTGCCTTATACCACCTGTGTGTCTTGTCTCCCCAAGATTTTAAGCTCCTTAGGCAAGAGCCTTACTGCTTTAATCGTGTTTTGCACATAATCATCTCTTGATAAATATTTCTTGATTGATTGCCAGTTTGTTGTTGTTGTTGTTGTTGTTGTTTGAGACAGGTTCTCACTCTGTCCCCCAGGCTGGAGTGCAGTGGTGCAATCATAGCTTACTGAAGCCTCGACCTCCTGGCCTCAGGTGATTCTCCCACCACAGCCTCTTGAGTAGTGGGACTACAAGCACACACCACCACACCCTGGGTTAATTTTTGTACTTTTTTCTTTTTATAGAGACAGGGTTTCACCATGTTGCTCAGGCTGGTCTCGAACTCCTGGGCTCAAGAGATCCACCCACCGCAGCTTCCCAAAGTGCTAGGATTACAGACGTTAGTCACCGCACATGGCCACAGTCAGTTAATTTTCTAATCTCCCTATAATCACAGTCATAATTATAAAAGATACTTTTAAGCAGCTATTAAAATTTTGCTTTTAGTACATAAAATTCTCGGAGAAACAAGACTGAAGTAAATTTCTTAAGCCCTTGGCTCAGGCTGACTATTGTTTTTGACACAGCTATGCATTTTAAAATAAGAAAACATTCCATAAACATAAAGGTAAATTATATTCAGTACTTTGCCATCATTAAAGCCTGACTTGAAAAACAGCAAAATTAAGCTCCTTGTTTCTCAGTAATAAAGGCTTATGTCACAATTCTCCAGTAAAACTATGGGATATAGACTGCTGCTGCCTCTCAGTAGAGGGGAACATAAGCCAGTCTCTCTCCTTCATAATTATTTTATTTAGAAGGCATAGAAGAGACATATAGAAAAATAACAGTATAAAGAGTACAGGGAGAACTCATTTCTTGGAGCAGATTTTAAATGAATTAGAAATGTATTTTTGCCATCTGCTGCTGCTACTGCTCTTATGAAATTTGGGATTCACAAATTGCAGTTTGTATAACACTAACTCTGGGACTCGGAAAATCTACTGCAGGATCTGTCACCTGAAGGAAATGTTCTGGATTACTCCTGGAAGCTGCTCGGCACAGTAGAGAGCACACTCTCTGAAGGACTTTCCCAACATGTGACAAGCATTACCCCATGCTTCTTAGGGGAGAGGGAGTGTGATAGCTGCATGGTACCAGGTATTGCACCACATTGCATGGTTGGAAAACCCCTTTGCAACACATCACTGTTACTATTCCCAGCATCACTGGATGTAGAAATCTTCATTTTACAGCTAAAAAGACATACTTACTGAGGCTAAATAACTTATGATCCCAGGGCATTAAAGGATAAGGTAGGAATTTAAACTAGAGGCACGTTTTCACACAGCCTCACTCAATGAGGAAAACAGACATTTCCCTAATGAAAACAAAAACAAACAAAACATATCAACAGCCACATGCGGTAGCTCATACCTGTAATGCCAGCACTTTGGGAGGCTTAGGCGGGAGGACTGCTTGCATCCAGGAGTTCAAGACCAGGTTGGGCAACATGATAACACCCTGACTCTACAAAAAATAAAAATTTCACCAGGCATGGTGCTGCATGCCTGTAATCCCAGCCACTCTGGAGGCTGAGGCAGAAGGATCACTTGAGCCTGGGAGGTGGAGGCTGCAGTGAGCCAAGATCGTACTACTGCACTCCAGCCCGGGCAAGACAGAGACCCTGTCTCAAAAGAAAAAAAGAACACATGCACTTGAACAATCAATAAAATGGAGTAATAAATGTAAAACTCTTGGCACCCAAACTCCATTTATATATATATATGGAGTCTCACTTTGTTGCCCATCTGGAGTGCAGTGGTACAATCTTGGCTCATTGCAACCTCCATCTCCTGGGTTCAAGCAATTCTCCTGCCTCTGCCTCCCAAGTAGCTGGGATTACAGGCATGTGCCAGCATGCCCAGCAAATTTTTGTATTTTTAGTAGAGACAGGGCTTCATCAGGCTGGTCTTGAACTCCTGACCTCAAATGATCCACCCACCTTAGCCTCCCAAAGTGCTAGGATTACAGGCGTGAGCCAACATGCACGGCCTTATTTTTTCATCTTTATTTCTGGGCTTGGAAAGAAAAAAGAAGGATGGAGAACATGTTCTTTAATCATCTGACAAAGGATCTGATTCAGATTCTACAGTTCTATAACATTCTCTATAACAAAGTGACCGCAGATGATTCATCTACCTAAATACAAATATCTAGAAGTCATTCCATATATTCTTCCAATAATACCAGGCACCAAAACTACAAAGATGAAAAGACATGCACTGAAGGAGCTTTTCAAGTCTAGTTGAGGGTGGGGAGTGGCAGTACAAAGGGTGTGGCAGAGGCGGAGATTGAACTCTGCTGCTTTGCAGACACAATACAAGTAAGTCTCAGCCCCGAACAAAACAACATTAGCCCCTTGTTCCTCAGTAATAGAGGCTTATACTATGCCGTCTTAGTAAGACTATGGCACATCAGCTGCAGCTGCCTTCAGACAGTGCTCTTCAGACCTGTGAGGCTCAGGTCCCTTCCCCGGTCCCATCACACTGCCTCACCTGTTCCCAGTGGTCACCACAAGAACCAGCAGCACCCTGCCTTATGGAGGAAAAAGTAAATGTGCATAAACTTTGAACTCTTATTGCCTACAGGGGGCATTATTTTATTGAATCCCCACTATAACCCCGTTTTCCAGATGAAATCACTGAGGCTCAGAGAAGTCAGGTAGTACTAACATCAGGAAGAAGTGAAGGAGCCACCCCAGACCTCAAAGTCCATTATGTTTCACTGGTTCCACTGCTTTTGCCCGTTAGTAACTGTAAACAACGATAGATGTAGTTCTGTTACTGTCTACTTAAATTGAGACTCTTTAGTGTAGATTGCAATTCATGGCAGAAAACTGTCAACAATGGTGGCTTATTACATAAATTTTAAGACTGCCTTAGAGAATCCTAAGGAATACCAAGTGTAGTTCTCTCATGTGAGAACCTCAACACAAACCCCATCGTCCTTAGAACCAGTAAAGTTACATAAGCGAAGACTGAATCCAAATGACACATAGTTCAACAGCGGTAGTGGCCAAGATCATTGCCTCTCCATTCAGATTGTGCCAGGGTACAGTGTCATTTCTGAAAACGATTGAGATGGAACACCAGTTTTGTGTTTTGTTAGAAAAATATTAATGGTTCTAAAACCACATGCTGCTTACATATTTTTAATGTAAAATAAATATGTTTTCTTGGCACTGTAAAGATTGTGGTCATATATCATCAGGAGGCAGCAATGGTAGAAGCAGCCCAGATTAGAGCTGGAGATGGTAACATTTACCACTTCAATGTACAGTATAGTTGTGGGTTATGCAGGATGCGTTCCATAAAGCTCCACCACTGTCTTCAAAATTATTTTACATGCTTATGTAGCAAGACTTAGGAGGGATTAATAGCAAAAGGACATGCTTATACAATTAGGAATGGACCAGGGTCATATGAGGCAGTTCTCTGAAATGGTAACCATTCAGCTTAAATTACAAAAGAATCACATCCTTTCCAATGTAGTATCAAGAAAGCCAACACCAAAAATTTAGGCACCCTGGTGTCTTGTGATCCATTTTGGCACTTAAGTACAACACCTAAACTGCAGACAGAACTTCGATGAAGAAATTACTAAATGGATGACTTCATTCACTCATAGTTCATAAATCTTTGTATTATAGAACATTTTCTGAGACTTAACCAAAGCTGGTTATCATCCAGATAGAGGGGATGATGCTTCAGGCTAATCTAAAGGGATGCTTTGGCCAAAAGTACCTAGAGATTTTTTTTCCTTTTAAATTAGAAAAATAATCCCTCAGGAATTAACACATCCCACTTTCTACCAACCATTATTCCTTGGTGTGAATAATTTAATCAAATGTCATCCTTTTGATGGATGACTGGTCACATGGGATTTTGATAGGCTCCAAGTGGAGGGGAGAGAATTTGGGAGCCTGGCAGGTGGTCACAGGTCTGAGAAGCCAGAGCAGCTTGAAGGAAAGTGGGTTAAAGGATGGAGGGAAGCCGAAGATATTGTTTCAACACCCTCAGTTTTGCTCCATTTCATTGTTAATGCGCACACAAAACAGCAGGAGAGGAAATCTGAAGTTTCTCCCTGAGCTGTATTAGGTTCTTCATTTTAAACCCCTCTCCCACTGAGGATTGGTTCAAAATTAGTATATTCCCCATACTGGGCTCTCACTATTTGATTCCTGAGGGGTAGTGATCTCACTACCCATGTAAGAAGGGGGAGATAACAAGGTCTGTGTGTGTGGAAGGCAGCCCCAGAAGCAGTGACCTTAGGAAGGGTTCCAAGTCACGAAATGTGGCAGGAAGGAGCTTCCAGTTGGGCCACTACCCACAGAAAGTCAAAAATGACCTCTTCGGTAAATTAAAACATCTAAGCCTACTTCATCCTTTTTTCCCATTTTTGACATGGGAAAACTGGCTCTTCTCAGTTAATCCAGGGTAATTTGCTAGGCATCCGGCACATGCCACATGTTTCATGGAAATCACTTCCTTGAACCCTCAGCAGCCTGAAAAGTTTACAGACCATCCATATTTTGTAGATGAGGAAACTGAGGCTCCTGAAGTTTACACAGCTTGCTCAAAGTTTATGTCCCTGCAAACTGGCACGACCAGAATTCAAACCCATCTATGAGACTCCCAAGCTTAAGCCCGTTTCCTTCTCCTATACTACTTCTTATCCTAAATTCCATACCTTAATTCTTGTTTATTTTTTTCTAAATCCTCTATGAAAACTGTTACCCAGGGAAAATTTTCCACCATCCTATAGCTCTGGACATACAGCCATTAGGTTGTAAATTAAATTATTGTTCAAATAAGTATGCAAAATTATTTCTAAAAGCAGCAAATGTACTTAAGGAAATGGCCATGATAACATTTCACTTCAGAAACTATGAGCTTTGCAGTGTCAGCTGATCAACCCTTGGGAATATTTAATGATTTTGTCCTGGACTACTGCACAGTGAGAAAATTTGCTTTGACCTTAGGATAGTGAATATGTGTGATTTAGATCTGAGGACTGGTAAAAGGAAGGAGGTTGATGCAAGTTGATTAAAAAAAAAAAAAAACTAGATGGCCATGGCATGGTATATGATTTGCTATTTATGAAGAGATTTTGTTTGCTTTTGTGATAGAGTTACCTGCCCTGATATTTATTCTGCTTATTAAAAAAAAATCACACTCGTCAGTTTGCTCTCTGGGCATGATAAATACATTTCATGTCCCAAGTCCTATTACAGTAAATTTATTATTTTTTATTTCAACATGGGGCAAAAACTATATTTTTGATTTGTTCTTTCCAACTCTGTCAAGTATTTTATAACTTAGATTTTATGCATTTCTTACTTTTAGTTATTGTATTTGCATTTCTGGGACTTCTACCTATTTTAATAAAAAAAACTTCCATGTTTAGTAAGCAAAATTAAGAGCTAAAATTTAACCATAATACCTTCCACAAAATAATAGCACTAAATGAGCTGTGTGAAGTATTTTTATATGTGCATCACCATATTCAATCTCCATGTATAGTGCTTATCAAAATTAGTTGAAGCAACTAAGATTAAAACAACTCATTACTATTATCCCATCTTTTTTTGGCCCCTTAGCAGATAACACAAGAAAAAATGTTGAGGCTTAGATAGTATCTATACACACCAAAATGACTAGCCAGTTTCTTTTTTCAACACAGATGTTTGTTGTTATCCAAACTTAAAAGCCAAATGTTTTGATTGAATTGATTTGCTACATAGCCAGTGAACAGAAATGTTCACAGAGAACAGAGCAAATTTCATGACAATGTAAAATTAGGTTTGAACCCAGGGGTGTGCCATCAAAAATAACACAATAATAAAGTCATGTGTAAATCCAGTTGTCCATTCTTTCATGCCATCCCTAATTATTGAGCCCCTACCCTCTGCCAAGCACTGTTCTGGGCACAGAGGACACAACAGTGAGCCACAGTGATACTTTCTTTGCTCTTTTGGAGCAAATTACCTAGTTACAAGAAAAGTCTCAAAGTGATAAATACTATGCCAGGAATTCAAGTAAGGGATTGGGGTAGGTGAATGATGAAGGTCTCACTTGAGCATGTAACCTGAGATCCAAATGACAAGGAGGAGCCAGCAATGCAACAGTGTGCAGGAAGAACATTGCAGGTGTAGGGACAAACTAATACAAAGACCGTAAAGGTGGAGTAGTGCAAAGGCCCTAAGGGTGGAGCTCAGCAGGAGGGCTGTGTAGCTGGTGATCACTGGTCAAGGTGGAGGGGGAAGGAGATGAGGTCAGAGAGGGTGGAGGCACAAGGCCATGTGGGGCTTTACAGGCCAGAACAAAGGATTTGCATTTTATTCTAAATGTGAGAGGAAGCCCTTGGAGGGTTTTAAGATGAGGGATGCGATTCAATTTATATATTCTTTAAGTTTTAAAAGTTTAAGTTAGAATCATAACTATGCATTAATTCTTAGAATAAAGACAATGAATTGTGTGTTGATTACATTAGATTGCATGACATCATATCACCTCCTGGCTTCACTTTTCCCCTTGCAGCGTGACCCACATTTGAAACCTTCATCAATCTTTCCAAGGCCTCTCTTGTGAGGTGTCCAGGGCAGCAACATCCTTCCCAATTCATCCTGTTTGGATGTTGACTGGTCTAAACTCCATTTCCCAATAGCTTTACATGTGATTTAAGCAGTTCTCCATCACCTTCCATAAGTTCATAAAATCCTGCCTCTTTTCGGGAATTGTAATTTCACTTTACAATAGGTTTGCATTGCATATTTTAGACCATCTGGACATTCAGTGAGAACACAGACATGATGGGGATAGATAGACCCCAGATGGAAGGGAGGGATGTTTGAAAAGTATTGTTAAGTAATCAGGTGAGAATTTTCATGTTGTTTCCCTAGATCCCTTAAGTGCAGGGACTGAGATCATAAATATTCCTGTGATCCACTGGACCCTCCCCCTAAGGCCCTTAGAAAATGGTTGGGAAAATGGATCAACAGTCACAAAACAATCAGTGAACACAACAGAATGATACTTATTAGGCATCTATAATGACAGATGAGAGAGGCAGAATGATGTTCCCCTAAAGATGTCCATATCCTAATTCCCAGGACATGTCAATAGGTTATGTCATATGGCAGAAAGGAATTATGATTGTGAAGGGAATTAAGGTGCTGATTAGCTGACCTTAAAATAGGGAGATTATCCTGGATTATCCAGGTGGGCCCCAGGTAATCACAAGGGTGCTTGAAAGTGGGAGAGAGAGTCAGCAGACAGCTGTAGAAAGATGGAGTTATGGAAGAAAGGCATAGAGCAATGCAGTGTTGCTGCCTTTGAAGGTGGAAGAAGGGGAGCATGACCTAAGTAAGCTGGAAAGAGCAAGGAAATGGATTGTCTCCTAGAGCCTCCTAAAAGGAACACAGCCTTGTCAGGATGCCTTAGTTTTAGCTCAGTGAGATCCATGTCAGACTTTTCAGCTACAGAACTGCCAGATAATAAATCTGTGCTGTGTAAGTCACTACATTAGTGATAATTTGTTACAGCAGCAATAGGGAACAAATGCAACAGAATAAAGTTGCATGTCATGGAGTAAATTAGAAAGTGCAAGAGGTGAGGATGAGAGACGAACATAAAGTCACAGGCTCAGGGTTTCATAAAAGAGGCAAATCTTTGTCCATAAAACCTGTGATAGAACACCTTACCTTCTGCAGAGGGTAAGACAAAACAAAACTCTTAACGCTTTTAAGACCAATATTCAAGACCAGCAGCCTGACTAAATTAGTACAGGGTACAGGGATGTTTTTGATTGATTTCTGTAGAAATTAAAAAATATTTAGGTTAATTAATATGACTACTGATTAGGGATAGATTTTGTTCCTAATTTTAAAAGTCTATATTTTATAACTATTTAAGTTGTTATTTACAGCTCATAAAATTTGCAAGGCATAATATCCTTGAGCCTTTATTTTTTTCAAGTTTCCAAAATAAGTTTCTGTAAACTTTGAGAGGAGTTATGATGAAGCATTATCTATACTCTGGCAGAGTTTTGTTTTGCTGAATGTTCCAGACTAAAAGAAAGTTAGCTCAGGAAATCCTCTCAAGTGGCTATTGATATTTAATAAGCTTAACTCTAATGACAAGTTTCAGCCAGTCCCTCTTCCAGAAAGTCCACAAGGTCACTGTTTATCTGTTATATAAGTTAGAGGAGGATACCATCACCTGGTTTCCTTACACTGGGAATTATTGTGGATTTGGCATTTGTCCCTCTCTAAATTTTCTCCTTCCTTTGGGCAAATGCAACATGTACCTTTCACCTTTGTTTCCACATGGCTATGAGCACAGTATCTTTCATAAGGCCAACACTAAATGATATTTCATGAATTAGTAAATGAAACGTTCAAATTATAGCAGAAAGGTTGAGCAAAGTCTCCTTTTCAGATTCATAATTATGTATGAATCTTTATGCTTATGTGAGAAACTACTGCATTTAAACATTTGTGCAGATATGTGTCTGTGTAAATATACAAAGGTTATCCTAATATATCTAATTTTGCCAGCAGCAAATATCAGGCTTCTTAGTGCTAAATTGTTAGATCAAATACACTAATTTCAATGATCCAGAAGATATTTCAAAAAAAACATTGTATTTAAAACTCAGAAATTCCCTTTCTCACTGTGCTTTTTCAAAATGACTGATTTTCATATACCATCTTAATGGAGGGTTCTTCTACATCTAGGCTCTGTCACTAGGAAGAAAAAGTCAAGAAATGAGTCATTCATATCTTCAAGCCTAACAAAGACATCAAAAGACATCAAAATCAGAAACTTTATTTTCACTCTCATTGTCAATATCTATGTACCCCAAAAGAGCATTTTTGAATTGCTTTTTGTTGTTGTTGTTGTTATGAACTAGTAAATTGGAATAGTCTTATGGAAAATACAGACTAGGGTTGTGCTTGCAAATGCATAGACTTATGTAACATAAATGCATTTTCTAGATTCTAGACAATTCCAGATGGAACTTTTTTTATTCCATCATTACAATGTAGGAAATTGCCTTGATCTTTCCTGTGCATGCCCCTATAGTGTGACTGAGACCACACCTTATTAATTTTGTCTAATCCCTTACACCTAGAATATAGTGGCCACCCTAAATTTTTGTTGAATTTTACTCTGTAGATAATAGAAAACTAATAAAATAATACAAAATCAAGTGAAAATAAAAAAATTATCTAATTTACCTGTTTCGTATGCACAATAAAACTGAGTAATTAAGCCTCCAGATCCTAACTCATCCAGTTTAGCAGGATAGTAGAGAATATGAGAAATTACCTGAACATCAAATTCAGAAAACCAAGTTTTGCCACTAAGATATTTGAAATATAAATCATCTTCAGTTTTAATTATACACTGAATATTTCAATGCCCTCTCCTTGTTTTGCATGTGTAATCTGTGTAATCATAGATCAAAATTAAGTGTTTTATTTAGGAACCTATTTAAAAGATGATAGCAGCTAATCATTTAAAATTAGCTCCATGACCAGAACGATACAGCCATGCAAAACTGAAGCTTAGGGTTTGATCCAAATAATTTACGTTGTCTATTTGTCCCAAATTCGTTAATTCATAACTTCTGTTTCCAGCATGCCCCCGCATTTGGGCTGTTTTGATCATACCTTTGAAAGCACTATTGCTTGGGGAGGAGGGATGGCTGTTTTAAATGAATCCTAAATGTGGGAAATCAATATAAATTCTCATCCATAAGAGAAATTTTTACCTTGACACTTTGTTCTTCATTTGCAATTTTGACTTCTTGGGTGCACCCTGTTCTCAGATATGGAGGGTACATCTTGGAGAAAACTGTCACAGACCCTCTTGGAGGGACAGAGGTACCCTAGGTAGTGACAAAGCCTGTGAGCTTCAAAGGCACACCTCTGATACCTCTAGCTTTTAATGGATTTCTTGGGCTTTCCAAAAGCAGCCCTTGAACCCTGGGAAATGGATTATCTGTCTTTTGTTTCATACTTCAAAGTCTGTTTTTTAATGGGGATTCATTTCTCTATGGAATTCAGGAGGATTCGCATGTCTAACAAGGACTGACATATATGGAGAGAATTGAGGAGAATTCCTTTGGAAACATTGAACACCTTTAACATTGGAAAGCTGACCATAGGTGGGAATTGAACAATGAGAACACATGGACACAGGAAGGGGAACATCACACACCGGGGCCTTTTGTGGGGTAGGGGAAGGGGGGAGGGATAGCATTAGGAGATATACCTAATGTTAAATGATGAATTAATGGGTGCAGCACACCAACATGGCACATGTATACGTATGTAACTAACCTGCACGTTGTGTACATGTACCCTAAACTTAAAATATAATTTAAAAAAAGAAAAAAAAACATTGGAAAGCTGACCACTTATTTTGTCTGAAATAGTCCCTGGACTGCATTAGAGGCCAAAGCAACATTGGCTTAAAATATACTTACCAAATGTATTGAAGTCAAGCCAGGGCCCTTATCAAACCAAGCCAGAAGTTTCCCTTGCTCTTTCCTATTCCTTTCCAACTTTGTTGAGCTTCCTAGAAATGTACTTTTTTATTTTTTAATTTCAACTTTTATCTTAGATACTGGGGCTACATGTGCAGGTTTGTTACATGGGTATATTACATGATGCTGAGGTTTGTGGTATGGATTCCATCATCCAGGTAGTGAACATAGTACCCAATAGGTAGTTTCTCAACCAAGTACTCCACAGTGTCTGTTGTTTCCATTGTCCCCATCTTTATGTCCATGGTACCCAATGTTTAGCTCCCACTTGTGAGAATATGCAGTATTTGGTTTTCCATTTCCTGCTTTATTTGGCTTAGAATTATGGCCTCTAGCTTCATCCATTTCACTGCAAGGGACGTGATTTCATTTTGTATGGCTGTATAGTATTCTGTGGTGTATATGTACCACATTTTCCTTATCCAATCCACCATTGATGGGCACCTAGGCTTTAATCCTGGGATGCAAGGCAGGTTCAACATATGCAAATCAATAAACGTGATTCACTACTTAAGCAGAATTCAAAGCAAAAACCATATTATCACCTCAGTAGTCACAGAAAAAGCCTTCAATAAAACCCAATATCCCTTCATGATAAAAACCCTCAACAGACGAGGCATCAAAGGAATATACTTCAAAATAATAAGAGCCATCTATAACAAGCCCACAGCCAACATCACACTGAATGAGCAAAAGATGGAATCATTCCCCTTGAGGGGAATGATGGCCACTCTCACCACTCCTATTCAACATAGTACTGGAAGTCCTAGCCAGAGCAATCAGGCAAGAGAAAGAAATAAAAGTCATCCAAATAGAAAAGGAAGTCCAACTATCTCCCTTCACTGAAAATATGATTTTATGTCTGGAAAACCCTAAAGACTAACCAAAAGCTCCCAAAACTGATAAATGACTTTAGTAAAGTTTCAGGATATCAAATCAATGTACAAAAATCAGTAGCATTTCTATACACCAAAAACATTCAAGCTGAGAGTCAAATCAAGAACACAATCCCATTTACAATAGCCACAAAAGAATTGAAATACCTAGGAATATAGCTAACTAAAGGAGGTGAAAGATCTCTACAAGGAGAACTACAAAACACTGCTGAAATAAATCAGAGATCACATAAATAAATGGAAAAACATCCCATCCTCATAGATTGGGCGCCACACTGCCCAAAGCAGTTTATAGATTCAATGATATTCCTCTCACACTACCAACATCATTTTTCACAGAATTAGAAAAAAGTATTCTAAAATTTCATATGAAGCCAGAAAACAGGCCAGTTGTCATGGGTCATGCTTGTAATCCCAGCATTTTGGGAGGCCAAGGCAGGAGGATCACTTGAACCCAGAAGTTCAAGACCAGCTTGGGCAACATAGTGAGACCCCATCTCAAAACAAAACAAAACAAAAACAGCCTGAATAGCCAAAGCAATCCTAAGCAAAAAGAACAAAGCCAGAGGCATCATGCTACCTGACTTCAAACTATACTACAAGGCTGCAGTAATCAAAACAGCAGGGTCTGATACAAAAACAGACACATAGAACAATGGAACAGAATAGAGATCCCAGAAGTAAAGCTACATACTTACAAACATCTGACTTTGACAAAGCTGACAAAAACAAGAAATAAGGAAAGAACTCCCTATTCAATAAATGTTTCAGGGATAACTGACTAGCCATATGCAGAAGAATAAAACTGGACCCCAAACTGTCATCATTTATATAAATTAGCTCAATATGGATTAAAGGTTTAAGTGTAAGAACTCAAACAATAAAAATCCTAAGAGAAAACCCAGGAAATACCCCTCTCAATGTCAGCCTTGGCAAAGAATTTTTGGCTAAGTCCCCAAAAGCAATTGTGACATAAACAAAAATTGACATGTGGAACTTAATTAAACTAAAGAGCTTCAGCACAGCAAAAGAAACTATCAGCAGAATAAACAGGCAACATACAGAATGGGAGAAGATATTCACAAACTATGCATCTGACAAAGATCTAATACCCAGAATCTATGAGGATCTTAAACAAAATCAATAAGCAAAAAACAAATAGCCCATAAAAAATGGGCAAAAGACATGAACAGGCACTTCTCAAAAGAAGACATACAAGTGTCCAACAAACATGAAGAATGCTCATCATTACTAATCATCTGAGAAATTCAAATAAAAACTACAGTGAGATACCGTCTCACACCAGTCAGAGTGGATATTATTAAAAAGTCAAATATTAACCAATATTAGGAAGGCTGAAGAGAAAAAGGAACACTTATACAACATTGGTAGGAATGTAATTGGTTCAGTCTCTGTGGAAAGCAGTTTGAAAGTTTCTCAAAGAGCTTAAAACAGAGCTACCAATTGACCCAGCAATCTTATTACTGGGTATATACCCAAATAAATCATTCTACCAAAATACACACACACTCAGGTTCACTGCAGCACTATTCACAATAGCAAAGACGTGGTAGCTTTTGAAACCATCATTATTTCATGATTTGGGCCCTCTGCACTCCTCCACTCTGGAAGCAGCAGGCCAGAGACCCGTGGGAACACCACCAGCCAGGCAAGGAAGAATAGCAAGCTGGGATCCAGTGGGAGGCATAGACTTACTGCAGGAGATGACTCTAACAGTACAGTGAGGGGGAGGTGGCAGACTATCTGAGGGCAGTAACAATGTTGGGCACATTTTAGCAGTGACTGGCAAGAAACAGTAGCAGGGTTTCAAATAAAGAGACGAAACCCTGCCTTGGGATATCCAGGCAGTAGTCAATATGTAAGAGTCAAAGAGCTACACATTATTCCTTTTGAAAATATAAAAAAGAATGTATATAGATTCATATTTTTACCACCTTTTCTGCACCAAAAGCAGTACATTATGACTTTCTTCTATACCTTGCTTTTTTCACTTAGTGAATACCAAAGATCACTCCACTATAATCTATGAAGATCCTAATTTCTTTTGTACAGCTGCACAGTGCTCCATTTTGGATGAGCCATAGTTTATGGTCCTGAAAAACATTTGGGTCATTTACAATCTTTTCTTCTCACAACAGTGCTAGAATTAATAGGCTTGTGTGTGTGTTTGCCATTTTATCTCTGGGTTAGATTCCTAGAAGTGGGTTTGCTGAGTCAAGGTATATGCACTTTTGCTGGATGCTGCCAAACTCCCTTCTGTGGAGGCTGCACTATTTTGCATTCCCATCAGCAATGACCATCAAATGCAGATAATTTTATATTGGAGAAGCAGGGTAGGAATTTGAGCTACTTTAAGCCTGGTGCTTTGTTTTCTGTTGAAGTAGAAAACAATGTCACCAGTGAATAGAGGAGATAGGTTTGAGCTGATGTCTTGAGGAGAGCAGGGAAGTTATAGCAGAAAAGGGAAGTACTCAACAAGTGAGACAGGACCATTCAGTAATGTGAAGGGCTCAGCCAAGACTCTGTTCTTTGAGATTTTCCTAACGTTAGTCAGCATGGTAGGGCAAATTTCTTCAGCAGTGGTCCATGGACCAAGTATAGGACTTAAAAATGACAAATGGTTAGATTAATCTATGGCAAGGTGGGGGTGGCACATAGACAAGGGTGTAATGAAATTGAAGTGTTGGCAAAACAATGGAGTCTAGACTGAATGAAGAAGGAAATGAAGCTAAAAGGGCCTAAATAGAAAGGACTTAAGGAACAAAGGACCATGATGAAGAGCCAAAGATAGGTGTTGTGGATGGAGAGTGAAGGGAAAGCCAGAGAGATATGAAGCTGTGATCAGAGGATGGAGTTTTAGAGTTTGAGATTTCAGATCTGGAGTAGTGCCAGGTCATAGCAGGGTCCTGGTGGGGAAATGGATGTGGACAGATGAATTGGGAGGTAATTCAAGTTAAGAAGGTTCAGAAACTGAAATGCTAGGGCATTAGAAGGGTATGCTACATGGATATTGAACTCTCCTGGGGTTTGAGCTAGATTTGACCAAATATTTTATCAATGGAGAAAATGTCTATTATTTCACTCTGATAAGGCCTATTGCCTAATCTGTAGCTGAAGTTCATAAAATAATCATTAAATGAACAACTGAATGAGTAATCCAATTGCTGTAGGAGGGACTTATTCAGCTTTTAGGAGATAATATGACTTAAGGATATTAGTGATATCTACTTTTAGTATTCAAGATAGTATTACTGACTTGTTCTGTGATTTTGTCTGACAGTTGACTAGTAAGGAAAATTGGCATATTTCTTTCCCTGCATCTTATTTTTCCTCCATCTGTGAAGAAATATATAGTGGAAAAATGTCTAAACAATAAGATGGGAAATCAGAGATTTGGTCCCAGATTTGCTACTCACTACCTGTAACCTTATTCAAAGCTCTTACTGATTTATCTTCAGAAATAAGGGTGGTTCTGGATAACCTCTATTTTATTTCTAATTCTAAACTTTGAGTTTCTTTGAGTACGGAATTTGAAGTAATTCAGAAAGTAAACATTCTAGTTGTATTCACCCATCTAGTCTGAAGTTCTTTTTGTTTAAGATTGTTTTGAAGGCAAACACTGAAACTCTTGAGTTGTCCCAGGAACAGATCCTGAAACAAAGATGTGAGGACAAGTGGTTTATTTGAGAGGTGATCCCTGGTAGCACTAGTAGGTGATTAGCGAAGGGAAAGAGCCTGATACTGGGTGTGTTGAGGACCAGGTCTTTACTGTGGGTGTTTGAGGTTGAGTCCTGGCAGGGACTGCTGGTAGGTGGAGGTCAGAATTGACCACCCACACAAGGAAGGAAGCTGGGGCATTTGTGCTCCAACTCTTGTCTGTCGCTGGCTGGACAACCTAAGAATTCAACTGGCTGGACATGATGGTGCATGCCTGTAGTTCTAGCTACTGGAGAGGCTAAGGCAGGAGGATCTCTTGAGCCCAGGAGGTCAAGGCTGCAGTGAGCTATGATTGTGCCAGTGCACCCCAGCCTGGGTGACAGAGTGAGACCTTGGCTCAAAAATAAATAAATAAATAAAATAAATGACTTAAGGGAAATTATGCCAGTTCCTGGCCAGAGAGTGAGGTTCAAGCTGTTGGAAATAACCTCTCAAATATTCCAATAACTCTAAATCCAATGTCATCTACGGAAAGATGTTCTTTCCCATGAAAGATGGACATCTAGGAAGCCAGATACCTCCATTTTCATCATGTCAATAACATATAACTTTCTCCTTCTACTTCTTCTAGGTGGATTACCTAGGTTTTAGAAGGAAAAATATTTCTTTATTCAAAAAAGCTTAATTTTATGGAGTACTTAAATGGACAAGACACAACTTTTTGCCCTTGACGAGACTCCATGCTAAAGGGGAGATAAAACCGTGCAGAAATATAAACAAATAACCACAGTCCAAAGCTGCCTTACTCCCATTTGAGTAGTATAAGTAAAAATAGATCTCTGGGTTATTTTTTAAAGGTGTTTGAGAAGTAGAGTAATTGAAACATTTTCCTTTCTCGTTTTTTATTTTTATACCATCTTTTTTCTATTTTCATCTATTACTATCTTTATCTAAATGCCTTACTCTTGTATATAGAAGTTGGCTGCATCACCAATCACTTTCATCAATGTGCTTACAGATAAGTATAGCATTATTCAGATGCATAGCTACATGATTTTTAAAGTGTGTATAGATCGTTTTAGACTCTTTGAAAGTTATTCACTTTTCTGTATAATATTAACTTCACCCCATTTTTCCTCTGCACTTTGAAACAGATTTGGACATCCTGAAATTTTTTTAACACAGGGGGTAGAAGGAGGGAGAGGATCAGGAAGAATAACTTGTGGGTGCTGGGACTAATACCTGGGTGATGGGTTGATCTGTGCAGCAAACTACCATGGCACATGTTTACCTATGTGACAAGCCTGCACATCCCACACGTGTACCCCTGAACTTAAAAGTTGGACATTTTAAAAAAGAAAAAGAACAAAAAAGAAATTATTTAACAATTAGACAAGAGAAAGAAAGATATATACAAATTAAATTAGCTTAGGTGGTTGCCTCTAAGTAGATTTGGTGTTTAAATGTTTTTTTATTTTTTTAATTTTTTTATTATACTTTAAGTTTTAGGGTACATGTGCACAACGTTTTATTTTTTTAAATGTTTCTTCATTAGTGTTCCCATAGCACTTTACATAAACATCTACTTGAAAATTTATTACTCCATATTATCATCCCTTGCTCAAATGCCTCCCCACCCCTCTCTGCCCTTACTTGCCTCCTTCCCTCCTCCATTCTTCCCTTCTTCCCTCCATCCTTTGCACAAGAATACAGTATCCAGGAAACAGGAACCTTGTCTTATTCACTTTTGTGTTCCTTGTACCTTGTATTGGGTGATGTATAGCTGGATGGATGGATGAGAGACAGCTATAAGTGAACTCTTCCACAAGATCTGGAGAATGATGATGATCATGATGATCTTTTAACCATGAAACACCTGCTAAGTACTGACTTCACCTTCAGTGTTCCTGCTCCTATCTATCAAATGGTTATGACCTAAGGACCAAAGTCTTTAAAAGTTTATCAAAATCTCTTAGAAGCTAAGCTCGACCTCTGAAAATGAAGGTAATTGAATATTTTTAAAGCTCACCGCAGACTGAGTGAGCCAAGTGATGAAATGTACTCATAGGCTGAATTAACAGAGTTTTATCAAGGATTTTCTCCTGTCCTTTTTGCCCCTTTAGTCTGGCCACCTAAAATATCCCCAGTTCCCAGAATTCCACAGCTCTCTACTTCAGTTTGGCCATTCAGATGGAACTTAAGGAAAGACACTTGGAAGTGCAATTGCAGAAAATAAACATGAAATTCAGAACTTTATAGAAATATTTGTGCACTAAAATTATAAGAGGGTTAGAAAGTTAAGTGAATTTTAATGGCATGAGGCAATTTTATGAGGAAGAAAGCTTTCAGTACAAGAAGAGTAATGGCACTTAAGCAGGGTGGAGGGGTCACTCGGTGCAGCCGACTGCAGTCCTTCCTCTGCTGTGGGCATTTGTTTCTGATAGTCGGGGAGCACGAGTATTGCAATGCCATTGACTGTCTGTTAGCAAGTAGAGCACTTCAACTGCTGTGGGTAAGAGGCAGGCTTCCTTCTAGCAAAAAGGCTTTCAGTCAGATGCCCAGTGTTTTCCAAAAGCCTGACTTTAACTCTGAACCCACCAAGAACGTTGGGGAAACTGATTATTTCAGTCCATCCAGAACTCATGCAGTAGACCATGCTTACCAAATGCCACCAGACCATCAGGAATTCATCTAAGATGTTTGGGATGTAGATCAAGGGTGCCCATGAAGGAGTTTAGAATCCCTCAGGGTCACTGCCCATAGCAGGGACAATTTCAAGCCAAACCCATTGGATTCACCCTGAATAAGACTTTCTCCTCTATTATCTGAAGTAAGCCAAAATTCGGTTTTCTGTCTTCTTCTCAACATTTTTGTTAATTTGTCAAGCAGCTCGAAAGCTGCCATTTTCATTTTCAGATGAATATCTTAGTCTTTGCTTTTGCACATAAGTAAAACTGTTTGCTATATTTAAGGAAGCTTTAGGGGAGGAAGAAATACATAGCAAAGTGAGACCCAGGCCTTGTGCCTTTTGCTCTTTTCCACTAAAAACAATTCATTTCTGATGGTTTAATTTATTTAGCCATGTATAGTTTCTAATCTAAAACTCCTATTTTAAGAAGCCAATGAATCTTTTGCTTTTCAGTCCCCTATAGATCTTATGATTCTGGCTAGTATCAAAAACACTTCCAGAAGAGGTTTGGGTCACCTTCATCAGTCCTGGGATTAGCTCACATTAAACAAGAGAATTTATAATTTTGAAAAAAGTATTTATTTCCATTTCTTTTACAACCAAAGTGTTCAATGGTTTAAAAATAGTTTAAAAGATACTCTGTAAAATTTAAACTATATGGTGAAAGAAAGCTGCTTTGGTGATTTTATGTAAAAAATCATTTCCTCTCTTAGAGTAGAAGTTGGTTTGCAAATTAACGTGGTGGAGCCAAAATAGAGAATTGCATCGTAAGAGAGTGACTCACAATGTTTTGACTTTTTAAAATATATCTTTCCCGACAGCAATGACTGCCTTGTCATTTGATTGCTTTCTAATTAATGTTAAGTTTTCCATTATAAATATCACAGTTTTGCCAGCAGAGCTACCAGTTGTGACCTTGTATTACCTGTCCTTGTAGGACGCACTGGGCAATTAAGACCATGGGTGTCTATGACTACAAAGATGTATCTCCTCATATTCTAACCTTAGGTGTGGTACAATCAGTACTGCCATAAGAACATTTCCATTAATAGCAGAGAAATAAATCAATGTTTATTTGCTTGGAAGTAAAAATAGGTACTTACTGATAAGTGTGTGTTTCTTGCTACTTTTATTTATGAAGAATTAACCAACCATGAAGTATCCTTGATAAATAAAACCAAGTTGCAACCTTTAAAAACTATTTAAGGCTGTGCACGTTGGCGCACACCTGTAATCCCAGCACTTTGGGAGGCCAAGGGAGGTGGATCACGAGGTCAAGAGATCAAGACCATCCTGGCCAACATGGTGAAACCCCGTCTCTACTAAAATTACAAAAATTAGCTGGGCATGGTGGCACACGCCTGTAGTTCCAGCTACTCGGGAGTCTGAGGCAGGAAAATCACTTGAACCCAGGAAGCAGATGTTGCAGTGAGCCAAGATCATGCCACTGCACTCCAGCCTAGGGACAGAGCAAGACTCCATCTCAAAAAACAAAAAACAAAAACAAAAACAAAAAACCACACTCACACGCACACACAACTATTTAAAAGTAGAAGGAGGAGGAGGAAGAGGAAGAGGAAGAAGAAGAGCTGTACACTATGCAAAGAAGAAGATGGATGGAACAGATAAAGTCAATCCAAGGCTCATGGTATGCTCAGCAGAGCAGATACTGCTTGAAGCCCCTCCCTAAAGGCTTCATGCAACCTAAAAGGAGAATTCAACCTAGAAGGAATACAGAGACATATTTGGATTCTCTAACACAAAAATGTTTGCAAATAGAAAATCAAAGCTGTGTTTAAAAGTTTCTGCAGTCAGACCTTGCCAAATGTAGGCTCGAAAGCATCAGTAACTCTCTCTCTGCCTCTATGTCCCTATGTTTAGTCATTTAGAGTCAGAGGTAGCTGAAGGTGGCCTCCCTACTGTCTGTGAACCCAATGGACAAATTTAGAAGTTTATAGCCTTAATATACCCTAAGTGTTATATAATAAGTTTTACAACCTGAATTAATAAGTTCTTACATTTAACTTCCAATTTATTTTTTCCTTTTTGAGTTAAGGAAAAAAGCTGTACACTTGTCTACAAGAACTGTCATCCTCCACTTGAACAAAGACCATTTATCTCTTCTTCTGGCACATCCTGAAAATTTCAACCTTTTGAATCATATTGTATGCATAGTTTGGTTATTCTTCCTCTAAGAAAATGTCTAAACTGACTTTTTCTTGGGTATTTTTTTTCACCTTGCCTGATTCTTTCAGCAGATATTTATTGAGCTCCTCTTTTGTGCATGCACTGGAGAGATCTTTGAACTATGAAGGAATATAAACTTTTCTCCCCATTTTATACTTAATTTAACTCTTTCTTTTCCTTCATCTTAAGCATCAGTTCCTCACAGAAGCATCCCTGACCTTCTAGTTTAGGTTGGTCATGTTTATTGCATAGAACCTCAGTGTTTCCTTTATAGAACTGATTTCAGTTGTAAATCAACTCATTTATTGATTATTTTACTATTATCTATCTCCCCAACATTAGAACAGGAGCCATGTCTGATTTTGTTCACCTATTTATTCCAGTACCTGGCCCACAATACTGCTCAGTTAATTGGTGGACTGATTAGTACTTGATGAATGAATGGATGGGTCAATGAATGAAACATAGTTTCTTCCTTCCAACAGCTCATAGCATAGTATAGGAAAAGAAGCATAGCTGGGCAGGGAAAGTAGATGAGACTGGAAAGGTAAGTATGGGATAAAATTATAAACAGCCTGGCTAAGGTGTTTTCACATTATTTTGTTGGAAAGAAGATGCCAACGAGATGTGGTTTAGACAAAGGCAACAGCTGCAGAGCAGCAGGAGCGCAGGAGCTGAGTCAGAGCACCTCACACATCCCTCTGCTTCCTTGGAAGAGTAATCAGCATTGCAAGGAAGACCCTTTAAAAGATTATCTCCTTCCCATAGAGTGGGGCCTGGCTTACAGAAACTCCCTGACCCAGGGGACCCACATGACAAAAATAGACTTGAACCAAGGGCTGATTCAAACTTGGTTTTGACACATGTGGCCATACAGCAGAGTAACAAGTTGCTATTTTTCTTCCCAGCCATTTTTCAGACAGTTTCAGCAAGATTGGAATTCCAGGTGTAGTCAGACAGTCAACAATATTTATTAAGCACTGGTCATGTACCAAGTCCTGGGGATAGAAGGATTTTTTTTTAATTGATGTGGATATGGCCACTGTCCTTGCAAACCTTAGAGACTAATGAGCCAAAAACAACAGCAAATAATCCAGGGCAACTCCATGTGGTAAGTGTTCTGATAGGGAAGGCACAGAGAGCTGTGGGCTCACATTGGTGTAGCTCATGTGTCCCAGGTGACACGTGGTCCCACAGGACATGTGCTCTAAGATGTCAACCCAATGAGGAGAGTTAATCAAGGGAGAAGGGGGAAGAAGAACACATCAGGCAAAGGGACCAAAGTATGCAAAAACTCACAGACAAGAGAGAACATTGCATGTGAGAGGAAGGGAGAGGGATTCTGGAGCATGGTGTGGAGGAGAGGAGCGGCAGGAAGGCACAGGGGCAAAAGGTGAGGGAGAATCTGTAGAGTTCGGCAGGACAAGATCACACAGTGCCTTGTAATCCACGTCAGGAGTGCAAGCTTTATGGTGAGAACAATGGGAAGATTAGAGGTGATGGGAGTATTAAAGAGATGATGGTTACAACATGGTGGATGTACTCGAGGAGCAAGAAATGGGAGGAAAGACAGTTCCAAGGTTTGGGCATGAATCTGGGGGGGAAATGATGGCAGTCCCACACTCAGGTAGTGGCAAAAAGGATGAAGAGTAATGTGGAGGTATGAGAGATATTTAAGAGGTCGATTGGTTGGGCTTTGGGGACTGATTGGATGATAAGGGAAGAAGAGATGAGGAATCAAGGATGCTTGCATCACTACGGGATGGTGGGACCTTCCCCTAAGCTGTGACACATGGAGGAGGAATAGATTTAGTGCCAGAGGAAAGATGGTGAATTCTATTTGAGGTATGTTTGAGTGAAAAGTACCCATGGGACATCTTAGGGGAAATATTCAGCTGCCACTTGACTTGACAGATCTGGAGCTAAGGAGAGAGATCCCAATCATCTGTGTGACTCCTCTTGTTGGTAGTCCTCACATGTTGGCATATACAACAGTCATAACAACGTGGACTTTCACGTCAGAGGAGACCAAGGCTCAAGTCGCTTATGAGTTGTGTGGGCTTGTACACATTACATTGCTAAGCCTTTCTGAGCTTTAATTTCTTCATTATAAAAATCTGTTAATAATGTTACCTACTTCATAGGCTATTGAGAGAAATAAATGAAATAATCTTTGTAAGGCACTTAGCCTCAATCAATCTTTATTGGTGGCAGTGGTGGTAGTGCCGGTAGTGGGATAGTGTTGGTGGGATTAGTAATGTCATCTACCCTGGAAATGTAGATTTGAGAACCACCAATGCATAGAACCATCAAAGGTGGATTTGAGAACCACCAATGCATAGACGATACCAGGAACCACTGGAGGAAATGGTGATAAGAGTGTAGAAAAAAACACCAACATTGAAGGGATACATAAAGGGCATACACAATAGAGATTGAAAAGTAACCAGGAAGGTAAGAGGAAAATGAAGAGAGTGCCATAGCATTATGGAATTCAAGGGAAGAGAGGCTTGAAGAAACTCTACTGGAAGTGGTCAGTGGAGTAAAATTCTACCAAAGAGTCAATAAAGGTAAGGACTGTAAAGTGACATTGAATTCAGGGACAAGTTAGGATCAGTGACCCCTGAGACAAGCGTTTCATTAGAAGGGCAGGGATAAAAGCAAAATTATAACAGGTTGAGAGAAGTTGCCAGATATGGCTCACTATTTAATATGCAAATACTTCTCATTAAAAACACTGCAGGGCAGGAGCATGAGAACAAAGTTAAAAGAGTATTCTGACGATTGAAATTTGAGTTTGCCTCATGCCATGGTTTGAAGTATAACAAAAAGACCTTCAGGGTCTGAATTTGGATGCTCCATTCTAGTTCTTTATCGTGCATTGTCAGACACTGCTGAAGGAAAGGGAAAATAATAATCCTAAAGTCATTTCCTATAGAGGAGACTTCTTGAATACACCATCCAAGTATAATGTGTTTATTCTGTTCTCAAGGCTTTTTTGAAAAGGAATTAAACTCTATATAGCATCAGTAGCAATTTTCTGCATTGCATGTGTATTCACTTGGAGAATTCATTTTCCCATTTACAGCATTATAAGGTCTCTATCGAGCAGGAATTCCGACAACAGTCTGCATCACTAGATCCCATTTCAGGGTCTTCTCAATGACTTTTGTGGATTTGAAAGCAGCCTTGCCTTCCCTTCACTATCAGAGAGAACACACAGATTTGGGATTGGTACTCAGGATTCATTTATCTTTGTGAGGACATTTTACATGATCTGTGTTAGGGCCTTTGCCCTCAAATGAAACAAGCTTTATTTGTCCGAACACACATGCAGAGAAGCACACACTCCTATACACACATGCACATGCGTGCAGGGGCACACACCATTCAAAGCCTTTCACCTGGAAATAGCATTGAACAGATAAGGGAAGTGAGGCACCAAATGAATCGTTTTAGCCAAGACTGTACCATGACATCATTGATCAAACTAGAGCCAGGTCCCATTATGGCCTTCAAATAAAAGGCCAACACTGCCTTTTTAGCCAGGACTTTCCAGCTGTCATGGTAGTCTCCAATGTTCAGCATCATCTCAATGGGCTGACTTGCAGCGGGTGATTCTTATTGTGCCATCTCAAGTTTGAGAACTACTGCACTAATTCCTTCTTTTCACAGGGCCATCTCTAGAGCCAGACTGGCTGGGTTCAAATCCCAGCTAGGCCACCTAGTAGCTATGGACAATTTACTTAATCTCTTTGTGCCTCAGTTTCCTGTTTTGTATAATGAGAACAACAGTATCACCTGGTAGGTAGAGGCAAGGACAACAGGAACTAACACATGTCAAGTATTTAGCACTGTGCATGGACCTTAACCATTGTCTTTCTGTTTCCCCTTCTACAACCAAGGGTAATAATGGTACCAACCTTAAAATGTGGTTAAGAGTCTGGCATGAGCTGATTAATTTAAGTGTTTAGTTGTCACTATTAAATATCTCACGTCATTCACTTTATATTCTAATCAAACTTGTTTAAAAAACCAGGCTAGCTCCTGGGCTTTGTCATCAAAAGTTGTGTGCATCTTCATGTGGGTCATTTTCACATGATTCCTTCCCAATTTATGTCACTGTCTTCATTTCTGAAGTTGTGTTTGTAACAACCCAAAATGTGTAACCCAACTCCACATGGAAAGGGGTTTCCTGTGTTGTGGGGAGTGGAAAACCTCTCAGGTGTTCAGAAGATGACTGGCGGCTCTCCACTTATGAAAATACATGAGGTGGATGAAATAACTAACTTCAGGGAAAAGGCCACAAGATTTACATCCATTCCAACATTCATAGCCTTTATGAGACAAGTCACAAAAAAGGTGCACATATTCCCTACAGTAACCTTAGTGCCTCAGTTCAGCTATACAAAGTGGTAACTAGCTTTTATTCATATATATATATATATATATATATATATGAGTAATATATAATATGATATATAGGGTTTATATATCCTATATATGTAAAAGATGTATATAATCTATTATGTCTTGCAGTGTTCTGAGCAGTTTAGATAATTTAACCTCTACAACAACTTTATCATGTAGTACTAGGATTATCAGTATCCTCCTTTTATATATGAAGAAACTGAAGTGCAAAATGAGTAAGTAGCTCAAAGAAGATCAATCAGGTAATGAGAGGCAGTGCCAGGATTTGGACCCACATAGCCTGGAGCCAGAGGCTGCATACTTAACTGTTACCTATACCATCACTCAGTAATTAACACCTGAGATTATCCCAAGGGATGCTCAACCCAGGGCTTCATTTTACGGGCAAGGGAATAAATGTTTCGGAGAAAGATTTTTACCTTTGAGCAGCTTCACATACCTAGAAGCTTAGTTGTTGCTGTTTTGCTCAGAAATGCACCTCTGATCTGTGTGAGATAAAGCTTAGCAACAAAGCTAATTTAAGTACCAAAAGGTGAAAGGGGGTTTATCTTGAAAATGCACTCCAACATTTTCAGCAACCAGTTCTGTGAAGCAAGGCCAAACTCAGAGCTAAAGTGAATATAAGTAAAAAGATAAGTTATTTTATCTCTTCTATATAAAATATACAGTTTCTAAAGAAAAGGTGCCTTTTATGTAACATCAATATTTCCAGGAGAACCCTGGGCAAGTTAGGGGCAGAGCATGATCGAACAGAGACACCTACTGGTGAGAGCAACTCTCACTTCATAGATTTCTATCATAATTTATTTCAGGAACAATAATGATCTCATTATCATTTGAAATGTGTTGGATATGGACAGTATGGTTGTAAGATACAGAGTCTTCCCTTCAGGAGATTACATTTTTAAAAGAAAATATCATATGTATTCAACTATTTATGTAATAACTGAAGCACAGGATTGCTATTCTCCCTTATAGAAATACCAAGGTACTTTTGAGGGTACTGCAATAAGTAGCTGTACTTGGGTGAGGCAAATACCAGGCTAGGTGCAAGGTCCCTGGAGTCCTACATTCCTCTCATCTCAATCCACAGTGTCTGTTGATTGAACACTGGCATTCCGAGGATGGATGAGACAGAGGGCCACAATGCACTCTCAACTCAGAAGCCAGGAGCCAAGGGGCTGATCATTCTAAATGTCTCTGGTTGCCCTTGACAGACACTTCCCAGCCAGTCTGGAGTTCCAGGATCAGACCTGGTCTTATCAGATCAGATGTTCGTATCTCTTCTGCAGTACTCAGATGTTACTTTGGTTCTCCAGATATGACACTTTTCAACAAACATTTCATGAATATATCATTGTTTGAATTCTCTCTTGTGACATGTCAGTTGGTTGATGTTGAGATTGTACTTTGAATATTGTACTTTCCTAAGTTTTGACTAGGAGAAAGAGTTCAGAAAGGAGAAATGGGGAAAAGGATGTGTCTTAGTACATTCAGGCTGCTGCAACAAATACCATATACTGAGTAACTTATAAATGACAGAAATTTATTTCTCACAGTTCTTGAGGCTAGGAAGTCCAAGATCAAGACACCAGCAGATTTAGTGTCTGGTGAGGGCTCATTTCTTTGTTTGTAGATGGTACCTTCTCACTGTGTCCTCACATGTGATCTCTCCTGGGCCTCTTTTATAAGGGTACTCATCCCATTGATGTGGGCTCTACCTTCAAGACCTAATCACCTCCCAAAGCATTCCCCCATTCTAATACAGTCACCTTGGGGCTTATGATTGCAACATATGAATTTAGTGGGGACACAAACATCCAAACCATAGGAGGATGAAGGAAAATGAAATTTAGGAGAAAATAAAACTACATAGGGAGATGACAATATTACTTTTTTTGTTTTATTAGTTAAAACACTTTGGATTCTCAGTTTAAACTTTCTAAATTTCCTAGCCATGCTTACTTATGATTGAAAACTCTTAATGGCTTTAGAAGAAATAGTTCTCAGTTGGGTTGTTTGAATGCAATAGTTTATGTGGTTTGGTTTTAGGTTCCATGTAGAATTTGGAGTTAAAGTAAGACAGTCTGCATATCTGAAAGTGCAACTGAATGACACAAAAGTGATTACACCTCAGATCTAAACAGGATACTTTGATCTAAGGGAGAAGACAGGATGAAAGAATTTAAAACAATTTAATGGACGATACATTGGTGTTGAGAATTCAGCCAACTATTGAGATACAGACTTAATATTAAAAATAAATTCATGAATATTACTGATTAGAGTTTATTCATGAAGCACCTAAGTATAAGCATTGTGTTAAGTGTTGTAAAGTAAACAGATCTCAATCAGACATATCCTGACGATTGAGGAGTTGTAATCCAGCAGGAAAGATAAGATAAATGACTAATCTTCTTTTTTTTTTTTTTTTGAGACAGAGTCTCATTCTGTCGTCCAGGCTGGAGTGCAGTGGCAGGATCTTGGCTCACTACAACCTCCACCTCCTGTGTTGAAGTGATTCTCCTGCCTCAGCCTCCTGAGTAGCTGGGATTACAGGCATGCACCACCATGCCCCGCTAATTTTTTTTGTATTTTTATTAGAGACGGCGTTTCACCATGTCGGTCAGGCTGTTCTCAAACTCTTAACCTTGTGATCCGCCCCAAACTCCTGACTCCATGATCGGCCTCCCAAAGTGCTGGGATTACAGGCATGAGCCACTGCGCCGAGCATGACTGATCTTTAAAACAATAGGAAGAAGCTGCAGGGAGAATGAAACAGATAAGGACAATGGAAAGCACCCTTCACTTTTTGAATTCCCTCTTCCTCCACATCCACTCTATCCCAAACAGAAAACAAGCAAGACTGGAGGCACTTGAACCAGTTAGAAGGCTAATCCTATTGTTTGGGAATGAGAAGTTAAGCTTCTTAATTAACATGGGAGGGGGAAGGAGGTAGGGATTGGGGAAAAAATTTGTAAAGGATGAATGAATCAAATTTAGGGAGTTCGATGTAGAGCTTATGGAAGAAGAGCTGAACATAAACATAGACACAGACATAGAATATTAGAACT
Source organism: Homo sapiens (assembly GCF_000001405.40). Classification (NCBI taxonomy): domain Eukaryota; kingdom Metazoa; phylum Chordata; class Mammalia; order Primates; family Hominidae; genus Homo; species Homo sapiens. The sequence goes on from NC_000008.11 coordinate 72,915,563, forward strand.
GGGGGGGAAAACTTTAATTTCCAAGTGGAAAAATGAAATAAAGGCAGTATTTTTAACAGAAATAGAAAAATCTGCTGCCGGGCACGGTGGCTCATACCTGTAATCCCAGCACTTTGGGAGGCTGAGGCGGGCGGATCATGAGGTCAGGAGATCAATACCATCCTGGCTAACGCGGTGAAACCCCGTCTCTCTTAAAAATACAAAAAATTAGCCAGGAATGGTGGTGGGTGCCTGTAGTCCCAGCTACTCAGGAGGCTGAGGCAGGAGAATGGCATGAACCCGGGAGGCGGAGCTTGCAGTGAGCAGAGATTGTGCCACTGCACTCCAGCCTGGGCAACAGAGTAAGAATCCGTCTCAAAAAGAAAAGAAAAGAAAAATCTGAAAGGATTCTTTGCAGGAAGGTAGAGTAGAAAGCAACATCATGAGTTTCCTTTTTCAACTATTTATAAGGCTAGAGGGACCAATTGATTTGTAAGTGAAAATATCACTGAAGAATTTGGAAATGTGGAACTGGTCTCAGGAGACCATTTCTAAGCCAGGAGATCCATGGAGTGGATCCAGGAGATCTTGGGAGCTCACTGATATCTTGTGCAAAAAATGATATTAATTTGTTTATATTAAGGGTTAATTTTAAATCACTTTTTCTCCCACATGCTTTTGGAAAAGGTTGGTTAAATATAAAAGATTATTGATTATAAGGGAGATTTTTGAGGCAGGATATTTCCCTGACCCCTTCGTGGGCAGGAACTGGAGTGCACAGATGCTGGAACTAGCCAGCTGCTTCACTGGTGGCAGGAGCAGACTCCACTTGCTTGGTCCCGCTGTGTTCCACCCCCTCACGGGACGGGGAGCACAGGTGAGAGGAGCCAGGGTGAGAGCTTTTAGGCACCAGCAGGAGCAAAACTCCATGGGGGCCCTGCAGCAGCATCTGAGGGTGGTGTCTGTAACCCCTGAAGCCCCAGAAGGAGTGCTACAGTGCTGTTTTAACTTTACTGTCTGTGGACAGCTTAAGTGTTAATAGCTCAGTGTAGGTTCAGCGTGACAGCCTTTTGCATCTGCACTCCTGGCACCCAAGTTCTTATCTGGCATCCAGGAGGAATGAGGTCACATGAATGAATTGAATGAAGATGGTAAATGTGGGAGATTTTATTGTTAATGAAAGTGGCTCTCAGCAGGAAGGGGAGCTAAAAAGGGGACAGAGCAGGAAGGTATTCTTCCCATGAAGTTTGGCCATCCCCAGCCACACTTCTCTCTAAAGCTACATCATCAAGTTGTCCCTCTGAAGTCAAGCTGCTTCTCTCCAGTGTCCAACCTTAGTCTCCAATGTCCAGCTGCTTCTCCTCTCTCTGTCAGCTGAGCCTGGCATTTTTATGGGCACACGATGGGAGATGGGGCAGACCATGGGTGGTTTGAGAAAAGGCAACATTCGAGCTGGAAAACAGGGATGGAATTTATCATTTTGGGCCACAGTATCAGGCTTTTGGGCTTGAGGGTCCCTCACTGCAGACCCACCCTCTTCCACCCAGAATTTCCTTGCCTTCTGTCCCTATCAGTTTCTAGACATAAACAACAGTAAATCATTAATCTGAGAAGGAAATCATTTCCTTGTGAGGCTTTTTCGATGAGTACTAAAGTTGAGAAATGATTTAAAGAGTGAATAAATCAAAGTGAAATAAACTCATGTACAGCAAAGAGAAACAAGGATCAAAAGGTTGAATTTAGCACCAAATAAACTTCCAGTGGAATGAGAAAGTAAATACTATAATCAGTTGACTAAAAGTAATCATTAATATGTGAGATATCACCCTTATTATAATGTTCAGATGTTTTAAAAAGGCAAAGGAGACAATATGAATAATAGAGAATTTATGCTGTTATTAAATGAACATATGGTTATTTTATTGAAAATTAGAAAAAAATCCAGAGTTAAAAGCCTGAGACCTAGTCAGTAAATCAACTCCATTTAAAATACTCTTAATTGGCAATTGTATGTGACATGACATAGTATTTTGGTTTCAGTTCAAACAATTTGTATTCTGTCAATGGTGTTGAAATTGGGAAAGGAAAAAGATGGTTATATATAATTTAAGTGGTAAATTTTTAAAAGAATGGTGGTCCCTTATACCAAAATATATTTTCCAGTAATATCAGCTTTACAACTAGGTATAATAGGTGAATGTTTTTGCGGTATAATTTAAAAGCCCCCACTAATCAAAAATATCTCCATTGCCTGAAATTCTACTGATGAAGATGGAATTCTACTGATGGGTCAAGATATAATCTGACTCTCATAGTGATATCAGGTTGGTAGAACAGGAGGTGAAGGCAATGGTTGCTTGGGCAGATATTTTGACAGGGAAGAGAAAGGACCCAAAGAGGTGTGAAAGGTGTAGAGAGAAGGGGAAGCAGGCTGAAGGGTATCCAAGGTAAATAAAACTTGCCCCACAGTGTTTCCCAGGCTGATCAGGAATGCCAATATGCAAACAGGCAATTATATTCTTATTTTCAACCTACCTAGTCATGATTTTACAGAGAGAAAATTAGTTCCTTTCAGCCTATTTCTACTGTGAATTTTGGTGTTCTTTATTTATCTGCCAAATCTGTGGTACCTGACAATCTCCCAACCATATCATTAGGATGAGAACTTTAAAGCAAAAAGATCAAGCAGCATAAAAGTTGTGTCTTCTGTAGCAGTGCTAAGTCATCATCTGTCTGTGCTTTGTTCTCTTGTCTACTTAGACTTTCAGAAGCAAACACTATTTAAGCAATGAGAGAATGGGGTTGTGGGAATGACACTGGGCATATTTTTTATTATTATTATGTTAACTCCTTTATTTATGTAGAAAGCTTAGAATTTGTTTTGCTAAGCTTAATGTCTTAGAAAATAAGATAAAGAAAGCCTAAGGGCCACAGATAGTATTTGTTGGATTGCATTTGCATAAATAAAAATTTGATGAAAATAACACATATTCAATAGGCATTTAAGATAAGTACTCAGATCTGGGAAAATTCCTAAAATTCCCCTTTTTGAGGAATTCTAAACTAATTTATAAATAATGTGGCAAAATGAATTTTGTATATTTTATTATGTTTATATAAATGATTCAAAAGCATAAAATATTACTCCAATAGTAGGAGAAAATCAATGATTCAGTCTCTCCTGGTGCACAAAGCTTTCAGCCTCCTAGAGGCCATTTAATGTGGTGCAGCTGGCCAGTGGCAGCCAGGGCTCATTGGGTTGCAGTTTTATGTGCTATTGTAATATAATGTGTTTAGTCATGCCCTCTGCCTGTTTTAGGAGGTCAAATTTTAGATTCCCGGCATATACAAAACTAGTCTGGCATTTAGAAAACCTAGAAGTCTAAAAGACAACACTGTGCTCAGTGACCAACTCTGCAAACAACAGCTGTGGCCACAAATAAAATACCATCTATCTGTAAGTAAATAGAATGGAAAGGGCTTTTGGGCACCCACAGGTCTTTTTCACCATATCTTCAAGCACAGCTAGCAATATTTATCAGTATTATCATCTCCAAAGGAGATATACATCTGTTTATATATGTAAATGCATGTATTTATATGCATGCGTATGTTACACCATAGCATTAAGGTGTTTCTATGAGAATTTTTCACTTCTTTACATATTTAAGCATCTTCAGCACTATACGGAGGAACAGCTCCACCTGGTTCGTGGCCGAAGTGGAGTTCCCATAGCCCTGCCCACTAAGTCTTCTCCTTCTCTCAGCAGTGGCCCCCACAAGGCACATCTAAAGAGCCCCTAGGCTCCTGAAAACCACAGAAGGAAGTGATTCTCACTATGGAGATTAAGAAAGACTTTTGGGAGGGTGGGGGTAATGGGTAGTTTTTAAACTGGGACTGATTCAAAATAGTTGTGTACCACACAGAAGATAGGCTTCTGAACAACCACTGTTTTTTCCATCATCAGAAGAGAAGATTTGTGTGGTAGCCTTCAGACATGACCTGCCACCTCCCCTTTGCAGCTGATGAATATTTGACAGGCTACAGGAAATAAGGCATGGCCACAGGCTATGATGGAGTGACCATATGTAGGTCTATCACTGACAAACTGATTGCATTCGACCAAGTGAGGATCCCTAGCTTGAAATTACAGAAATATTTTAAACTTCTACATAGGAAGTAAGAAATTTAAACATGAAAATGTTTAGGCTATATGTGAAAATTATCTGGACATTTGTCATAATATGCTCGGTGTATTTTTATCTGTAGACTAAATATCAATGGTGGTTAAATTTTGCTTTGATAATCAGATATTATTGCAGACATATGTCTTCATCTATGAAGACTATTTGTTGAATATATGCAGTAATGTTAGCCACTATTTAAAAGCACTTACGAGGTACTAGATATATTTAAGCTCTAATCTCAATGCTATCACCTCTATTACCTGAAGAGTAGATGCCTCGTAGCCAGATGAGCAATAGAATTGAGATTTGAATCCAAAATGTGACCTATAAGCTAATATTATAGTTTAAAACTATTGAGTCAATTATTTTAAAATTAATTACTTAAGTTATATATAACTTAAGTCATGTAAGATCACTAGATCTCAAGTCATGTAAGCTCAATAAACATTTACTTAATCAAAAATTGGGTCTTTTTTCTTATTTTGAGACAAATCATATAATGAAAAAAACCCACATATTTAGAAACCAATATCAATCAATAGTCTATCAATAATGTTAACTTTGCTTAAATATTGAAGGATTTCATCAGAAGTTTAAAATAATGTCCTGGCCAGGCACAGTGGCTCGTGCCTATAATCCCAGCACTTTGGGAGGTCAAGGCAGGCAAATCACTTGACCAGCCTGGGCAACATGGCAAAACCCCCTCTCCACTATATCTATCTATCTATCTATCTATCTATCTATCTATATATATATATATTAGCTGGCCATGGTGGTGTGCACCTGTAGTCCCAGCTACTCAGGATACTGAGGCTGAGGTGGGAGGATGGCTTGAGCCCAGAAGGTGGAGGTCACAGTGACCCTCGATTATGCCACCACACTCCAGCCTGGGTAACAGAGCCAGACACTGTCTCAAAATATAAAATAATAACAAAAATACTGTCCTAATGTAGCACTAAAGACCAGGTGTAATTTAATATATGGCATTTTCTTATGATGAAGATTTAAGTACTAAGTAGCTTTGCTAGTGATTAATGAAAATGTATCAACCCCCAACTTATATCCTAGGAAATATTATGAAGTAAACTACTTTATTCAAAACCCAAATAACAACAGAATACAAAAAGCAGTCAATAAAAGATCAAAAATACAAATGTTAGAGCTAAGAAAGGACCAATAGGACCGTAACACAGAAACTATAGATAAGGTATACACAGGGGTATAACAGGTAGATAAGTTGTAGAAGTCCTAAGCTAAAGTTATGTCAAAAGAGCGAGAGTTCTGTCCCTTTTTGCAGAGCGCGGAAGGTAGGCTACCTTCTCTCTTATTGAGTGAAATTATCCAAAGTTCAGCTTGAGAAACATTGGGATCATGTTACCTTCATATGAATCATCAAAGTGTAATAATTATTATAATTTAATATAATAATTACTATTATTATCATCATTTGGGGTAGGAATATGGCTTAGTATACACATGCAAACATCAACAAACATTTTACAAAACACTGTTTACCCTTTCTTATGTTTTCTATTCTACTCTCATCTGTTCTATTCTACTTTTTTTAAAAAATGCTGATTAAGACTATTAAATTGATTTATAACCCACCAATGGATTGCTACCCACAATGTGAAAAAATGCTGTTCTGATGAGCCACACATAGGTAACTGCCACCACATTTCAGCAGGACCTGCTTTTACTAGGAGCTGAATAGCAGAGAGATGAGGTATGGTACATAGTTAAACTTACTGGTGTTTCGGATGTAAACATGGGTTTATCTAGGCAACAGGATGAGGAGTCCTTAGCACCTTTAACTTACAGACTACCACTAGAGGAAGTGTTTTAAAAATTGGTTTTTAAATTTCCTAACATCAAAGAAATTTCTTGTTGCTAAACCTAACTGTTTTAATATGTTATTTTGTAGTATTTCCTTATTTATATTTCTCCCGTATTCCACTGGTGTAAGTGATTTTTACAGCTTCTGGGACCACATGTTCTAACTTGTCCTGGGCTGCGGTTTAGAATGCAGGTGTTAATTACCTATTTAACAAATCGTAACTATTTACTTCCAGCAGTAAATACAACTTAGTTTCTCCAAATTAAACTGGTTTTCCTGCTGACTAAGGTTCCAAACCCCTATGACTTTCCTCTCCTTTTCAAATGACATTAGATTTACTTTTGAAAGGAATGTATGAAATGGCTCTGTGAGTGTTCTTAGCTCTATCTCTCATTAAAGTCTGGACCTTCTCACTGAATAATATAACCTGGCCATATTCATTTCCTCAGGCTAAGAAAGGTACTCTCTCACAGTTCTGGAAGCTAGAAGTCTAAAACCAAGGTGTGGACAGGGCTGTGCTTCTTCTGAATGTGCTAGAAAAGAATCCTTCCTTGCCTTTTTTTAGATTTTGCTGGTTGCTGACAATCCTGGCTTGTAGCAATACCACTCCAATCTCTGCCTCTGTTGTTACATGGCTATCTGCCCTCTGTGGGCCTCTCTGTGTCTCTCATGGCCTTCTTATAAGGACACTGGTCATTGGATTTAGGGCCCATCCTAATTGAATATGACCTCATCATAACTAATGACATCTGCAAAGACCCCATTTCCAAATAAGATCACACTCTGAGCTTTTGGATGTACAAGAATTCTGGAGAGATGCCATTTGCCTTAGTCCATTCCTGCTGCTATAACAAAATACCTTAGACTGTGTAATTTATAAACAATGGAAATTAATTTCTCAGTTCTGAAGGCTGGAAATTCTATGATGAATACTCCAGAAGATTCAGGGTTTGGTAAGGGCTCACTTTTTGCTTCAAAGATGGAGCATCACTGATGTGTCCTCACATGGTGGAAAAGGCAGGAATGCTCTCTTCAGCCTGTCTTATGAGGGCACAAATTCCATTCATGAGTGTAGACCCTCTCTGTCTCAATCACTTCCCAAAAGGCCCCACCTCTTAGTATTATTTCATTGTGGATTAAGTGTCAACACACAAACTTTGGAGGGACATAAGCATTCAGACCATTACACTATTCAACCCAGTATCCTGATTTCCCAAAGGGATCTGTAAACCAAAAAGGATCTGAAACAGGTCTCAATCAATTTAGAAGCTTATTTTGTCAAGGTTAAGGACATGCCCATGGCACAGCCTCAGGAGGTCCTGATAATGGGTCCCAAGGTGGTTGGGCTACAGCTTGGTTTTATATGTTTTAGGGAGACATAAGACTTGAATCAAACAATATATGTAAGATGTACATTGGTTTTGTCTGGAAAGGCAGGACAACTCAGGCAGTGGGGGTTGGGGGGTGGGGGGAGCTTCCAGGTCATAGGTGGATTCAAAGATTTCCTGATTGCCAATTGGCTGAAAGAGTTTGTCCAAAAACCTGGAATCAATAAAAGGGACTGTCTGGGTTAAGATAAAGGGTTGTGGAGAGGAAGGTTTTTATTATGCAGATGAAGCCTTCAGGTAGAAGGCTTCAGAAAGAATAGATTGTGTTTCTTATCAGACTTAAAAAGTTACCTGACTCTGTTAATTCTCTCCTGGATAAGGGGGTTTGGGGGGAGACCTAGAAATGGAAAGGAATTCTCTACACAATGCAGATTTTACCCACAAAAGACGGTTTTGTAGGGCCATTTCAAAATATGCCAAAGATATATGTTTTGGGATAAAATACTTGGATTTATTTTAGGGCCTGCTATCTGTCATGTTGGTATCTTACTGCTACAGAGTCTGCTTTGTCAGTCTTAAGGTCTTTGCTTTAATGTTATATGCTGGTCAGCTGTCCCTGAATTCCAAAGGGTGGAGCACATAATAAGGCATGTCCAACCCCCACTTCCCATCATGACCTGAAATAGCTTTTCAGGTTAAATTAGAATGCCCTTAGTCAAGGAGTGGGGGTGGTCCATTCAATTGGTTGGGGGGCTTAGAATTTTATTTTTGGTTTACAGACTATACATTTGTCTGTACCAAACTTATTGAAATTAGTCAGCAACATGCACAGAAATGGGCTAACTGGCAATTACATAAGAAAGGAGGCACTAATGTCAAATAGGACGTAATAAGGATAAAGTTCTTCTACCCCTAACATTATATAGTAGTTAATAATTCTGCCCAAACTCTTTAGTTCATTTATCTTAAAAATGTAGTTAATTATCATTAAAAATTGGCATTTATACTGAAATGTCTAACTTCCAAAACATCTTCACATGCATTATATCATTTCAGCACTACACCCTACTTCTGTAAACGTAATTGTCATGACTAGCACCAGTCTATGGATGAAGAAACAGGCTCCGTGTCTTGACTCAGGTCATGCAGTTAATTCAGTAATACAGAACCAGGATGAGGGTCAAGTCATCCGACTCAAAATCCAGCATTCTTTCAACTACCAAGTTGAATTGTGTTATGTGAAAATGTTTAAAGCAATGGCTGTCAAGCACAGGCTGGGAGAGGAGGTCAGGGTGGAATTAGAGACCACGTCAGCATCATCTCCAAGGTTTTTTTCTAGCTAATTACACCCACCCATCCCAGAACCTCTACACAGTGTTGAAAAGCCCCATAGCCCATGAGAATCCACTCCTGTCCCCAGAACTGAGATCCGCTGGTTTAAACTGTATGGGAGAACCTCCAATTCTGATTTTTTTTTTAAGTGGCATGCATTTATGTCTGAGGTCAGTGCCTCTCAAATTTAAATGCACATATGAATCATTTGAGAATCTTGCTAAAATGCAGATTCTGATTCAGTGGGCCTGGGGTGGGGCCTGAGATTCTGCATTTCTAATCTGTTCCCAGGTGATGCTAAAGATTGAAGAACCACATTTTGAATGACAAGGCCTTATGCAGCCCTCATAACAGAACCCAGGAGCAGATAATAGAATGTGTCTATGTGATTGCAGAAAATGTCCGCATCAGACAGCTATAAAAAAAAGGGCCTCTCTGCCCAATAAACACCTCCTCAGTCTCTAATAAATACAGAAGTGCTTGGGCCCATTCAAATTATGAGTCCTTGGTGGTTGCTGCCCAAACAGTCTAAATAAGACTCAATGAAAGGCCCTTGTCTGTGATGCTTAGCTTCATGACAGGAAGAACACCTGTCATGCTTGCAACGGAAGATTCAGTGAGACACTACTGTTCATAGGGCCCTGGAATGCATAGCAGCCTCCCATAACAGCAGATATAAAGTGGATCACGCAAGCTCTCTGCAGTCACGGCTGGATTTGGCTCCTATCTGACTTTCCCTTGGCAGAGCCACTCCATTTCAGCATGGCCGTCCATATATTCTATTTTCTGGCATTGTGTAATGTGGTCTTAATGATGCTGACCCCAAAAGTACTTTTCAAAAGAGGTTTACTGCAGAGATTCATTAAAAGGAAAAATGATTGCATTATGGCTTTTGTTTTTTCTTTCTTTCAAGCTGCTGGGACATGGTCTTTAGATATGGGGATAATGGTGGGAATAAATCCCTGCAATTCTCTGTTAATGGTGATAGATGAGATGATGAAGCCGACTAGGTGTCCAAGGAACAAAGCCAGCTTTTAATGGCACTTTAATTCTGGAAATTTAGAAAACTTCCTTGCAGAAATTGGAAGTTGGAGTGGCAGAAAAATAATTCAACAAATGAATATGCTTTCAGGGGACAGCTAGTATAAATAGGTCCTTAAACTGGTCTTCTCCCTTTGTGATTTCAGAATGTACACTTAAGATAAAATTTTATAAAAGAAGAAAGGTCTGGTGAATAATATAGTATTTATCTCATCATTTTCTCATGTACCAATGAACTGTTGTTTAAAAGAGAAATGTTTAAACATATGGAGAGAAAGCTCAACGTCACTGATCATTAAAGAAATGCAAATCAAAACCACAATGAGATACCAAGCTGGCGAAATTGTGGAGAAAAGGGAATGCTTTCACAGTTGGTGGGCATGTAAATTAGTTCAACCATTGTGGAAGGCAGTGTGGCGATTCCTCAAAGATCTAGAGGCAGAAATACTATTTGATCCAGTAATCCCATTACTGGGTTTATACGCAAAGTAATATAAATCATTCTATTGTAAAAATACACGCACAAGTATATTCATGGCAGCACTATTCACAGTAGCAAAGACATGGAATCAACCCAAATGCCCATCAATGGTGATAGACTGGATAAAGAAAATGTGGTACATATACACCATGGAATACTATGCAGCCATAAAAAGGAACGAGATCATGTCCTTTGCAGGGACATGCATGGAGCTGGGAGCCATTATCCTCAGCAAAGTAACTTAGGAACAAAAAAACAAACACCACATGTTCTTACTTATGAGTAGGAGCTGAACGATGAGAACACATGGACACATTGTGGGGAACAACACACCCTGGGGCCTGTCAGGGCTGGGGGTTGGGGGAGGGAGAGCATCAGGAAGAATAGCTAAGGGATGCTGGGCTCAATACCTAGGTGATGGGTTGATCTGTGCAGCAAACCACGTTTACCTATGTAACAAATCTGCACATCCTGCACATGTACCCAACAACTTAAAATAAATGTTGAAGGAAAAAGAGAAAGAAATGTTTAAGAGAAATTTCATAACCTAAAGTTCTTATTAGAATACTCTTTAACATGAGGAAATATTTTTTCCAGAACACATAAACTTTATTTATCTTGTTCTCAACTTATAAAATCTAGTTAAAATGTGTTCACATGTATTATTTTCATTTTATCATTTCTTTTTTTTATATCCAACTTTTATTTTAAGTTCAGGGATACATGTGTAGGATATGCATGTTTGTTCCATAGGTAAACGTGTGCCATGGTGGTTTGCTGCACAGATCATCCCATGACTTAGATATTAAGCCCAGCACCCATTAGCTTTTCTTAACATAAATAAATATTATTTGGAAAGATAAATGATGATTTAAGTCAAGGATCACTCTCTTTCTACATCTGTAAGATAATAGTGGAGATTTGTTGGAGCTACTCAATCTTCCTGGTAAATTTTATCATAAACTTGGGAAGTCCTAGATCCTTCTATCTCCATAGCAAGCAGGGTCGAGATTCTACTTCATATATATTTGAATAATGTATCCCCTTCTTTCCCTTTGCTGCTGCCATGGCATTAAAAATGTATTGTCTTATCTTCAGCTGCACCCTGCGCCCCCCATCAGTCCTATGCATTACAGTCAGTAATCTTTGTGAAATGCAAATCTGAGCATAGCTTTGCCTTGCCTGAATTCCTCGAATGGCTTTTACTCCTTACGGCAGCATCCTCAAGCTTTGGCAAGCATCAGAATCACCTGGAGAACTTGTTAAAACACAGATTGCTGGGACTTTCCTTGGAGTTTCTGATCCAGGAGGCATGGAGTGGGGCCGGAGAATTAGCCTTTCCAGCAAGTTACCACATAAAGCCAGTGCTGCTGGAGTGATGTGGTTGTTCTGGGGACAACACCTTGAGGAAAACTGGTCTATAGAAGGAAGCGCGTCAAACTCTTCATCACTACACCGAGTACCCTTCAGAATTTATCTATCATCCAACTCTCCAGAAGTGTCTCACCCCCACTCTTTTCTTTCTTTTTTTTTTTTCTTTTGAGATGGAATCTTTCTGTGTTGCTCAGGCTGGAGTGCAGTGGTGCGATCTTGGCTCACTACAACCTGCACCTCCCAGGTTCAAGCAATTCTCCTGCCTCAGCCTCCTGAGTAGTTGGGATTACAGGCACATGCCACAATGCCTGGCTAATTTTTGTATGTTTAGTAGAGACAGGGTTTCACTGTGTTGGTCAGGCTGGTCTTGAACTCCTGACCACAGATGACCCACCGGACTTGGTCTCCCAAAGTGCGGGGATTACAGGCATGAGCCACTGCACCGACCCCCAACTCTTTTCTGTGCCTCTGCCTGCATTCAACCACACTACACTACTCAATTCTCTGAAATCAAGGCTCTCGCAATTGGTTGTGCAAGTTGTGCACTGCACAAAACATAGAGGCATCATTCACGTTATAGTCTCTTGATGGGTTCTTTCTGGAATTGACCAGTTTACAGCCTATACCCTTATATGCAGCAGTCCTGAAATAATCACAAACCCCTATGTGTCATGCCTCTTTATGGATGCCCCCAGCCACACAAAAGTACTTGGAATTTTCTGAGCAAACCATCATCTTTTGGGCTTCAAAGCCTTTGCCCACCATTTTCCTCAGTCTGTAATGCCCTTTATCCCTTTTCTGTGTAGAAACCTCCATGAATCCTTTAAGGCCTCCCTCTCAAAAAAGATTTATGATTAGCATTATCCTGAGACCAAATAAAACATTTTTCCAACAGGAAAAAGAAGAGTGTTATAGAATCTGAATAGAGCCATAAATACTCTGGTGTAAAAATTCAAAACATTCCAAGTATTCAAAATCTGTTTTTTCTCCCTCAAGTTTTCATGAATTATCTTTTCAAAGAGCTAAAAACTGATAAGGAGAAAAGTGAGGACTTCTTTCCACTTTCTTTCTTTTTTTTTTTTTTTTTTTGAGACAGAGTCTTCTTCTGTCACCCAGGCTGGAGTATGGTGACGCAATCTCGGCTCACTGCAATCTCCATCTCCTGGGTTCAAGTGATTCTCATGCTTCAGTCACCCAAGTAGCTGCGACTACAGGCACACGTAACCACACCTGACTAATTTATTTTTATTTTTTGGTAGAGACAAGATTTCACCATGTTGGCCAGGCTGGTCTCGAACTCCTCACCTCAAGTGATCCGTGCGCCTTGGCCTCCCAAAGTGCTGGGGTTACAGGCATGAGCCACCTCCACTTTCCTATTTTGTTCTAGATCTCCACATATCTAAGATGTTGTATGTATGTGTATGTGGTAGTTTAACAAATTATGTTTGCAAATATACATTTATTAAATGGAATATACAGCATTCTTAAGTTTACATTTTTATGACCTTTTATTACTTTCCTGTGGGGCTTTACTTTCAATTACATGGAACACACACACAGACACACACACACACACACACACACACACACACAGTTTTATAAAAAACATATTTTAAGACATGAGACAGGTCAAGTTCACCTGGAGAAACCTCAGTTTAACTCTTTAATAAACATTGGCAAACTAGATAGTTCAGTCCTAAGGAAAAAAAGATTCAATTGTCTAGGTTTGTCATGTAAACCATTGCTTAAGTGAATGTGTTTGAAAGTGTTAAAAATGAGCATTAAATAGTTCTGGAATTGTATTTAACTGGGAGATAAACAGTTTTTTTTTTATTGTTTCCCAATGCTGGCTAAAGGCATTTTCCAAACACATCTCCAGCATTTCTTACACTTATCACATTCTGCACTTGGCAGGATGCTTTCATGTGCATGATCCAGTATGAGCCTTAATAACCCTCTGAGGCAGCCGAGGCAAGCATGAGGCACCTCATTTTGCAGATGAGAGAACTGAAGCTCACAGAGGGACCGGGCTTGTGCATGCAGCAAGCGGAGGTAGAACCATGTGTTTGAATTGCTGATCCTGTGCTTCTTTCCACCACAAAACGTCCATTATCTTCAAAGGACTAAAATCAACAAGCTGGTTCAATTGAGGCAAGTCTCCGGCTGCTTTACTTCCTCCCACAAACAGAAATCAATACAACCAATGTTGGTCCCTACTAATGCGAGTGCTGGGAGCCCTCTTCTGAACTCCCTGTGATCCTGCGTATGTCTGTGTCTAAGTGAAGAAATAACGTAATCATCCAGGTGATTCAAGGGAGAAAAAAGGTTGTATCCAGAAAGAATGTCTATTCCCAGTAACTAAATGCCTAGAACATACGCAGCGCAATATTTTTCAGTCTTCTCTTTTGAATGTTTTACTCATTATGTAACAAAAATTTACTTTGGACGTTCAACTAAAATGACATCATCAACTGTGACTTGTCCTGGGTTTGGTTGACAGACATGACTGGAATTAGTAAAATGTTTTAGTTTAGACAGAGAATCACCAAATGTTAGAGGTTAAGTGACCTTGCAGATGACCTAATCCAAATTTCCGAAGGGTTTAACCAACATCACGCAGTTAATTGTTTGGAATCTTCACTTCCCTGGCCGTATACACACATAATTGTTTTTTTTATTTCTTTTTTTATTATTATACTTTAAGTTCTAGGGTACAGGTGCACAAAGTGCAGCTTTGTTACATATGTATACATATGCCATGTTGGTGTGCTGCACCCATTAACTCGTCATTTACATTAGGTATATCTCCTAATGGTATCCCTCCCCCCTCCCCCCACCCCACAACAGGCCCCAGTGTGTGATATCCCCCTTCCTGTGTCCCTGTGTTCTCATTGTTCAATTCCCACCTATGAGTGAAAACATGCAATGTTTGGTTTTTTGTCCTTACAATAGTTTGCTGAGAATGATCGTTTCCAGCTTCTTTCATGTCCCTACAAAGGACATGAACTCATCATTTTTTATGGCTGCATAGTATTCCATGGTGTATATGTGCCACATTTTCTTAATCTAGTCTATCATTGTTGGACATTTGGGTTGGTTCCAGGTCTTTGCTGTTGTGAATAGTGCCACAATAAACATACGTGTGCATGTGTCTTTATAGCAGCATGATTTATAGTCCTTTGGGTATATACCCAGTAATGGGATGGCTGGGTCAAATGGTATTTCTAGTTCTAGATCCCTGAGGAATCACCACACTGACTTCCACAATGGTTGAACCAGTTTACAGTCCCACCAACAGTGTAAAAGTGTTCCTGTTTCTCCACATCCTCTCCAGCACCTGTTTCCTGACTTTTTAATGATCGCCATTCTAACTGGTGTGAGATGGTATTTCATTGTGGTTTTGATTTGCATTTCTCTGATGGCCAGTGATGATGAGCATTTTTTCATGTGTCTGTTGGCTGCATAAATGTCTTCTTTTGAGAAGTGTCTGTTCATATCCTTCACCCATTTGTTGATGGGGTTGTTTGTTTTTTTCTTGTAAATTTGTTTGAGTTCATTGTAGATTCTGGATATTAGCCCTTTGTCAGATGAGTAGATTGCAAAAATTTTCTCTCATTCTGTAGGTTGCCTGTTCACTCTGACGGTAGTTTCTTTTGCTGTGCAGAAGCTCTTTAGTTTAATTAGATCCCATTTGTCAATTTTGGTTTTTGTTGCCATTGCTTTTGGTGTTTTAGACATGAAGTCCTTGCCCATGCCTATGTCCTGAATGGTATTGCCTAGGTTTTCTTCTAGGGTTTTTATGGTTTTAGGTCTAACATTTAAGTCTTTAATCCATCTTGAATTAACTTTTGTATAAGGTGTAAGGAAGGGATCCAGTTTCAGCTTTCTACTAATGGCTAGCCAGTTTTCCCAGCACCATTTGTTAAATAGGGAATCCTTTCCGCATTTCTTGTTTTTGTCAGGTTTGTCAAAGATCAGATAGTTGTAGATGTGTGGTATTATTTCTGAGGGCTCTGTTCTGTTCCATTGATCTATATCTCTGTTTTGGTACCAGTACCATGCTGTTTTGGTTACTGTAGTCTTGTAGTATAGTTTGAAGTCAGGTAGCATGATGCCTCAAGCTTTGTTCTTTTGGCTTAGGATTGACTTGGCAATGGGGGCTCTTTTTTGGTTCCATATGAACTTTAAGGTAGTTTTTTCCAATTCTGTGAAGAAAGTCATTGGTAGCTTGATGGGGATGGCATTGAGTCTATAAATTACCTTGGGCAGTATGGCCATTTTCACGATATTGATTCTTCCTATCCATGAGCATGGAATGTTCTTCCATTTGTTTGTGTCCTCTTTTATTTTATTGAGCAGTGGTTTGTAGTTCTCCTTGAAGACGTCCTTCACATCCCTTGTAAGTTGGATTCCTAGGTATTTTATTTTCTTTGAAGCAGTTGTGAATGGGAGTTCACTCATGATTTGGCTCTCTGTTTGTCTGTTATTGGTGTATAAGAATGCTTGTGATTTTTGCACATAATTCTGTTTGCTAGAGCTGAAATAGTTCACTCCTGCCAGCTCTGGAGGTCAGTTGTTGGAGGTGAAAGGGATTAAAAACCTGAGGCAGGTGGGGCATGGTGACTTATGCCTGTAATCCCACCACTTTGAGAGGCCAAGGTGGGTGAATCAACTTGAGGCCCGGCATTTGAGACCAGCCTGGCCAACGTGGTGAAACGCTGTCGCTACTAAAAATACAAAAATTAGCTGGGCATGGTGGTGCACACCTGTATTCCCAGCTACTTGGGAGGCTGAGGCACAAGAATCGCTTATGTCTGGGAGGTGGAGGTTGCAGTGAGCCAAGATCGTGCCACTGCACTCCAGCCTGGGCAACGGAGCCAGACACTGTCTCAAAAACAAACAAACAAAAAAAACTCCTGAGACAGTGAGATTCTAACCTGTGAATGGTTGTGGTAAGTAAAGCAATACCTAAGTGTTCCCGGACCAAACCAAGGGTGAGGCTGCTTATTCTCATGGCCCAATAATGAAATGCAGAGGAACTGGGAAAGGAGAGAGTTTATTTCTGTAACCAGGTACAGGGAGAAGGCCTGGAAATTATCCCCAGAGCAACTCAAAATTACAAAGTTTTCCAGAGCTTATATACCTTCTAAGCTATATGTCTACGTGTAAGTGTGCATTCATCTAAAGACATAAGTGATTAACTTCTTTTAATCTATAACAAAGGCCTGAGTCCTGAAGACCTTCCTCTGGAGCCTCAGTAAATTTACCTAATCTAAATGGGTCCAGGTGCTGGGGTGGTTACCCTTGTCTCCTGCTAAATCACTGAAGTTTGGGGAGTTCCTTCAGACCCCCAGAAAACTTGTTTGTGAAGACCTGGGGAGTTTCCTAAGACCCCCTATAAAACTTGTTTAATCCTAAACAGGTCCTGTTAAGAATTCCTTCATTATCTTGTCAGCTTCAAGGCCCAGGAAAGGCCTGGGCAAAACTCTTGGTGGGCTTTTGTTGCAGTCCAACCTTTATATAAGGGCATTGGCTTTTTCAGCTTTTAGTATATAAGTTAACCACTCAGTCAGTGCTGAAACAATGGTTGTGGAGGCCTGCGTTAGTGAGACCTGGCTTGCCACATAAGTGCCATAAGAGCTTGCTATAAAGTAAATATTCATGTTTTGAAGTGCATCCTCAAGCTTAAAGCAAAATTTCACATTTATTATATTTATTGTGTTAAAAAAAACTCTACAATAAGACAATAAACTTGCATTTGGCTCATTGCACCACACATCACCTTGGTATTTATTGAATCATTTATCTAAAGTGCTGTCTTTCTGGGAGAACTCCAAGCTTCACAAGATGTTTAAAATAAGTCCTTCCTCTAAATTGAGAGCAAATGGGTTTTGACAAATTGAATTTCAACATGAGAAAGATAATAATGCACTTCAGTACCTATGGTTTTCTTTAACGTGAATATGGAATGGCTTAAGGGCTTGAATGATTAGTTTTTCCTTTAGTAACTATTTGTCTTCAAGAATGTGTCCTAAATCCTGTTCTGCATATGCTAAATTTCCAAGTGTTAAAGTGGTCATATTTGTTAAGCTGTGGTCAACTAGACAATAGACTACAGCAAGACTCTATTGTGTTTCATCATCATTTCCCAAAATTAGCTGCAGAAGTAAAGTGACCTACAGTCTAGCTCTAATTGTGGAATGAAGGACTGAAGGCCCCCTTGGACCTTTCACTTTATCCTTTGCCAAAAGGTGGAAGGCAATAGAATGGATTCATTTGCATTTCTACTTCTCTCCTCTCTTTGAAGTGATAAACACATGTCAGTAAAATGCATTCAAAATTAACAAATGAACAGATTAGATATAGAAAATCTAGAGTATGGATTGTCAGTACAAGAAGAATGGCAGTAATCCCAATACTTAAAATGCCCAAAGATGTATTAGCAACAGCGTGACCTCCCGAAAAAATATCTTGGTTCCTTATGATAAGAGCATAGGAACGGATGGGATCTGACCATTGATTTTTCAGGAATATTTTCCTGGCAGAATATTGTACATGTTACCCTGCCATTGGCTTCTGATGGTAGGGATTCAAGGTGAGCATTCCCAACTTGCCTTTAAAACCATCTGAATCTATTAGCCAGGGATTTATCTAAATCTTCTCAAGGGAGTTTCTAACTTTAGCCTTCACAGCCTCTTAGAGGAGTTAAAGAGGACCTTTATTTTTCTATTGTGATACACTGATCCATATTTTTAAAGAAAATTCTGAAGTACTCTCAAAAAGATAGAAAGTATTTAACCTAGTTCTAAGAAAAAGTATAAAACACTAATAATAAAACACTGCACTTTAAGTTAAAGGTCCATAAATCTTTATTTACTCTACAACACATTCTGAAATGCATTATACTGTTGTTTCACTTTATAGCAATTTAAGGAGGAAAGATGGAAGCTGGAAGAAGAGGAAGAAGAAAACAATGAAAGATATAAAGGGGCCAGGCACAGTGGCTCCCAGCACTTTGGGAGGCCGAAGCAGGTGGATCACAAGACCAGCCTGGGCAGCAGGGCGAAACCCCGTATCTACTAAAAATACAAAAAAAATTAGCTGAGCATGGTGGTGCATACCTGTAGTCCCAGCTACTCAGGTGGCTGAGGTCAAGGCCAGAGGATCACTTGAGCCTGGGAGGCAGAGGTTGCAGTGAGCTAGTGAGCTGAGATTGCACCACTGCACTCCAGCCTGGATGACAGAACAAAACCTTTCCCCCTTCACCCCCCGCAAAAAAAAAAAAAAAAAAAAGTAAAGGAGACATAAGAGGAGAAAGGAGGAAGTGAAAGGAGAATAACCCAGAAGTGGAGAAATTTAGAGAGATTAAAAAGAAGAAAATGCAGGGAGGAAGAAGTAAGAAGTCCTGATGTAAACTAATTTTTTAACAATCTAATGTGTACTGAGTTGTGTGGTATCAAAATGTCTAATCACTGCCCTTTGAAATGTTTACTAGATGCTCAATCTCTAAATGAAGCTGTCACTTCAGAATATTTTTCTCAGTGCTACATATGATAACTGAAACCAATGACACCTCCCACCAAGGTCACTGGCAAAGGTCAGATGAAACCAAGCCAGACCTAACCTAGGTAAGAGAGGTTTCCTTCTCCACCAAGAATTGAGTATACTAAATACACAATTTAAGCAAAGAAGCACTTCCTTTGCCTTACCCTCAAATCTGCATCCTTCTGCTTGCCCCATAAATCTAGAACACTGGGATTTGGTTAGAAAATCCCCACTTGGGCTATCTATGTCCTATATGGCTTTACAGATATTCCACATACCTGTCCTTGGCCTTTGTCCTTCCAGACTGCAGTTCTGGGTCATTTCATTTATTTAGTGATGTCTGTGTACCATGTAATTTTTATAACAGCTGCGAAGTAGCTATGATTGTTGCCTTTATTCAACAGATCTGTACTTTGAGACAGAAAGGTTAAATAACTTGCCCAAGGTCACCCAATAAGTGGTAAAGCCAGGGTCAGAGCTCAGACTGCCTGACTCTAAAACCCAGTCACTAGTCCTCTCCTTACTTCATTCTAAGCTGTTCCTCTTTCCTTCCGTGTCTGACATCATGCCACCTGGAATGTCAGCCCTGCACTGAAATCATCATGGTTGTTCTTCAAACTCTTCTTTATGAAACCTTCCTGCACTCTTTGAAGTTAGCATATAATCTTCCTTTTCCACATGATGCTGGCCAGAAGTCCACACATCTGAGGACAAAGGCCATACTAACTTGGTTCTGATGTCAGTGCTTGCCACATGAATATTACCTGTTCTTAGAAGAAGCATTGTTGTACTGAGTGCCATGTTCTCTCTCCAGGTGTCGGTCTGAGTTTATATTTTTAATTGTAGAATGAAATTCCTGGCGATCACCAATTCTGTCTAGCTTACATGGCATGTAAGACAATTCCTTTAACAAAACACAAACCAGGTGGTTAAGAGAGAAAAATACAGATAACTAAGAGAGGAGAGATAATTACTCCCCCCAAAAACTATTCCAGCCATATGTGGCCCTCATCCAAATGTTGGATGCCCATACATGTTCCTAAGAACAATGAGTGCGGAAGGGGGGAATGGAATTTAAATATACATTAGGCTTCTAAATGAAGTATTTGTGTTAGTTAGGGAATTTTAAGTTGTAAAATTACCTTCTTATAATCTTCTTGGAAGAACTTGGAGCATTCCATATTAGTTAAACAATCACCGACCCATCTGTCTCCTAGCTGCCTAAGCAACTAAGAGGATTTGCTGACTTGGACTTTTCTCTTTTCCAGATCCTGGCCATCGTGTCTATCCTGTTCATTGTGCTTTCCACCATTGCTTTGTCTCTCAATACGCTGCCGGAGCTGCAGGAAACGGACGAATTTGGACAACTCAATGACAACCGCCAATTAGCACACGTGGAGGCTGTGTGTATTGCATGGTTTACCATGGAGTACCTTTTGCGATTCTTATCCTCACCAAATAAATGGAAGTTCTTCAAAGGCCCACTGAATGTCATTGATTTGCTGGCCATCTTGCCGTACTATGTCACCATTTTTCTGACGGAGTCCAACAAGAGCGTGCTGCAGTTCCAAAACGTGAGGCGCGTGGTCCAGATCTTCCGAATCATGCGCATCCTCAGGATCCTGAAACTCGCCAGGCATTCGACAGGCCTGCAGTCTCTGGGTTTCACCCTTAGGCGGAGTTACAATGAATTGGGCTTGTTGATATTGTTTCTGGCCATGGGGATAATGATATTTTCCAGCCTGGTATTTTTTGCTGAGAAGGATGAAGATGCTACCAAGTTCACCAGTATCCCTGCATCATTTTGGTGGGCCACCATCACCATGACCACTGTTGGCTATGGTGACATTTACCCTAAAACATTACTAGGGAAAATTGTGGGAGGTCTGTGCTGTATTGCTGGGGTTCTGGTTATTGCCCTTCCTATCCCAATTATTGTGAACAATTTTTCTGAGTTTTACAAGGAGCAGAAACGCCAAGAGAAAGCAATTAAAAGGAGGGAGGCTCTTGAGCGGGCCAAAAGGAACGGAAGCATCGTTTCTATGAACTTAAAAGATGCCTTCGCTCGAAGTATGGAACTGATAGATGTGGCTGTTGAGAAGGCCGGAGAGTCCGCCAACACAAAGGACTCCGCCGACGATAATCACCTGTCGCCAAGCCGGTGGAAGTGGGCCAGGAAGGCTCTGTCGGAAACAAGCTCCAACAAGTCTTTCGAGAATAAGTACCAGGAGGTTAGCCAAAAAGACTCCCACGAGCAGCTGAACAACACGTCTTCCTCCAGCCCACAGCATCTGAGTGCCCAGAAACTGGAGATGCTATACAATGAAATCACCAAGACACAGCCTCATTCTCACCCAAACCCAGACTGCCAAGAAAAGCCTGAGAGGCCATCTGCATATGAAGAAGAGATTGAAATGGAAGAAGTGGTGTGTCCACAGGAGCAGCTGGCCGTGGCACAGACCGAGGTCATTGTGGACATGAAGAGCACCTCCAGCATCGACAGCTTCACCAGCTGTGCCACCGACTTCACAGAGACAGAGAGATCGCCGCTGCCGCCGCCCTCCGCCTCTCACTTGCAGATGAAGTTCCCAACCGACCTCCCAGGGACAGAAGAGCACCAAAGAGCTAGGGGCCCCCCGTTTCTAACTCTATCCAGAGAGAAAGGACCTGCTGCCAGGGATGGCACGCTGGAGTATGCCCCAGTTGACATAACTGTGAACCTCGATGCCAGTGGCTCCCAGTGTGGGCTACATAGTCCTTTGCAGTCTGACAATGCCACCGACAGTCCTAAGAGCTCTCTAAAAGGCAGCAACCCACTAAAGTCCAGATCCCTCAAAGTGAACTTTAAGGAAAATAGAGGCAGTGCACCACAGACCCCGCCCAGCACAGCCAGGCCACTGCCAGTCACCACAGCTGACTTTTCGCTCACTACCCCGCAGCACATCAGTACCATCCTCTTAGAAGAAACCCCCTCCCAGGGAGACAGACCCTTGCTGGGCACTGAGGTTTCAGCGCCTTGTCAGGGACCTTCCAAAGGGCTGTCCCCCAGGTTTCCCAAGCAGAAACTGTTCCCTTTCT
Source organism: Homo sapiens (assembly GCF_000001405.40). Taxonomy (NCBI): domain Eukaryota; kingdom Metazoa; phylum Chordata; class Mammalia; order Primates; family Hominidae; genus Homo; species Homo sapiens. The sequence continues at coordinate 72,937,745 of NC_000008.11, forward strand.
CTTCAAGAGAGAGGAGGAGCTTCACTGAAATAGATACTGGTGACGACGAAGACTTCTTAGAGCTCCCAGGGGCAAGGGAGGAGAAGCAGGTGGACTCCAGCCCAAATTGCTTTGCAGATAAGCCTAGTGATGGGAGAGACCCTTTAAGAGAAGAGGGCAGTGTGGGCTCTTCCTCCCCGCAGGACACAGGTCACAACTGTAGGCAAGACATTTACCATGCTGTGAGTGAAGTCAAAAAGGACAGTAGTCAAGAAGGGTGCAAGATGGAAAATCACTTGTTTGCCCCAGAAATTCATTCCAACCCAGGAGACACAGGTTATTGTCCCACACGTGAAACCAGCATGTGACTAGTTACAAAAGCAATAAATTGAAACAAAACAAAACAAAACAAAACTTGTTTCTTAAAAATGCGGTTAATAATGCCTGTGAACTAAAAAAATGGGAAGCCCTCCCCAAAAAAAGTGCATAAAATGTTATTTTTGCATGGCATGAACAGTTTAGCTTAAGTACTGTTTAAATAATGAGTCAAGACTGCATTTTGTAACAAACCAACAAAAATGACTGAAGAACAGTGAACAAATAAAAAGAGCTCTATTAGGAACCAATATTCTGCAATGTCTGACATTTTTGATCCTTTCATTTCAAATTGTAGGCCGATTTTCAAGTCTTAACGTTTATTTTACAATGAAGCTTAGAATTTTCACATGAAAGGATGAAATGTCATTGCATGCATTCATAATTATGAAGAATAAGGTACTGTGAGCTTGCAAAATGCATAACTTTGTAAATAATGGGGCCTGGATGCAAAAGTGTCATGAACACATGGAAACAAATTTCTGAGACACAGGTATTTCCTTCACAGCTACTGCCTGGAGGAGCTGTACAGACTTCCTGTTGCAAAATTGCAACCTCTCCTTAAACCATCTCGCATATCTTGCTTTGAGTTATAAAGCTCTTAAAAGTACATTTGTTTAAAGGAATACAGTATTTTTTATTTATTTGTGATATAATTCATAGGCTGCATTTTACTTTTTTGCTTCTGCTTAGTTGTGGCATTTGTGGTTCATTTATAAATCATAGACATAGGCAAGATTTAATGACCAGATATCAAAATATTTGAAATTTTGCCAATAAGTTATATGTCATGCCACAGCCGATTACAGAAATGCATTTTTTAAAAACCTGAAATTATTTAAAAGGTTGTATCATACAATTAAATGTTTTTAAGGCAGTCTACATTTGGAAATTAGTTCTGTTAAAAAATTTGGCCACCTAAAGATGACTGTATTTTCCACTTGTATCCAACATAACATAACCTTTCCTAACTAAAGTTCTAAAAATAGAATACAGATATGCCAAAATGGAAATTCCAAAAAGTGACTTGACAAACTAAAAGCAGAGTCATTTAAGTGAGATTGCCGCTGCCACTCATAGAGTTGGCTGGGAGATGAGTTACTATGAAAAGAGCCCAGGCGTGGTAATGGGTCACCCTATATTTCTCAACATGGGATGCGAGGTGGGGGGACACTGCAATGTGTGGGAGGAAGTTGTTCTTTTTGCAGGATATGAATTACAGAACCCAGAGCACAGATGGCAGTCACACCCTCCTGTAATTACAGCAACTAGAAACACCCCCTTGCATTTCCAACCTTTTCAGGGGGTGGTTGGGACTCTGTTTGTTCAAAATGACTTTCAGCATTTTTGACTAGGAGCGGTGAAATCCAGAGCAGTGAAGACACTGACCAGAGATTGCCCTGTTGGTGAAGTCTGTGCTAGAACCCAGGTCATCTTAATTCACTTTGCTTCACAGGAATCAAGGCTCTGGTCCAAATTTGCAACCACCAGATGTGGGATTCTAGGCAAGCCTGTACAACCTTTCTTGATCTCAGTTTTGCTCCAGTAAAAATCAAGACAAAATTATTTCCAAGGTCCCATAAGACTTTAATATGATTCCTTGGTCTCCCAGGAAGGTCCAGATTTTGCCTCAGCCTGATGCACTTTGTACACGTCTGTGTGTGTGTGTGTGTTTGTGTGTGTGTGTGTGTGTGTGTGTAAAATTCAGGGAAACAGGAAGATGCTGGGCCAAATTTAAAGCACAATTCATGTTTAAATTAAAAAATTCTGAATTTTATTTTATTTTTAAAAGGAAAAAATAGCCCAAATATTTAGACTGTTATTTAAGTCTTTAAAGAAAAACATTTCTTTATTAACAGAATCTGGTCATTATATCTCAGATAAGAAAACAGGTTTTGATTTTAGTTGAAACACAAGCAGACCTACTGCTAAAAATAATTTTAAACATTTCTTTTTTCACTGTGCTTAGAATTTCTTACTGGTTTTCATGTTTGTTTCAAAACATAACCTTAAAGAGTTTATGGTCACTAATCGTTGATATTTACATTACTCATACTTATTTCAGTGTCTAAAGCTAAATATTGATCAGTTTTGTAAATAGAGTGTTTGAATTTTCTGTCTATAGTTTTTCAAGGTCAAACAGGTATATCTGCTGTTAGATGCATAGCAAATAATTTATGAAAATCATTTTATTTACATAGCCTCATAAAGCAATTATTTTCGAACATCTCTTATTGATGAATCTCAACTCTTTTTATTCATCTTTCTGTATAAGTGGACTTGTCTTAATGCGCTAAGAGTTGACTGATGCCCACCTTTCCTATGTCTGTTAGGCCTTCTGCTGACAACACTGCTCCAGAATGTTTAATATTAGAAAGCTTGCCTAGTCGAAGAATCCTAGACATTCCTCCCTAGAAGCATCCTCCCCAAAATCTTTTTTCCCTTCATTCTAAGGTACATTTTTAAGTTTTAGAGAATTTTCTAGTACAACGCATGGAAGCTTATCCTTCCATTTTCCTTAGTTCCTCTGAGCCAAAAGTCTTCAGCTAGGAAAAAAAGAAAATGCTCCTCTAAGAAACATCTTTGACTTTGGTGTTTCACAAGGAGGCAGTGTGGGGACTGAAGGCTCCCAGGATGCACTTGTGTAGCACTTCCTAAGCCTTTTCCATGAACTGCACCTAACGCAGAGAATAAACATGTGTGCCTGGAATGGTCTGGGAATGTCCCAAGCACAGAGTTCTTTTGGAGTCTTATGTTTTACACAAAAAATTCATGTAAATGCTGCATTTTACTTCATAATTTTATATATTCCATATGTTTAAATATTTTAAAAATAATGTTTTATATTATTTACCAACTAGTAAAATGGATACTTGTGTAACTTTAAATACGTCTTTTGTATCCCCTGGAAAAATAGATCCCCAGTTTGAGATGCACTGCATGAATGGCAGGAACAGAGATTGGTTCCCTGAGGGCCACTGGAGGTTTCTGCTGCTGAGAGCACTCACCCCGTGTTACAAGTGAGGATTATTTGAATGACTACAAAATAACTCAGTTCCATGTATGGCTAATTTGATTCTTCTGACTCTCTTAACAACCAGCACAAATTGCCACAATATTGTTTGAGGTCAAAGATTGAGTCCAATCCTATGAGGATAGAAATGGGTGCATCAATGTGTGTCCTGAGTCAGACCACACATACAAGGATGATATGCTAAGTGGGTCCCCGGAATTGACTTGATTCATCTCTAAACATTTTTACTAGAAATTTCTCTACCATGACACAACCAGCTGCTTTGAAGCAAGCATTTGATCAAGTGTTATCCTGATATAACTAGATTTGGTAACAAGGAGAATATGTGCCAAGTGTCTGTTCCCATTAATTTCTTCTCAAAACAGTCTCACTCTCCTGTAGACACTGGCCTAGGAAAGTCAACAATTCAACTATTTTCTCTTGAAATTTGAATACCAAAAAAAAGCCATATGTATATAGAGTACTTATAGTTTCTTATCTCACAACAGCCTTTTGAATATTCAGTAAAGGACTGGAGGGGTTATACATTTTGCTCAATTTCACACATGTCCCTGGTGAATAGAACTTGGCCTCATCCATGCCGTCCGGCTTCAAGTCTGGCATTCCAGTATACTACAGGAAAGTATGTTTAGTTAGGCTTGGTTTTTTTTTTTCTAATAATATCAAAAATATGTAAATAAAACTGGAGGTGTATTTATAGTCACACAGCTTGTTTAAAGCAGAAGTAGATGGTGCCAAATGGTAAAAACATAAAAGAACTGGCATTGACCATCTTTTGCATATATGTTTCCCAATTTGGAATTCTGACCATAAGATATACATTCCTTGGTTAAAGAAAAGAATTCATTGTTCATGATATCACATGACGTACTCATTAAGCAGAGGGCTGCAGGAAGACACTTAATCTGAAACAAAAGCAAATAGAACTTTAGAAATACTTCTAAGTTCAAAAATATTGTCTAGTTGAATTTGATAATCATTTCACTGTTCATTTGTTCAAATACTAGTTGAGCATCCCTGTATGGTGCTAGGGTACAACCCTGGCTTCATGGAGCTTACTGCCTGGCCCACTTAAAACCAAGCTGAGGATTTGGTTACTGAAAAATGTCTTTTCTGAGGATGGAAAAACCATTCAATTATCAAGCCAGGGAAGCACACAACAGAAACAAATGAAGTGATTTTCCAAAGAACTGTTTTCCTAAAAAGTAGATGGATGGAATAAAGTCTAATCTAAAATTATTTTTGAATCACAGTTTAGATTTCATGTTTGAAATAACAAATTGTTAATCTGATTGAGTGAGGTTATGGGTTGTCTTTCCTTATATGATAAAATGAAAAATAATTTTTTATTAGATATATTGCTTGTCAAAATAGCTAATTATAGTCTGTAACAAGTCACTAGAGCAAAATTTAATACTAGTGGAAAAGTCTGCTAAAAAGTTTATGTTTTAATAGTGTGTTTGATGGTTATATTATTAAAAGCAAAGCATTTTAATGCTTTTTCTTCCTATTAACTATCGGCAACATTTTAGGGATATATCATTAATCATTGCTTAGTCCTCTCAATTTCTAAATGAAAGATTTTTAAAATTCAGTATTTAAAAACTACTTAGTTTGACTCAAGGTATTTATTCTCTAAGTCCATATGGATTTTGTGACTGCACTGCCCTCCCCCAAAACAGCACAACAACAAAAAAAGAAAAAAAGAAAGAAAGCAAAAGAAAGCCACAAAATCTAAATTAAAATTGAAAAGTTTAAAAGCCCATCCCTACTAAGAGGAAAGGTCCCAACTCCAAAATTTTGGTGAACACCTCATATTACTCAGTTTAGCATTTATTGTGACATAGTGACATAAATGCTCTCCTTTAGTGGTTTCAATGACCATTTCTTCTACTTGCCTTTTTAAAACAGCCTAACTTAATTTTATAAATCCTTATTTACCATAATCTCTTCCTTGTTAAGTTTAAAAGAATTTTAACCTGTAAATACACATATAAATAAAGGGAAGTGAGGGACTGTCTTTAATAGTAAGGTCATCCAAGGCCAGCCAAAGATACAAGTACAAAATAAAAGAAGAAAGACTAAGAAAAATGTAAGTAAATTAAATATGTTTTTAAGCAGAAAAATTTATATTAGGTATAGGCATGCACCTGCATAAAGTTTAGACTAAATACTTACTATTTATAGGAAATTTAGAATTCAGGCCATAATTCCAATTCTACTTTCTCTCCTGAAGAAATTATTTCTTATCATCTGACAGATATTTCCAGATTGTTGTTGATAAAGTGTTTTATTCAACAAATATATGTTGAGGGTCACCTATGTGCCCAAAATTAACTTAGGTACAGTTCATTCCCTCAAGTTTGCAGTCTAGCAGAGGTTTCATATTTAAGAGGTTATAGTACCAAGTAAAATCCAATTCCAGTGGATTGCAGTAAGCTAATAATAGTATGACAGTAGATTTGAGTTTGTTGTTGGAAAATGTCTGTAACTCCCTTTTATTTTCTTTCAGACCCAAGTTATTTTTTTCCATTCTCTAATCTAGAATCTGAATTTCCACCACATAGGGTTTCTAAACACTCATGCTTAAAATTGCAGTAGCTGTCTGAAATCTAGTGACAAAGTATTTGAATGAAGACATTTCCCACTTTAGCAGAATAGGATTCTAGCCAAAAATGACTTTGAAAATGATCGTTTTTATACTCCCGTAACTGTTCTGTTTGATTTTTTTAAATCCTAGGCTGTATGCTGAGCTAGATGCCACCCCAAGCTGCTGATTTTATGAAAGCCGAACGCCCATCTGAGCAATGTTTATCTTCCCTCCGCGGTGGGCAATGCTGGCCAACAGTATGGCTACATAGTTTTTCTTTTAACTATTTTTGCTCCATTTCAACCTAAAACACACTTAGGATGGTATACCAAACACTTAAAATAGACTTTCAAAATCAAAACTCAGGGAAACTGACACGGAATAGTGAGGACAGAGCAGCGTGGAAAGATACAGGTTCAGAGAGGATGTCAGGGGCGCTCCGCCGTCCGGCTTGTTACTCCCTGTGTCGAGTGCCCTCTACTGGTCAGTCTGAGAGAAGGTGGAAGTGTACAGGCCAAGAAAGGATGCCTTCACCAGGACTTGAAAACCACCTTCAGTTTTCCACCTTCAGTTCCCCCTGCATTTAGCCAAAACCACAATTCCATTGCTTTTTCAGTGATTACATCTCAGGTTTTTTTTTTCTTTTTCCAAAATATTTGATAAAACTCTTGCTACCCTTTGCACAGCACTTTCAGAGTATTCCTACCTCCAAAATCAAAACAAAATCACAAGTGTAGCTGAATGTTTAGCGGTGCCCTAGTCTACACTTGGGATACACAGTAAATGCTATTTTCACCTTTCTGCCATTAGTGGGAAGCAAGATAAGAACTCAAAATGGTGGGTTTAAAAAAAAATCATGGATCTGTAATGACAAGGCTATTTGGGTTGACTCACTCCAAAACCCACAGTTTCCATTCGACTTGAAGATTACAAGTAGAGCCTGAAATACCCCTGAATTGACTCTTGGGAAAAAAAGAATGGTTTCTAAACTCCCCTTAGACATCTGTGTGTGCTGGCCAGATATTCTACTACAGCCAGATTTCTGGCCCACCTTTAAAGCAAGATGTTTCTAACATTTTTATTTGGGTATGGGTTAGGCTGTTTTCAACCTGTAAATTATACTCACATCATAATGTTTCATGACAAGAAGATTTTTGTAAGGAAAACACGCAGAAAGAAACATATTGGTATTACCCAAATTACTTATCCAACAAAATGCTATCACTAGAATTAATTAATAAAAATGTACATATTCTATGAAAATCTCACTAAAGAACTAGCAAAAATTTTCCTATTAATATTTAGCTCAAAACCAAAGAGAAGAGAAAAAGAAAAACACGGAACTTACAAAACACTTACAAAAACTAGTGTGTGACACTATCTTGTCACACAATAGCCAAGTTCCAAACTCATGCAATTTTAAAGAGGTATGATATTAAACCATAAAAAAATTCAGTGAATGCATAAAGAAGGTTTATTAAGCAAATATGAGGTACAGTTAACACACTGAAGCATTTTTAATAACCTTTAACTTAACTACATAGCGGCTATGTTTGCTTTTAGCACCTTGATTTCAATCTGAAGTCTTTCTGTTTGATATTGTTACTTGTGTGTTTGCTTACTTGATTTGTTTTGTTTGGAGAAGTGAGGGTAGGTGGGAGAAAGTTGTTGAAAAGGAATATTATTGGGCAACTTATTAACATTACCTAGTGTACCTGGAGTACAATAGAAACCATTTGTAGACATGCCTCGGCCATCACACTCCCCTCCCCCTTTTTGTCAAGTTTTACCATCCTGGTTTGGAAACAGATTCTTGTGATCAAATTTCAGATCCTGCTAATTAAGACTTTTATCAACTTAAAGTATAATAAAAAAAATACAAAAAAAAAATCATTCCTCTCCTGTCTGCAGTACTCCCCACAATCCTTCCCTAGAATCTCCCTGAGCAGAGTATATCAGGTACCAGGTCAAAGGGAAGACCAAATGAGCCATTAGTAATCACAACTTGAAGCCCAAAGCCAAGAGCAACAGGAGGATGTCCCAGCAGTCAGAAAACGTAGCAAGGCCTGAGGACAAAGGAATTGTCTCTATACAGTATAATAACATGATTTGACCAACAAAACAATGACATAGTGTTTTCCCCCATTATGGACAAAAAAAAAAAAAAAGTATGTTTTAAGCCTCTATTAAGTTATTTTACTTCAAAGGTAAATAGCTGGCTGGTGAGAAAGGTGGTCCCTAATTCACTAGTTTATCACAAGGATTTAGGCATCATCCTAAATGCAAACTCTCCATCTAATTTGTGTGTGTAACAGGTTGTTCGTGTGCCTGTTTTCAGGGCAGAATACAGAGACGAAAATACCAATATTACCCTTTTTATCATTTTCTTTTTTTTTTTTGAGATGGAGTCTTACTCTGTTGCCCAGGCTGGAGTGCAGTGGCACAATCTCAGCTCACTACAACCCCCGCCTCCTGGGTTCAAGCGATTCTCCTGCCTCAGCCTCCCGAGTAGCTGGGACTACAGGCACGTGCCACCATACCCAGCTAATTTTTTGTATCTTTAGTAAAGACAGGGTTTCACCGTGTTAGCCAAGATGGTCTCTATCTCCTGACCTTGTGATCTGCCCACCTCGTCATCCGAACTTTTTATCATTTTCAATGGTAATAAACAGTTCAATCAGGGAAAACTGATATTGCTCTGGTAGTTTTTATATGGTTCTGGGCCAAAACGGTAATGACAGTTTAAGCAAAACTTTAGCAAAAGATTCTAGGCGTAGAGAGAAAGCCATATTGAAAATTTGTACTTTGCTATACATCCAATTACAAATAATTTGCATTTGGATTCTTTTTTTCTAATATTCTTTCATGTAAAAATCTTTTTAGGTGATCATTTGAAATTAATACTTTTTATTTTCTTATAAATATAGGTTTTTTTAAAAAATTGCATAAGCAAGATGATACAGAGTAAAGCACCTAGCACAATGCCTGACAAATAGGAGGTATAGATTTTCTTTTTTAAAAGTATTCCAAAAAAAATTATTCAATCCACATTAGTATGCTAATGACTTAGTCTTCTAAAATTCTTCTATGGCTTTCTAAACAGTCAAAATTTTACGTGTGTATGTGAGTATAACTCACTGTTACGTAAAATGGAAGGCATTTTACTTGCTAAATTATACATATTATACATATGTATAATATATATATTATACATATGTATAATATATATAATTAACATATGTATAATTATATATATTATACATATGATATTCTATTATATAAATTATGCATATACACCCCATGTGGCTTTAAAAATACATTGACATTATTTGGACAAACCACATTCTATTAAAACTAGGTAGTGCATTTCTTTTACCTAATTGCCTTAACTTTTTAATGTTTAATAGACAAATACAAATTTCTCCTTAAGGAAGAAATTCTTTGTCCACTTCTCCTACAATTATTTTTTAATTTTTTTTATAGAGATAGGATCTTGCTATGTTGCCCAGGCTGGTCTCGAACTCCTGGCCTCAAGCAATCCTCCTGCCTCAGCCTACCAAAGTGCTGGGATTACAGGTGTGAGCCACCACACCCAGCCCTTAAAATTATTAAGACTTCACATATACTATCTATTTGAGGAGTCTTTTACAGCCTCCTTGTTACCACACATTTGAGTATGCTTAGTCATTATGTGAATATTCAACAAACTGGTCCATCTTTCTGATTTAAATATTTGTACACCTAAGGATGTATTTCATAAAGTAATTCATAACCAGTTTGGTTCTAGATTTACTGTAATTGGCTATCTGCCAGAATAAACTATAAAATGAGAATAAAAGCTTTTGGTGTCAAAATTTTTTTTCATTAAATTTTGTTTTGATTATCCAGTCTAAATTGTCATCTGTATAGATTTCATCAGATACTTTTTTTTACTTTTTAAATGTCAATCTTATTGATCAAGAAAGGTAAAAAAGAGGGAGGCTCATTTTCTATTCTGATTTGTTTAAAATGCCAGATCACATAAATTTAGATAGGGCCCTTATTTTCTACGAGAGCAGTGGAGCTGGGTGATGACCAAGGACTACATATAATGCAGCAAGCACGCTGTACAGTCCTTACACTATCTAAATGCACCTACTCAACCAAAGCAGATAGGCACTGTGGAACGAGAAGGGTGCAGCCAACACTAATGCTAAAGACAGGCTAACTTGGAAATTCTTGCATTGAAACTGCAAAGGAATTTCCAAATACACTAAAAATTCTCTTTTAGAGTATCTGCTAGCCATCATCAGTAAAAGGAAAATAATACCTTGATTTTAATGAGGTTTTATTGTTTGGTTGGTTTTCGGGTGGTTATTTGGGGTATTTTATTTGTTTGGTTGGTTTGTTGAGGGGTTTTTTTGCTTATTTATTTTATGAAAACTTTAGTATAACACACTACTTAGTTTGGACTTGAAATCAACTTATTATGATGCTTAAAAAAATCCATGTTCTAAATCATAATTGCATGACAGTTTAGATCTTATTACTATTTAGTTGTAGCCTAACAAATACTGTATTCCTCTGTTTTCTCAAAAAAAAAAGTTCCTAGTTTATGAAATAGTATTCAGATAAAGCCTTATGCTGCCCACCAGCCCACTAAATGTATTAAATACCTGTCTCTATGTAGCTTATGTAAAAACTCAATGTTGACTGTCCCATGTCTGCTGCATTTAAAAGCTCATTGTGATTCTATCATCTTGCTATGCCAATGCCTTATGTTATGGTGTCGTGTATATAGGCCATGGTACAAAAGTGACTGTCAACTGCTTACTCAACATCTAGTCAGAAAAGGTCTGAGGCAGTGCAATAACGCTTTTAGTCAAACTGGCTCACTGTTGGAATCATTTACATCTGTGTATTCTTTACCGTAAATACTGAAATAGTATTTTTTAACTGTTTTTTCAGGCTTGTAATAAATATCTGTGTCATATCTACATAGTCAAAATACATTGAGTAATTCAGTTTAAAAGTGTTGCCTACTAACAAACTAAAGAGAAACATCTACTGATTTTCCCATATAATTGCTTATTTTCCATTGCCAATGTAGACCTGCCTGGAATGGTGTCTTTCACCACTATCATGTGTAAAATAAAGGGAGGCTATTGTGGTGAATTTTCACCTGTCTGACATTAGCTCTTTCACTAGTCAAAGATTGTACATACCTCAGAGGTGACCTGACTACCGAGGTCCAGTTTTCAAAAGTGCATCTTATTTTAATTTTTGTCTCCAAAAATTAAAATTGGATGTCTACAAAACTAACATATGTAGACTTTCAAAGGCCAGCATTGGTGGGGAAGGGAAAAGAAAGGATGGAAGGATGGAAGGAACGAAGGGTGATGAGGAGATGAAGGGAGAGGGAGGGGAAAGAAAAGAACAGAAAAAAGCTAATAGAGGAAGGTAAATCTCTAAATGAGTTAAATAAGGCTTAAATAAAGTTTGCATGGTATATTCTCTAAAAGTTGATTGGCGTGGAGGAGGCTGTATGTGTTTGTGTGTGTATGCACATGGGCATGTCTATGTGTAAGGTCAGAAGGGGGAGCCTGAATTATCTACTGCTTTTTTGGTTAACTAGTCCTATTTTTAAAACTTTGTCTAACTCCCAAAACTTATTAATGCGACATGTAGTACTGAAATTAGAAGATTATTGTTAAACTCAGGACAGCTCTGTGGAGATTCACAAAGTAATTTCATGAAAACTTATGAGGAAGTTGTTCAGTACTGTCACTAATTAACGCGCACAAAAAAAAAACTTGTTGTGAGTAATTATGGGTGATTTCGCTGCAAAACAAATTAGTATACGAATTATTATTTTTTCTCAAATTGTAGAGGTTTTGTTTCTATTAAGTCTCTAACATTTCCCAGATTAAAAATACCAAAACTATTTTTTAAACTTAAGGAATAGAGTATCAGAAATTAACCATTAAATTAATAGTTCTTAAAGTTGCTATGTATATGGTAAGTAAAACAATTTCCTATTTCTAAGTTATACATGGTATTAGATTTCTAGGTACAGTCGCATGAAGCATTATTGACTTTTATTAACTTCAGTGTTTTAGAGGGTTTTCATACTAGTCTATGAATGCTCTGAATGCTGCAGGGAAAAAGAAGCACAATCAGTATTTCATTATTTATGAATTCTCAATTGAATTATCCTATCCTGTCCACACACATAATAGCATTAGCATTTCTTCTTATACCATGTTGAAATACTTTTAATACAAACTCTCAATAGAAGCTTAAACATAAGTGGTTAAGTCTTGTTGTCTAGTCTCATTCACCTGCCTCAACATGCTTTCTTTCATTCTATTTGCATACAAAATGTTCTTATTTCAGTTTTGTAGACAGGATATGAGTTAGCATACTCGTGTTTGTTCAGCTGTCCATCCTGCATCGTTACTACAATGCCTTTTTCTGCCATTTAATGGTGTTTGTATCAATGTTCCCATATCTGCTGCATTTTAACTCCATAAAAAGGAAATGTGATTTCGTATTAATAGTTTTGTTGATCAACTCAATATTTCTGCACCAATCAGCATACCTATATGCATGTAGTAGTCTGTACAATTGTTCAACATCAAAATACTTGTTTACTTTATGTCAAAATGTCTATAAAATTGCTGGCATTGTTCTCCATTTCAGTCTGGTAGAATAAGCGAGATAGAAAATAAATGTGTAAATGAATCATCGTGTCATTTCGCTTCTCTGCATGAAGCCACTTTAACATGAAGCATGGCACACATGCCTGCCACCCAACAACCCATGGTTTCTTGACACCTCATTACTGACTCTTTAGGCAGGCAGCTTTTGGAGGAAGTGTAGAATAAAATGACCAAATCTGGAAAAATAAATAAAAGTTGGATCCATTGCTGTTCAAAGAAAAGAAAGATAGTACTCTCCTTTTTAAATGAATCCTTTTACACAGCCAACAGATGTATCATTTGGTTGATATTTTTAAAAAGTTCAGCACAAACCACCTTGTTCAAATTCTGGGGTGAGATCATCAAAAAGCTTAAAGATAGTTTTGAGGTAGTCTCTCTCTGACATTTCCTGACAGTCCTTGTTGGGTAAATTAAGTCTTAATTCCTGACACCAGGGCCAGCTCGATGGGTGTGCGACTTGTGCAGTTGCATGGAAGTGCAGACATTTAAAAGGACCCTACACTTAATTTAATGCCCTATTGTCATCATCTTGAAGTTCTTAATAGTTTTAGAATGATGTACCCTGTATTTTTATTTTGCATTAGGCCCCACAAATTATATGGCCAGTCCTGCCTGACCAGTGAGGTAGTGATAAGACTTCTCATTGATTTAGTCTCTTCAAGACAAGAGGTTAACAGATAGTGAGGAAAGAGGCTTATTTATTTAACAAAGTCTTTTTTTTTTTTTTTTTTTTTTTTTTTTGAGACAGGGTTTAGCTCTGTTGCCCAGGCTAGATAGAGTGCAGTGGCGCAATCATAGTTCATTGCAGCCTCGACCTCCTGGGCTCAAGCAATCCTCCCACCTCAGTCTCCCGAGTAGCTAGGACTACAGGCGCATGCCACCACACCTGGCTAATTTTTGTTTTTGTTTTTGTTTTTGATTTGTTTGGTAGAGACAGGGTTTCGCCAAGTTGCCCAGACTGGTCTCAAACTTCTGGGCTCAAGCAATCTGCCTACCTCGGCTTCCCAAAGTGCTGGGATTACAGGCGTGAGCCACGGCACCTGGCTCAACAAGCTCTGATATAGCACTTACAATGTGCCAAGTCCTATATGTTCATTTGTTCATTCATTCTTCATAATACTAGTACTATTATCATCCCCAGAGGAGGAAGTCAAGGTACAGAGAAGTTACATAGCATGCCCAATGTTATACAGCTAGTAATGCCAGGCATCCTGGCTACAGAATTTTGGGCACCTGACCATTGAAGCTGTGCTGGCTCTTGCTTTGCTGTGATGCCTTTTCATCAAAAAAAAAATTTTTCATTTTGTTTGTTAACAGAGCACTGGGGCTATGCATTACACTCTTTACCTTAAAGACCTTTGCATAATACTATAAAAATTTTAAGGATGACTCCTTCTGAAAAATTGCAGCTCTCCACAGCAACTGTTCCCCACTCCTGTTGCCAAAGACACTTGCCTGAGTTAACAAGAGATGTCTATAAATATTAAGTAAAATATTTCCGGTGTATCTATGCCCCAAAATGGATGTGAGTGCAGAATGCCTGGTCTCTCTAAGTCAACTCTTACACCGATGACAGAGAGGAGAGAAGTGACAAGGAGAAAGGGCTGGTTGTAGGCTCTATGACACATTCCTCCATTTGCTCCCTCTGCCTTTCTGGTTCAGATATCACCATGCAGCTTCCTGAAATTAGAGGGGCCAGAATGCACGAACAATTGACAATCTGGGTGTCATTTCATTTGGAAGAGGAAGAAGCACATAAAAGATGCATTTTGATGGACATAAGAGATGGGCACTGGTAATGCAGGGTAACTTGGTCCCGTATTCTGAGAATTAGACAAGAAGCAGTGTGCTCCATGCTCATTCAGTCTGCAGGAGCCCTTCTACGTTGGGCCAATGCTCAAGGTCAAAGTCATAGATGAAGAAAGGATGCTTAAAAAGCCTGCCTTACCCACACCATTCAAGCTTGACTGCACCCCGCACCCCGCCAGGAGCGGCTGTTCCAGTCAAAAGCTAGTAGGATTCTTTAGTCATCCCAGAGGGCCAGCAGTCTTCAGGGGAAGGGCACTCTGTCCACATAAGGAAATATAAATCCTCTCCCACTTAAATTTCCCCCTTCTATCCACCGTGCTCATCTCCTGATTCCTTCTTTTTGAAAGATCAGGAGAAACAAGCTAACTGAAAATAACTAGGAGAAGTTGGGGAGGAGTCATCCACTTGTAGATTCCATCTGAACTAAGAAAAATGGAATTAAAACAGGTCTTCCCTCTGTTGACCTGGCTGAATGCAAAATTCCCACCCCAAGATATGGTCCCTTCTCTCTGCTCCAGTCGCCCTCTTCACCCTCTTCCCTCAGCCCTAGAAAAACAAATCCTACAGTGCACAATTTGGGCCACAAAAAAGATGAAGGTGGGAGGGGGAATAAGAGCATGGCATCTACTCTAAGAGAACTAAAAAAGGATATTTTTTCTTCCTTTTCCACCTTCTTCCATATTCAACCTCATGTAAACAGATGGGTTTAACAGTGTGATTCAGACGGCTGCAGAATAGCAGAGAGAATGCTGGAGCCAAAACTGAGCATATTCAGCCCCGGGGTTTTCATTTCTCAGCCCTTAGGGCTCCTCTGGCAGTCTTCTAAGAACTAAAATTTATCCAAGTCCTCCAGCAACAACTTTACAGCACCACTGGCAAAGTAGTCAATGACTCTGATCAGGGCTAATTGTTGCATGAACGTCTCTGATTGGCTGGAACGTGGTGACAGCTCACATGACTTTAAACATTATTATTCTTCACATAAGAAACCAGTGTGATACCAGGAAGTGTCAGTGCAGAGCGTGAAATAGCCAAACTCATCACAGTATTCAAGGTTGTCACAAGACACAGGGTTTACTTCTGGCCTCTATAACTCACAAATACCCTGGATGAACTTAAAGCATCTCCAGAGGAGAGTCACAGTGGCCTCTCCGCCAAATTGAAGAAAACAGCAAAGGGGAAACAGAGAAGGTGGACCTGAGAAATAGCAATATGTTCAAGAACAAATTTTTTTTAAGTGTACCACGAGACTAGGTGACAGGAATATCAGTCATACAATAACTTATATTTTCTTGAGTGATTTTTTAAAGATAGTCAACATTCAATTATTCAATACATATTTTGTTCTTCTTTGTTAGACACCGTGCTAAGTACTAGGGACACAGGACTAATAAGATAGGGTCCCTCCCCTCAAAGAGCTTACAGTCATCATTACAGGATGGCAGACAGTTGATGCAATGTGGCCATTCCTTTCCTGCCCCCTTCCCTCACTCATGTCAGCCATTAATCATGTGTTCCTTGCCACTGACCCAGGATGTAACCTCAGGGTACAACACCCAAATCAACCACTACCAGGCAGTCAGAGCTGCTAATCCCAAAACTATTCAGATAGACAAAAAACCTGATGTCTCCCTCCATAATTTTACAATCATTACTATTATGGCAGCTAATGTTCTTTGAAAGCCCATTATATGACAGACACTGTTCTAAGAGCTTTATAGGCACTCCTAGCTCCTTCAATCCCGTTTCTCTAAGTGGTTGGTTAACAGAAATCTTATGTGGTCCTCACTGAAGTCTCATTTAAAGGAAATGGGAATAAACTCCAGTCTGAGGAAATTAGATGTCCTTCAGACAGATTTTCCACAAGTGACGGATGTTTCACATTAGCGATAACGAGAGAGCTGGTGAGATCTTCTTCCCAGAATGTCTTCAGAATTAGGATAGATTCTCCCCCAGTTGTAATGAGAAGTGCAAACCTGTCGGAATGAAGAAGGACAAACCAGATGACCTTTCTGTGTTCATTTCCAAGATTTTATAATTTGTGGTGCTCCAGAATCAAATTTATGTTTTGCTAAAGTCTATGGTAATTGTATTCATTAAATTGTCTCCATATCCACTTAGCACAGATGACAAATCAGTAATAGGGGGAGACAAGCAATTTACGATAATATATTTTTAAACATCTGTTGGTTGAATATCTACATTTTTGTGCTGAAGCACAAATCTTGCTTACAGAATTATTCTCAAATGTATCTCAAACCAAATGCTAGATGTGATGCAAAGGTTAAGGCCTGGAAACTCAAGCAAACGAATTACTGTAACTTGTGTGAATAAATTAATTTGTGCTGAAAAACCTTATGTTAGGATGAGTGTAATTTCATGAACATACATTACTGGTAGACACAAACTGATTCTGAAAACCCAGTGATTTAAAGAAGAAATAAAAACAATGAAAAACATTAGACAATATTTTTCTATTTTAAGAATTCAATTTTTTTCTAGGCAGAATTCATAAAAAACATAATTTATGTTGCATCTGATTTCGACAAGAAATTGCCTTATATTGCTTATTATAAAGTCATTTCCCAAAGAAGCTAGAGCTTTAAATTAGAAAATCCCATTTTGTTTTTCAGCTTTAAATAATGGCATTCTAACATTTACATTCCATCACATAGGACCATCTGGCTTTATCTATTCTTAAACCCATTGTCTATAGGGTGAAGTCTAACCTAGGGTCCCAGCTCCCCAACATTACCCAAAGATAACATAGACCTTCTCTTTTTTTTTTTTTTTTTTTGAGTCTCAATATGTCACCTAGGCTGGAGTGCAGTGGCACAATCTCAGCTCACTGCAACTTCTGCCTCTCAGGTTCAAGCGATTCTCCTGCTTCAGCCTCCCTAGTAGCTAGGATTAAGGTGCGCCACCATGCCTGGCCAATTTTTGTATTTTTAGTAGAGATGGGGTTTCACCACGTTGGCCAGGCTGGTCTCAAACTCCTAACCTCAGGTGATCCGCCCACATCCGCCTTCCAAAGTGCTGGGATTATAGGTATGAGCGACCGTGCCCAGCCAACATAGACCTTCTCAAACAAACTAGAATTCCAATTTCCAGTGACTATCTTAGGGAAAGAACAAAGCACATGCCAGTGCAATGGAGGGAAAAAAAGTACACAAGAAAAAGGAGAAACTGGAAAAGCAATTTACAAATTACCAATATTATTATCAAATCAGGAAACACAGACAAAGAAAAGACACGAAGGCATCTGTCTTTTTGTTCCTTTATTTTCCTTTTTTTCCTTTTGCACAACATTTTGGAAAAGCCACAAGGGAAGAGAAAGTCTAGCATATCATGAGTCCTAAGCACTGCCTCCCTTTAGAGACTTTATCCAGATACCAGAGGTCTGCCAACAACATCAATTGGATGCTTCTCCTTCAAGGGTGCAAGCCTTTCTGTGGCCCCATGGATGGTGATCACACCACTGGGTGTGGTGCAGAGAGGGATGGAGGACCTGGGGCAGCCAGAAACGGCATCACCAAGGCAACTCCAGTGCACCTCACCAGAGGAGTTGAGTCACTGTTGAGGGCAAGAGTCAAGCCAGAGTCAACACTCAACTCCTGGCCATCCTAGCCATGTTGTGCTCTATCACATCCTCTGCTTTATTTTCCCTCATAGCTTATCATACTGTGAAATCTTTTTCATTGCTTGTTTTTTGTTTTGTTTTGTTTGAGTTTTGTTTTTTTTTTCTTTGAGACAGGGTCTCCCTCTATTGCCCAGGCTGGAGTGCAGTGGTATGATTACAGCTCATTGCAGCCTCAACTTCCCAGCCTCAAGCAATCTGCCTGCCTCAGCCTCCCAAGTAGCTGGGTCCACAGGCACACACCACTGTGCCTGGCTAATTTATTATATTTGATATTTTGTATTGACAGGGTCTCTGTGTGTGGCCCAGGCTAGTCTCGAACTCCTGGGCTCAAGTGATCCTCCCACTTCAGCCCACCAAAGTGTTGGGATTACAGGCATGAGCCACCATACTCGGCCTCCTACTCAGATATTTTCTTATGTTTATTTATTTGCTTATTTATTTGCTTTATTTATTTGTAGTTTGTTTTCTACTCCCACCACCTCATCCTGTCAGAATAAGCATTTTATGCAGCAGAGCCTAGTCTGCCTGTTCATCTCCATAATTCTAGCACCTGAATAGTGCCCAATAAATATTTATTAAATGAAAAAGTGGGCAAATGAGGGTAGAAAAATGAAAAGGAGATACTGATATCCCAAAAAGATGAAAGCAGGAATAGATCCAATGAAGTCAAGGTAAATGCATCCTGTTGCATGCAATAAATATACAAAACTTTATCAGTTTTTTAAAAAAAGTAATCAAGAAAAAGAAAATGAATAGCAAGGATGCATCCCAAAAGCATTATGCTAAATAGAAAAGCTTTACACACACACACATAGACACACACACACACACACACACACACACACACACACACTGAGAGGGAACAGGGACATCCCTTGTTAGGAGGTACATGAGAGGAATGATTTCTTAAAGCACACCAGGCTGAGCTCCTTACACTATGCAAGGTCTTGTGGGAAAAACAAAGGAGAAATAGAAGCAACCTCTGCCCTCAAGGAAGCTATATCCTGTAAATTACCATCTACAAATAGAGGCAAAAAAAAATAAATGCCAGGACCAAAGTGCAAGCAGAGTACAGTAGCACAGCGGAGGATGTAGAAATGGGATATGGAGACCTCAGAGGGCTTCACCAAGGAAGCAACATATGTGTTGAAGAGCTTTGGGGAGCTAAAAAAGGAAAGGAAGGAAGGGCACCATGATTAAAAATAAAACAGTGCCCAGTGTGTTCCAGAAGCAGCAAATACTTTGCAGAATGCATAAAGATGCTGTATTAGTCAGGGTTCTCCAGAGGTAGGACCAACAGGGTAGATAAAGATACAGAGTAGACATATGAGAGGGGATTTATTGAATTGGCTCATGCTTTTAGGGAGCTGAGAAGTCTCACAACAGGCTGTCTGCAAACTGGAGCCCTTGGGATACTCATAGCCTGGCTCAGTCCAAATCCAAAAGCCCCAGCACCAGGGATGCCGATGGTATAAGTCTCAGTCCAAGGCCAAAAGCCTGAGACCCTGGAGGGATTGGTGGGGGTGCTGGTGTGAGACTTGGGGTCCAAAGCCTGAAGAACCTAGAGTTCTGATGTCCAAGGACAGAAGAAGAGAGAGGAAATATCCCAGCTCCAGAAGAGAGAGAGGAAATCACCTCTCCTCTGCCTGTTCTTTCAGGCCCCCATTTGATTGGATGGTGCCAGCTCACATTGACAGAGGATCTTCCCCACTCAGTCCACCAGCTCACTTGCCAGTCTCCTCTGGAAACACCCTCACAGGCACACCCAGAAGTAATGCCTTCCCAGTTCTCTAGATTTTCCTTGATTCAGTCAAGTTGACACCTAAAATTAACCATTACAGGTATAGAGTGGCTTGAGGTTATAGGTTATAGGATCTTGAAAGTTATACTAAGGAATTCCACCTTTACACAATAAATAATGAGATTTCTTGAAGAAGAGAGTGTCATAATCTGATAGGAAGCGAATAGGACATTCAAGCAAACGGGACAAATTTGACAGGGGGAAAATGTTACCAAGCACTTACTTGTCATGCAATAAAAAATATGCTAGGAGCTTGACGTGCCTAATCTTATATAATAGTCACAAGGGCCACATGAGAAGGAAGGCACTCCTGCTACCCATTTTATAGTATAGAAATTGAAGCTTAGAAACTGAGTTTTGGAAGCAAGAACACTATTTTCATAATTTAGATAAGAAATAATGAGGGTCTGAACTAGGACAGAATAAGGCCCGAGAGAAATGAAAAGAATGAGTGGTATTTTAGAGAATTGCATTTTATATGCATTATGCTCCATTATTTCCATTAGCACACTTTGTATTACAAGTGACAAAAAAAAAAAAAGCTCACATTTGCTTAAATAATAAAAGGAACTTACTGGTTCAGGAGCTGAAAACTCCAGTGCCAGTAATAATTTCAAGTGTGGCCTGTTTGGCCACCCAAACTATGACACCAATGACACAAATGCAGTCGATCCCACTGCTCTACCACCTTTGGGGTCAGAGTTATCTGCAGTCACCTCATGGTGCTTTGGCAGCTCTAAGCTCTCCCCTCCTCACTAAATAGAGCTGCCTCAGTTTCAGGATTCCCATAACATTGTGGCTCCCTTTAAGAAAAAGAATAAGAGAAACAAAATCAGATATAAAAGAAAATAACTTTTAGAATGCAAAAAGAAATCATACGAAACTACAAATTTTAAAAGCTGACAAGGCTGGGTGCAGTGGCTCATGCCTGAATCCCAGCACTTTGGGATGGCAAATCAGGCAGATAGCTTGAGCTCAGGAGTTTGAGACTAGCCTGGGCAACACGGCGAAATCCCATCTCTACTAAAAATACAAATAATTAGCCAGGCATGGTGGTGTGCACCTTTAGTCCCAGCCACTTGGGAGGCTGAGGTGGGAGAATCACCTGAGCCTAGGAGGTCAAGGCTGCAGTAAGCCAAGATCATGTCTCTGCACTCCAGCCTGGGCAATCAGAGTGAGACCTTGTCTCAAAAAAAAAAAGCTGACAAATACCAAAACA
Source organism: Homo sapiens (assembly GCF_000001405.40). NCBI lineage: Eukaryota > Metazoa > Chordata > Mammalia > Primates > Hominidae > Homo > Homo sapiens. The sequence continues at coordinate 72,958,893 of NC_000008.11, forward strand.
TTACATGACAAAATTAGTATCATACTTTATTATTAGTAGTAGTAGTTAACTTCCTGATACAACTCTAGAATGTTTTCTTTCTATATTTTTGGCTAAAATAACTTTGAACACTTCTTCATATTACGGTTTTGTGACATTTCCTATGGAGAATTATAGAAATTAATTCAATTTTTACTCTATAGTGGTGGATAAATATTTTTATTATTATTTCCAGTTTATAAAAGTGTTTTAGCCCCTACCGTTTCACAACTAGTTTTCGGCAGTACCGCTTCTGCCACTTCCTCCAGAGCTTCCCGCTTAGGTTGTGCTTTGTATGCCTCAGAAAGTTCAGTCATTTGATCTTTTTTTAATATAAAAACTTCATTTATTGTTATTCTTTACATTTTTGACAGCAAAATTAGTCATGTTTTATTGTATCTTAAGAGTAAAAGAAAAATTAACCATGTACTACAGTCTACTGTTCCACTATAAGTGATGTCTACTCAAATATACATTAGTTTTTAGATGCACTATATTTGGGGTTGTTCAAAATCATTTTTCTTAAAACTATAATTAAAAATGAAAAAATTTTAAAGTGGTTTAAAGGTATTAAAATGTGAAATTCCCTTAACTTCCAGCCATGTGGCATTATCATATCTCTTTCTCTCTCTTCTTGCGCTCTCTCTTCTCCTCCTCCCCACATTTTCTGTCAAATAAGTACTATTTACTCATTTAGTTGCTTATCAAGTACTTATTCTTGGTTTCAAAAAAATTAATGGTAACTGTATTTTTCTCATTTTTTAGCATTATTCAAATGTTTACATTTTAATACCTAAGTCATTTGATCTTGCTGGGCGTGGCCTCCACTGGCCAGTCCTGAAGCAGCTGGCCCCAATCCACCCTGCCTTTGGTTCCCACACATACACCTGAGCAGGGAGTAGAGCAGCCTTTTGTTCGGTAACTTCTCTCGGTGTCAAAGATGGGATCTGGATGCTCCATGAAGTCAAGCAGGGCCTGAGTGAATGGGATCTATTGCTAGCCTCAGGGCCACCACCAGGTCTGTAGTAATGCTGTGAAACACTCCCCAAAATCTTAGTGGCTAAAATTACAAATATATCTTTTTTCACTCACAGGTTCACAGGTGAAATGGGATGGCTGTGACTCGGGAGTGGGTCTAGATTTAGACTGACTCTGCATCTCATTCTTGGATGCACGGCTACCGAGGGCTTGTCATTCCCATGGTGGATGGCAGAAGTGAAAGAGGCTAGCCAAACCATGCAAGTCCATTTAAAACCTCAGATTGGACATTATATTTGCTCACTTACCATGGGTGAAGGCAAGTCATGTGACCAAGCCAAAAGTCAGTTGAGAAGGAAGGTATACTTTGCCCAGGTGGATCATGGCAAAAGCAGAGAGGGAAGGAAGAATCATGAACCAAAATCATCATCCACCAGAGTTCTCCCTCTTTGCCACAAATGATCCATTTGTATCCAGGAAGGAAAATACCCTCACCCCTCACCAAGACACCCCAAAAGTCTCATCTAATCATTGCATCAGGTCCATAATCTCATGAATGTACATCAGGTCCAACTGCAGCTCTACTTGATCTGAAGGCCTACAAACTGCCAAGCAAGTTATCTGCCCCAGCACATCCATCATATAGTGGCAGAACAGGGATGGAATAACTGCAGTAAACACTGCCATTCAAAAAGGTGAAGAAGACCGGGTGTGGTGGCTCATGCCTATAATCCCAACACTTTGGGAAGCTGAGGTGGGTGGATTGCTCAAGCCCAGGAGTTCAAGACCAGCCTGGGCTACATGATGAAACCCCATCTCTTAAAAAAATACAAAAATTAGCCAGGCAAGGTGGCGTGCACCTATAGTCCCAGCTATTTAGGAGGCTGAGGTGGGAGGATTGCTTGAGCCCCAGAGGCAGAGGTTGCAGTGAGCAGAGATCATGCCACTACACCCCAGCCTGGGCAATAGAGTGAGACCCCATCTAAAAAAAAAAGGAAATAAAAAAAGAAAAAACAAAATGGAGAAGTATGGTAGGCATATAGGCATATGGCAATTGCCAGTCTGTGAAAATTTCAAAAATCTTTTGGGCAATGTTTGCACATTTTCTCTACTCTAGGAAAAGGATATATTATTTGATTAGGGCCTGGTTCTGCTCCGTAGACATAGCTCTCTACAGCTCTCCAATCTACTGTGCTCCATGACTCTTGGCTCCCCGCTTTGAGGTCTTGGTTTTCCATTTCCTCAGTCATATCTGAAGAGAGTATTGGAGAACATGATCTTTTTGGTAGTTTGGACAACTTCCTTAGCCCACTTTATGATGCAGAAAATTTGGAGTCCAAAGGTCTTTTTTAAAAAAAATAGTTATATTGGCTAGGCACAGTGGCTCACTCCTGTAATCCCAGCACTTTGCAAGGCTGAGGCAGGTGGATCACTTGAGGTCAGGAGTTCGAGAACAGCCTAGCCAACATGGCAAAACCTCGTCTCTACTAAAAACACAAAAGTTAGCCAGGTGTGTTGGCACGCGACCATAGTCCCATAGTCCCAGCTACTCGGGAGGCTGAGGCAGGAGGATCACTTGAACCTGGGAGGCAGAGGTTGCAGTAAGCTGAGATTGTGCCACTACACTCCAGCCTGAGTGACAGAGCAAGGCTCCATCTTAAAAAAAAAAACAAAAACAAAAACAACAAAAAAACTTTATTGAGGTATAATGTGTAGACATACAATTCACCCATTTAAAGTATAAATTTTTTTCTGATATTGATATAGCCACTGCAGTTTTCTTATGGCTGTTATTTGCATGATATGTCTTTTTCCATCCTTTACTTTCAACCTATTTGTGCCTGTGACTCCAAACTTTATTTCTTGTAGACAGCATGTAGTTTGTCCTAAAGAAGCAGTTCACACACACAGAATAAAGAATTCCCAAGGGCCTAGAAAGTGCTCAACCTCACTCAAATCAGATGCAAATTAGAGCAACAATGAGATATTTTTCTCCCATTAGAACAGCAAGGATTTGTTTTAAATAACAACATAAAGTGTTTGGACCTTGTGTAGGAAACTGGCATTCTCATACACTATGGGAATGCAAATTGGTACAATTTCTTTGGAGAAAAATTTAACGATGTCTATTAACAGTTTAAAATTTTATTTGCCCTAGCAATTTATCTTTAGGGGTTTATCTTTAAAAAAATATTTCCACACAATAAGATATGTATACAAGAATATTCACTGCAATCTATTAAAAGAACAACACTAAAGAAACTTAAATGTCAATTAATCGAGAGTGGTTACACTAAGAACAAAAATGGATTTCCATGAAGCTGTTAATAATAATAATAATAATAATAATAATAATAAGGTAGATCAGTACCTCCAAGACAGTTTCTTACATGAAAAAAAAAAAAATGGTAATCATGGCTGCCTTTGGGAAGGAGGCCAGCCTAAACATTCAGGGCTGGGTGGGGGAGGAGATTTAATAATTTTTGCTGTAAATTTTTTGTACTATTTGGATTTTTTTTCACATGCTTGTAATTTGTTTTCAAAAAAAAAAAAAAAACAGGGTGGGCATGGTGGCTCACACTTGTAATCCCAGCACTTTGGGAGGCCGAGGTGGGTTGATCACCTGAGGTCAGGAGTTCAAGACCAGCCTGGCCAACATGGCAAAACCCCGTCTCTACTAAAAATACAAAAATTAGCCGGGTGTGGTCGTGGTGTGCCTGTAATCCCAGCTACTCTGGAGGCTGAGGCAGGAGAATCACTTGAAACCAGGAGGCAGAGTTTGCAGTGAGTGAGATTGCACCACTGCACTCCAGCCTCGGCGACAGAGTGAGACTGTCTCAAAAAAAAAAAAAAATAGGCTAAGCACAGTGGTTCACACCTGTCATCCCAGCACTTTGGGAGTGAGGAGAACAAAGATTACCTGGTAGCAATCAAGCAGACCATCAAGCAGACCATCCAGAGCCAAAACTTATCTGAAGAATTCAGAAGTAATTAGACTTTCCTATTGTCTAAAGTATCTGGTGCCAGGCTTCTTTCCCAAAAATTTGTAAGTAACTAGAATTTCTATACATCTTCAGAATGCATGCATGTTGAAACTCATTATTCAATCTTTGGTCAAGTCACCAAAATGTCTACAAATGTAATCATTTATCATGACCTATGTGACTAATATGATCCAAATTACCCTTATATTCCCGCTTTAAGGTCCATAAATACCCCTAAGGAAAAATCCACCATGGCAGTGAGCTCAGTCCTCTTTTACTGAAGCACCCTGCTACACTCTTCTGCAGTGTTCTATCTCTTGACACTTTCCTTTTCCTTTCCTTTCCTTTCCTATACTGTTGCCAGTATATTCTTCTTATTACCCATGAGCCAATCACTTTCTGTTTTGGGGGCTCTCACACCTTGCCTGGCAGGGAGGCCAAGGTGGGAGGATCCTTGAGCCTAGGAGTTTGAGATGAGCCTGGGTGACATAGTGAGACCCATCTCTACAAAAAAGCAGAAAATTATTCTGGTGTGGTGGCATGCACCTGTGGTCCCAGCTACTTGGGAGGCTGAGACAGGAAGATCACCTGAGCCTGGGAGTTTGAACCTACAGTGAGCCGTTAGGGTGCTACTGCATTCCAGCCTGGGTAACAGAGTGAGACTCTGTCTCAAAAAAAAAAAAAATGTTTAAGACAAGAAAAAAAATTGATCATAGCAGTAAAGTGGGAACGACCACAGCTGGAGTGCAAGCGTGTGGGTGCCAAGGCCCTTGGATCCCTGAAGCTTCACTGAAAATCAGTGACTACCCATGACAAATTGATTAATAGGAGAAAAGGCATAGAAATTTATTTAACATGTTTACACAGGAGTTTTCAGAATGAAGACCCAACTCCGCAGTGGGGTAAAGAAGCTTATGTACCGTCTCGAGGTTACAGAAACAATGGGCGTTCAAAATGTGGCCAAAAGTAGGCTTTAGTGGCAAGATAGGTTATAGGAGGGAGAAAGGAAGAGGCTCAGCTAGCACAGGTGGCCTTGTTTTGTAGATGAAAGCTCACAGGTAGCAGCCTTCAGAGAGAATACATGATAAATGTTTCTTTCACATCTTTAAGGTGTCAAACTCTCAATTCATCTTTCCTAGATCCAGACAAGGGAAGGCCTGGCTACATTAACAGAGTTTCTCTACAGACGCAAATTTCCTCCACAAAAAAAACAGCTTTGCAGGGTCACTTTAGTCTGTTGGCCCTGTGGCAGCCATCTCAAAATATGCCAAAGAAATATATTTTGGGGTAAAATATTCTGACTTCCTTCAAGAGGTCATCTAAACTCAAGAAATGCAAAGAATGGAGGTGAGGGTAGAGCATCTGGGCTCATCTTCCCTTTTCTTTCATCCTGATCACATCCTACCCTGCTACTTACCACTGTTTTAGGGTCAGAGAATAAGCCTCGGGGAAATATCTCCAAACTAAGATGAGTGGCAGGGAAAGGTAGGGTGACAGACTCTGTGCCATGCTGGTGTGGACCCTGACAGTGCACAATCCCAGTGGCTGCTTCCTCCCTCCCACTGACCTGCCTGCTGAGAATTGCTTCCAAAGGCACATCCCGTGAACATTTTGAGGGAGCCTTATACTTCCTTTTAAACTTGCTTGAATTTGCCCTGGGCAGTTCACAGATATTGAGGCACTGAAAGAAACTTCCCAAACAGCCTAAAAATTCTTCTTTGTGGAAATGAAAAACTTGCTCTCACTGAACAAGTAATCAACCATTATTCTCCAAAGAGCCATTTCCTCTTTGTAAGCACCAAGTCCACTTCGTTCTTAGTTTCATAAATGTAACCATTTTAAAAAATGAGCTGCCATCACAATGGCCACTCCACCATTATAGATGAAAGCAGCAAAGTAGGAAATAAGGGACTTAGCAGTAGTGGGATAATTCCCTTGGCTCTGAGAAATTGTCTACATTGCCTTTTAGGCTGCAGTTTTGTAGACGGGCCAAGCAATTCCAGACTCAAAGTATTATTAATAGTTTAACCATCAACAGAAAAAGCAGGCCAATTTAAATTTGCTGGGGAAAAAAAAATAGCTTTAACAAGATTAAAGCACATTCTTTATCCAGATGAACCAAGATGCAAAAAGTTAAAATGAAAACAGCTGCCATTTTTGCAAAAGATAAAAAGGAATGCAACATGGAGTCATAGAGACAGAAAAGATCTAGAGCAATCTTTATAATCACCCAACAGAGTCTTCCTGGCTGCTGCACAGACAAAACCAGTTTATTCGAGACCATGGTACTGCAGTAAAGAAAGAGTTAAATTAATGTGAGACTGGTCACACAGAAGCCAGGGTTATTCCTCAAATCAATCTCCCAGAAGGCTTAGATTAGGGTTTCTCAAGGATGGTTCGGTGGGGAGGGGACCGGGGAATGGCTGCTGCTGATTGGTTAGGGATGCAATCATAGGAGTGTGGAAAACGGTCCTTGTGCACTAAGCCTGCCTTTTGGGTGGGGGCTACAGGAGCAGCAGAGTCATGAGTCATGAATCTGAGTGGAGTCATTCTGAAAAACATCTCAAAAGACCAGCCTTAGGATCTACAATAGTGATGTTATCTACAGGGGTAATTGGGGAAGTTACAAATCTTGCAACCTCCTGACCAACAGCTGGCTATTGTTTATGCCTACATCTTAGCAGAATTCAGACCCCTCTCATATGCTAAACTTGGAGCCTTTCATTATGTTTACAAAATGTTGGGCAGGACTGTTATCACCGTTGCTTTACAGTTGAACTATAAGCTAAATTCCTCCCATGGTTAGCTTGGCTTAAACCCAGGAAAGAGCAAAGACAGCTGGTCTGCGAGGCCAGAAGCAGGATGGAGTCAGCCATGCTGGATTTCTCTCATTGTCATAATCTTTGCAAAGGCAATTTCATTAGCTAGTCTCCATTAAAAGCAGGTGGTAATGGTTTTTAATCTTTTTTGGGGTCAGAACTGTCCTTTAGAATCTAGTAAAAATGTAACTGTTTAAAAATACAGGTCCAAGAGTTAGATGGCCTGAGTTCATACCTGTCTACCATTTATTACCTTTGTACCTTGGGCAACTAACTTAACCCTTACAAATCTCAGTTTTCCTATCTATAAAAGTGAAATAAAAACAGTGACTGTTTAATAGGGTTGTTGTGAGAGCCAAACAAGATAACCCACATATAGAGCTTATAACAGGGCCTGGCACTCACAAAGCACTTAGTAAGTGCTACCTATGACTAACACTATATGGGCTCCAGTATCCAAAAATACAGGGATTTCTGGCTTTAGACAGGGTTGGATCCAGCGGCTCAAATAATGCTCTTGAATGTCCTCTGCTTTCTCTGTGTTGGCTCCATTCTCAGGCAGGCTTTCCCCAACAGGAGTGTTCTCTGGGAAACATGAATAAAAAAGCATATCTCCTTAATATTCCCAGATTTGAGTCTCATTGTCTCGATGTCATGCCCAAACCTGAACAAATCACTGTGCTCAGAGAAATGCAAAGCTCTGATTGGCCAAACTGGTGTCACTGAGGGCTGGGAAGATTATCCCCACCCAAGAACACACAGGGACAGACAGAATGGAAGGGTGGTGTTTCCCTGAGAAAAATCGGGATGTCATCATTCCTAAGAGAAGACAGAATGGAAACTGGGCAGGGAAAACAACAGACAACCACCTATTCCAAGGTTAATAACCTCTGTTTTACTCAAACACCTTTTCAATTGTCAGGGAAATTGGAAAGATTCCATGATTTTTTCCTTTGTCCATTCAATACTTAACAGTTCTAAATGTAAAATATTATTCTTTTGCCTAACTATGAACCTTTAAGAGGAATTAAAACTCTCTTTCTCTAAGACTCTAGAGTCATTTTCAAAAGAAAACTTGTTTTTACCATGTTTTGATTCTGTGGTATTTGGTTTTTGGAATCTTGGTTACTTTGTCTATAAAAATGAGAGGGTTGGCTTGGATCAGCTCTAAAGTCCCAAGCAAACATCTGTGATTTCTAAGAACAATAGCAATGACTCAACGAAAATTTTGCTTGTTAGCGTCAATTCCATGTGCTCTAGAAAAGTCTTTCTTTTATCTGGGCCAGTTCTTCAGAGCTCATCTCTGGAGTGGATTGATTTCAGAGGACATACACTAGATCCACAGTGCCTGGTCCATGTCCTGCCTCAGTTTATTGCAGCTGTGTGACTTTGGACAAGTTGCATAACCTTTCTGAAAATTAGTTTCCTTATCTGCAAAATGAAGGTAATAATAGACCTTACCTCATAGGGCTATGTGAGTATTAAATAATTTAATACATGGAAGTATATGGCCCTGTGTTAATAAAGGTGTTAGTGTAACTGCAGGACCAGCCCAAACTGGGCCTACTCTGTGCATAACACAATGTTGAGTTACCTTGTAGGTAGAACAGAACCAAAACTGCAAGTCATGTGACTCAGGCATGTGCAATAGAAAAAGCTTTGACTTCTAACAATACCCAGGACCAACAATGCCTCTCCAAGGAACCAAGAAGACAAGGACATGACCAGAACCTGAACATCAGAACCTTTCAGAAGTGAGGGGGTCCATTGTCCCAGAAGATCTGGGACTGAAATCTACCTCAACATATCTTACTGTAAACGGTCAAATTTAAAGCCCTCCAATCAGACTCTGCAAAGCCCACATTCCTAAATCATTTCCCTTGACCTCTGACCCCTTAAAGCTTGTCCCAAACCCCAAACCCCAAACTTCGGAGATGAAATCAAGCTGCACCTCCTGCCTCCTTGCTAGATGGCCTCAAAATAAAGCCTTTCTTGTCTCAAAACCTAGTGCCATAGTAGTGGCTTCTAGGCACCTCAGGCAGTAAGCCCATTTTCTTGGTATGATAACATTAGCTATTACTAAGAAAGCTGCATCACCACAAGTGAAGAAACATAGTGGGCCCCCAACAGCACGCTGAATTTTTTCATTTAAAATTTCCATCTTGACTGGGCACAGTGGCTCACACCTGTAATCCTAGCACTTTGGAAGGCAAAGCCAGGAGGGTTACTTGAGGCCAAGAGTTCAAGGTCAGCCTGGGCAAGATAGCAAGAATCTGACTCAATTTTTTTAAAAATTAAAAACTAAAAATTTCATCTCTTTTTCCAAAGATCCTTACCCTTCCAAAAATAAGGATATTATTTTTCTTTTCCTTTAGTTTTTCAAATATGTATTTGAAAATAATTAGTTAAGTAAATGCTTCAAATGAAGACTCTTTAGCCCAAGTTATATTCAAAGTAGAAAAAAATGAACTATCAAAGACCATTCCCTTCAGGCAGTTCTCCAAGTTACCGAACTTGGACTTGACATACCCATTCTGCTATGCCTTCTGGCACAACTGACTCTAACAGGTCCAGCTGCATAATGGAAATCCTGCCATCTTCACATAAAGGTTTAACAGATTCACATTATGGTCAAATAGACAAACCTCTAAGTCCTAGAACCAAACAATATGTAGTACATTTTACATTGTAACCCAGCACATATGTATATATACAAAACTAGATACATATTTATATCAAGATTCATAAAAATTTGATGACACAATATATAACTTTACTAAGTAAGACTGATTTTTTTTTTTTTTTTCCGAGACGGAGTCTCACTCTGTGGCCCAGGCTGGGGTGCAATGGCATGATCTCGGCTCACTGCAACCTCCGCCTCCTGGGTTCAAGCAATTCTCCTGCCTTAGCCTCGTGAGTAGCTGGAATTACAGGCACACACCACCATGTCCAGCTAATTTTTGTACTTTCAGTAGAGATGGGGTTTTGCCATGTTGGCCAGGCTGGTCTCCAACTCCTGACCTCAGGTGATCCGCCCACCTCGGCCTCCCAAAGTGCTGGGATTACAGGCTTGAGCCACCATGCCCGGCCAAGACTGATTTTTCTATACTATTTTATTTCATGTTTTACAAAATTTTTTTTTTTTTTTTTTTTTGAGACAGAGTCTTGCTCTTTAGTCCAGGCCATACTGCAGTGGCGCTATCTCGGCTCACTGCAAGCTCCGCCTCCTGGGTTCACGCCATTCTCCTGCCTCAGCCTCCCGAGTAGCTGGGACTACAGGCACCCGCCACCGCGCCGGGCTAATTTTTTGTATTTTTAGTAGAGACGGGGTTTCACCATGTTAGCCAAGATGGTCTCGATCTCCTGACCTTGTGATCCGCCCGCCTCGGCCTCCCAAAGTGCTGGGATTACAGGCGTGAGCCACTGCGCCTGGCCTACAAAATTTTAGATACCCACTAAATTTATTTCAAGATCTGCTAATAAGTAGTACCATAAAGTTTAAAATAGCCTTAGAGACCTCAGTTGGTACATTAAGGAACTTAATAAGAAAATAAACAACAAGGTAACTAAAAGCTAAATAAATAGTTTCAGTTATTTTGAATTTTTACTAATTGGGATCTTCTTAGTTTCCCTCCAGCCGGAAACAATTGCATCCTTCTCTGAAGTCTCATAGACTTATTTCCCAAATCAGTCAAATTTATTCCCCAGCTCTGCTGTAAACTCCTGGGAATACAGATACTGCATTTTTTGTGTTAACTAAGATATGAGAGAAAGAACTCTGAATTTAAGTAGGAGAATCTAGGTTTGAAGTCAGTTCTGCCATTTGGAAGCTCAGTGATTTTGGATAGGTCACGCAATATCACACAGCCCCAGTTTTCTCATCTGTGAATTCAGGATAATAATAGTCACAAAAAGTCAAGTAGAACTTTCAGTTTCAGGTCCAATGTGTAAAGAGCTTGTAAGTCATCATTCCCATTCTCAAAACAAGAAAAAAGTGGAACAAACTGAAAATTAATGACTTTTCTTGGATCCCTCAGAAAATTGAGGTCACAGAGCAAACTGCCACCCCCAAATCTGGAAAGACAGCTGAATGCAGACAATCACAGCCAATATCTACTGACCTGGAGCAGAAACCGCTGGAGTCATAAAGTGGTAGGAACACTTACATGGAAGCTGAATGGACTAGAATGAGAGTGAGAAACTCCTGTGGGCCGTAGTCGTGGGTGAACCCACACACTTTCATGGGCTTTATCTTCCAGAACTCCAACAGGTTCTCACATTGGAGAGCCAAGAAAGATCCCCCCATATCTCTGGCAGTGGGAGGGGGATTGTAACCATTTTGAAATACACTGAGTGGTCCAGAGCATTCCCCAAAATGAAGGTCAAATCTCTAGCAAAAAGCCTTCCGGAGCCTTACCCCATCTACAGAAAAGGCATTTATCCAACTCTACTCCCTCTAGCCTTAATGTATCACCTAAGATTGAAGAAAAAAAGCTGAAAAATATTTGCAAAGGGCACAACCTAGGGAACATAAGACCAGTAAAAGGCTAAGATTAATTATGTGATTATAGAATGTTTCCCCTCCCTCACACTTTACCACCACCTCAGCAAGCCTCCAGTATAATAACAATGGATTGCTGCTGAAAGAGCTGCAAGGCTCAGACTCTAGATAAGGAGGACTTCTTAAGGAAGTTCAAGGACAATAAAGAAGACCACAAAAAGAACACTAGAGTAATTTGAAGCCTCTGGCTTCTGCAACTGTAGCAAACATTAAACACAGCTCAACTCCTAGCCAAATTAACATTAAACCTCACACTAAAGGTCTTTTACCTCATTTCCTATTAACGAATACCTCATGCCCTAATTTCAGGGAAAGAAAAATTTAAGGCATGCTAAAAAGCAAGAAAATCACAGTCTGAAGAGACAAAGCATGAGGAGAACCAGCATCAGATATGACACAGATTTTGTAATTACCAGACAGAAAATTTTAAATAACTATAATTAATACATTAAGAGCTCTGCTGGAAAAAGTAGACAATATGTAAAAACAAATGGGTAAGGTAAGCAGAGAGATGGAAAGTCTAAAAAAGATTAAGAAATGCTAGGAATCAAAAACACTGCAAGAGAAATGTAGAATACTTGTGATAGGCTCATTGGCAGACCGGACACAGCTGAAGAAAGACTCTGTGAGCTCAAAACTGTGTCCACAGAAACTTTTCAAACGGAAAGCAGAGAGATAGAAACAAAACTGAAATCCATGAAGTGAAATCCAATTTGGAAAGATATAACATATGAGTACTTGGAATACCAGGAGAAAAGAGAACAAAGCAGAAGAAATATTTGAAGTAATAATGGCTGATAATTTTCCAAAATTAATGGCAGACACCAAACCACAGATCCAGGAATCTCAGCAAACACCAAGCAGGATAAATACCAAAAAATCTACACGTAGGCATATCATATTCAAAGTGGAAAAACCAAAGATCAGGAGAAAATCAGGAAATAAGCCAAGAAAAATAACATCTTACCTATAAAAGAATAATGATAAAAATTACAGGGCCAGGCGTTGTGGCTCATGCTTGTAATCTGAGCACTTTGAGAGGCCGAGGTGAGCAGACCACTTGAGTCCAGGAGTTCAAGACCAGCCTGGGCAACACAGTGAAACCCCATCTCTACCGAAAATCAAAAAATTACCCAGCCATGGTGGCGTACCTCTGTAGTCCCAGCTACTCCAGAGGCTGTGGTGGGAGAATCTCTTGAGCCCAAAAGACCGAGGCTGCAGTGACCCAGCATCACACCCCTGCACTCCAGCCTGGGTGACAGAGCAAGAACTTGACTCAAAAAAAAAAAAAAAATTACAATGGACTTCTTGTCACGAGCCACCCAAGAAGTGAGAAGAGAAGGAAGTGAAATATTTAAAGTGCTGAAAGAAAAAGTTAACTAGGGTGGTTGGTTTCATATGTATATACATTTGACAAAACCCCTGGAACTATACCTTAAAATTGGTACATTTTATTTTATGTAAATTATAAAACTTTCATAAAGTTTGGGGTTTTTTTTTTTTTTAATCTACCAAAGTCCCCAGTTACCAAAGGAGGACCTGGGGCTTTAAAAAAATGAGTAGGCCAGATGCAGTGGCTCACACTTGTAATCCCAACCCTTTAGGAGGCCAAGGCAGCCAGATCACTTGAGGCCAGGAGTTTGAGACCAGCCTGGCCAACATCGCAAAACCCATCTCTACCGAAACAAATACAAAAATTAGCCGGGCGTGGTGGTGCATGCTGGTAATCCCAGCTACTCTGGTGGCTGAGGCACAAGAATCCCTTGAACCTGGGGAGCAGAGGTTGCAGTGAGCTGAGATCATACCACTGCACGCCAGTCTGGGTGACAGCAAGACTCTGTCTCAAAAAAATAAAAATAAAAATGAGTAAAGTGGCTAGGTGCAGTGGCTCAAGCCTATAATCCTTCCAGTTTGGGAGGCTGAGGTGGGAGGATCCCTTGACCCCAGGAGATCGAAGCTGCAGTGAGCCATGAGGGTGATACTGCACTCCAGCCTGGATAACAGAGGGTGACCTTGTCTCAAAAAATAAAAAATAAAAATAAAAAATAAGTAAACCATAGTCCTCATCTCTCATGACTTAAAAACCATTAGAGATAATCATGGAGTGGGGAAGAATAATTAGCATAGGATGGTGAGTGGCCTAAGAAAAATAGAAACAAGGCACTAGCGGGGCAAAAGGATGTGCCTCTGACGATCCTGCAAGGTCAGGGAATGTCTTTAGAGGAAGTGACGTTGGGGCTAAGGCCTAGAGAATAAGTGGGAGATAACAAGTGTCTTTTACTGCCTGTCATGTTGTTGTCTCCAGTTATCACTATAAACACCCATTTAACACCTAAGGTGCACAGCTTCCCGAATGGCCAGCCCGCTGGCCCCAGGAGGTCACTGCTGTGCGGAGAGTCCTGGAATTCCCCCTTGGGCTCGGGGTGAGGAAAGACAACCAGGCTGAGTGAGGCTTTGGAATCAATTATTTTGTGTCCTTGGGAATTTGTCATTTCTTTCACTTTAAATTCGAGACCATAACAAATGTCCAAAATGTAGCCCAATTTCAATTTATAATGTTTTACTATGATTCTTTTCCAAAAAGAACAAATTGTAGGCAGAAAAATTCAGGTGTCAGAAAGACTCCAATTTTTCACTTTGTTTTTCATTTTGTTCGGGTTTTGTGTCCACACACGAAGTGTGTCCACATAGTTGTTGCCATGCTATTTTCTAAAGGTCTTATGAGTGCTGACTAAACTTGGGAAAATTAAAAATAAAGTCAACCATTTAAAAACAGCAGTCTTCCAGGGATTGTTTCTTACCTCTTACTCCTCTCTGCAGTCCCCCTCCCATTCATTCGCCTCTCTCTGTTCTGCAGGGCCCAGTCCTTGCAGCCCTTGCAGCCCACGTAGGATTCATTTTCTGTAAAATTAGTGCAAATTTAGCTTCAGGGCACCTTACTGCAAGGGCCTCTTCCAGATCCTCAAAGGGACAACAGCTCAGACTTTGCAAAATCTGGATCTGCTCTGAACCTATTTCATGTGACATGAATATTTCTTTTATTTTTATTTTATTTTTTGAGACAGGATCTCACTGTGTCACCAGGGTGGAGTGCAGTGTTGCCATCACGGCTCACTGCAGCCTCCACCCTCAGGCTCAAGTGATCCTCCCACCTCAGCCTTCTGAGTAGCTGGGACCACAGGCCCGCACCACCAGGCCTGACTAATTATTTATTTTGTTGTAGATACTGGATCTCCCTATATTGCTCAAGCTAGTCTCAAACTCTTGGGCTCAAGTGATCCTCCTGCCTCAGGCTCCCAAAGTGCTGGGGTTACAAGTATGCACCACTGCACCTGGCTAAATATCTCTTAATCTGGGTTCGAGGGGCATCTTTACAGCCACACCCCACAGTAACTCCCAGGCTTATCCGGAGGGGGACTATGAGGAAGGGGTGGATCCAATCTTTTCTCCCTGGTTGCCTTATAAGTAAACCTATAAGTAAACCAGATCTGATGAACCTACTACTCCTTGGCTCTTAACCTTAATAACCTTTGAACACACAATTTTAAATGTGAAGCCTAATGAAACTGATAACACCACTACTTTTCATTTTGTGTGTTAACGGGGACACACAGAGGAACTACAAGTAATGACTCTCATAAAAGGAAGATGAAATTAGCATTTATGGATTCTAATTAAATTTTGGCTTCCAGATATGATGTTTTTGCTTTTCACTAAAAGAGTGAACTTTTATATTAGAGAAGGAAATAATAAAATGCCCAAATAATCAAAAGGAAATTAATGCAAGAGTGGCACCATTTTGTTTCACAGTTTCTGATTCTTCATGGCCTATCCAGAGTTCCATGAGCCTTCAGAAACCCAGGTTCACCAGCAAGACAGAATAAGATCAATAGTAAATGTGGGTTGGGCGTGGTGGCTCACACCTGTAATCTCAGCACTTTGGGAGGCCGAGGCAGGCGGATCACCTGAGGTCAGGAGTTCAAGACCAGCCTGACCAACTTGGTGAAACCCCAAGGTGATAAAACCCCATCTCTACTAAAAATACAAAAATTAGCCAGGCATGGTGGCATGCACCTGTGATCCCTGCTACTCAGGTGGCTGAGGCACGAGAATCACTTGAACCTGGGAGGGGGAGGTTGCAGTGAGCCGAGTTCTCCAAGGTCACACCAGCGTACTCCAGCCTGGATGACAGAGTGAGACTCTGTCTCAAAAAAAAAAAAAAGTAAATGTGAATGCACTATGAAAAAGGTAAACATTTCTTTAAAATATCAGTTGTGTATTATTATTGTTCTTGCTGTTTTCATAATAACACTAGCCCTTGGGACTAGAGCCTATATGGATCACAAAATATTGAATACATAAAACTGAAAACTTTTAGCACCTTCAGTTTTGCCAGGGTCATGAATATCAGAAATTGTTCAAAGTCTTTAAAAATAAAAAGCAAACATACTTCCATGTGGCATGAATGGTTAAAACAAAGAAACAAAAAAGACCCTGGGAGCAGTAGCATTTCACCTGGACCCTGTATAACATACTCGCACAAAAATAAGGCTTTATTTTCCTCCACAACACTCCGAAAAATGCCTACAACTGGTTAGTTACTACTGAGGGAAGATGTCTCCTTCTATTTTGGTGGCCCTGCAGCTTTCTCTCCCTAATTAGAGCCTCCATATTGTCTGGCCATCTGCTTCTGGGCTCTGCCCAAGTTGTGGTGATGAAGGGGTATTTTATGATCTCATCCATTTAGTGGGAGGATAAATTCCATATTAGTCTGATCAGGACAAAATGCCTTTGGAGAAAACACATAGACCCCATCTGGTGCTTCCTGTGCAAGAGCTAAACATTCCCCCTGGCTACAGAGGTTCAGGTTTTCCTATTTGACCATCTCACAGCCGCCTAGCATGAAGATGCCATAGGCAGAACATATTCTCTCTACTTTCTCAACCTCTGTCTCTTTCTACTTCATTTGTTACTTGATAGAAATATTTGTATTTTCGCCATGTCTATCTGCCTTCTCCAACATTGAGTCATTTTGGCTATTAGATATAACTCTTTGGAGAACCACCAGCCTATTCTAACACTTTGACCCCAACTTCTCGTATTTTTACATTCAGGCAAACACTCTGGTACATTGTCTGCAAAGATAGCCTTCAACAGCTCTTCTCAGCGCCAGACATGCACATTCCTCCTCCTATCAAGAGGTGGGGTCTACTTGTCCACCACTGGATCTGGGATGGCCTTATGGCTTGCTTCGACTAAAGGGACAGGGAGATAGTGACACTGTGCTGTTCTGTGCCTGGGCCTTAGAGGCTTGAGTGTCTGTGTTTGCTATTTTGGAGTCTGGCTACCATGGAAAGAAGTCCAGTGTATCCTACTCAAGAGAGAAGCCATGAAGACAGGTTCTGGAGGAGACATCATGTGGAAGGAGAGGCCACATGAAGAAAACCAAGGACTCCCAACATATGCATGAGCCCAGCCAATACCATGAGAAGAGAGAGGCCCAGACACCTCACAGACTTTTGAGCCATCCCTGCTAAAGTGCTGGATGTGACTGAGATCATCTCAAGTCCTCCAGTCCCAGCCAGTACCCTGTGGGCAAAGGAAAGCTATTCCCATCAAGATGCACCCAAGTTCCTGACCTACAGATTTGTGAGCAATAAAGCAGTTACCATAAGCCCCTAAGTTTTGAGATGGTTTGTTATACAGCGGTAGGTAACTGACAGAAATACTGTGATAGACCATTGTAATTGTGGCCCCCAAAGCATGAGGCTTCCCTGTGTCTATGCTCCCTTGTAATGAGATATTGCCGTACCTCCCATCACAGGTCTCCACCTCTTGATGAGAGGTACAGCAATATCTCACTACAAGGTAATGAATGTGGCAGAAGAAACTTTGTGCAAGTCCCAGAGCCGAGGCCACAGGAGGCCTTGTAGCTTTACCTCTCACACTTCTGGAACTTGAAGACCACCATGCTGGAAGAAGCAAGCCAGGTTAAATTATTGGTGGGTAGGAAGCCACATGGAAGAAGGCCAAGGTACCCTGCTGACAGCCAACTCCATCTGCCAGAAATGTGAGGTCCTCTTGAACCCTCTGCCAGTGGATTACCGTGGACACATGAGTAAGCCCAGGCAAGACCACCCACATTGTCAGCCCATGGAATCATGAGAAATAACTGTTTTGTTTTAAGCCACTAAGTTTAGGGGTAGCATTCTGCCTATCAAAGGATAGCAGAAAAAAAAAAATACTCACCTATCTGGCTCCTGGCTGGTTTGTTTCGTCTGGGTCCCTCAGGCTTCCCCATGCCAACCACAAGCACCAGTAGCCTGAAAATCCAAGCACACCATGTGGTGTGACAATATACACAATATATTGTCAGGCCTGACAATATACACAACCTCCTAGCTCCATTTGACTGTTGGGAGTACAGAGCAATGGTGAGGCCCACAGGCTCTAGAATTGCACTGGCTGGAGTCAATAAGAGCTCCACTATTGGCAAGATGGGCAAGCTAAGGCAAGTTTCCCTGTTGGTAAAATAGGGATAATGATGGTAAGGACCTCACTGGGTTGTTGTGAACAGTCAATGAGATAATCTACATAGAATGTACTCAATAAATGTTAGACACCTCATTTTCCAAAGGCATGAGATAGGTTTTTATGGAAAGTCTTTGCAAGTTTTTAAATGAAGTCATATCCTTCAAAAATCTTTTTATAAAATGAAACTGAGAATGAAAAGCCCACATTCTATAGCCCTCCAAACCTTCTTCAGGGAGTTGTCATGGTAGTACTGGAAGGATTATAGAAGAAATGCTATAGGGCATTTTTTACGGGATAGCTCTGTAGGAGGGAAGGCTTCTAAATGATAATTGAAAATATTTTTGGGCAACGCTTTAAGCTCCACTTTAACAAAAAGAACTGCTATTTTCAATTATTTCTTAAATGAGAATTCTTGAAACTTCCTGTCAATATGAAAATAAGCACCTAAATACTTGTTGTTTTTTTATCATACTTTTAAAAAATAAAGATATGGTCTTACTATGTTGTCCAGGCTGGTCTCAAGCTTCCGGGCCCAAGTGATCCTCCTGTCTTAGCCTCCGAAAGAGCTGAGATTACAGACGTGAGCTCACCATGCCTGTCCCTTGTTTTCTATTGATGTTGCACACAGAAACATTGATAAACTAGAAAAAGCACACAAAAATGGCACTGGTGTTAAATTTCTTGGGATAGAGTGAAAGGATCTCTTGAGGAGATATGGCAATAGAAGCAGAGAGAGAATTAAGCAGCTCTAAAAATTGGAAAATAATCACTGAAGATTGAAAATTTGATGAAAAGATATGTATATGCATCACAAATTTGTACACTAGGAATAACAGGAGCAGAATAAAGGTATATGGTCCAATTTCTTAGATTAAAAGACAAAGAATGTCTTTTAATTAGTTAGGGGCTCTCACCTTAGTACTGCTTCATACAATCGAGATATCAACAAAATTGTCAAGATAGTGGATTCAGAGTAAAATATTCTCTTTAATAAGAGCAAATAAGATGAGAATTCTCTAGAGCCAGAGACCGTACCACAACTCTGGAATATTTTTAAGAATCAGCATTGAAAATACTAAGAAAACAAATTTGTTCTCCTTAGTAGTCTCATTTAGTTCAGGCTGCTGTGAATACAAGACACCATAGACTGGGTAATTTATAAACAGCAGAAATTTATTTCTCAGAGTTCTAGAGGCTGGGAAGTCTAAGATCAGATCCAAGTGGTGGCAGATCCAATTCCTGGTGAAAGCCCTTTGCTGTGCAGATGGACAGCTTCTTGCTCTATCCTCACATGGCAGAGAGAGTGTGCTCTTCCCAATCTCTTCACATAAGATCACCAAGCCCATCATAAGGGCTTCACCTTAAGACCTAATTACCTTTTAAAGTCCCCATCTCCAAATGCCGTCACACTGGGAATTAGGGTTTCAACATACGAATTTGGGGAGACATCAACATTCAGTTCATAGCATTAGTTAAAATGTCACTGTGGTAGATAGTATTTTCTTTTCTTTCCCCTTTTTTTTTTTTTTTTTTTTTGAGACTGTGTCTTGCTCTGTCACCTAGGCTAGAGTGCAGTGGCATGGCGTGATCTTGGCTCACCGCAATCTCCGCCTCCCAGGTTCAAGCGATTCTCCTGCCTCAGCCTCCCGAGTAGCTGGGATTTCAAGTGCCCACCACCATGCCTGGCTAATTTTTGTATTTTTAGTAGAGTTGGGATTTCACCATCTTGGCCAGGCTTGTCTCGAACTCTTGACCTCGTGATCCACCCTCCTTGGCCTCCCAAAGTGCTGGGACTACAAGCATGAGCCACCGCTCCTGGCCAATATTTTCTTAAATGGCCACAACAATCTTTCTTATATCACATACTCTTCCAGAACCTTGCCATTCTCCTATAAATAGATGGAAGCTATGTCTCTTCCCCTGGATCCTGGGCAGGACTTTGTGCCTGCATCAAATAATAGAGCAGTAGTTTTCATCCAGAGGTATTTTACCCCCTAGAGAACATTTGACAATTAGTTGTCATACTGGTGGGGCAGGTGCTACTGCTGCTAAACATCCTATAATGCATAATGTCTGTAGTGCTAAGGCTGAGAAACCCTGTAATAGAGTGTGGTGGAAGTGATACTTTATGACTCTGTAGGCTAAGTCATGAAGGGCAATACAACTTCTGCTTGGCAAGCACTTTTGAGGGTTGCTCACCTTTCGAACCCAGCCACCACACAATGAAAAACCCAGGCCATAGGGAGAGATCCACATGGAGAAGAACTAAAGCCCTGGCTTTTAACCCTTGCTGAGATCCCAGCCAACAAGTAATGGCAACTCAGCCAGACATGTGAGTATGCCATCTTATAGTCAGATCCTCCTCCCCTCAGTCAAACCACCTAAGCTGATGTTGTATGGAGCAGAGAGGAGCCATCCCCTATGAGCCCTGTTCAAATTGCAGATTCATAAGAAAAACATGAATTCACTGTTTGGAAGTGGTTTGTTACATAACAATAGAAAACTGTTATCTATCTATCCATCTGTCTATCCACCCATCATGCATGCATGCATGCGTCCATCCATCCAATCTCATGAGTTGAGAGGTGCTAATCATAGCACCTTAATAAATGGTATTATGTTGTTGACAAAACATTTCTATAGCTTATTCTCACATGCCTTCTTACTTAGTAAAGAGAGACAAGTAGGGGATCTTTGGACAGCAATGGGCCCTTCCAGGGGACCCTTTAGTCACAATGCATTAGTGGTCACCTATACAGAAATACCTGTGAATCTGACATGAAGAACATCTACAGTTCTTAAGCCAGTAAAAATAACACAGCGAAAACAAATTGGAATTCTAAGATTGTATAGCAATAACTTAAAAGAGCATAATTATTGATCCTTTCATAACACTTTTGAAATAAATATCAAGTTTAGATGCATTCAGCATGGTAAGAATATTATTTTTAAAGAATCAATACATATAGTATTCAGCTATAAAGCTTTATAGGAAATTTTTTTCAATAGAAAATTGCCCCTGGACAAATTAGTAGAAGACATTTAGATGATAGTTTTTATTTCTATTCAGAATTTCTGTATTACAACCTCTCAAAAATTATACCAAGAAACTTTCACCAGGCCATTGACATACTAAATAAAATTATGTTGGCAATTGGAATGTTTTAAACATGAGTTGGTATCTTAGAATTTATCAGGATATTTCTAGTCCACATCCTTACCCTTTGTGGTACCATGGTTTGAATTTTACATATCTTTAGAAATTAATACTTTTTTCATTAACAGAGTTTTACATAGTTAATATTTAAAAATCATAATAGTAAGGTAAAGAATACCATATTTCTTCTTTCTTCACCTGATCCTTTTTTTTTTTTTTTTTTTTTTTTTTTTTTGAGACAGTCTTGCTCTGTCACCCAGGCTGGAGTGCAGTGGTATGATTTCAGCTCACTGCAACCTCTACCTCCTAGGTTCAAGCAATTCTCGTGCCTCAGCCTCCCCACTAGCTGAGATTACAGACATGCACCGCCACGCCTGGCTAATTTTTGTATTTTTAGTGGAGACAGGGTTTTGCCATGTTGGCCAGGCTGGTCTTGAACTCCTGGACTCATGTGATCCACCCGCCTTGGCCTCCCAAAGTGCTGGGATTACAGGCATGAGCCACCACCCCAGGATCACGTTATTCTTATATGTCTTATTTTGCTGTAAGTACTTTGTGGAATGATATTGGATAGATGGATGGATGGATGGATGGATGGATGGATGGATGGATGGATGATAGGTGGAAGAGTGAATAAATTGATAGATGACAGATAAGTAGATAGGTAGGTAGGTAGGTAGATAGATGACACATAGATAGATAAAAAGACAGGCAGACATATATAATCCTCTCTGACAGCAGAATTAATCCAACTAAGATTTTAAATCATTCTGGTTTTCTAAGTAAAATTTATCACTGAAAATGTGATAAGAAACCCCAATCTCTACCTGGAAAGAACTGACTGCCTTTTTCTCTGTCCTCTTACTGCCTGCTCCAGCTCAGTGTCCTCACTTATCCCCAGGCCTACCAGCCGCAGATCAAGCTACAGAGACTGGCCCCTGACTATATAGGAACTTTTACAAACATAATTCATGGCCTTGTTATCGTTGTCTCTCTGAATCTTGTCCTGCCCTGCCTCCATAGTTCTGTTGGGGTTTCTTGCCCTTTGTGTGTGATCATTTTCCTTGTTCCTGAAAATCACATCATTCCTACCTGTTGTTTTGTGCTGGCCTTTCCATTGTTTATAATCTTATGGTTGTGTGATTCTCCTGCTTTTATAACTGGTCCTGGGAAAGTCTTCCACAGCCACCTGAACACACACTTTGGACTCCTTGTCAGAAGCCCAAAAACAACCTTGTCCCTCCTAGATATGATGGCTCCATAACCATCTTCTTCTGCTTTCCCCATTCATTGCTACCCACAGAGGCTTCAACCCCATAGTGACCTGGTGCAAGACCTGTAACATAGTTTCTTGCAACCAGAAGAATGTATAATAATCTTTCAGAAATCTTTCTGAAATAGTTAACACTGACTAATTTTTGAATTGGCTTAATTGATATGTTTAAGTCATTTTAGAACAGTGCCTCAACAATCTGTGGTGAAGGATCAGTTTCTTTTTTTATTTCCAATCTCTGCTGTGCATGACTAGTTTGCAGGTCTTACCATATGTTCATATGAGATTCACCATATTGAGTTCAACACCCGAACTTGTCTAGACCTTTGCTCAACAAGACAAGTCCACTGATTATATGCTTGGATGTCTTAGCAACATTTAATGCTATAAGGTTTCTAAACACTTAATTTCAGCTTTGAACTTTGTGAGTCACTAATCAATCATTCACAGACTGGCACCAGTTGTAGACCATGCTGTGGATAGCATTGAACTAGAAAATTACTTGGCCTAAATGCCTGCTTCCTGAGATTATCAGTTAATGAAGATATTAAGTATAGAAAATTTAGAGTCTCTTTGTTGGAATTTTATTTGTATATGTTTTGCATTCCAATGAGTCATTCTAAGAGTAAAAAAATAAAAGTTTGACATCAGTGGACATATACTCCAATCCTAGCTCCATCACTTACTAGATACCTGTCTTTGGACAGGTTATTTAACTTTCTATGTCTCAGTTTCCCTCATTTGGAATATGTGGATGACATATTACAGAGATTGTATGAGAATTGACCTGATGATGTCATAAAGCATTCAGCACAGTGCCTGCAATGTAGCCATGAATGATAAATTGTGGTTCCCATTATTTTTACATAGTTAAAGCTACCTTGCTATTAAAATTGTCTTCCAATTCATATCATTTCATTTTCTTCAAGTAAGACTTTCTTAAAACTGTCTTTCCCTCTCTGGTTGAAAACAAGAAATAGTTATTTAACAACTCTAACCAATGTCTTTAAACTGCAACAAAGTGGTTATCTTATTAATAAGTATTAACCCAGCAACTATATATTGTAATTTCTTTCAACATATACTGGAATATCTTTCCATTATTAAATGGCCTGAAAGAATCTATGAAATCCAAATATATCTAATTTAAATCTAAAACAAATAATTGTATTGAGAATATCAGGGCTGTTCTGTGTCAACCACAGCCTAATGAAAACTGCTAGGAAGTATCAGAGGCCCACACTCCTCATTCTAAGTCTCTTGCAAAGACCTGCAGACATAGCTGGAACTGGCCTGATATGGTTTGGCTGTGTCCTCACCCAAATCTCATCTTGAATTATAGCTCCCATAATCCCCACATGTCATGAGAGGGCCCCAGTGGGAGGTAATTGAATCATGGGGATGGGTTTTCTCATGATATTCTCTTGACAGTGAATAAGTCTTATGAGATCTGATGGTTTAATAAGGGGTAGCTTCCCCTGTACATGCTTTCTTGCCTGCCGCCATGTAAGATGTGCCTTTGCTCCTCCTTTGCCTTCTGTCATGATTGTGAGGCCTCCCCAGCAATGTGGAACTGTGAGTCCATTAAACCTCTTTTTCTTTATAAATTACCCAGTCTCAGGTATTTATTCATAGCATATGAAAATGAACTAATACATGGCTCTACTAACCAAACACACATTTTACTGCTAAGTGCCTTTCTGCTTTGGGACAAAGAGGGTTTGTCCCAAATTCTTTTTTGATTTGTATCCTTTCATTTGGCTGTAAGAAATCAGGTAGACTGAAAAATAATGATAGTCCAGGTTGGTATGGATGGTTAGGCCAAGACACTGAAAACTGAAATCACATGCTTTAAGTCAAAGTGCTTCAAATTAGTTTATCTGTTTGTTTTAACTGACTTGTTTAGCTTGCCCAAAACACATTGAAAAGGACTGTATACACATGTTGTTGTTTTTTGGGAGAGGTAATTGCCTCTTAGAGACAAAGGTTCTAAGTGTCCTGCATGTTCTTGCTGCTTATGCCAAGAATGCAAGATCCTGACAGCTCTTTAGCTGGACCATTTCTCAGGGTTGTGTCTGTAACAATCTTGAGGCAATGTCTCCCCTGAAGGTAAAAAGAAGGCTTGCTTATCACCCACTATAAAAGCAGTGGCTCCCTCAAGCTCAGTGTCCCTCAGTGTAACAATCCATTGTGTGCAGAGCATCCACCTGGACCCATCTGTATCACCCCCAATGGAGTTAGAGGAGAGGGAGGAGCAATGCAATATCATGCTCATGCTTGCTGTACTGTGAGGAATAAAGTCTTTTGTTTCTGATCCCAAATTGTCATGCCTTCTGCTACCATCTATGAAATGGTAACAGGCTAACTTGTAAGAAGTATAAAATCTCAGACCTTTCACAGTTTTTTTTCTAATATAGTAGTAAACTAAAATATTGGCCAGAAATAAAGCAATGAATGGGATAAGGGAGGTAGAGTATGTTGAAACATGAAAACTAGTTGTATGTATCACTTAACTCTCTCTAAAAATAAATGTGCTCTTGATATGTTGAAAGGAATTTTCTGGATCCAAGCCTCTGGATTAGCAAGTGGTGGCAGGGTTCACTCCAACTACCTTAGCTTCTCTAACTTCCTACTATTGTCAAGACATATGAAAGGAAGGATCTGTGTCGCCAAAACAGTTTGTCAATACTATTGTGTCAAAGCTTCCAAGGCATAGCAAATTTCTTAAAAACACAGTTTCACACACACACACACACACACACACACACACACAAGCCATGCCTAAGTTTTCTTCCTTGCATCAGACAGTGCAAGAGGATTTGCTTGGGTAAGCTGTTGACGTAAAAGTCCAATAACAATAACAAACTGGTATAATGTAATCATAATTTGATATTTCACAAAACAAAAGCCAGCATTGGTTATTTAAGTTTTCAGTTATTAAGATTAAAGACGTTGTAATAATATAACTACTAAGCAACAAAGACTATTCAAAATTCCGTCAGGATTTTTGACCAATGTGAGACAAATTTTCCACAAGAGGCTTATGAATTTGTTTCAAAGTAAGAACAGTGACAAAAGTGGGATTGCAGCTATGTCCTACTTTTAAAGAGCATACATACAGGCTGGGCATGGGGGCTCATGCCTGTAATCCCAGAATTTTGGGAGGCCGAGGCGGGCAGATCACCTGAGGTCGGGAGTTCGAGACCAACCTGACCAACATGGTGAAATCCCATCTCTACTAAAAATACAAAATTGGCCAGGTGTGGTGGCACATGCCTGTAATCTCGGCTGTTAGGGAGACTGAGGCAGGAGAATCACTTGAACCCCCAGGAGGCAGAGGTTGCGATGAGCTGAGATCGTGCCATTGCACTCCAACCTGGATACCTGGACAACAAGAGCTAAACTCCGTCTCAAAAGAAACAAAAAAGCGTACATACAACCATTTAGATTTACAAAACAAATAGAGGATGATTATTTGAATCACAAAAGCTCCTTGATTTAGAAAAGCATTACTTTCAGTCAGTGGTTCCCAAGTTGGGGCGGTCTCTCCCCCAAGGAACATTTGGCAATATCTAGAGATATTTACGGTTGTCACAGCCAAGGGGGAGTGACACTGGCACCTAGTGGATAGAGGCCAGGGATGCTGTTAAACACCCTGCAATGCACAGGTCAGCACCCATAACAAAGAATTATCTGGCCTAAAATGTCAAGAGTTCTAAGGTTGAGAAATCCTAGTTTAAATAGAAATTTTCAAAAACATGTGTTTAAGTACATTTGAAATTGATATATTGAGTCCGGGCATGGTGGCTTACACCTGTAATCCTAGCACTTTGGGAGGCCAAGGTGGGCAGATCACCTGAGGTCAGGAGTTCGAGACCAGCCTGGCCAACATGGCAAAACCCTGTCTCTACTAAAAATACAAAAATTAGCCCTGTGTGATGGTGCATGCTTGTAATCCCAGCTACCTGGGAGGCTGAGGCAGGAGAATCGCTGGAACCTGGGAGGTGGAGGCTGCAGGGAGCCAAGATTGCGCCACTGCACTCTATCCTGGGCGACAGAGCGAGAGTGGCTCACGCCTGTAATCCCAGCACTTTGGGAGGCTGAGGCAGGTGGATCATGAGCGAGGCGGGTGGATCAAGAGGTCAGGAGTTCGAGACCAGCCTGGCCAACATGGCAAAACCCTACCTCTACTAAAAATATAAAAATCAGCTGGGCATGGTGGTGCAAGCCTGTAATCCCAGCTACTAGGGAGGCTGAGGCAGGAGAATCACTTGAACCCAGGAGGCAGAGGTTGCAGTGAGCTGAAATCTTGCCACTGCACTCTGGCCTGGGTGACAGAGTGAGACTCCATCTCAAAAAAAAAAAAAGAAAAAGAAATTGGTATGTTGAAAAAGCACTGGTTACGACATAATCAAAACCTATCTACTTTTTATATTCCATCTTTCTTTTAAATGTTACTTACTGTGGATAATTGTACTCTGGGCCCACACTGCCCCATAAACAAATAGGTTTGGTCCTAGCCTTTATATTGGCTCTTAGTAAGATTATACACGCAAGCATCCCCGCCCCGGTGAAGTCGCCCTCTAGATCACTATGATCAAAAGGAGCAAGTATCAAGCACGCAATAATGCAGCTCAACTCTTGATGAAAATTATTGACAGTTCCCTGACTTTTCTGGTCTTCACTCTTAGGTCCTATGGCCACTTTAATGGACAAACACAGGCCAAATTAGCATATTCAGTCCAGAAGTTTAATCAAAACTCTGAATTTGATTTAATTCCAAATATCTCTTGCCCTAGCTTGAGTTCAGAATGGCAGCCTGGTGTGGTGGTGGGGGTGGGGTCATGGGGTGAGGGTGGGAGGCTGTTGGTTGGCATCATTGTCTCTTGGTTCTCTGTTTCTCTGTTCTCGCTTCTTTTAGGTCCTAAGTTTTACCCCTAAAGGGCTGGCACACTGGAAGAGAAGAAAGGAAAAAGTAGCAAAGGTCTTGCTTGAACTCCTACCATTAACAGCTGCTTTCTCACATTCTGGGACTGGCAGAAGTTTAAAAAATGGATCTCTCTCTCCTGGTGCTTTCTTGGGCTCTTCAGAGGTTCCTACTGAACCCTTTATTGTATAATAATTATTTGTATGGTCTTTGTCCTCGGTTCCTGGCACAGGGCTTCTAAAAATCCTGGAATTTTCTGAGTGATAGAGATGCCTTTGTTATGATAATGGGGTGACTTGTGGTAGTCCCTAGGTAGCTTTAAGATGGGGGCCAGTCACCAGAAAGACCAGCCATGTGAATGGAGGGTTGGGACTTTGGGCCATCTGGTCCTCCAGGGAGAGGAAAGGGGCTAGAGATTGAGTTCAAAGATGTGGCCATTGATTTAATTATTCATGCCTAGGGGATAAAACACCAACGAAAACTAGACAGAGAAACTCTGTGGAGCTTCCTGCCTGTTGAACACATTCATGTGTTAGGAGGGTAACCTGCCTTGACTCAATGGGGACAGGTCATAGAAGCTCTGCATTCTCCCCTAGACCTCACTCTATACATTTCCTTTATAATAAAACTGTAACCATGAGTATAGCACTTTCCTGAGTTCTGTGAGTCATTACAGAAAATTGTCAGTTGAGTGGGTCATGAGAACCTTCAAATATATAGTCCTTTGGGTAGGAAGTACAGGTAGCCTGGGGACCAGTCTTGTTGGAGAGCATGCCCTTAAATCTGTGGTCTCTGACACTAACTCCAGGTGGTTAGCATTAGACTTGTATTATAATACACACCAGTTGAGTTTTTACCAAAATATCCTCCAACAATACTTCTCTGCTCCCTTGATAAATTGCAGGTGTTTCTCTACCAAAGCTTGTTCCTAACCACAGCTTCCTCAGCTTCTAAGAATTCACCTTCAGCTTCTTGCTGCTGAAGTGCTTTCACTACTCAAGGCAGCCCTAGTGGTCAGGACTCAAGACCACTCCACAGTGATTCAGTTGAGTGCTGTCTATGTCTGGTCCATAGGGAGCGCTCACACCTCCTTTGCACAACAAAATCAACAAAACAGTGACTTTTAGCCACCCCCACCAAAGCAAGAGCTCTTTTCTTGCCCTCCGTACTTCCCGAAAAGGAGTAACTCTCCATCTACTACTCCTTCAACTATTTGGTCACAAGTTAAGGTTCCTGTAAGAGAAACTTCACCAGGTGTCTGAGGAAGCTTCATTAGACCTGATGTGAAGGAAATAGAAACTACCTCCCATACCTTTTCCAATAAAGAGGTACAGGCTCATGATATAACAGTTCTGTACAAAGAAATTTTTTCACAAAATCTCCTCTTTTCCATTATCTGGGACTTTTGTGTAATCTTAAAGTAGGTGAGGGAAATTAGAATAGGTTCTTAGCTATTTCCTCTGAAAACCTGAAAACTTAATGGCTATTCGGTCCCTCACTTTAACATTTCATATTTATTATTTTTTGGCAGCACTTCACTTGGAATTTTAACATATGTTTTATATTTAATTAAAGATTACAAACAAAGCTGAAAACCTAGGAGAAGATAGGATTTTAAATAAAAAATTATAGAATGTCTTAATAATTGAAAGCCAAATGTCAATTAAGACAAAACAACCCTGAGTTAATCAGTCAGGAGTAAAAACATTAAACTAACAAAAAGTGGCTTATAAGTAACTTTTTCTGGGAACCAATATGTTGTTAGATCTGTTTAAAACATTTAACAATGTACATTCTACTTGGTTATTTCAAAGTGATCCCTGCTTTAACAATTTCCTATAAAGGTTAGGGAAGGCAAAATAGAAAATGGATCTTGAAGTTCACAGCAAAATTGAAAGTTTTCCCAAAAACTACACAGCTCACAACTGTAGTTAACACGTAAGTCACATCACTAATATTGTCCTGTTCTGTGGATATTCATAACATTGTCTTCTATCCCCTATTAGAAAGGTTTATAAGAGTAAGTGCTAGTTTCTCTGTCACTTACTAGCTTAGTCAAGATATTTAATCTCTCTGAGCTTTAACATTCTCATATGTAATATGGCAAAAACAAAAACCCTACTCAATGAAACAATTCAGGTTAAAAATGGTGGGTGAACGCATTTTTACCTCCTCTCTGCAATGCCTCCGAAATGAAAGTAAATAAGTGATTTAATAAAAAGACAGAGCCCTTGCTAACATAGAGAATAGATGGGGAAATAGCAGTAGATAACAGATGTCTACAGAATTATGGAAAGTAGATGAATCAGGGGTCATTAACTTAGCACATCACGGAAGCGTGAAACTGAAGTCAGGGATGAGGGAATTCTTCTTCAGAACTCTAGAAAACCTAAGAAATTAGACAAACCAGTTACCTCTAAAAGCAGAAATAAAGTGTGAGGTTCAAAGAGATACAGATAGGCTGAGCAAAGTGGCTCATGCCTGTAATCCCAGAACTTTGGGAGGCTAGCTTGAGCCCAGGAATTCAAGATCAGCCTGAGCAACAAAGCAAGACACCCATCTCTCCAAAAATATTTAAAAATTAGCCCGGTGTGGTGACATACACCTGTAGTCGCAACTACTTAGGAGGCTGAAGTGGGAGCTGAGGTGGGAGGATCACTTGAACCTGGGAGATCAAGGCTGTGGTGAGCTGTGATCGTACCACTACACCAATGCCTGGGTGACAGAGCAAGACATTGTCTCAAAAAAAAAAAAAAGTTCAGATAAATTCAGATGCTTTGCCCCCCCAGGTATACAACTGGATTCACCACCACATCCTCAGTTACATAGGCCCAGCTGAAGTAGGGTAGGGCACTGTGCTAAAAACAGAGATTTTGTGTGAAAGTCAATATTCTGAATGTTAAACCCCAGCTCTTTCCCTCAGTTTGGCTCCCAGACCATGGGCATTCTGGCTGAAATTACAGGAAGGGTTCCTCTCCAAAGAAACCATCCAAGTCAAAAAAAAAAAAAAGACCTCTAGATACTAAAAATTGGTAGAGGTTAGGGTTCCAGTGAAATATCTAGGTCTCTCTCAATCATTCTACAGCATGGCCCACAGTAGACCAGCCCCAACAACAACATATACAGCTTCCAACTCACTTTTATTTATTTATTTTTTTTGAGACAGGGTTTTGCTCTTGTTGCCCAGGCTGGAGTGCAATGGTGTGATCTCGGCTCACTGCAACCTCTGCCTCCAGGGTTCAAGAGATTCTCCTGCCTCACCCTCCCAAGTAGCTGGGACTACAGACATGTGCCACCACGCCCAGCTAATTTTTGTATTTTTAGTAGAAACGGGGTTTCACCATGTTGGCCAGGCTTGTCTCGAACTTCGTGACCTCAAGTGATCTGCCAACCTTGGCCTCCCAAAGTGCTGGGATTACAAGTGCGAGCCACCACAACTGGCCCCAACTCACCTCTCAGTGTTCCATTCTCAAATATGGACAAGGGTTGTGAGGTACTTGAGGAAAATATTTAATATTAAAGAAGAAACCAAGACAAGCAAATAACCAAAGAAGTCAGAGGGGAACACTGAAGTAATCAGGCTAGAGACAAACTATATAACACATACTTTGAGAAAGATAAAAAAAGATCTGACATCTGTGAAACAAGAACATTAAGCCACTTTTAAAAAGGAATATTCAGAGGAAAAGAAAGAGCTCTTGGATATTTAAAAAAATAGCTATAAGGATTTCAAAAGAAATGTTTAAATTGAGACTATTTCACAGAAAGTAAAAAGATAAAAAGACAATTTTTCTTTTCTTTCCTTTTATTTATTTATTTATTTATTTTTGAGACAGGGTCATATGATTTGGCTGTGTTCCCATCCAAATTTCATCTTGAATTGTAGTTCCCATAATCCCCATGTGTAGTGGGAGGGACCTGGTGGAAGGTAATTGAATCATGGGGGCAGTTTCTCCCATGCAATTCTCATGATAGTGAGTTCTCACGAGATCTGATGGTTTTATAAGGGGCTTCCTCCTTTGCTTGGCTCTCATTTTTCTCTCTCCTGTGGCCCATGTTAAGAAGGACATGTTTGCTTCCCCGTCTGCCATGATTGTAAGTTCCCTGAGGCCTCCCTAGTCATGATAAACTGGGTCAATTAAACCTTTTTCCTTTATAAATTACCCAGTCTTGGGTATACCTTTATTAACAGCATGAGAGAGAACTAATACAGTAAAGTGGTACTGGGAGTAGTGTGGAGCTGCTGTAAAGATACCCAAAAATGTGGAAGTGACTTTGGAACTGGGTAACAGACAAAGGTTGGAATAGTTTGGAGGACCCAGAAGAAGCCAGGAAAATGTGGGAAAGTTTGGAACTTCCTAGAGGCTTGTTTGATGGCTTTCACCAAAATGCTGATAGTGATATGGACAATGAAGTCCAGGCTATAGGTGGTCTCAGATGGAGATGAGAGACTTGTTGGAAACTGGAGTAAAGGTGACTCTTGCTATGCAAAGAGACTGGCAGCATTTTGTCCCTGCCCTAGAGATCTGTGGAACTTTAAACTTGAGAGAGATGATTTAGGATATCTGGTGGAAGAAATTTCTAAGCAGCAAAGCATTCAAGAGGAAGCAGAGTATAAAAGTTTAGCAAATGTGCAGCCTGTTGATGCCACAGAAAGAAAAACCCATTTTCTGGGGAGAAATTCAAGCCAGCTGCAGAAATTTGCATAAGTAACAAGGAGCCAAATGCTGATGAGACAATGGGGAAAATGTCTCCAGGACATGTCAGAGACCTCAACGCAGCCCCTCCCATCACAGGCCCAGAGGCCTGGGAGGGAAAAATGGTTTCCTGGGCCAGGTTCAGGGCTCCCCTGCTCTGTGCAGCCTGCGGACTTTGTGCCCTGCATCCCAGTCACTCCAGCTCCAGCCGTGGCTAAAAGAGGCCAAAGTACAGCTCAGACCATTGCTTCAGAGGGTGCAAGCCCCAAACCTTGGCAGCTTCCACATGGTGTTGGTCCTGTTTGTGGGCAGAAGACAAGAATTGAGGTCTGGGAACCTTTGCCTAGATTTCAGAGGATGTATGGAAATGTCTGTATGTCCAGGCAGGAGTCTGCTGCACAGGCAGAGCCCTCATGGAGAACCTCTGCTAGGGAAGTACAGAAGGGAAATGTGGGGTTGGAGCTCCCAGAGTCTCCACTGGGGCACTTCCTAGTAGAGCTGTGAGAAGAGGGCCACCATCCTCTAGACCCCAGAATGATAGATCTACCAGTCGCTTGCACTGTGCACCTGGAAAAGTTGCAGACACTCAATGCCAAACTGTGAAAGCAGCCGGGAGTGGGGCTGTACCCTGCAAAGCTATAGGGGTGGAGCTGCCCCAGGCTATGGGAGCCCACCTCTCGCATCAGCATGACTTGGATGTGAGACATGGAGTCAAAGGAGATCATTTTGGAACATTAAGATTTGAGGACTGCCCTATTGAATTTGGACTTCCATGGGGCCTATAACCCCTTTGTTTTGGCCAATTTCTCCCATTTACAATAGGTATGTTTACTCAATGCCTGTACCCCCATTGTATCTAGGAAGTAACTAACTTGCTTTTGATTTTACAGGCTCCTAGGCAGAGGGACTTGCCTTGTCTCAGGTAAGACTTTGGACTTGGACTTTGGACATTAATGCTGGAATGAGCTAAGACTTTGAGGGACTGTTGGAAAGGCACGATTGTGTTTTGAAATGTGAGGACATGAGATTTGGGAGGGGCCAGGGGTGGAATGACATGGTTTGGCTATGTCCCCACGCAAATCTCATCTTGAATTGTAGCTCCCATAATCCCCATATGTGGTGGACCCTTCAATTACCAGTGTGAGGTAATTGAATCATGGGGGCAGTTTCCCCAATACTGATCTTGGGATCATAAGTTCTCATGAGATCTGATGGTTTTTATAAGGCGTTCCACCTTTGCTTGCCTCTCATTCTTCTCTCTTCTGCTGCCATATTAAGAAGGAAGTGTTTGCTTCCCCTTCCACCATGAATGTAAGTTCCCTGAGGTCTCCCCAGCGTGCAGAACTGAGTCAATTAAACCTCCTTCCTTTATAAATTACCCAGTCTCGGGTATTTCTTCATAGCAGCATGAAAATAGACTAATACACAGGGTCTCACTCTATCACTCAGGCTGGAGTGCAGTGGTGTGTTCATGGCTCACTGTAGCCTCAAACTCCTGGGCTCAGGTGATCCTTCCACCTCAGTCTCTCAAGTAGCTAGGATTACAGGCATGCACCACCACACCCAGCTAATTGTTTTTTTGTAGAAATGGGGTCTTGCTGTGTTGCCCAGGCTGGTCTTGAGCTCCTGGCCTCAACAGAGCCTCCTGCCTTGGCTTCCCAAAGCACTGGGATTGTAGCCATGAGCCACCGTGCCCAGTCAAGAGACGATTCTTATGGAAAGAAAGGATTTAAAAAACTGGAATGTTTAGTCAGAGAGCCATTTTATGACTATCAAGAGTTCCAGAATGAGAGAACAGAAAAAAAAGGAGAGAAAGAAATTACCAGAAATAACACAATTTATCAACATATAAGATAGAATAAATAATATAATTTTCCAGATTAAAAATAACCACCAAGGGTCCAGTACAATAAATAAAAATAAAACTACATGAGAGAACAGTATCATGACATTTCAGATGACTAGAGATAAAGGGAAAATTATGAAACCTCCCAGACAGGAAAAAATAGCTTCCAAACAAAGGATTAAAAACTATAAATGTATCAGATCTCTCTATAGTATTCCTGGAAGCTAAAAGACAATGAACAATATCTTCCAGCTACTTCCACTTGTGCATCCTGTACTCAAACTATCATTTCAATGGGAGGGGAGAATTATTGCATTTTTAGGCAAGAATAGCTACCTCCCATATGGAGAGTCAGACCCTGGAGAAAAAGGCACTGTTGGTTGCCTTTTTCTGCCTCAATTCTCCTGCAGGCCAAAGCCTGATATCCACCCCTACATCTCTCACCCCCCAGTATCCACAGCCATATGCTTCAGGAGACTCTGAACTCCCCCAGCTCCAGCTCCAGAGGTAAATCATGATTGGTCTTTTTCTTTTCTTTCTCTTTGTTTTTTAAAGACAGGTCTCACTATGTTGACCAAGCCAGTCTGGAACTCCTGGCTTCAAGCAATCCTCCCACCTTGGCCTCCCAAAGTGCTAGGACTACAGATGGGGGCCACCACACATGGCCTGTGATTACTCTCTAAGTCAGCTTTGGGGATCTCATTCTCTTGAGGTAGAGTTGGCTAAGGCATAAGCATGTGACCCTCTTGTGGTCAATGAGAGGTAGGGGAAGTTGGCTGGGGGTCTCCTGTGAGAATTTCTTTTCAAATTAAAGGTATGTGGCTTAGGTCAGGTTTAACACCAAGATGGGAATTTATGTGCAAATAATTTATCATGGAAGTGGTCCCAGGTGTGACAAGAGAGGAAGTGGAGGAAGCAGGACAGGGAAGGGGAGGAGACCAAGCAAAGGTGACTCTCACTGATTCCACAGAACTCTGGAAGTGTACATTTCACCACAGAGCTGTCCCATGAAGGCAAGGGAGCTAGACTTCATACTCCTGCCCCACCGGTCATTGGTCAGGGGCCTCCCAGGGAGAAGACAATGCCCAAGCACATCTTCTGTGCTCTTGCTGGTGATTTGCCAGCGTCTCTCGGGCCTTTGGCCACAAAGGTTGTATTTTTGGCTTCCTATTTTGAGGTTTTGGGACTCAGACAAGTTTCCTTGCTCCTCAGCTTGCAGACAGCCTATTGTGGGACTTCATCTTGCGATTGTGTGAGTCAATACTCCTTAATAAACCCCCCTTCATATATACTTCATATATATATAACTGATCTATCCTATTAGTTCTGTCCCTCTAGAGAAAGCTAACTAATACAGCGCTCCTATGAGAATCTAATGCCACACTGATCTGACAGGGGGAGCTCAGGCGGTAATGCAAGTGATGGGGAGTGGCTGTAAATACAGATGAAGCTTTGCTCACTCACCTGCCGTCCACCTCCTGCTGTGCGGGCCCCATTCCTAATAGGCCACAGACCAGTACTAGTCCACGGCCTGGGGGTTGGGGATGCCTGCTCTACAGGATGCAAGAGGAATTCTCTCTGGCCAATCTTCTTATACGATGAAGGGGAGCATTCAAAAAGAAGGCAGGGATGCACTGAGTGGGGGAGAGTGGACAGATGAAAAGAACCTGGGCCTTTGATGATGTTGCTGAGCCAATGATTGACCTACATTGGCAGTGACCCACACCCAGCCTTCTTGTTATATGATATAATACATTCTCCTTGTGATTTGAACTATTGTAAATGAGGTTTTCTGCTATTTTCAACCAAAATCATGCTAAATGATCCAAGGAGAGAGGTAAATTATCTATGATAGAAAAGAGAATATTTGTAAGTAAAAATAAAAGCAGCCCTGATGCAGAGTGAGCATTGAAAGGACCCTTCTGGGAGGCAAAGGAGAATACTAGTGGGAGCGTGGGGTGCCAGTGGGTACCACCTTTGCCTTTTCCACCAAGGCATCCTCTGAAAGGGTGGCTCCATGCTCCTCACCTCCCTCTGATAGACTTAGTTCCAAAAGATTCCACATTGGTGCTCTGTGGAGAACAAATAGAGAAAACTTACATTTTGAAATCAGCAGAAATTTTTAAGGCCAGAAAAGCAAACATAATATGCCGCAGTCACAAATGTTACTTGTATTTGCACAGTTGCTTTCAAACCAGCTTCAGGGATCTCAGGCCTCCACCCCATTTTGTGTTTAGCCCTTTGGCATATTGGGGTTACATGTGAACTTGTAAGAACGAATTTTATAGATTAAAGAAAAAGAAGGATTGAAAAATCTTTGCATTATACCACGTAGTCTATTGTTTAACGAAATATTTCATTGCATGGTGACCTCTACTGGCAGAATAAATGCATCACCAGGGCTGACAAAGACAATTTAGTCTGTTTAGTCAAGGAATTGGCTAATATGGAAAGACAATGCTAGCCAAATATGTTGCTTAGAATTGTTAAGGCCCAGTTGTACTCTCAATATGTTTATTTTCAAAAAGATTTTATAAAATATCTCAAACATATGAGATATAGAGGATAATATAATCAATACATACTTGCCACCTAAACTTAACAAGTCTTAACATTTTTTCTTCTTTATCCAGAGTTTTAAAATTAATTATTTATTTATTTTAGAGACAGGGTCTCATTCTGTCACCCAGGCTGGACTGCAGTGGTGTGATCATAACCCACTGTAACCCAGAACTCCTGAGGTCAACCAATCCTCCTGCCTCAGCCTCCCAAGTAGGTAGGACCAACATCTTTTTTATGTTTTATTTATTTATTTATTTTGAGATGGAGTCTCACTTTGTCCCCCAGGCTGGAGTGCAGTGGCGCGATCTCTGCTCACTGCAACTTCCACCTCCCAGGTTCAAGGGATTTTCCTGTCTCAGCCTCCCAAGTAGCTGGGACTACAGGCACCTGCAACCACTACCAGCTAATTGTTGTATTTTTAGTAGAAACAGGGTTTCACCATACTGGCCAGGCTGGTCCCAAACTCCTGACCTTGTGATCTGCCCACCTTGGCCTCTCAAAGTGCTGGTATTACAGGCGTGAGCCACCGCGCCCGGCCTCCAACATCTTTTTTAAAAAGTAAGACAGTTACACACATGTGAAGCCCCTATACCCTGACTTCCTGAAAATAGCCCCTTTATCACCTCTCCAGAGAGCATTGCTTAGCTGGGTGGGGTGGCTCACAACTGTAATCCCAGCACTTTGGGAGGCTGAGGCAGGAGGATCACTTGAGCCCAGGAATTCAAGACCAACCTGGGCAACATAGTAAGAAATCGTCTCTACAAAATAATAATAATAATAATTAGCTGGGCATAGTGGTGTGCATCTATAGTCCCAGCTGCTTGGGAGGCTGAGACAGGAGGATTACTTGAGCCCAGGAGGTGGAGACTGCAATGAGCTATGATCATATCACTGCACTCCAGCCTGGGAAACAGAGCAAGACCCTGTCTCAAAAAAAAAAAAAAAAAAAAGCAGGCAGCACTGCTTGGTGTACATCTTTCCCCTGAATCTTTTCATACTTCTCCTTCATATGTATTCATACAGAATATAGGATATTGTGTTAAAAGCTTTAAGTTTTTAAATAAATGGAATAACATATATATAATTACAAATTTTACAATTTTTTGCTGGTTGAATTGGCCCATTATTGAGATCATGTTCCCCTTCCCCAGGGCAAAAAACAAAACCCTGAGATTTAAACTGATGGGGAGGGCTGGGCCTGTTGGCTCACACCTGTAATCCCAGTCCTTTGGGAGTCAGAACGGGGAGGATTGCTTGAGTCTAGTTCAAGACCAGCATAGGCAACATGACGAGACCCTGTCTCTTAAAATAAATAAATAATAAACTGATAGGGAAAATATGTCCCTTCATAATAGAGGTATGGCCCGGGTGCAGTGGCTCATGCCTGTAATCCCAACACTTTGGGAGGCGGAGGCAGGCAGATCACTTGAGGTCAGGAGTTCGAGACCAGCCTGGTCAACATGGTGAAACTCTGTCTCTACTTAAAAAAAATACAAAAATTAGCCAGGCATGATGGCAGGTGCCTGTAGTCTCATCTACTCAGGGGGCTGAGGCAGAAGAATCACTTGAATCTGGGAGGTGGAAGTTGCAGTGAGCGGAGATCGCCAAGATCGTGCCACTGCACTCTAGCTTGGGTGACAGAGTGAGACTCTGTCTCAAAAAAAACAAAACAAAACAAACAAACAAACAAACAAAACACACACACACAAATCATAATAGAGGTAGGTAAGATAAAGTTGTCAAAAGAGATCAGGTACAAAAATGTTTGAAAACCAGGACAATGGAGAAAACTAGCAGTAGCTGATATTATTGAGCACTTATAAGTGCTTTCTTTAAATCATTGAATCCTCACAGCAACTCTATGCAATATCTTCTATCATGACCTCCCTTTTACAAAGAAGGAAACCAAGGCAAAGAGGTTGCTAGCTTGTCTAAGGTCACATATCTGAGTAGCGGGACCTGCAGTCACTCCCTGCTCTGAATGCGATATGATATGTAGATGAAGCCCCGTGAAGAATTCTAAGCACCACAAGAAGCACCCCTATAAACCAATCACTTGCTGCTGCTGATGCACTTGAACTCCACAATGCCCCTTCCTCGTGGCTTTCTAAGACCCCCAGCCAGGTTCACAACGGGGCTGAGAGTGGTCCTCTTGTCTCTTTTCAGAGATTTAACTGGCCAGAACTTGAGCATCCTCTTACATGCAAAACTTCATTGTCCCTTGGCATCAGAAGCTATTAATAAGATTTGCTCCTGATTCCAACAACTGTGACCTGAGACAAGTTAAAAATATTTTTTCTGGATCGTGAACCTTCTCTAAAATAAGACAAAATATTATCCTTTTCCATCTGAAATAATCCTGTTGTGACGAAGAATAATTTATCATGCTGTGTGTGACATCCTAAGTCATTAAATGGGAGGATCTGGCAGCCCTGCTTCATACACCCACGCACTTATCTACAAAAGTTGATATGCAAGAGAGCTTCTGGCTTTAAGTATTTAGCAGAAAGAGGAGATGGATCTCCAGCCGTAAGGAACAGAGACGAGGAACATGAACTCTGGCTAATGTCTACTCCCCTTGGGGAGGCCTTATTGGGAGAAAAGAGAATAATGTGTGTCAGGCCTCTGAGCCCAAGCTAAGCCATCATATCCCCTGTGACCTGCACGTATACATCCAGATGGCCTGTTCCTTGCCTTAACTGATGACATTCCACCACAAAAGAAGCGAAAATGGCCGGTCCTTGCCTTAACTGATGACATTCCACCACAAAAGAAGTGAAAATGGCCAGTCCTTGCCTTAAGTGATGACATTATCTTGTGAAGTTCCTTCTCCTGGCTCATCCTAGCTCAAAAGCTCCCCTACTGAGCACCTTGTGACCCCCACTCCTGCCCACCAGAGAACAACACCCCTTTGACTGTAATTTTCCTTTACCTACCCAAATCTTATAAAACGGCCCTACCCTATCTGCCTTCGCTGACTCTCTTTTTGGACTCAGCCCGCCTGCACCCAGGTGATTAAAAACCTTTATTGATCACACAAAGCCTGTTTGGTGGTCTCTTCACACAGACGTGAGTGAAAATGTGGAATCTGAGTGTCTGGTTTCAAGTTGTGTGTCCCTAACTTGCTAACTAGCTTTCTCACTTTCCAACCTCAGGTGATTTAATAACCCTCTCTGTGCTGCAGGTTCATCCTTTACAAAATTATAAGATAATAGTAATATCTACCTGATAAACTTGCTATGAAGATTAAATGAGTTAATACATATGGTACAGTTAGAAAGTTGCTGTCACCTGGCCGGGCGCGGTGGCTCACGCCTGTAATCCCGGCACTTTGGGAGGCCAAGGTGGGAGGATCACCTGAGGTTGGGAGTTTGAGACCAGCCTGACCAACATGGAGAAAACCCATCTTTACTAAGAATACAAAATTAGCTAGGCGTGGTGGCACATGCCTGTAATCCCAGCTACTTGGGAGCCTAAGGCAGGAGAATCCCTTGAACCCGGGAGGTGAAGGTTGTGGTGAGCCGAGATCACGCCATTGCACTCCAGCCTGGGCAACAAGAGTGAAACTCTGTCTCAAAAAAAAAAAAAAAAAAAAAAAAGAGAGAGAGAGAGAAAGTTGCTGGCAACTATTATACATGCAATAAATGCTAAGTATGCAGTATGGTCTGAATTGTGGTGTCACCCTCAAATTCATATGTTGGAACAGAATATCCAGCATGATATATTAAGAGTTAGGGCAGGCTGGGTGCTGTGGCTCACGCCTGTAATCCCAGCACTTTGGGAGGCCAAGGCAGGTGGATCACGAGGTCAGGAGATCAAGACAATCCTGGCTAACACGGTGAAACCCCATCTCTACTAAAAATACAAACAAATCAGCCGGGTGTGGTGGTGGGCACCTGTAGTCCCAGCTACTCGGGAGGCTGAGGCAGGAGAATGGCATGAACCTGAGAGGCAGAGCTTGCAGTGATCTGAGATTATGCCACTGCACTCCAGCCTGGGCAACAGAGCAAGACTCTGTCTCCAAAAAAAAAAGAGTTAGAGCCTTTTGGGAACTGATTAAGTCATGAGAACATCACCCTTGTATATGGAATTAGTGTCCTTATAAAAGAGGTTGGGCTGGGTACAGTGGCTCATTTCTATAATCCCAGCAATTGGGGAGGCTGAGGAAGTAGGGTCACTCGAGCCCAGGAGTTTGTGACCAGCCTAGGAAACATAGCAAGACCCTGGTCTATTCAAAAAAAGAAAAAAAAAAAAAGTCGAAGGGAACTCCTGCCTTGCCCCTTCTGCCAATTAAAAACACAAAAAGAAAATACCATCTTCGAAAAACAGAACAGGCTGTCACCAACACCTCAACAATCAGTGCCTTGATCTTAGACTTTCCAGCCTCCAGAACTTTGAGCAATACATTTTTATTGTTTATAAATGTCCCAGTCTGTGGCATTTTGTTATAGCAGCTCAATTAGACTAAAACAGTGTGGTTGATATGATCATTATCATTATCATCATTAGTATCTGTCTCAGAGGACTTGGTCTGCCCTCCTATTGGGAAAGGGGGCAAAGATAGAAACTGAAGGTTCTGTTTTTTGTGGATAAACAGCAAATCTGAGAGTACTATTGAGTTCTTAATAGCTGATGTTTTCAAATCTATAAGGAATTTCATTGATAAAAATGTTTTCTACTCTTTGAGTATCAATTTTCTTCTAGCCATGTCTAAGAAAAATGTAACAGATTCATTCAATATCAACTGAATGTCCACCACATGATAAGCAGTTTTCTAGCCATGGGGATACGGTAGTAGACAACACAGACAAAAATGCCTTCCTTAGCGTATCTTGTTTTTTAATGAGACTGACAAAGAGAAAACTAAAATACCATCAGTTAGTGAAACATGCTATGTAGAGTACTGCAGATAGAAAATATTTAAATAGTCAAAGAAAGTATCTCTGAAGAAAGGTGACATTTGAATGAAATGGGTTGGCAGGGAGCAATACAAATATTGGAGAAAACAATCAAGTCAAAGCAAGTGCAACGACCCTGGAACAGGAACAAGCTTAACCTATTTGAGGAATAGCAAGAAGGCCAGAATGGCTATAGCAGTGGTGGCAACAGACAGAATTTTTAATAGATATGGTTAAAAACTAGGTAGGGAAAATATCACGTAAGGCCCTGTAGTCTTTAATAAAGAGTTTGGGTTTTATTCTAAAAATGATCACATATCATGGTAGGTTTTGAGGAGGCGAATGACAAGTTGTGATTTACATTTTAGAAAGGCCATTCAGATTATTGTGCAAAAAATCGCTGGGTGCAGTGGCTCATGCCTATAATCCTAGCACTTTGGGAGGCCAAGGTGGATGGATCACCTGAGGTCAGGAGTTCGAGACCAGCCTGGCCAACATGGTGAAACCCCCATCTCTACTAAAAATACAAAAATTAGCCAGGTGTGGTGGCAGGTGCCTGTAATCCCAGCTACTTGGGAGGCTGAGGCAGGAGAATTGCTTGAACCCAAGAGGTAGAGGTTGTAGTGAGCCGAGACTGTGCCACTGCACTCCAGCCTGGGTGACAGAGCAAGACTCTGGCTCAAAAAAAAAAAAAAAAAAAAAAAAAAAAAGACCATGTCAGGGCAAGAGTGGAAGCAAGGAGAGCTATTGTGAGGCTACTATGTGGGCCATATGAGACATGAGGGTCACTTGGCTGAGGGTGGAGATGCAGATCATGGTAAATAGTCAGATTATGGATCTATTTTGAAGGTAGAGCTGACCAAAGCTGTTGAAGGACTAGATCTGATGTGTGAAATAAAAAAAGGAATCAAAGATGAAATTTGTGTCTTTGGCCCAATTAATTGGCTAAGTGAATGGCAGTGCCATTGACTGTGATGGGAAAGATGAGGTAAGGTCTAGTTCAGTGGTGTCCAATCATTTTGCTTCCCTGGGCCACATTGGAAGAAGAATTGTCTTGGGCCACACATAAAATACAGTAACACTAACAATAGCTGATGAGCTTTAAAAAACACAAAATAATCTCATATGTTTTAATAAGGTTTATGAATTTGTTGGGCCGCACTCAAAGCTGTCCTGGGCTGCATGCCACCCACAGGCCATGAGTTGGACAAGCGTGGTCTAGTTTGATGGGGTATGGGTTATATTTGGACTTGTCAATTTAGATGCACAAAAATCCAAGCAGTGATGTGGGGGTGCTCAGCAGAAATTTTAGAGAGGGAGGTTTATGTTTGGGTCTCAACAGGATCTAGATGATATTAAACAGAGAGAATAGATAAGATCAACTAGGGAATGAAGTTCAAAGGCTGAGGTTAAGGACACTACAACATTTAGAGTTTAGCAAGAAGAGATATAGTCAGCAAGGAATACTAAGAAGTGGCTAGTGAGGTGTGAAGAATACCAGCAAAGGATGTTATCCTGTAAGTCAAATAAAGAAAACGCATCCAGGAGGAGGGCATGATCAAATGGGTCAAGTGATCTGAGTCTTCTATAATCTTTAGATATCATGGAATAAACTTAATAACTGTTAGCTGCATATATTTGCCTGGTAGTTTACAGCAGCATTTCTCAAATTGTGTTTGTTGCTATTGAAGGAAATCAAAATATTTTACCCCAAAATATATTTCTTTGACATATTTTGAAATGGCTGCCACCTGGCCAGCAAATAGAAGTGGCCTTGCAAAGCTGTCTTTTGTGGGGAAAATATGCATCTGTAGAGAATTTCCATTAATGCCGCCATGCCCCCTCCCCTTTCTATGCCTTTCTTGAATCCAGGAGAGGCTGAGTGTTTGACCGTTTTAAAAGTCTGAAAAGAAACATTTACCATCTATTCTCTCCAAGGGAGGTTTCATTTACATAACAAGGCCACCTTTGCTAGCCAAGATTGTTACTTTCTCCCTCATCACCTGCTGATTTATCAACATAACCTGTTTCTGGCCACCCTCTGAGTCTGTATTCTTTACTGTGGCTCAGGATGTTGGGTCTTCATTCTTAAGGCTCCCATGTACACACATTAAATAAATTTGTATGCCTTTTCTTCTGTTAATCAGTCTGCCTTACATTAGTGATTTTTCAGTGAAGCTTTCAGTGGTCAAGAACCTATGGTTCCCGGAGTACGATAATTATATAGGATGTTCTGCAAAAAAAGGAGTGCAGTGATCAATTATGGGACATGTTTCACTCAGAAATTCATGATCCACATTAGTGTATTTAAAGCTCTGAGAAGTCCATAGAAAAGAAAACTTCTACCTTTTAAAAACAGGAATCCCCCAAATTGTTTTTTCTTAAAAATCAGATTGAGGATAACCTACAAGCAGGAAAATCCAACCATTTTAGGGGTACAATTCTGAGTTTTTACACAATCACATAACCACCCCTGCAATCCCAATTGTTTTTAAGTCACAAATCATGCCATCTATCAATGGCTCTAGTTCCACTTTAAAAATGACTGTTGCCAGTTTACAGAGCACTTTCGGATGTATTTTTCCATTTAACTCTGATGTCAATCCTCTGAGTTTGGAACCATTATTTCCAATGAGACAGATAAAGAAAGAGGCATAGAGAGGTAAAGAATCATCCCCACAATCACACAAAGCTACTCAGTGAAAGAGGTAGATTAAATGCAAACATTCAGATGAGTTAGATTTTCACTTGGTATAGTGGAAAGATAACACTGGATAAGACTATCAACAACCACAACTATTCATTGAGTCCTTCAACCACCAAACACCTCTTTAAAGTAGGTGTTGTTATTCTTACCTTACAAATAAGAACATAGGAGTAAAGTGTCTAATCGATTTGCTCAAGGGTAAAGAGAAATTGGTGGAGAAAGAATTCAAACCTAGGCTGGGCACGGTGGCTCATGCCTGTAATCCTAGCACTTTGGGAGGCTGAGGCAGGAGGATCACTTGAGGTCAGGAGTTCGAGACCAGCATGGTCAACACGGTGAAACCCTGTCTCTACTAAAAATACAAAAATTAGCCCGGCGTGGTGGGGGCCCCTATAATCCCAGCTACTTGGGAGGCCAAGGCAGAAGAATCAGTTGAACCGGGAGGTGGAGTTTGCAGTGAGCCAAGATGGTGCCACTGCACTCCAATCTGGGCAACAGAACAAGACTAATCAAGAAAGAAAAGAAAACAAAAGAAAAAAAGAGAAGAGAAAAGAAGAAAGAGAGAGGG
Organism: Homo sapiens; assembly: GCF_000001405.40. Lineage (NCBI taxonomy): Eukaryota > Metazoa > Chordata > Mammalia > Primates > Hominidae > Homo > Homo sapiens. The sequence continues at coordinate 73,003,422 of NC_000008.11, forward strand.
AGGGAGAGAGGGAGGGAGACGGGGAAGGAAAGGAGGGAGGGAGGGAGGAAGGAGGGAAAGAAAGAGAGAAAGAAAGAAAGAAAAGAAAAAAGAAAGAAAGAGAAAGCGAGAAAGAAAGAAAGAAAAATTCATATCTAGAACTCTGACTCCAGAGCCTGAAATCCTAACTGCATGGGATTGTGCTGTCCAGTATGATAGCTACCAGTCATACTTGGCTATTTGAGCACCTGAAATGTGGCTACTCCAAACTGAGATGTGTGTAAGTGTAAGATACACACAGGATTTTGAAAACTGTTTTTTTAAGTAAAATATCCAAGTTTTAAAATTACATGTTGAAATAATAGTTGGAATATATTTATAAGATTAAAATTAACTTCACCTGTTTCTTTCTATGCTTTTTAATGTGGCTCCTAGAAAATTAAAAATTACATATATGTGGTTCGTATGCTGCTTCAAAAAGTAGAGGCTGTTCATGGTTTTCTTTCTTAGGGCTGTCAAGGTCAAGGCGCTTCCTGTTATTTCTCTATTCAAGGGTAGAAAACATCACCAGGGTACGTTGTTTTATTGGGCATTGGTTTATTTCTAGGGGGTGGAAACGGGATTCTTCCCCTAGGTCCCCAGCTGTTTGTAGTCATATTCTTTTACTCACACACAATTTTATTGCTTTTGCTTTTGGGAGATGTGTTTTATTAAAAATAGTGGCTAATCAGGGACTTGTTAACGGCATACACTAGAAGGTTTTTTGTCTGTTTTTTGTTTTTTTGAGACGGAGTTTCACTCTGGTTGCCCAGGCTGGAGTGCAATGGTGCAATCTCGGCTCACCTCAACCTCCGCCTCCTGGGTTCAAGCGATTCTCCTGCCTCAGCCTCCCGGGTAGCTGGGATTACAGACATGCGCCACCACGCCTGGCTAATTTTGTATTTTTAGTAAAGACAGAGTTTCTCCATGTTGGTCAGGCTGGTCTCGAACTCCCGACCTCAGGCGATCCGCCCGCCTTGGCCTCTCAAACCGCTGGGATTACAGGCATGAGCTACCGCACTCTGCCTTGTTTTTTTTTTTTTTTTTTTTTAACAAAACGATCAAACAAACTGACCATGGAAAGTCAGTCCTGGGTTCCAGTTTTCAACTAACTGCATTTTCTTGCAGAGTGAGCCCGCACCATCACAGTGCCTGTATTCTGTATTCTGTCAGACCCAGGCTACACACGGATCCTGTAATGCATAAAACAACTTAAAAAAGTCTCAAGAGGCTACAAAGATCTTTTAAATACGTTAAAAGCTCTAAACGATTAGAACTGCCTAAGATAATGTTTCTCTTCCTGAAACCTGCTTTGCTTTAAACTCAAAACATTCCTTCAGTCCTTGAGCATTACCTTATTGATTCTGAAAAGGGAGGAAGTCTTCATGAGTAGGAGTGTGCTTCTTTATCATTATTATATACTATGTCCACTACCTCGAAATGGAGTGGTTCATTTTATTTGTATGGTTTGGTAGCTAGCGACCCTGGTTCTATACTGGAATCGCCTAGAGATACTTTGAAAAACACATATGCTTGAGCCTTGCCCTTAGAAATTCTGATTTAGTGAATACAAAGTATAACTCAGCCAACTGAGAACATACGACGTGCGGTCGGGGTTGAGAACTATTTATGAGGATAGCGAAACTAGTGTTTTAGGCCCTGTAAAATTTACTTTAAAAAAAAATCAGTTCATACCCAGGTACTTCCCCTCCGCATCTCTGTTCAAACCTTTTTAATGAAATCCCACTGGCTTAGACACTCTCCCTATGAAACCGCCTTTGCAAAAATCATAACTGAGAAATTACAGTGAAAGAGGTCTGACCTAACCGATACTACCTTTCTTCTAACATTCAAGCTGTCCATTCCTAGGTGTAGGCCAAACTAACTTTGGGAGGAACTTAGTTTATAGTTTAGCTTGGAAACAAAGAATATAACGGTGCTTTCCCCCAAACAAACCCCCTTCCTGCCTGGGGACTAGACTGCCTTTGCAGGACTAACAAATTAGCTACAAGATTAGAAGTTATGGTTTAGCAGTCATGAAACTGGAGGCTGCAAGATTGTAAACCTCCCCAAATGGCTCCTGGGAATAAAATCACTATTGTAAAACCTAAGATCAGTGCTTGAGATATTTTGCAGACCCTGCACTCAATGCATCAGCTGGCACCACCCAGATCAATAAACAGGCTCATCTAGTCTTGTGGCCTCCACCCAGAAAGTGACTCAGTGCAAGAGGACAGTTTTGACTCCTTACGATTTCATCTCTGACCCGACCAATTATCACTCCTGACTCAGTGGTCCCCTACCCACCAAATTATCCTTAAAAACACCAATCCTCGAGTTTTCGGGGAGATTGATTTGAGTAATAATAAAACTCTGGTCTCCCACACAGCCGGGTCTGCATGAATTACTCTTTCTCTATTGCGATTCCCCTGTCTTGATAAATCAGCCTGTCTAGGCAGTGAGCAAGGTGAACCCGTTGGGTGGTTGCACCCCCACCAAACTCCTATTAAGGTTACTGTTAGCATCACTCATTAGTCTGATGTTTATGTACAATGTGTGTGTGTGTTGCTTGTCTTACCAACTGGTCTATAATTCTTTATGGAGAGGAGTAGTATCTTTATATTTACCATGCACCATCCTAGCGCAGTACATTTCACATAATAGGTACTCAATAAAGGATGTTTCAAAAGTACATATGTAGTTTGGATATTCACGAGACATTTATAAATGCAAAAATAAAGCAATGTATATAATTCATAATGAGACCATTAGCTTATATTAGCAATGGGATAGACTAAAATATGGGTTAAAACACAATTATTTAATATGGTAGACATAAGAATTTAGGAAACTTATAGATTTCAAAGTGTTGTTTAGGAAATAGTCCAAATCAAAAACAGTCTTGGGAAATGCAACAGCATGGGGAATGTCATCTAGGCTTTATGGGAATCTTTCCACAGTATCTCTGACTACTGGCATCCAGAATCATAGATGTATACTTACCTGGCAGGGGAGATACCATGATCACAGGATCATTAATGATTCCAGTGGTGAGAAATCAGTACCTGGCAGTAGAAATCGGCACTTTATTGTGGGAAAGCCTGAATGGTTAGGAACCATGTGGGATATGAAGTCAAATCTGCCACCCCAAACCTTCAAACTTTGGTTTCAGGTTGTGCTCTTAGGATCATCACAAAACAGATTGAATCTCTCCCCTCATAACAGTCCCATTAAATGAGGTAAAGTCAACTATACTTGCGAGTCTTACTCCATGAACTCATGCAAGAAACATAATTTTACTCAAGGGATGATTTTTAAATCACCAAAATCACACAGGATTCTCTTTCCTAACCCACTCCAGCACAAAGGCACTACCTCCCAATACCATCCCATTGGGGGTTAGGGCTTCGGCATGTAAATCTGGGGAGAAAACAAATATGCAGTCCATAATACTAGGTTCATAATGTGCTGTAACCCTTATTCCCTTAGCCTCTATCCCCATTCCACTGTATTATTTCAAAACAGACCTTACTTCCCATGGGACAATTAGAGCCTGAAGAAGAGATCTCTTCTGATGCATCATCATTTTTCCTGGCAGCACAAATATTCTGCTCTTCCTGCTAATACTAATTGAGCACTTACTATTTCCCTGGCTTTTTTTTTTTTTTTTTTCGGTAGAGATGAGATCTCACTATGTTGCCCAGGCTGGCCTCAAACTCCTGGGCTCCAGTAATCCTCCCACCTTGGCATCCCAAAGTGCTGGGATTACAAAGTGAGCCACTGTGCCTGGTGAGGTTTCGTTTTAAACTCTTTTTTTTTTTTTTTTTGAGACGGAGTTTCGCTCTTGTTGCCCAGGCTGGAGTGCAGTGGCCCGATCTCGGCTCACCGCAATCTCCGCCTCCCGGGTTCAAGCAATTATCCTGCCTCAGCCTCCCGAGTAGCTGGGATCACAGGCATGCACCACCACACCCGCCTAATTTTGTATTTTTAGTAGAGACGAGGTTTCTCCATGTTGAGGCTGGTCTCGAACTCCTGACCTCAGGTGATCCGCCCGCCTCAGCCTCCCAAAGTGCTGGGATTACAGGTGTGAGCCACTGCGCCCGGCTGTTTTAAACTCTTTACATTTACCAAGCCCTTTAATCGTGCAGGTATTATTATTATTCACATTATACGGACAAGAAAACTGACACGTAATTTACCCAAGGTCACACAGCTAGTGAGTAACTGGTAGGGAATATTCCAACCTAAGCATTCTTAATACTAGAATACAGTGCCTTAGTTACTCAACACTTAAACTGTACCACCTTAAAGACAATAACAAGAAGTGTGTGAAAATGTGGAAAGGCTTTGATGATGCTGGATGCGTTATAAACAGAAAGGCTTTTAAAATAAACTTTTTATTCAATTATGACACACATACTGAAAAGTGCATAAACGATGTTCAGTGAATTTTCATAAAGTGAACCCACATCAAGGAACAGAAAACGGAGCCAGGCGTTGTGGCTCAGGCCTGTAAACCCAGCACTTTGGCAGGAGGATAACTTGAAGCCAGGAGTTGGAGACCAGCCTGAGCAACAGAGCGAAATCCTGTCTCAAAGGAAAAAAAAAAAACAAACAAAAAACAAAAACAATAACCAGACCACCCATCCCCATTTAGAATTTCTTTTTGTGCTAAGTTTCAAAATTCAAAATAAGCATTCACTTGTTTTCTACAAACTGCATTCTATAGTCGATCTCAAACCTTGATTGAGATACATTTCCATTATAGTATACTCTTTCTAGAGCACTGATCTCAAAATGTGGTGCCCAGCCAAGTAGCGTTGGACTTTCAAATTCAAGGATCCCAAGCTAGACCAGCAGAACAGGAATTCTGGGAGTGGAGCCCGGCAATTTGTGTTTTAGCAAGCCCCCAGGCTGATTCTGATGCATCTTAAGGTTGGAGAAGCATGGATATTGTCAGTTGTAATAGTTGTTGTTCGTGATCACGTAGTAACTGTTAGATGAAAACTAGGGTTTAAAAGTGTTACGCTTGTCTAATAGTGACAAGTTCTCATTACCCATCTCTTTCTGAAATAGGCTGCAGGCAAATGCGTTTTCATTTTAAATAACCGTGTTGTTGTTCCAGTCAAGGTTGCATTTTACAAGGAATAAGGAAGATAAAGCTGCCTCCTCCTATCCTAATCTCGCTCCTCGCTCAGTATGGAGTCGTCCGGTTTACCTACAAAGCCCTGCCCTAGACTGGCGGCAAATTCAACGCCCAGAGGCAGGAACAGGTGTCGGCCAATCAGAAGCCGGAACAGGTGTCGGCCAATCAGAAGCCAGGCTTGAACCGCTCGCCCATGTCCCGCCGGCGGAAGAGACTCTCCGCGGCCACGCCCCGAGCCCTCGAATGCGAGCCAATCGTTGCTCGGCGCCTGAAGGGGCAGTACCCAAGCGAGCCATTTAACATGGCGGAGGATGTTTCCTCAGCGGCCCCGAGCCCGCGGGGCTGTGCGGATGGTAGGGATGCCGACCCTACTGAGGAGCAGATGGCAGAAACAGAGAGAAACGACGAGGAGCAGTTCGAATGCCAGGAACTGCTCGAGTGCCAGGTGCAGGTGGGGGCCCCCGAGGAGGAGGAGGAGGAGGAGGAGGACGCGGGCCTGGTGGCCGAGGCCGAGGCCGTGGCTGCCGGCTGGATGCTCGATTTCCTCTGCCTCTCTCTTTGCCGAGCTTTCCGCGACGGCCGCTCCGAGGACTTCCGCAGGACCCGCAACAGCGCAGAGGGTGAGTGCAGACCGCGTCCGGGCCGGGACTACGCGGGGGGCGGATGCGGGCTCCGTGGTGCGCGGCAGAGGGCTGGTTCCCTACGTCGCCGAGGGAGGGGCTGCTGCGGCCGATTAGCTGGGAGTCCGAGGCTCCGGGCTGAACTTTGTTCGAATCCCGGTTCGCCCGTTGTCAGCACCTGAGTTTTTCTCAGATTGATTTCCTCTTCGATAAAATGAAAATAAGACCCTGTTTAGGTTTGATGCAAGCATTAAATGAGTTAAAATGTATACAGTTCCACTCAACCCAGTACCTTTGTCTCTTTTGGCGCTTTCTACTCAGGTATTCCTGTAGTAATATTCAGCAGTCCCTGTGGCCTCCAGTAACCCCCGAGGCATCAGTGTTTTATGTTAATTTGTGAGCTATTAAATCTCATTTGGCCTGCTGGCTCTACAGCAGTTACTTTTATTCTGTGTAGTCTCAGAATAAAAGTAAATGTTGGCCACATGCCTGCAAGTCCCAGCTACTTGGGAGCCTGAGGTGGGAGGATCGCTTGAACCCAAGAGGCAGAGGTTGCAGTGAGTCGAGATCGTGCCACTACAGTCCTGCCTGGGTAACAGAGTGATACCCTGTATGAATAAATAAATGAATGAATGAAACTGTTCATGAAATCTGCTGCACCCCGCCCCCGTCCCAAGATGGGGTCTCACTGTCACCCAGGCTGGAGAGTGTAGTGGCGCCATCACAGCTCACTGCAGGCTCGACCTCCTCAGGCTCAGGTATCCTCCCGCTTCAGCTTCTGGAGTAGCTGGGTCTGCAGGCGTGCACCACCACCCGCAGCTGTAAGATTACAGGTATGAGCCACCGCGCCTGGCCTAGTGTAGCTTTTTGAAAAACAACAGAAAGATGTTCTGGTACTTCATTCATAGTTGGCGCTAAAATTACTGTGCAAGTATATATTTATAATACTATAATTATGCTATTTAATAGAATTCTTAGACATTTTGACACATTTCATCTTCACCATAATCCTGTGAGTTAGGCAAATAATCTTAGTTTTAAGGTACTGATAGGTTAAAAGGGAGTGTTTCAGCCCCATCCTTTATCTTCCAGTTCAAGGATCTTTCCTCTGTATTGCGGTTAACACTGGAGCCAGGGATAATTAACATTAAGTAGAAAATTAAATCCTGGAATGAAGCTAGTTCCTCAGAATTCTCTTAGAGTTCTCTTAGAGTTGGAGACATCAGTATGAACTGTTTAGCTCATGTAGGTATAGATGACTTAGAAATATTTGCATATGCATGTGTAGACATAGGTTACTATACAAATATGTATTTCCTTACTCTGTCAGATAAAAGGGCACAGAAGCAACCTAACTCTAGTAACAATGAGTACACCTAGCACCCCGATCTTGTTTACAACTAAGTTTAGTTTAAAGACCTCACTTGGCTTTATTGTGATTCTGGATTCAGGTAATACTTTATTCCATAAAATAAGTGCTCAATGAATTGAGCAGTTGGGGGTTGGCTTTATAGACAGTAAGGACTTAAGGAAGCTGAAACAGAACAAAAAGAAGATTGGTTATTTCACAGTTACTTGTAAGGCTGGGACAGGGAGACAGAACAATAGATACATGGGATGCAGAATGGATGTTGTGTTATCAGGCATGAAAGCAACAGTAATTTCCTTGTATGTACGTCTCCCTCAGAGCTCTTGAGTGGTTAGGCGCATTATCAATGAGCAATGGTATTTTGAAAGGAATCTTTTTTCCAAGCAGTAGATCTCAATAATGGGCTTAAAATATTCAGTAAACCATGGTGTAAACAGAGGCACTGTCATCTTGTTCCATTTCTAGAGCACAGGCAAAGTTGATATATCATTTGAAGGGCCTTAAGATTTTCAGAATGAGAAATGGGCAATGGGTTTAACTTAAAGTCACCAGCAGCATTAGTCCCTAAGGAGAGTCAGCCTGTCCTTTGAAATATTAAAGTTAGGCATTGACTTCTCTCTGGCTATGAAAGTTCTCTATGACATCTTCTTCTAATATGAGGCTGTTTCATCTACAATGAAAATCTGTTGTTGGCTGGATACAGTGGCTCACACCTGTAATCCCAGCCCTTTGGAAGGCCAAGGCAGTTGGATCACTTGAGGTCAGGAGTTTGAGACACCAGCCTGGCCAACATGGCGAAACCCCATCTCTACTAAAAATACAAAAATTAGCTGGGCATTGTGGCACACATCTGTAATCCCAGCTACTCAGGAGGCTGAGGCACGAGAATCAATCACTTGAGCCTGGGAGGTGGAGGCTGCAGTGAGCTGAGGTCACACCACTGCCCTTCAACCTGGGTGACACGGCGAGACTCTGTCTCACAAAAAAACAAAATCAGTTGTTTAGTGTAACCACCTTCATTTGTGATTGTAGCTAGATCTTCTCAATAACTTGTAGCTTTTACTTCAGCACTTGCTGCTTCACCTTGCACTTCTATGTCACAGAGATGGCTTCTTTTCTTAAACCTCATGAACCAACAACCTCTGCTAGCTTCCAACTTTTCTTTTGCAATTTTCTTACCTCTGTCAGCCTTCTTAGACTTGCTCTGGATTAGGCTGTGGCTTAAAGGAATGTTGTGGCTGGTTTGATTTTTTTTTTTCTATCCAAGTCAAACTTTCTCCATATGAGCAATAGGCTCTTTTACTTTCTTATCATTTATGTGTTCAGTGGATTAGAACTTTTAATTTCCTTTGAGAACTTTTCCTTTGTATTAACAACTTGGCTGTTAGACACAAGAGGCCTATGTTTCAGCCTATCATGGCATTTGACATCCTTTCCTCACTAAGCTTAATCATTTCTAGCTTTTGATTTAAAGTGAATGACTTGCAACTCTTCCTTTCACTGAAACACTTGGAGGGCATGTAGAGTTACTCATTGGCCTAATTTCAATCTTGTTGTGTTTCAGGAGATAAGGAGGCCTGAAGAGAGGGAGTAAGGGGAAGGGCTGGTCAGTGGAGCAGTTAGAACACACACAATATTTATGGAATAAGTTTGTGTCTTATGGGCATGATTTGTGGTACTCCAGAACCTTTACAATAGTAACATCAGAGATTATTGATCACAGACCACCATACAGATATAATAATAATGAAAAAGTTTGAAATATTGCAAGAATTATCAAAATGTGACAGGTACAGGTACTGTTAGAAAAATGAGCCAGACGCGGTGGCTCATGCCTGTAATCCCAGCACTTTGGGAGGCTGAGGCGGGCAGATCACGAGGTCAGGAGATCGAGACCATCCTGGCTAACATGGTGAAACCCCGTCTCTACTAAAAAAATACAAAAAAAATTAGCCAGCCTTGGTGGTGGGCGCCTGTAGTCCCAGCTATGCGGGAGGCTGAGGCAGAAGAATGGCATGAACCTGGGAGGCGGAGCTTGCAGTGAGTGGAGATGCACCATTGCACTCCAGCCTGGGCGACAGAGCGTGACTCTGTCTCAAAAAAAAAAAAAGGTGCCGTTAGACTTGGCTCAAGCTGGGCTGCGGTAAACTTTCAATTTGTAAAAAACATGCAATCTGCAAAGCACAATAAAATGAGGTATGTCTGCACCTATCCTTCGTGGTACTCATTAAAATTTTAATTAGTTACTTACATAACTTTTTGTTTAATTGTGTCTTCTCAGATTAAAACCTTCATGGGGGCAGAGACTGGCTATCTGAAGTCATCACCTCCTAACACAGGCTGGCAGTAGATGTTCAGTAAATATTGAATGGCTTGTGTTTAAATTCTATATAAATTTTGTGCTCTCTTAAAATCCTGTTAAATTCTATTATGACTGTGTATGGTCCAGATAATCTCTGGTGTAGCATAAGATTATGTTAGAATTGAGGGAGGAAATTGGGTAAAAATATATTCGTCTTATATGCTTAATTGCTACAGAATTGCTTTTCAGTTTGCTAGTTATTTAAGTTTTTTATATATACACCAACCAAGCCCTGGGTTAGGTATAATGGTAGTAGTGGCACCTTCAGGTCTTAGGTTAGACATTATTTCCTCAGAGAAGCCTTCCCTGACACCTCCTCTGTGCAGAAGATACTTAAACACACAGATTTCTTGTTATATGCTTCCAAAGCATTCTGTACTTGTCTTTTTAAAGTTTTCACAACATTTTTACTTCAGTAGTTCAATCGCTTGTCTCATTGCTACATGGTAAAAAGCTCACTGTGGTCCAGGAGTATGGCTTACTTGGTATTGTATGTAATCACTGCCTGACTCAACATCTGGGTGGGCATTCAAGTTTGGGGAGGTTAATATTAATAGGTTTTAAACTTTGTAAGCTAAACAGACTCACTTAACTGAAACCTAGATAGAAATAATATAAAATATTTTCTATTATATGAAATGTTTCTAGGTATAAGTTTCCAACCAATGATTTTACACATTTTACAATTTGTATCTAAATCTTTTTTGTTAATGTAGACTGCTACTTGTGAAAGAATTTTCAACAATTTTTATTCTACATGTGAAAGTTATATTTTGTAAGAAATGTCTTCATTGCTATTCTTTTTTTTTGTTCTGAATTTTAATCAGATCTTAAATGTACAACTCTAAATTTATGATAATTTTTACAATATGTTTGTAGCCTATTACTCAACAAACCACACAGTGGCACTACTGGATCAAGTTTGATTTTAATAAAATTTACTTTTTTTCTTTTTTAGCTATTATTCATGGACTATCCAGTCTAACAGCTTGCCAGTTGAGAACGATATACATATGTCAGTTTTTGACAAGAATTGCAGCAGGAAAAACCCTTGGTAAATATGTTTTTTTATTTTATATTGGAAATATTTCAATCTGTTTCTAATGTAAGACAATGGGAAGAAACAGACGTTTTTGGGGGAAGTTTGCCTACAAGTGTCTGGTGCATAGGGGTGTGGGGGGGTGGTGTGTGTGTGTGTGTACACATACAGTCATATCTAAAGCAAGTAAAAGAAATGTAGTCCCTGTCATCTTAGAACATTGGTTCTCAAACTTTAGCCTGCTCCAGAATTACTTAAAGGGCTTATTAAAAAAAAAAAAACATAGTGCTGAGTCTCCCTAACTCTCATGAGTTTCAGATTCAGTAGGATGGGTATGGGGCTCTGAAATATACATTTCTAATAAATTCCCAGGTGATTCTGATGCTACTCTTGGGGAAGTGTGTTTCATTGACTCTATTTGCTAACTTTGTGGTGACTCCAATCATACACACTCTGTTTTTACTGGCAACTATTATATTTGAAACCTTTTATTTGAACTTGATGCCAGCGCTTACGTAAGAAGTACAGTTTATAGCTGTAATCTCTCTCCCTTGTCTCTGTAGTTCCATTTTAGATTGTAATGGGCAAGGCTGATTCAGTTTATCAGTAATGGCTGGTATTTACAACATGGTCATTTTAAAAGGCTATTTGATGGAAATAATTTTGTATTTAGATTGGTTTTTATAATTTACAAAATACTTTTCCAACAATCCTGAGTAGTGGGCAGTACTTACATAAAACTGCTTGCTTATTGAAGTGTTGTCTTACATAAAATCCCAGTGTATTAGCACCACTGTCAAGGCCTTCACTAAAGTATCTCTGGCTGATGTAGTCTGCTTTGTTTGGGGGGTGAGGGTAGGTCTGGAGTTGGTGCCAGGACCATAAATGGATAGAACTAGATAGAGGCAGAATAGTTGTGAAAGAGACAGAGCCATAGGTAGGCCTGGGCCAGTTGCTGGAGAAGTAGCAGGCTGGAGCAGAATTCCAGACCATGCAGACTATAAGTTGACACTGTTGTTAACAGGGTTGTTTTCTACATTAAGGTGGAAAAGTATTCTAAAGTGCCTGGCAGTGCTTTACACATAGCAGTTGTTCAGCACATCTTAGTTGCTTCCTGGATAACCTTTTCTCCAAAAAAGGCAGGGGGGAATCCAGATTTTATGTGTGATCTCATGGTTTAATCTTGGAATTTACCAGGATACTCTTTTGGATATATCCTAGATATAATAGGCCAGGGTCAGCTGTCAAGAATCAATGTATTTCACCATAATGCACTAAACTGAGGCAGCATTTAAAATTTTATGTATTGGATTTTTGGCTATACATAACCCTTTTGCTTTTTTTTTTTTTTTTTTAATTTTGCTCTATAGTGGCACTGCCTAATAGAGATATGTGAGCCACATGTCTAATTTAAAATTTTCTAATAGCTATGTTAAGAAAAGTAGGCCAGGCATAGTGACTCACACCTGTAATCCCAGTACTTTGGGAGGCCTAGACAGGAGGATCGCTTGAGCCTAAGAATTTGACACCAGCCTAGGCAACATAGCGAGACCCTGTCTCTACAAAAAATTTAAAAAATTGGCTGGGCGTGGTGATTCACGCCTGTAATCCCAGCACTTTGGGAGGCCGAGGTGAGCGGATCACGAGGCCAGGCAATAAAGACCATCCTTGCTAACGTGGTGAAACCCCGTCTCTACTAAAAATACAAAAAAAAATAAAAATAAAAAGTTAACCACGTGTGGTCCTCTGGAGACTGAGGTAGGATCGTTTGAGCCCAGGAGGTTGAGGCTGTGGTTAGCTGTGATTGTGCCACTTCACTTCAGCCTGAGTGACAGAATGAAATCCTGTCATGAAATTTAGAAATTCCCATTCCAGCAGGTGTAGCTAAAAAATAATAATGATAATTAAAATAGGTGGAATTAATTTTGATAATCTTATTTAACTCAATATTTCTCAAACACTATGTCAACAAGTAGTCAGTGTAAAAAATGTTAGTAAGGCCAGGCACATGGCTCACACCTGTAATCCCAGCTCTGGGAGGCTGAGGTGGGTGGATCACTTGAGCCCACGAGTTTAAGGCTGCAGTGAGCTATGATCACACCACTGCACCCCAACCTGGGCAGCACAGCAAGGCCCCCATCTCTTAAAAAAAATCAAATGAGATATTTTACCTTTTTTTGGAGTAAGTCTTTGAAATCTCATGTGTACTTTATACTTAAGGTGCATCTCAATTCAAACTAGCCATATTTTAGCTGTGCAGTAATCATGTATGGCTAGTAGCTGTGCAGTAATCATGTATGGCTAGTAGCTACCATATTGGGTTTAGTCTCCTACCCCACATAGGTTTGACAAGATTGGACATGTTTGGGGTGATGTGGCTGTAGACCCCCACGTAGCTCTGAAATACAGCAGATATCTTAAAGGGGAAATGCTTGTCATCCTCCTCTTATGGAACTTTAAGCTTTTTTTTTTTTTTTTAGCCAGGGTGTCTCTCTGGCCCAGGCTGGAATGCAGTGGTGCCATCATAGTTTATTGCAGACTCAAACTCTTGAGCTCAAGTGATCCTCCTGCCTCAGCCTCCTGAGTAGCTAGGACTACAGGTGCACCATCAGGCCCAGTTAATTTTTTAATTTTTTGTAGAGACGAGGTCTCATGTTGTCCAGGCTGGTCTTGAACTCCTTGCCTTAAGTGATCCTCCCGCCTAGGCCTCCCAAAACTCTGGGAGACTTAATGTGCCTTTCCACTGCAGCCTATTGCATTGCCGTGGAACTCAGCACATGTCCTGTGGAGAAAAGCCAATCATGTTTGCAGTTTCTCTAGTTTCCAGTCGACGTGCCAGCCCCAAGGAAACCACCAGAAGCTGTTCTTATTTGTCTTTCTCCAGTAAAGTCTCTCTGGCTGGAGTGCACTGGATCCTCAGCCTTATCCAAAATCAGCAAATCGGCAGCTCACCTCAGAAGGGATTCTCTCTGGAATTTTAGTTCATCTCATTTTCATTGCTTCCATGGCTATCCCATGTCTTTAGCAATGTGATTTTGGAGTTTATCTAACTGTTTTCTAGCTGTAGTGTGAGTGTTTTGTTTGCTGCAGTATACTACATCCCACCTGGAAGTGAATGTCTATACTGTAAATTTTTTGAAGCTAAGATCTAACATACATTTTTCTCTATGTCACATTTATAAGAAGGAAGGCAGATAAGTGAGAAGGGTTAAGTAATGTCAGTCAAGAAATACTTATTTGAAAATGTGTGTTGAAATTAGCTCTTGAAAGAAAGCAAGCAGATGAAAAATGAGGAAGAAAAATTAGGCAGTCTACCTTTGCATTTTCATTTCACTACTTTTGAGGCACAGTAAGTGATATTTAAGTGTCTTGGTGTCTGCTTGTACTACTTGCTTGGTGTGTGACCTCTCTAGCTCTCAGATCTTACTGTATAAAACAAGTGCCACAGTGCCTGACACTCAGTGTTAGTTACTAGCATGAATATCTTTTGTACACCTCTTTCTTACCTTATGCTGCTCCATTTTCCTGAAGTGTTCTCCTTCCCATCCTTGTAGTCTACACTTAGTTATCATCTGTTTATCCTTAATGCCCCAATTTGGATGACTTCTGTTTCATGAGGGATTCACTTCTGCTATTCCTACTTAGAGTTAATACCATGTTCCTCAAATACACTAGACTCTGCTTGAGAATTTAATCTCTGGGAGATGGGTATAGGCATCAATATTTTTTTTCTTTTTTTTTTTTTTGAGACAGAGTCTCACTCTGTCACCAGGCTGGAGTACAGTGACGCCATCTTGGCTCACTGCAACCTCCGCCTCCCGGGTTCAAGCGATTCTTCTGCCTCAGCCTCATGAGTAGCTGGGACTACAGGCGTGCGCCACCATGCCTGACTAATTTTTCTATTATTAGTAGAGACAGGGTTTCACCATGTTGGCCAGGATGGTCTCAATTTCTTGATTGGCGGATCTCGTGATCCGCCTGCCTTGGCCTCCCAAAGTGCTGGGATTACAGGCGTGAGCCACCGCGCCTGGCCATGCATCAATATTTTTCAAAAGCTCTTCAGATGTTTCTGAGGTATAGCAAACATTGAGAACCATTGGCATAATGCACAATTCCATTAAAGTACCAGTTATATTGGTTTGTCTGCATGTCTTCTTCCATAGCTAGGATGTGAGTTCCACAAGGTCAGGAACTTTTTTTTTCATGTTTGTATCTTAAGTACCTGACACAGAACCTGGAATATAAAGAGACTTAGTATGTGAATGAATATATTTTTATATCTAAAATGTTGGAAAAACAATTTGGAGAGGACAACAGGAAATAAAGTAAAAATATTTGAAACTACGAATATTTAAACTGCATGCTCACTCTGGTTTTTCAAGGAAAAAAGGATGTGCTATTTAAAATTCTCTTTATTCGGTCGGGCTTGGTGGCTCACGCCTGTAATCCCAGCACTTTGGGAGGCTGAGGCGGGTGGATCACCTGAGGTCAGGAGTTCGAGACCAGCCTGGCCAACATGGCAAAACCCCGTCTCTACTAAAAGTACAAAAATTAGCCTGGCGTGGTGGTGGGCACCTGTAATCCCAGCTACTTGGGAGACTGAAACAGCAGAATCGCTTGAACCCAGGGGGCGGAGGTTGCAGTAAGCCGAGATCGCGTCACTTCACTCCAGCCTGGTCAAAAGAGCAAAGCACTGCCTCAAAAAATAAATAAGTAAAAATAAAAATAAAAAATTCTCTTTATTATGCTTATTTGTTGCATACTTGCTATGGAACTACAACTGTGCTAGGAATTACAGGGATTTAGAAAAATACACTTAAGTGGCTTCTGCCCCCCAAAATTTGAAATATGCATTATAGAGTAAGAAGTTTTTTGTCTTCAAGACACTGTAAAAGCTAATAGGGTTGTTGAGGTAAGTATAAAGTACTGCAAGGCATTAAAAAATGAATAATGATACAAGAGTTTCTTTTTAATTAATGCAGTGCTCATGAATTTTTGTGTCATCCTTCTCGAGGGGCCATGCTAATCTCTGCATTCTTCCAATTTTTATATATTTGCTGCCAAAGCAAGCACATACAGGAGATTTAGAGAAAGGACATTTCCTAGTCTCTTAGCTGCTGGGGTAAGGACAGCATTCAAGAAAGAGGTGCTGTTTGCACTATGCCTGTAAGAATTGCTAGATTTTGTCAGAAAGAAAGTATAAAAATGGTAGTCTATCCACATCCTCAGATGTGGTGTGGGGGTGGGGGGAAGGTAGTCTAGATAAAATGAAAACATTAGCATTATTTTGAAAATAAACTATAGTTTACCTGGATAATAGACTCTTGATTTCCATATACAACTTCATAAACTTGGTCCTCACCCAGGCTTCCTATGATAGTAAATGTTAGCACCATTTATCCAATTATTAAAACCCAAGAGTCCTCCATTTTTTCCTCATGCTCTACATGCAGTCCATTAGCAGGTTCTATTCTACATTCAAAATAAGTTCCAAAACAGACAACTACTTGCCTTTTCCATCATCTTTCTAAGAGTATGCATCCAACTTGCCCACCGACCTTCCTCCTGCCCTTTGTATTTGTTTTTTCAAGACAAGGTCACGCTGGAAGGCTGTGGTGTCATCATCGCTCACTGAGCCTCAGACTCCTGGCTCAAGCAGTCCTCCCACCTCAGCCTCCCAAGTAGCTGAGACTACAGGCACACGCCCCCACCTGGCTCTTCCTGCCCTTTGAACATCAAACTCCTCCTCAGGACCTTTGCACTTGCCATTCCCTCTGGAATGTTTTTCTTCCAGATCTTTGTGTGACTGTTCCTTCTGCTTCACATTACGCTGTTCTCAGCTCCACTGTCACTTCTTCAGAGAGGTCTTTAACCTGTCTGAAAGAGCTTCCCTCTCCCCTACCATTCTTCATTTCCAGAACCTTTTTTCTTTCTTCTAGCCCTTACTACTCTGAAACTATATTGTTTACTACTCTGAAACTGTATTGTTTACTACTCTGAAACTGTATTTATTTCTCATTAGCATGTGCGTATCATAAGAGCAGGATTTTGTCTTACTGAGCCATTCCAAGTTTTTAGGCGAGTGCCTATATATACTGAGTGATCAATAAATATTTATTGAATGAATTGTAGACTGTAGATGCTAGACATGTAAGACATTATCATGAAGGCTCTTGAATGTCCGAATGGGTTGTTGCTGTGTAATTTGCTAATTAGTTATCAGCTGTTGTGAGTCTTTGTTCTGAATAACTTGATCACAACTCTTTTAGGAAAGCTTAATAATAGTACAACTATTATCTCATTATATATTCACATAAATTCTGTGAGATAGTATTTATTCTCACCATTTTATAGGTGAGAAAACTGGCCTGTCTTGAGGTTTGTTATAATGCATTAGACTTAGGAACCACTTAAGAATTCTGTTGCTATGACATGTTATGTAAAATAGTTTACTTTCGTTCTTAAAATTCATGTTTTTGTAAAGAAAATCTTCAAATGTTTGTAATCTCATCAACCTTTTTCTATTTGAAATTGATCTTAATGAGCAAATTAACTTAGAAAATAAAATCACTTCTAAACTGGTATAAACAAGAAGAGTACCTAGCACATAGTATACACTCAGTAAATATTTAAAGGAATGCATTATTAAAAACTGACAAAGTTCTACTTAGCTTTCTGAGTTACTTATTTTTGTTCTGTTTTTAAAAGATGCACAGTTTGAAAATGATGAACGAATTACACCCTTGGAATCAGCCCTGATGATTTGGGGTTCAATTGAAAAGGAACATGACAAACTTCATGAAGAAATACAGAATTTAATTAAAATTCAGGTATGAATAAATTACTTTTATGCTTATTATATTTCTAGAAAATAACATTTAAAAGAAATTAAGAGGAACCTAGTAGAAGTTGAGCAGTAGTAAAATTTAATGTATTGTTTCTCTTCAGAAATTTGACCTTTGGTTTATAGTCTTAACATGAGCACTGGGGGCTGGAACTTAATGTGCCATACTTAAGCATATGTTGCCTCTATGTTGTGGAAAATTTAAAAACCAGGGGTTTGTGCACTCTCAATTGATGCTTAAAGATTATGTAAAAAGTAGATACTATTTTTAATTAATGGTAAATTTTAGATTTTTGTAATCAAGAATATATAAAATTTTAACCAAGTAGGGAGAATTTTAGTAGACAGTAAGTAGCCCAAAACGTCATTCAAAGATACAATAGCTAGCAGTCAAAGCAAATACTAGGTACTTTCTTAGTTAAATAAACTTTTTCTCTTTTGAGAATTTTAAAAATTTCTTTTCAGGTTGGATAAAAGAAAATCCAAGTCATTCCCCACCTTCCCAAGAATTAGTGTGGTGATTGTCAAGTAGAATTAGGACCTGAGGAAAAGAAAATAGGCAGAAAAACGACTGCTTCCTTTATGAATTCAACCCAGAGCAAAGAGATTTGTCATGTTATTGCAATCTTTTAGGCTGCTAGAGAAAGCAAGTCTTTCTTAATACACTACTGTAAAATCAAATGGGTGACAAAGTTTATAGCAAACATTTAATATATTCCTTACTATTTGCCAGGCACTGTTCTAAACTCTTTCACATAAAACTCTTACATCCTCATAACAATCCTATGAAATAGGTACTATTGTTTCCACCATTTTACATATAAGGTAACTGGGACACCAAGAGGTTAAGTAGCTTACCAAGTTTACATAGCTACCCAAATGGTAAGTGGTCCTGTCTTACTTACCACGTTACCAAAAATGCCAATGCATGAAAAAAATGATCATTAAAAAACATCTAGCTTCTTAGGTGTGTATTAGATATTTTCCAGGGATCTGACTAGCAAATTTTATGTATCCTAATCATCACAAACATCATCTACCTCCTCTCATTTCCCTTTTACTCAAAATTAATATTTAGGTGGGTCCTAAATGTGTGTGGTATGGCTTCTAATTTATTTATTAATACATACTTTTCATTTGGTCTAAATTAGAGATAGAATGCTGGGCATTTATGAATAAATGTGCATGGGACCAGTGCAAATTTTTCATGTCATTTCAAGCGACACTTATTTTGTCTTTGAAAAATAATTTTATATCTTTTATCAAATTAAAATTATTAAGCTACATAAAAATGTTCTCAACAGAGGATTTCAGACTTACCTGAGTTATCTTAATAATTAAATAACTATTGGGTATTTATAAACGCAGTCTAAGGTTGGTATTTTTCATCTTTTAGGCTATAGCTGTTTGTATGGAAAATGGCAACTTTAAAGAAGCAGAAGAAGTCTTTGAAAGAATATTTGGTGATCCAAATTCTCATATGGTAATTATTTAAATTAAAACCATAGAATTTTAGAAGTGTTTATGTAGAGTGAGGAAAACTGAAAGAAAATTGGAGGAGAAAAGAAATGCTTTATCTTTTAAACAGTATAGAATAATACCGTGCAACAGAAAAACTACGCAAGTCACATATGTGATTTAAAATTTTCTAATAAGCTGGACGCAGTAGCTTACACCTATAATTCCAGCACTTTGGGAGGCTGAGGTGGGAGGATCTCTTGAGCTCAGGCATTCGAGACCAGCCTGGGCAACATGGAGAGATCCTCATCTCTCCAAAAAGAAGGAATAATAAATAATGAAAAATAAATACAATTTTCCAGTAGTCATATTAAAAAAGTAAAAAGAGGCCCGGTGCAATAGCTCATGCCTATAATACCAGTACTTTAGGAGGCTGAAGCAGGAGGATCATTTGAGGTCAGTAGTTCAAGAGCAGCCTGGGCAACACAGCGAGACCCTGTTCTCTACAAAAAAATTAAAAATTAGCCAGGTGTGGTGGCGCAATACTGTAGTCCTGAGGTGGGAAGATTGCTTGAGCCTAGGAAGTCAAGGCTGCAGTGAGCTATAACGCTGCCACTGCGCTCCAGCCTAAGCAACAGAGAGAGACGCTGTCTCTAAAAATAAATAAATAATAAAATAGTATAGTATTTGCATATAACATATGTACATCCTCCTGTATAGTTTAAATCATCTCTAGATTATGTATAATAACTTACACAATGTAAATAGTTGTACTGTTTAGGAACAAAAAGATACAAAAAATCTGTATGTGTTCAGTACAGGTGTAATTTTTTCCCCCATACATTTTGTGGAACAAATATATGCATTTCTTTTGGGTTTATATGAAGAGTAGAACTGATTAGTCATAAGATGTGTACATACTCAGTTTTAGTAGATATTGCCAAACTGTTCTCCAAAGTAGTTATGTCAGTTCCTCCAGTAGTGTGAAAGAATTCTAGTTGCTCCACACACCTTGTATCTGGGTTTTCATTTTAGCCATTCAGGCAAATATGTAGTGCTATCCTGTTGGATTTTAATTTGTTTCCCTGATGAATAATCAGATTGAGCACCTTCCCTTGATAATGTTAGTAGATAGAGTTGGAGAGTGACTACCTTAATCCAGTAAGGAACCTGGGCCTAGTAGAGAGTAGGTTGGGCAGTTTTGGCAAGGCTTTGTCTATCTCTAATTTAACCCTGTACCTGGGGTATAACCCTCCAGAAATTTCAGCCAATAGCCTGATATGTCTGTTGGGTTTTCTACCCTTAATATTTTCTCCATAGCACTATGAGACTACTGAAAATTCTACTCTGCTTATACCTCCCAGAAGAGGAAAACTTAATGGCCAGGAAATATTAAGAGGTTAAGATAAGTACTTGACCTCACTAGTATTAATGTTGCCTCATTAGGGCAATATTAAGTACTATATTGAAATACCACTTTCCATGCCTCAGACTGGCATCAATTAAAATGTCTTAGAATATCAACAGTTGTCTCAACAAATTGAGAAATGATTGTACTGCCTGCCATAACTTCCTTTCAAGACTGTAAATTGGTACTTCTTTGGGAGATCATTTTAGCAAAATATTTTAAGCATGCATTCCAGCAATTCCACTTCTAGACAATACCTTAGAATAGCTGGTTTCACTTTTAACTGCATATTTTAAAAGCCATGAAGTTTAAAGGCAACAAAAAACCAAGGCCTTCCTGAGACAGTTGCTCTGGGATTGAGCCTAAGAATTTTTTTAAAGTTCTACTTTTTTTATTGTGCAGCCAGCATTGAAAAAGCTACTGTCCAAGAAAAACACATACAATGCACAGAAGATAATGTAGAAAAATGTTGAAGAGCGATACAATAATTGCAAGTAGCCTAAATCCCTCAATAGGCATGAAGAATGGATGAATAAGTGATGTTTTTGATCAGTGTAGTACTTTACAATGGCAAAAATAACTACTTCTAGGAATATCAAATCAGCATGGATAAATGTTGTAAACATAGAGTTGAGTGAAATATAGCAAGTTTCAAAAGAATACGCATCGTACAACACTATTTGTAGAGTTAAAACCATGCTAAGCAATGCTACATATTTGTGGATACATACATATGTAGTGCAAGTAAAGGAATTCCTGGGAATGGTGAATTCTAAATTCAGGGTAATGGTTACAGTTAGGAGAGGAAAGGGAATACAATCAGATTATGGTAGTAAACAGGGATTTTAACCATATTGATTATGTTTTATTTCTGAAACTGGGTAATGGATACTCTGGTTTATAATACATATCTTTTTGAATCTGTCTAAAATGTAAAATATTTTTTAAAATGAGGAGAGGCCAGAAGAAGTCAGAAAAAGGTACATTGGCATGCCATTTAAAACTTAATTTTAAAAATATCTGTGTCTCTTGAGTTTGTAAAGTGATTTCTTTTCAATTAAATAATATGTGACAAAAATCGTTGTATCTGTAACTTTGTGTGATTTATGTTAATATATTTCTTCTGTTTTCTTTAGCCTTTCAAAAGCAAATTGCTTATGATAATCTCTCAGAAAGATACATTTCATTCCTTTTTTCAACACTTCAGCTACAACCACATGATGGAGAAAATTAAGAGTTATGTGAATTATGTGCTAAGTGAAAAATCATCAACCTTTCTAATGAAGGTATACATATTATTCAAGAGTGACTAATAATAGACTTAAAGGAAACGTTATAATAAAGGAGAATACTTGAAATAGAAATCCTTTAAAATTAATCAGAATTTTTCATTGTGGTTTTGTAGAAAGGTGTGGTAAAATGTTACATTTTGTGGACCTAATTAAAAGATTTATGAGTGATATGTACTTTTGTAACTTTTCAAAATTAGTTTGGGGAAATTTTCAAAAGAAAAAGTTGAAGGGAAAACTTAGAATGAATTAAAAATAAGAAATAGGCAAAAGCAAATATTTTAATTTAAGTAAATTTTAAAGACTTTTTAAACATATTTTTGGGGAAAAATAGAATTGTATTAAAGAAGGGCCTTTTAAAATTTTTCTAGGCCAGGCGCGGTGGCTCATGCCTGTAATGCTAGCACTTTGGGAGGCCAAGTTTCAGGAGTTCGAGACTAGCCTGGGCGACATGGTGAAACCCCTTATCTACAAAAAAATACAAAAAAATTAGCTGGGCCGGGCGCGGTGGCTCACGCCTGTAATCCCAGCACTTTGGGAGGCCAAGGCAGGTGAATCACACGGTCAGGCGGATCACACGGTCAGGTGGCTAACATGGTGAAACCCCGTCTCTCCTAAGAAAATACAAAAAAATTAGCTGGGTGTGGTGGCAGGTGCCTGTAGTCCCAGCTACTCAGGAGGCTGAAGCAGGAGAATGGCATGAACCTGGGAGGCAGAGCTTGCAGTGAGCTGAGATTGCGCCACTGCACTCCAGCCTGGGCGACAGTGAGACTCTGTCTCAAAAAAAAAAAAAAAAAAAAAAAAAAGCTGGGCATGGTGGCATACACCTGTAGTCCCAGCTACTTTGGGGAGTTGAGGCTGTAGTGAGCTGAGGTTGAGCCACTGCACTCCAGCCTGGGTGACAAAATGAGACCCTGTCTCAAAAAAAAGACATTTCTGGTCAGGCGCAGTGGCTCATGCCTGTAATCCCAGCACTTTGGGAGGCCGAAATGGGTAGATCGCTTGATCCCAGGAGTTTGAGACCAGCCTGGGCAACATGGCAAAACCCCATCTCTACCGAAAAAATAGAAAAATTTAGCCAGACATAGTGGCACACGCCTGTAGTCCCAGCTACTTGTGGCGGCTGAGGCAGAAGGATTGCTTGAACCCAGGAGGTTGAGGCTGTAGTGAGCTGAGATTGAACCACTGCACTCCAGCCTGGGTGACAAAGTGAGACTTGTCTCAAAAAAAAACACATTTCTAGTCAGGCGCGGTAACTCACGCCTGTAATCCCAGCACTTTGGGAAGCCAAAATGGGTGGATCGCTTGAGCCCAGGAGTTTGAGACCAGCCTGGGCAACATGGCAAAACCCCGTCTCTACAAAAAAATTACAAAAATTTAGCCAGGCATAGTGGCGCATGCCTGTAGTCCCAGCTACCTAGGAGGCTGATGTGGGAAATCACCTGAGCCCAGGAGGTTGAGGCTGCAGTGAGCTGTGATTGTGCCACTGCACTCCAGCCTGGGTGACAGAGTGAGACCCTGTCTCAAAACAAACAACAATAAAATTTTTCTAATAACATTTTATTTTCTGTCTTGGCCTCCAAATTTTTAAGTTGACAGTGTTATAGTGGAGCATCTTGATTGATTTGAGATAGTTTTTATTTGAAAATATCTAGAATTTTTATTTTTTTTTTTTTTCATGCAGCCTTTTCTCTTAAAATTGCCTAGAGAGCATTTTGTCTATCAAATATATTTACAAGGAAAGACCACCTTCGTAACGCTGATAAACCAAGCAGATAGCTAATGTAGCTGCTGGCAGTGTCATAATTATTGGTGAAAATAACAACACAGTGCCCTTCATTGGCCTGTGAACAGATACATTAGCTATGACTATCAAAGAATTACAAGGCTTAATTTAATGCTATTTGTTTAAAATGGCTTAATGCATTTCTTCCTATCCTTCTACCTCCACGCACGTTTTTTAAGGCAGCGGCAAAAGTAGTAGAAAGCAAAAGGACAAGAACAATAACTTCTCAAGATAAACCTAGTGGTAATGATGTTGAAATGGAAACTGAAGCTAATTTGGATACAAGAAAAAGGTTTGTAATTTAATCAATTTGTATATTTTTTGTTTTATGAATGTTCTGTCTTTATGTAAAATTGATATGTCTTTTTATTAAAAATAATTATTGAGTAGCATGTTATCTTGCTGATGATTAACATTTAGGTATTTGAAGTACTGTAGAGTTATTTCATGACTTGTGCAAATTATATATGCTAAGCAAAAGTAGAGAATAAGAAAATATTACAGTTTAAATAATGTGGATAGTTTACCATTCTTGGGGTATGCTTAGGAACAAGGGTGAGGTTGGACTCCTGTGCCCCTTAGTTGTGTTTAGATTCTACATGTTCTCATTATGTGATTCATGTTTCACTGTACTAAGAGTCTAGTATTTTAAGATATTATTCATATATCTTCTCTAAGCATAAGCTCACTGCTTCATCTGGTGCTCAACTGAAGAAATAGTGATTTGCTTTAATACTGGAGGAAAACAAGTTGTGTCAGTCCTATATATTGAGAGATAGTTGTTAAGTCTCCAAAATTATTTTTTCTTTAGGGATTTTCAGGGGTGATTGTTGTCTTTTGTTTTAGAAGCTTAAGTATCTTCCCCTATTGAGAAAGATATAACTCTTAACATTATAAAGATCTTCTTTTCTGTTGAACCCATGGTCTGTTTTCTCTGTTCTTCTACCCTTAAACCAAGGCCAGATAATCAAATCTCTGTGGTCTCTGGATGGGTATATTTGGAAATGGATGTAATATTACTTTCTTCTTGGGACCATGACCTAAGTGTTGCAGGGACCCCATCTTAACTACTTATTTAGAGGTGGAGATTGGGGTTCAAGTTGGATCTACACTGCATTTGTCACATCTTAGGACTGAGGTTCTGTCATCTTATAGTGGCCCCTCCTATTGTTCCTGCCTGTCAAAGCATGACTTGTTCCTCAGGGGTTCATCTCTCCAAAGGCTGTACTAAAGTCTTATTTCACATTGATGTACTTTTTTCTAAACTCCAATTTAAGAAGTAGAGATTCCATTTTTATTGGCCCAATTACTTCCTTTTGTTTCAAAAATCAAAGTTGAATGATACTAATACCCAGTACATTCTTGTGGCCAAGCCATCCTGCTCATGATAATATTGCTAATACCATGGTTCTTACAGATAATCATGAGCACACTTCCTATGGACTCTCCTTATATAGTGCTACCCACTTATTTCAGATGCTCTCCTAGACACAAACACAGTGCAATCCATGTGTACCAAACAGAACTCTTCATGTTCTCATTTGCCTCTCTACACCCTGCCTCTCTTTAACCTCACACATCCAGCTGCTCTCCAAGTATTAGGAACCGCACCTCAGAAATGCTTCTCCAATCTATTTTTATCTATATAGCTTTGTACCATTCAAATCCATCCTTGACATAACTTCTAGAGTTAGCTTCCACAAAAATAAATCTCTTTAGATCACTCCCAGCTTAAAAACCTTTTGGCTCCTATTTCCTACTAGATGAGTCAGAATTTATTGGCATGGCTTATAAAGCCTTACGTAGACCCATTTTTTTTTTTTTTTTTTTTTTTTACATACAGTCTTATCCCTAAGCATGAACTCCTCCCTGTCCACATACATGGTACTTTCTAGCAGCACAGAAGCTTTGTTCCTTCTATTTGAATTCCTATCATTTTATTCTCTCCAAGGCAAGCTCTTCCTTGCCATTCAGTCTATCTCAGAGATCACCTATATGAAGTCTTGCCCAGCTCTGTAATCAGAGTTGTTACTTCTGTGCTTTCATAGCATACATCTCTATAAAAGGACTTATCTTCGTTGGTAACTTATTTGTTTACCTGATTCTTTCAATAGATTGAGAATTATTTGAAGGTTCTTACTTAGCTTTGAAGCATCTTAATTAGCTTGGTATCCTTGTTGCCTCATTCATTACCAGGCATACATTAGAACTTGCTGTACACTAGTTACAGGGAACAAAACTAAAACCAGAAACAGGGTAAAGATCAAGAATCGAGCAAATACCAAAACCATCGTGGAAGCAGAACCAGGGCAAATAAAGCATCAAACCACCAGTGTCATGACAGTTACCAGTAAGGATTCAAGTAAAGCAAGTATAGAATCAGAAGTGTGATTGTGAGGTCAGACAAATCCTAGAAAAATGGAAACCTCCATGTTATGAAGACTAGATGAAATAAATATTTTGCTCTGATAAAGCTTATACAGTTGTTCCTTGGTGTTTGAAGGGGATTAGTCCTAGGACATCCATCCTTCATGAATACCAAAATCCATGGATGCTCAAGTGTCTTACAAAAATGGTGTAATAGCCAGGAACAGTGGCTCACACCTGTAATCCCAGCACTTTGAAAGGCTGAGGCAGGAGGATCACTTGAGCCCAGGAGTTTGAGACCAGCCTAGGCAACATGGCAGAACCTTGTCTTTACAAAAATTAACCAGTCTTGGTGGTGCATGCCTGTAGTGCCAACTACTTAAGAGGCTTAGGTGAGAGGATTGTTTGAGCCCGGCAGGTCTGCAGTAAGCTGTGTTTGTGCCACTGCACTCCGGTGACCCTCGGCGAGACCCTGTCAAAAAAAAAAAGGGGGTGTAATATTTGTATACAACCTACACACATCCTCCCATATACTTTAAATCATCTCTAGATTACTTAAAATATCTAACACAGTGTTGAAATAGTTGAGATGGACAGCTTCATGGAGGTAGTAGTCTTGAACAGGGGCTTTTGTAGGATGGTTAAGATTTTTACAGATGGATAGAAGAGGAAATATCATTTTAGGAGAGAGGAATATTACTAGTGAAAGCATGGAGGTGTAAATAGTCATGCTGTGTGTATGTGGAAACCATTTTAACTATAACAAACGGGAACTTAATCGATTCCCAAAAGTTCAATTGGAGACTGGTGGGGAGAACCAGAAATTAAAATTGAACCCATCAAATTGTATACTTTAAACATGTGCCATGCTTTTTATGTATCAATTATACCTTAATAAAGCAGTTTTTAAAACTTGAATTCATGGAAATAAAGTGCCGTAGAAGAGTTTTTGAAAGAGTGTTATAAATGCTTGACTACACCATTAATTATGCTTATGTTTGGAGAAACTTGGTTTAATACCTCTTATAAGCATGTCTGGACAAGAATTAGCCATGTTGTAATGGACTGTATATGTCCCGATGTTACCAAGGTTTCTTTCCAAAGTTATTTTTTTATAAATTGAAATATGCCTTGACTATGTGGAAAGTACTATCCTTATGAAAAGTTTCTTTTGTTTACATTCTTACAAATTTTTTCTTCTTTTAAAGTGTTAGTGACAAACAGTCTGCGGTAACTGAATCCTCAGAGGGTACAGTATCCTTATTGAGGTGAAGTAAATTGACGTTTTTCTTCTTTGTCTTTCAAATCTTTGATTGAAGCAATTCATGCAGACCTAATAAAAACTACCACATAAATGGTACAATTGAAAGAATATCTCAGGGTCCTAGTTAGCCCAACAGATAGTCACGACTCTGAGACATCTTGAAATTCCAAACTGTAGAGACCTGCTCTGAGACTGGGTTGTTTCACATTGTTTCTACAAAGCCATTATTGGAATACACATATAGGGAGTTCTTGAGCTTAAAACAGATGTTTAGTAAACACTTCTCTGTCACAGAAACAAAGATATGATACTGGGGCAGGAAGGGGATGGCAATTACATTTCTAATGAATGCCCCATGCCAATTTTATGAAAGTTACTTGAAAAACTTTATTTGATCTAATAGAATCGCTGTGACAGACAATACAACCTGTCCCGAGGGCAGAAAGTCTGCATGAATGATTTCTAACATAGAGCAGTTGGGATCACAAGTGGAACCATGGGGAGGAGGTGGCTGACTTCATGTGGAGGAGGTGATTGGACATGAGGAACTGAGAGGCCAAGATGGTATATGAATTGTCTGTGAGAACACTGAAATAATTCATAATAGCAGCACTTAGGTGTAGAGAAAGATCTGTGAATGATGAAGAAGTGCTTGGAAGGATGGTAAATGGCTGTGAAGAATGATTGAAGGTGATACATCTCAGTGGCATGAATCCTCAAGGCTGAAGTTTCTATGGAAGCAGGATCTTGAAAGTGGCATTCATTAGGAAATGAAAACTGCTGTCTCTGGAGTCCTATAGTTTATGGAGGGTGGAAGATTAAGCCAATCTCTACTTGAGAAGGCTACCAAGGAGAGAAACATTGTCCCCAGGGGAAAGCTAGATTTTAGACAAGGCAAAGAGCGGAGAGGAATGGGTGAAGAGATTGAGAATGACATTCTAGAAAGGACAATAGAAAGTCTTAGGAAGGAGGGACAGAGGGGAAGAGAGAAAGGATGGCTGGTCACCTAGAGTATCTATAGGGATAAAAGTATAGCTAAAATAACCTACATTTTAGGTGGAGATAATACAGCTGCCTAAGCTTAGGTGAACTGCTTTTTGAATCTTAGTTTGCTCCTTCATAAAATTGGATTAATATAATACCAATTTGGCAGAGTTTTCAAAAAAAATGATGCCACATCCTGTGTTTCCAAACAGCCTTACCTTTCAAAACTCTTTTTGGAAGCTGTAAAGATAATCAAGTGATACCTGCCATTATGTAAAGGAATTTTGGAATCCGTCTTTGGGGAAATAAAAGCCATAAGAGAGAATGAAAGCTAATACTTTGTAGTTTAAGGATTTTTTTCCTTGATGTATCTAATTGGAAGGCCGAAAGAGTCTTGTCTTTTCTTTTTTTTGCCTGCTTCTTCTGAGACATCAAAAAACATCTTGATTTCTGCGGAGTAGATGAGATGGAGAAAGATGAGACAGGCAACAGAAATCTTAAGAGGCCACAGGTTAAGATGGGGTACTAAGCAGGGAGAGCACCAAAGGAAGTAGGCCAAAGTATTAATAGAAGATCCTAGAACAGATTAAGGCAAATCATTTACCTGTTTTCCATTGCCTTACTATCTTTCTGGAGCCAATTACAAACTTTCCTGTTTTATTTTAGGTCTCACAAGAATCTTTTCTTATCTAAGTTGCAACATGGAACCCAGCAACAAGACCTTAATAAGAAAGAAAGAAGAGTAGGAACTCCTCAAAGTGAGTACTGTTATAACAGTTTTAGAAGGGGAGAATTGATGTGTCCTCAAACAATCCAGCCATTGACTTTACCACTATAGCAAAAAAACACACACTTCAGAAAACTGAAGCACAAAGTCTTGACTTCATAGAGTTAATTGAGATAGTGTTTAATTTAGAAAGTTAGCTATTTTGACTGTCTAGCTTAGGGTTCTTTTGCTATGGTGGTACACTGCTTTTCTACCTTCACTGTGTTCAGCAACTTCAAGTATAGTCATATGCCACATCATGACATTTCAGTCAAAGACAGACTGCATTGCATATAGGATGGTGGTCCTGTAATAATGTAATGGAGCACATATGGAAACTTGATAATGTGGCACTTGATATTGGCATTGCATATCAAGTAGGGGAAATGATTGATAATTAGCAATGGTACTGGGAACCGTGGGTTTTCTATATGAATATATATATATATATGTATGTTTGTGTAAGTGTACTCTTAATAATGTTCACATAAGGACAAAATCACCCAACGCCCCATTTCTCAGAACATATCCCCCTTGTAAAGCAATCCGTGACTGTAGTTACTTTTCAGAAACATTAAGTACAGTTGATTCTTGTTATTCACAGTAGTTACGTTTAATAAAGTCTGAGAGCGTTGACTTAGCAAATTACAAGTTTCTTTTTGGTATGTAGTCATTTAACAAATGTTTATTGACCCCACAGTAATATTTTAGGTACTGAACTGATACTGAGATTTTTTTTTTTTATACTTTAAGTTTTAGGGTACATGTTCACAACGTGCAGGTTTGTTACATATGTATACATGTGCCATGTTGGTGTGCTGCACCCATTAACTCGTCATTTAGCATTAGGTATATCTCCTAATGCTATCCCTCCCCCCTCCCCCCTGAGATTTTTAATATGGATCTAAACCTAAATACTTATTGATAAAAATAATAGACATAATGAAATTAGGTTTATTTCTCCATGCTCATAAGGTACCATCTTGGTGCCAGGCAAATGATAGGCCTGCAGTAAATATTATAGAATAAATTTGTTCATACCTGATGGCTGATGACATGGCAACCATTAGCAAATATTTGTAAATAGAGTTCTAAAATATTTACATTCATAGATATCATTCCCATTTTTAAAGATGAGAAAACGGAAACTCAGTAAAGTTATGTGCTTAATGTTGGTGGAGTTCCAAGATTGGTTTTCTATACCTATTGCTGCAAGACGGCTGGGAATCATTTTAAATGAGAATAATGTGAGCATTTTCCTAGGGTTTTAATTTCATAGTATGAAATTCAAAGAAAAGGAAATGTAGGCCAGGCGCAGTGGCTCACGCCTATAGTCCTAGCACTTTGGGACGCTGAGGCAGGTGGATTGCCTGAAGAGCTCAGGAGTTTGAGACCAGCCTTGGCAACATGGCGAAACCCCGTTTCTACTAAAAATAGAAAAAATTAGCCAGGCATGGTGGTGCCTGCCTGTAATGCCAGCTACTCAGGAGGCTGAGGCACGAGAATCCAGCTTGAACCTAGGAGGTGGAGGTTGCACTCCAGCCTGTGTGACAGAGCGAGACTGTCTCAAAAAAGAGAAAACATGGTTTATCAGCAAACTCGAAGACTATAAACTCTTTGCAAACTGGCTTGACAGTGACTGTGGCTATTGAGTCTATAAGGTCTTTGAGTTTTAGCACATTTTATTAGGTGTCAGTAATAAGTACGTTTTCTTAAAAAAATTCAGTGTACTTCAGTGGTACCCAGGTACCCCCTCTTTATAGTTTGAGGCTAATAATTTTGTTTGTGCTAAACCTTTTTTTCTCTTCTTTTTCTGTTTTTGGAGACAGAGTCTTACTTTGTTGCCCAGGCTGGAATGCAGTGCAGTGGTGAGATCTTGGCTCACTGTAGCATCTACCTTCCCAGGCTCAGTTGATCCTCCCACCTCAGCCTTCCAAGTAGCTGGGACCACAGGCACATGCCGCCACACCCTGCTATTTTTTTGTTTGTTTGTTTGTTTGTTTGTTTTGAGATGGGGTCTTGCACTGTCACCCTGGCTGGAGTGTGGTGGATCAATCTCGGCTCACTGCAACCTCCATTTCCAGGTTTCAAGCAATTCTCCTGCCTCAGCCTCCTGAGTAGCTGGGATTACAGGAGTGTGCCACCACACCCGGCAGATTTTTGTATTTTTAGTAGAGACGGGGTTTCGCCATGTTGGCCAGGCTGGTCTGGAACTCCTAACCTCAGGCAATCCGCCCACCTCGGCCTCCCCAAAGTGCTGGGATTACAGGCGTGAGCCACCACACCCGGCCTTTTTGTGTTTTTTGTAGAGGTGGGGTTTGGCATGTTGCCCCTGCAGGTCTCTAACTCCCAAACTCAAGCAATCTGCTTGCTGTAATTGTGCTGAGATTACAGGCATGAGCCACTGCTCCCAGCCCTAACCTTTTTTTCAAAAACTAATTTTTGTGTTGTAAAATTGACATATGCTTAGGGAAAAAAAATCAAGTTAATTCAGAAAACTTGAAAGAAAAAGCCAAATCATCCAGATTTCATCAGTGCAGAAAAACTCACCAGCATTGAGTGAAATTATTAATATTTGAGTTGAAAGCTTTTTATAGGTAAATGCATTCAATCCTCAAAACAACCTTATGAGATTAGTGCTTTTTTTTTTTATCATCTCCATTATACAGATGAGGAAGCTGAGACTTAAAAAGGTAAATAAAATGCCTTTGGTTACACAGTGTATGAATAGAACAGGAGCCAAAATTTGAAATCAGACAGTCTGACTCCAGAGCCCAGGCTTTTAATTGCTTAGATGGACTACCTCAGTAGAAGAATGTATAGATTGAAAGCAAATCAAATTTTAGAAAAATGTCATCAAGTTACATATGTTACTTTAAAATATATTTACATTTAATTTTTAATATGTAAAACTGAAGGATTCAGTACTTCAGATAAAGGTGGTTTCACAAGAAATCTATCAGTAACCTTTATGATCTGTGTAAAATAAAGAATATGAAATGCTTTAAGAGGTCATTCAACTTTAGTTAATCAACTTTAGTCTGTTGATTGACCTTAGCAAAAATTTCTTCCACCAATCCCCAAATTTTCTTGGTTATATTTTATATAATCAATAGTTGTAGCATTGTTTTCCCATGTTGGATTTTCAGTTCAAAATACTTTTTCATTTTTGTAGAGACTTTTTTACTGACCTATGAGGGAAGTTGTTTAATTTCCAAATATCTTTCTGTTACTGATTTTTAGTTTAATTCTATTTCAGTCTGTGAATATGCTTCGTAGATTTTTTTTTTTTTAAGATTTGTTTTATGGCCCACAGTATGGTTTATTTTGGTCCATTTGGATGTGCACAGAGAAGAACGTGAATTCTGGCATTGTTGAATGAAGTGTTTTAAAATGTCAATTAGGTCAAGTTTTTAATAATGCTGTTCAGGTATTCTATATATGTACTCATTTCCTGTCTATTGTTGTATCAATTAGAAAAGTGATAAATCTCCCAAATATAATTATGAATTTGTCTTTACATTTATGTGATTATTTGCTTTTTGCTATTTTAGTCCCCTAGCACCTGTTTAAACATTTCTCCTAATGCTAAAATCTCTCCATCAGAGCTAGTGTGGTTTCCATTTTCCTGACTGGAACACACCCAGTATATATGTCAAAATCCCATATATGTCAACATCCCATGTTTGTAGTAGGGTAATCTTATTGTTTTTCAAGAGTATCTTGACTATTCTGGTGTTTTGGTGTTCCATATTGTCAGGGAAAAAACCTAGCCATAGGGCTTTATAAGCAGTAAACCTGCTGCTACTTTATAGATACAAAAGGTAGACAACAAGACTTAGTGACTTAATGAGTTAGAGTAAGACAGATTATTATAGCAAACAACATGGCATTGATGTAGTTGTTCAGATTTCCCTACCCCAAGTCCGGTGGACTATGCAACAGGCCTAAATGGATGCTGCGAAGGCAGTAAGTTATATTTCAGCTGAGGAAAACTCAGAGCCAAGGGCCCAGTGCTTTTTGAGTAAGCAACAAAACATTGTAACAAATAGCAAACAAGCCAGTACCCTCTCCCAGGAGAGAGCAGTTGGCCTGGTCATCATGTTGTGGTTTCCTTGACCTGCTTAATTGCCTATCTGACTGGCTATAGAAAATGCACTATTTCAGGAGATGAATAAGGCTTTTCTACATTCAACAGGAATTGCAGGGGTGCTCAGAGCCAATAGTGGACTACCTGTCTTAACACATAATTTTAGAATAATTTTGTTAAACTATACGAAGAACCCTGTTGAGATTTTTATGTGAAATTGCATTGTTAACAATAGATGATTTTGCAGAGAACTGACACCATTACATTAAGTTTCCTGTGCATGAACAAAATACATTTCTCTAACATGTTTTTATATATACAGTCATCCCTTGGTTTTCACAGGGTATTGGTTCCAGGACCCATCCCCCCGCCCCCACAGCAGGGATACCAGAATTCTCAAATGCTCAAGTCCCTTACATAAAATGGCATAGTCTTTGCATATAGACCTGTGCACCCGCCTACCACATGCTTTAACTCATCCCCAAATTACTTACAGTAACTAAAACAATGTAAATGATAAATAACTAAATTGTAGTAAATAATTGTTAGACTATATTTTTTATTTGTATCACTTTTATTATTGTAGTTATATATAAATATATATAATATATATTTATATATAATATATTATATATATATGACCTATGAGGGAAGTTGTTTAATTTCCAAATATCTTTCTGTTACTGATTTTTAGTTTAATTCTATTTCAGTCTGTGAATATGCTTCATAGATTTTTTTTTAAAGATTTGTTTAATGGCCCACAGTATGGTTTATATGTAATATAATATATAATATATATAATATATAATGTACATAATATATAATTATAATATATATAATAATTATACTACATATAATATATATCATATATTATATAAAACCCCATATATACTATATAATTAATAATTTATATATTATAATATATAATAATTTATATTATAATATATAATATAATAATATATATTATATAATATAATTTATATATAATTATAATATAATAATTTATATATAATTATAAAGCTTTACTATGTATATAAAACATGTTATGAGAAGCTTTATCTATCTTATCTACCTATCTACTTACCTACCTACCTACCTAACTGTTGGCCCTCTATATTCACAGATTCCACATCTGTGGATTCAACCAACCTTGGAATAAAATATTTGGGGGGAAAATACATATAAATTTTTATATATAATATATAATATATATTATATATGTTATATTAACATATAAAATATATTAAATATATTTATATATAATAAATTTATATATTTGGAATAAAATATATAAACCTTGGAACCTTGGAATAAAATATTCGGGGGGGAAAATATATATATTTTTTATATATAATATATATAACATATCATAAATTTATTATATATATTATATATTATATATAACATATATAATATATATTATATGTATAATAATATTATATTATATATAATATATATTATATAGTATAATATTATATTATATATAATATATATTATATAGTATGAAATATATATTATATATAATATTATATAGTATAATATATATATTATATATAATATATAGTATAATAATATATATATTATATATAATATATAGTATAATAATATATATAATATATAATATATAAATATGATATATAATATATATAAATATGATATATAATATATATAAATATGATATAATATATAATATATATAAATATTATATATATATAAAACATATATATATTTTTCCCCCCGAATATTTTATTCCAAGGTTGGTTGAATCCACAGATGTGGAACCTGCGAATATAGAAGGCCAGCAGTAGGTAGGTAGGTAGGTAAGTAGATAGGTAGATAGATAGATAAAGCTTCTCATAACATGTTTTATATACATAGTAAAGCTTTATAATTTACTACATACAAATGTATCACTTTTGATAAAGTTATCTAAGAGGCCATGACCTGATGGCTCATACCTGTAATTCCAGCACTTTGGGAGGCCAAGGCAGGAGGATTACTTGAGCCCAGGAATTAAGAGACCAGCCTGTGCAATATAGTGAAACCATGTCTTTACAAAAAAATTTTAAAAAATTAGTCGGGCATGGCGGCCGGTGCCTCTAGTACCAGCTACTCAGGAGGCTGAGGTGAGGGAGGATAAGGCAGAAGTATCACTTGAGCCCAGGAGTTTGAGCTGTGATCATACCACTGCACTTCAGCCTAGGCAAAAGAGAGAGACCCTATCTCTTAAAAAAAAAAAGTTACCTCTAAGAATGTTAGATTTTTTTGTGGCTATTGTAAATAGTATCTTTATATTGTTTTAATTAAATTATTTTAACTGTTTGTTGCTAATGAATAGAAATCCTATTGCTAATGAATGAAATCCTTTTTGTGTATTGATCTTACTGATCTTTTAATTCTATTTGTAGATTCTCTTAGGTTTTCTGCCTAAACAATTATCATTTTTCAGTAATTACAGTTCTGTTTCTTTTCAGTTACATATATTTGTCTTACCAAACTGACTATGAATAAGAAAGAAGGAGTGAGGAAAGGATTATGCTTCTTAGTACTCCTAAAACATTATCGTAAGAAAATTTCAACGATCCTATGCAATAAATATTTTTCCTTTTTTTTTAAACAGATAATGGAAAGACAGGTTCAGGGATGTGAAATGATTTATTTAAAGACATATAAAAGAATCAAGACTCAAAACACTCCCCCTCTGATTTCAAAGGCTGATCTTTGCACTATACCATACTGCTTCCAGATTTGAAGGAAAAAGTTAAACATGTACTTTTTCTTAGAATAGCTTAGAAAAGGAATTTCATTATAATCATTAAAAATATAATTGCTCTTTTTTCTTTAATGTAAATCAATATTTATGACATTATTTTTCTACTTTTAGGTACAAAAAAGAAAAAAGAAAGCAGAAGAGCCACTGAAAGCAGAATACCTGTTTCAAAGAGTCAGCCGGTAACTCCTGAAAAACATCGAGCTAGAAAAAGACAGGTATTTGGTTTTTTAAAATTCGAATAACGCTTATGGACATTAAAGTTATAACTTGAATAATTGTGATTATTTCTGTTCAACCTCCCCAAAATTTTGAGTGTAAAATATTTGCCCTTTGCCATCTTTTATTTTGCCGTCTTAGATAGGTGACTAATCAGCCTATTCAAAATGAAATACTTCACCCATATTTAAAAAGTCTTAAGTTGGGTGTTGGTACTGACATCTGTTTGGAATTATTGTGATACTATCATAAAATCTGTTTATTAGATGTAAGGTGGGACTTAACTCCACATTATAAGCTTTGATGTTTAAATTTTCCTAACAGGGATCCAGTGTAAAAAGAGTTTTCTTTACTTAAAAACAAAGAAAAGATACCATTTGATCACAAAATTTTATTAAGGTGGGTCAATTTAGGGCTTGATTCATTTGCTTCCCCTTTCAGTGACTATAGTCTTGTGCCATCTGTCCAGTGTCTGAAACCATTATTTTATGTATTTTTTGATTGTCTAGTTGTTCACAGCAGATGGATAAATCTGGTCTTTGTTTTTGTGGTGTGTGTGTGTGTGTGTGTGTGTGTGTGTGTGTGTGTGTGTGTGTTTCCCCCTTTTTTTTGTAGAGATGGTGTCTCACAATGTTGCCCAGGCTGGTCTTGAATTACTTGGCTCGAGTGATCCTCCCACCTTGGGCTCCAAAAGTGCTGGGACTGTAGGCATGAGCTACTGCACCCAGTCAGGCCCTTGTTTTCTTTTGTGGCTGGAACCGTTTTCTTACTCGAAGGTGCCTTTTTTTTTTTTTTTTTGACAAGCTAATTGCAAATAGTTCATACTGAGGTGCTGCAGATAGTGTCAAGTTGCACGCTACTCGGAATATCTTCTGTGACTCAAAGTTATGTTACCCTTCATTTCTCCCCCAGTGAACATAGCAAGCAACTTCTACTTTTCATTTGCTTCCTACACATATTACTTGCCTTTGTGATTCCCTTTTTTAGCCTTGCCATCTCTGGCCTTTAGTAGGTTGAGGGGAGCTCCTGCTGTTGCTGACCAGAGATTTAGGGGGTGTACCTCAGGGTATTTTCATTAGAAAAACAGATGGCACACACTTCCTGAGATCTGTAGACAGAGTTGCTTTTTCATACACCTAAGTTGCACTGATTATTTATACCCTTTCTACCTACATTATGGTTCAGGTTGTAAATTTCTCTTAACTTTTTTCAGAGTTTGGGATTTTATTTCTTGTTGCTTTTGGGTGAATTCCCAAAGGAGAAGAGGGAAATGCTAACCTTATGCTACCATATGTGACCACAGTCATGCATATGTTTTGTGCTGGATTTTTTTTGCAGTTTGAATATGATGTACATGTATATAGTTTGTTATTTATCCTGCTTGGTATTTTCTGAGCTTCCTGAATCTGTAGTTTGGTGTCTGTCTTTAGTTTTGGAAAATGCTCAGCCATTATTACTTCAAATCTTTCTTTTGTTCCTTTCCTTCTTCTTCTGGTGTTCCCATTATGATTCCAAATGTTACACCTTTTAAGATTGTCCCACTGTTCTTAGTTATTCCTTTATCTTTTTCATTCTTTTTTCTGTTTACTTTTCAGTTTGAGAACTTTCTATTAATATATCTTCAAATGTACTGATTCTTTCTTCAGCTGTGTTTAATCTGCTTATGAGCCCATCAGAGGCATTGTTCATTTCTGTTACCATGTTGATTTCTGGCATTTCCCTTTGGTTCTTTCTTAGAGTTTTCATCTCTCCATTTACATTTACCCATCTGTTCTTGCATGTTGTCCACTTTTTCCATTAAATCCTTTGACATATTGATCATAATCATTTTAAATTCCAAGTCTGACAATTTCAAAATCTGTGCCATATCTTGAGTGTGGTCCTGGTGCTTGCTTTGTCTCTTCAGACTGTGTTTTTTGCTTTTTAGCATGTTTATAATATTTTGCTGATAGCTAGACATGATATATCAGGTAAAAGGAAATGAGATAAATGATCCTTTAATGTGAGGTTTTATGTTTATCTGTCTAGGAGTTACCGTTTGTAGCTGTAGGTGTCAAAGGCTAAAATTTCCTTTAGTGTCCTGTTTTTGTCTCTCTTGTTGTCTCTGGGTTTCCCTAGAGACTGCTTTTTAATAAGAATCTGAGGGACCTCTTTCAACTATAACGCCCAGGATCCTGACTAATGTAGTGGTAAGGTAAGGGGAGGTGAAGCGTTCTGGAGTCCTGTGCATAGTTCTCCTTCTTTTAGTAAGCCTGTGTCCTAGGCTGTGACCTTCATAAGTGCTTCTCAGCCCACCACCCCTTGGGTGAGACATGAAGGCTAGAGAGGGGTGGAGTTGAGTATTTCCACAGGTAAGTTAGGTTCTGGTAAAACCTCAGTTGGTTAGGTTCTGGCAAAATTAGTTTCTCTTGAGGAAAGGATTTTGTTAAGAAGACCAGAACGCTTTCCTCATTTATTTTGAAATGGGGAGTATTTCTAATTGGGGAGTATTTCAAAATGGCTACTTTTTCCCTCCGCCTGTCAGAAGCAGGAAGGAATTTTTGTGTAATCTTTACCCTGAGACCTGGGGGGGCTCCTGGAGATAAAACTCACAAAAGTTTGTGAGTCCCTCTGAAACTGGGCCCTTGGAGTTTTTAACTCTGAAGCTTATCCACACGGATCCTCCATCAGTTCCTCAGTCACAGTTAATTGCTCCTACCAGTATTGGCTCCAGCTGTGAGCTTCTGCTCCTGGCCTTTCTGTCCCCAGTAATTCTTGTGATTTTCTCAATCTGCCTCTCTCTCTCTTTAGTTTTCAGGACAGCAGTTTGCCCTGTGACATTTGTTCTTTGATGTATCTAAGAAGAGTTACTGAGTTTCAGTTTGTTCAACAGCTTTTTTCTTCTGGGGACTGTAGTGATGATTTCCAAGCTCTTCACATGTTAGATTGGAAACCAGAAGTCTCTGTCTTATACATATAACTGATCTTTCCCTATAGTTCTTCCAGCAGCCATTCCAAATGAGGTGTTATTTACAGATATATATGAGGAAAACAGTTGTTTCTCTTCTATTCAAAACGAAATATAGGATATCGACCACATAATCAGTGATAATATCTATCACCATTTCCTATGCCAAAAAAGAATTCTGTGGATATCACAAGGGCCTGGTTTTATTTTTTAGCTTTCCGTTGTTGGCCTTTTGTTAAAATACTTGTTTTAGAAGATAAGTGACAGACTTAATTTTATTTTGTATTGAGGTTTTTAAAAAAAAAAACTTACGGCAATAGCCCATGTCTACTTGGACAGTTTTCTTTTGCTGCATTGGTCTGTTAAAGATATTTCTTCCTTCCTCATCAGAATTAAAGAGCCCTCCTTTTATAAACTTATTCCATTAAAGAAGAAAAGTAAATGCCTTTCAAACTGTTTTCCATAAACAGTATGTAATGAGAAATACTGTAGCAGTATTTTCTTTTACTATTCGTAGTATCATTTTAAGGCATTAAAAAGCATTATTTGTTCTTTAGAATGGATATACAGTGCAGATCTGAGTTATGTAATCTCTAGCCTTGGGAAAGAAAAAGATTGGTGTGTTTTAATTTGTTATGTGCTCTTTGTATCTTTTCAGGCTATTGGCATGGCTGGGGTTGTTAAGATTTTGTATTTGATTTTTTGAGAAAATAAAAGACAAATGACAATAAAACAAAGGAAATGGGTTGTATGGGTTTAATGTCCAGAAATACATCATCTTAAACTCTTCCCTTAATTATTACTATCAGTGGAATCTGGTACAATCAGTTAAATGTATAAAATGAGGAAATGGAAAGTTTTAAGCACAATAGTAGACTTTATGAAATTGTACTGCCCTTATGTTTTCTTTCTGATCTGACACAGGTCAGTTGTGTCACTCATTAAACTCTAGCTATAGAAAGTAGAAGTTGGTACCAATGACTACTAGGCCACTTGAACCTCTAAACTTAAAAATTACAGCTTTCCTTACTTGCCAGACGATAGCTTATTCTGTATGATGTTTTCAAAACTCTTTCAGTCACAGGTAAAATTAAGCAAAGACTGAAAACATTCAGATCAAGCAAAACAATCAAGGCATAATCAACCATGAAATAACACTATATCAAGCTAAAGTTACTCTTTTTCAATAGAAGAAAAAAATAAAATACTTAATGCTAAACACTGTTAGTTTTCAGTTAATCTATACTGACAACATTACTACTTTCCTCTAGGTTAGGGGTGAGCAAAATTTTTCTATAAAGAGCAAGATTTATAATATATTTATTACTAATGTATTTTATGTATATTTCACATACATAGTTTCTGTTACATATTTTAAATATATTTTTTAAATGACTTAAATTTTAATATGGTTCTTAGCTCCGGGGCTGTAGAAAACCAGCCTTGGGCTGGGTTTTGGCAGTGGCTTGCTGTCCCCTGCTATAGATGATACATGGGAAAATACTGCTTAAACATACTGCACCCAGGACCCCAAATAGGATTCAGAAAACATTGGTCATTTCTTGAAAGAAAGGGGCTTTTGTATTGTATCAAACGTCATCTGTGCACCTTATTAAAAATACTACAGCTCAGATAAGAACAAGAAAACAATGCTGTATATGTGTATGAAATTTGTCTAAACCACAAACTACTTTTTAAAGCTGAATAACGTATATGGCAAGTTTTTGAAAGAACAGAAATGCTTAACTTGGAGACCATGGAGTTGATAGGCTCTTTAAAGAGAGTTTATGTGGCCCCCAAATTTGTATATGAAATTTTAGATACTATACTTTTCTGTGGAGTACGTCTGTAAGATTTATATGACCCCAAAGATTAATAACCCACTGTTGAAGTGCTTTTAATCAGTCACCCCACACATGAAAAATTTATTAATGCATCTCTTGGTTTTTGTCAGTTAATGACAAGCAGTGTAGTGAGGTTTTGTAGGAGTGAAGGCCGAGTCAGGCAGTAATAGATGGTCATAGGAGGCTGTCAGCCTTTGTCTAGCGATTGAATAGCCATGTACTTGTAAGCAGCACAGTTGCCGATAGGTGTGCTGCAGACAAACAAAAGCAAAAGCACGTACAGAAGAGACCAGGTTCGTATCTTGGATTTAAGTCACAAAGCAGAGGAATAGCAAGAACAGGGGATCAGGTTTAAGGTAGCTCAAACAAACTTCTGCATGGGTTTGGTTACGGTCACTGCCAACTTTTTGGTACTGAGTCATACACGAGATGGTTCTCATGTCATGTTTGTATTCTTCAGGCCACCTTGAATTCTTTCTAATATTGCATTAGACAATTGAACTGGATTTTTTTTTCTTCGATTATAGTAAAGTACACATGATATAAAATTTACCATTTGCCATTTTAACTATTTTTAAGTGTACAGTTTGGTAGCATTAAATATATTCATATTGTGCTACCATCACTACCATCTATCAATAGCACTCTTCCTCTTACAAAACTGAAACCGTACTCCTTAAACAGTAAGTCCATTTCCATCCTCCCAGCCCCCTTGCCACCATCATTCTACTTTCTGTTTATGAGTTGGACTATTCTAGGCACCTCATATCAGAAGTAGCATAGTATTTTTCTTTTTCTGTCTAACCTAATGTCCTCAAGGTTTATCCATGTTCTAGAATGCGTCAGAACTTCCTTTTTAAGGCTGAATTATATAAGTATAATATATAATATAATTTTGTTTATCCATTTATCAGTTGATGGACAGTTGGGTTGCATCCACATTTTAACTATTGTGAATAATGCTGCTATGAACATGGATGTACAAATACCTCTTCAGGTCCCTGCTCTCGACTCTTTTAGATATGTACCCAGAAGTGGAATTGCTGGATCATATGGTAGTCCTTTTAAAAAATTTTTTGGGTAACTGTCATACTGTTTTCCATAGTGGTGCTATAATTTTACATTCCCACCACTAGTGCACACAGGTTCCAATTTATCCATATCCTCACCAACACTTATTTTGTGTTTTTTTGATAGCAGCCATCTGAATGAGTGTGGGTTGATGAACCGGGTTTTTAAAGAAAATCTGAAGTGCTGGAGAATTTCTTGTAGTCTAGACACAGTAAATAACCACGCAGATGGTCAAATTGCTCTTTCAGCATGCCAACAGAAGGAATAATTAGTTAGTTGCCTGTAGCAAATGCCAAGTATCAGTAATTTTTCTGTGTATAGTATTAAATTTGATTTTTAAAAATGTTTAGGAATTTTCTCCCAGCATAAAATTAAATGTTTTTAATTAGTTTATGTTAGTTGTATTTTTGAAAGTCTATTTTAGACAAGATTTGAGTTTTATATGGGTGTGTAATACTTCCCCTACCATAGGCAGAACAGGTTTTTCACTGAGTTCATTAGTGAACTACTAAACATTCACAAAGCCTATTTGGAGATTTGGAGGATAATAAATACAACTATTAACAATTGTAGAAGAGCATTTTAAGAGACAGTGTGGGCTTAAAGTCAGACAAATTCAGTTGACATGTAGCACTGCCACTTTCTAGCTATCTGATCTTGGGCAGCTGAGCTTACATAAAATGAACAGTAATAATAATGACCCCTAAAAATGTTACGATAAATGTAAAATCTTTTAAAAATCTAAGAAATGTTTAGAGAAGTCTTCCGTCTTTAAGAAACTAAGCATTATTTTGATTTTTTAAAACTGGCATTTATAGTAGGTATTTTCTTTTTGAATAATTGTTTCTGTAAATAACTGTTTTACTTTTTATCAAAAGGCATGGCTTTGGGAAGAAGACAAGAATTTGAGATCTGGCGTGAGGAAATATGGAGAGGGAAACTGGTCTAAAATACTGTTGCATTATAAATTCAACAACCGGACAAGTGTCATGTTAAAAGACAGATGGAGGACCATGAAGAAACTAAAACTGATTTCCTCAGACAGCGAAGACTGATTGTGTTTGTAAAAGCTTGATGAAAGGACAGTTAAGTATTTTGATCACTGCATTTTGTTTGAAACTTGTGTCATTGATGTAATTTAAAACTTTTGTTTAAAGCATTACAGTATTTTTCTGTGACCATCAATTAATGAGGGTTTGTGCTACCAGAGTTAAAGCATATGCTATCATTGTATTCTTTAAGAACCTTATTTTGATAAAATGTAAATTTGTTGAACCCTGCCACATTTAGTATCCCCACCCCCAAATCCTGTTCCAATGAAAAAATTAAAACCTGATACGAAAAAAAAAAAATTCCAGTTAACCTATTTTGTGTCTGTAGGCTGACCTCAACCCTGTAACGTAACCCATTAAAATGAATTTCTTTTTTTTTAAGACAGAGTTTCTCTCTGTTGCCCAGGCTGGAGTGCAGTGGCGCAATTTCAGCTCACTGCAACCTCTGCCTCCCAGGTTCAAGTGATTCTCCTGCCTCAGCCTCCTGAGTAGCTGGGATTACAGGCACACACCACCACGCCCAGCTAATTTTTGTATTTTTAGTAGAGGCGGGGTTTCACCATGCTGGTCAGGATGTTCTCCAACTCCTGACTTCATGATCCACCCACCTCGGCCTCCCAAAGTGCTGAGATTACAGACGTGAGCCACTGCGTCCTGCCTAAAATGAATTTTCTAGATGATTGAATAACAGTAGTCCTTTGATAGAAGATAATGACTTGGTTTATGGCCTTAATATACTACTTAATTACTTAAGATGTTTATTAATAGAATGATAAATGTACAGAGTAACCTATAAGCATGACATACTTTTGCTTTCAGTAGTTTCATGTAAAGAAAAAAACTTGAAAATAGTAATACCTGAGTACCCATGGGAATAATAGACACTGGGGAGGTAGGGTGGGGAGCGGGAGCAAGAGCTGAAAAACTTACCTACTGGGGACTGTGCTCACTACCTGGGTGACAGGATCATACGTACCCCAAACCTCAACATCACACAGTATACTCAGCTAACAAACCTGCCCATGTGTTTCCTGAATCTAAAATAAAAATCGAA
The DNA here is from genome assembly GCF_000001405.40 of Homo sapiens. Classification (NCBI taxonomy): domain Eukaryota; kingdom Metazoa; phylum Chordata; class Mammalia; order Primates; family Hominidae; genus Homo; species Homo sapiens. The sequence goes on from NC_000008.11 coordinate 73,047,189, forward strand.
ATAATTTTTTTAAAAAAGAAAAAGACAATAGTATTACCCATGGGACAAAATTTGTACTATTAGCAAGAATCATTTTGTGTCTCATTTAGAAACAATTTGACTTTTGTTCCAGTGTTTAAACTTTGACAAAAATGGTTTTGAATAGATCTTTATAACCTGATGCCATAAATACAAGATTCTCTGATACCTTCATTTAATATATCAATATTGGGCCTAAAACAGTATTCTGTAAAGCTTAAATTGGTATTAACTATGATCATCTTGATGTCTATGATAGATAATAAACAAGGTCATACATACCTTACTAAACAATTTTGGTTTTTCACCAACATTTTATTCTTTAAAAGATTTAGACTAACAGAATTATTTAGCATTTCGAGTCATGTGCTTTATTTAGCAAGTGAGTAAAAATATTGGAATATTGAAGTATTTGCATAAAAAATCAAATGGTGGTGTTTTGTAATCTCTATTGTATTTCCTATTAAGGTTTCATATATTACTTTCCCATTGTTCCTGAATTTGTTATCCTATATATAAACAGAAACATGGATGAGTACCATATACTTCCTGACTCCTTTATCTTGTTACACCACAAGATACTGCACTATTTATTGGAGATATTTTGATGATTAGTGCCAAGGCTGGCATCATGAGCCAAAATAGACTTGTTAAGTCAACCTCATTCCAAACACCTGCTATAGATCATCAAATCTAAGTTGCCATTAATTGTAAGATGTCCTGTTATTTCACACACACAACTAGAAAAGAAAAATCGGTATCAATTATAGTATGGTGCTTTCTTATTTTGAATTTTACTTATTAGAAGAGCTATTTTAGATGTATTTAAACATAAGATTTTTATCACATAACTTGTGGATACAAAAAAAGAGAAATTGTAAGCAAAATAAGTTGGGTAATATATTCCTAAAACCTCATCTTCTCCAGTCTGAGTATTTTTTTGAATCCTTTTTTTTGGTTTTGTTTTGTTTTGAGACAGGGTCTCACTTCATTGCCCAGCCTGGAGTGCAGTGGCACAATCACAGCTCACTGCAGCCTCTACTTCCTGGGCTCAGGTGATTGTCCTACCTTGGCCTCACAAGTAGCTGGGACTACAGGCATGTGCTGCCACTCCCAGCTAATTTTTGTATTTCTTTGTAGAAATAGGGCTTCTCCATGTTTCCCAGGTTGGTCACAAACTCCTGGGCTCAAGAGATCCATCCACCTCAACCTCCCAAGGTGTTGGGATCACAGGCATGAGCCACTGAGCCCTGGCCCCTGAATTCTTTTTAGTCAGAATTTCTGTTGAGGTAATGTAAATTCACATGCAATTGTAAGACATAATATAGAGATCTCTGTACACTTGGCCCTGTTTCCCCAAATATTAATATTTTGTAAAACTATAGTGTATCACCACCAGGATATTGATATTGATACAATCCATTCAACTTATTTCCCCAGTTTAGTATTCTGTGTATTTAGATCTAAACAGTATTATCACTTGTGTTCATACATCCACCACCATGAGGATCCCTCACATTGCTCTTTTGTAAGCACACATACCTCTCTTTCCCCAAATCCTGACAGCCACTAACATATCCTCTATTTATAAAAGTTAATCATTTTAAAATCTTATATAGTGACATCACCAAAAATAGCAAAATGGGGAGCTCCAAAGATCTGTCCCTCCACTGAAGCAACCATTGCTAGCAAAAACTTAAGATCAACTTTTTGGATCTCTACTAATAAAAACAACAACCAGAGGAATGCTTAATGAAAAGGCTATTTAGCTTTGGTAAAAGAGTTTTTGTGGTTTTGCTTACGTGCCTACCATGCCCTGTCTCCCAGCCAGGCAACAGCTGAGAGGACAGTGGCCTGTGCTCCTAGTGCATCTTGATACCAGAACGGGCAATACAGATCTTGCTCTCACAGAAATGTGGGTGTGCTTTGACCTGCCTGGCAGTTCCTGAAGGTTCAGCTCAGAGGGTTGCCTTTGTTTTGCCCCCTCCACACTAGAACAGCCTCACAGTGCTTATCAGAAGCATTACCTGCAGCCATCTGGGGCTGGGGACGGCAAACGGGGCAAGCAGCAAACAGACCAAAAAACTTGGAAAGGAAATAACTGGGAGGAAGATACGTGGGAGAGAGAAGGCTCAGAAGGGCCCTTGTCTGTACTAGGTAGTCCGGAAGGCCACACACATGCCTAACACTGGACACATTTTTGGAAAAGACCTGAGAGGACTCTAGGCCTGCACCTCTGACTGATCTTTAGGCTCCACAGAAGTAGGAGGTGGAAGCTAAAGCAGAATTTAGGTGACCTGGCTAAGCGCTGAAGGAATGCCCAAGTCAGGACGAATCTACAAAGCCTGGGAGAATTACCATTTTTAACTTTTTATTTTATTTTATTTTTTTTAAATAGAGACATGGTCTCGCTTTGTTGCCTGGGCTTGTCTTTAATTCCTGGCCTCAAGAAATCCTCCTGCCTCAACTTTTCAAAGTGAAACAGTATCTTTTGTTCTTTTGGACTCATGACAGTTAAGGAAATTAAGTGAAATGCTGTACGTATTCTTTGCCATCTTTCAATCAGCATGTTTGTACAATTCAAATTGTAGCTGTAGCTTGTTTATTTTTATTTCTACACTAATCCACTACATGATTCTATTAATAATTTACGCTGTTGATGAGCGTTTGAAGTGTAAAAATAATTGAAGACCAAACATGAGAAAAACAGACTTTTTATTCAGAGCTTGCGGTAGCAAAGGAATCAGCCACGATCTCTTGTGTTTAGCAGACTCAGAGGCAGATAGGTTTATAGTGGGGGGAAAGGGGCAAGGTTCAGGAATGCTCTGCTTGGAGGGTGTTGGCATGAGGAAGCTGGAGGCTGATCAGCTCACTGCAGGTGTCTTACAGGATTGCTTTGGGGAACCTATTTGGCTTTCTCTGATTGGTCCCATGTTGGAAGAGGGAGCAAAATGTTGGGATGATGGCAGTAACTGAGTAAGTCTTGACCATTCTGAATGGATCACTGGGGAGATTGTGGTTTGGCTTCCAGGAGTGGTTGCTGCAGAGGGTCTGGGTGAGAGTTCTATTGTCACAGAAGCTCGTCCATTGTCCGTGTGTATGCCTAGTCCCAGAGTTGTTTCCAGTTTCTGGCTGCTAGACTTTTACATTTCACAATGAAGTGTGATTTTAGAAATAATATGAACTCTTGCCTGCCAGAACAAGGGCCAGTGAATTTTAAAGGAAGGAAGCACAATCTAGAACTCGACAGCAAGGGTCAACCATGAAAAGTTAGGTATGAATATTGTTAATTCCTAGAGCAAGAATTTTTTCAAAAATATAGATAGATAGCCAATAGAATACTAAATTACTCTATTTGGAATACTAATAAACCCAGAAACAAAAAGTAGTGAAACAAAAACAAAATCACAGGGACAAACAGAAGAAATAAAATGGTACACCTAAATCCAACCACATCAATAATTATATCAAATGTTAACGGTCTAAGCCAGAAGGTGCGTGGCAAACTTCTTCTGTAAAGAGCCAGATAGTACATATTTTAGGCTTTGCGGGCCATACAGTCTGTATACTCTGCCTCAAATTAGCCATAGGCAATATATAAATGAGTGGGTATGGCTGTGTTCCAATAAAACTATATTTACAACAACAAACAGGCTGGATTTAGCCACAGGTTATAGTTTCCTGACCTTTGCTGTGGAATTCTAGAGTGTGTTTCCTTCCTTTAAAATTCATTGGACCTTGTTCTGGCAAGCAGTTAAATTACTTCTGAATCTGGGAACTTCTTTTAATTCTCTTGGCTTTTTTTCCAGTTTTGGAAGTTTCCAAGTATGGAACCACTTATAAATTAACAGGTTGGTTTTCCAAGATCAGCCTGGTGATGAGAATTTGGGCTACAAATAGACAGGATAGCTGACTGCCAATGACCTCTTAGTCCCATTCAGTGCTGCCCAGTTCCTTGAGCCTTAAGGGAGGGTTTGAGGTGACTTCTGGTTCAGTCTCCCCCTAAGAGTATAGTCTTTCAGTGTCCTCATTTAATTATTCCCATCTCAATGTGTCCTTGGGCTTTGACTTCTGGCCCCCTTGCTGAGGAAGAGAAGACAATAATGGAAGTAAGAAGTATAGGACCCCCTTTCCTCCAAGGCTAAGATTCAGACCTCTTCAAAGAGAGGACCTTCCTACACCTGGACCACAGCCCACAGCGGGGAAGAAACTGGCCAGAGGGCACAGGTGGTGCTAACCTGGAACAGCAGCCCAGGAGGGTGTGGCTGGGTGGAAAGGTGGCCTGGGGGCAACTGGAACTCATCCACATCACTCCCCCCCTGAATAATAATGATAGGACCAGGACTGGAAGGGAATGGTCTTCCTGTCCTTTCACTCCAGAGACCCTCCAAAGCCCTCTGTTGGTAAAGCTTAATGATCATTGTGTCAACAGATGTTTACAGAGTCCAGCCCATGTCCATCTATCACAAAGCAGGGCAGAGAAGGGTGGATTTGGAGCTGAGAGCCATTATATTGATAACTGGCACATAAAGTGCTTTTATTTTTTTCAACTTACTCCCAACACACACACACACACACACACACACACACACACACACACGCACGCACGCACACCCCTTCATATGTCAAAATGACATTAAGTTTCATTTAAATGTATCCTATATTGAAAGAGCAAAAAAAAAAAGTGACAGTTTGACTCAAGAAATGCAATGGTTTATATGACCTACAACTCTCGAAGGAAAAGAGTAATAATTTTGCAATGTTTTGATGATATTTACAAGTCATAATTTAAAGAGATACATAATTTTTCCCTTTCTACGTAAGTCCTCAAGGAACTCACATCTGTTTTAGCCCAGATTTGTATAGTGTTTTGCTTTGCATGGATTATCTCATTTAATTCTTGCAGAACTTTGATGAATGGTATTATTAATTAGCAGAATGGTAGTAGTAACAGGCAAAGTGGTATTGTTAATTGCATGTAATAGATAAGGAATCAAGCTTCAGTTATTTTGACTTGCCCAAAATTGATTTGGTAAGTGACAGAACTTTATTTGCTGATAGTCCACAATTAAAACTTTTCATTATTCAGGTAGAATTCTTTTCCCTTTTATTCTATACATGTTGATATGCTTGTTATAAAGAAGCCTAGGCCTGTGATCTCGATACCCGTGGAGCTCTGCAGCTGCAGCAGATAGTAGAATGTATGGGAATTCACCCAAATGCACCTACAGTAGAAGTATTATTCATTATTTCAGAGATGCTTTTTCCTCTGTGTCTGGTTATAGATCAGTTGGCATGGCATCAAGCAGGTTGATGTTCCTCTTATCCCAAGCCCCAAGCCTTACTTTTTCTTTTTTTTGTTTTTGTTTTTTTGAGACAGTCTCACACTGTCGCCCAGGCTGGACTGCAGTGGCACGATCTCTGCTCACTGCACCCTCTGACTGCTGGATTCAAGTGATTCTCCTCCTCAGCCTCCCAAGTAACTGGGACCACAGGTGCTTGCCACCACACCCAGCTAATTTTTTTGTATTTTTAGTGGAGACAGGGTCTTGCCATGTTGCCCAGGCTGGTCTTGAACTCCTGGCCTCAAGCCATCGTCTCACCTCGGCCTCCCAAAGTGCTGGGATTACAGGCATGAGCCACCACGCCCAGCCATTCCAGCCCTTTTTACTTTTACCAAGTGGTTACCACAACAACTTTGATGAGCTGTTATTCAAAGGAATCCTGTGATGAGCAATTTTGAAAAGAAAAATGATCTCTGTATTATATATTTGGAATTTTGAATAGGAAGTAGGTTAAACATGTGTTTAACACTTAACACATCCCAGGGGCCTCTCAATTGTGGCACAGTGTGACCCCTACATGCTGTATGTGTATGAAGCACAGCAGAAGCACAGAGGCAAAACACACCTCAGTCGGCTTCCCTTGAGTTCCCTTTTAAAGAGTCTTTTCTATATTTCTGGATCATTCCTTTCTTTTTTATGTTTTTTTTGGTTTTGTTTTGTTTTGAGACAGGGTCTTGCTCTGTCACCCAGGTTGGAGTGCAGTGGTGCAATGACTCACTGCAACCTCTGCCTCCTGGACTCAAGCAATCCACCCACCTTGGCCTCCCCGAGTGCTGGGATTACAGGAGTGAGCCACCATGCCCAGCTTTTTAATTTTTTTTTTTTGAAACCTATTACAGTAACTCCCTGAGATGAAGATGAGACGTTTAGCTTCCTCACACTCCCTCCTCCTCCTCCTTCCCCATGCACCTCCCATGCTTTGTTCAATGTTACTCTCCTTTTACTTGCTTAAGGTACTCTTTCTTATGCCATTGACTTTAGACGGAATTCCTTGGCTTTACTGAGTAAGATGGGGAAATTAGAAATCTGCAGTCCCCAATGTTAACACTCACTCATTTTGTTAGCTATGACTATTTCATTGTCAAGCGGTTGGTTGGTTGGTTAGTTGGTTGGTTGGTTTGTTTTGTTTTGGTTTCACCATTCATACACAGTCTGTCCACTAATTATAATTTTTTGTGCTTTATGTGTGGGTAGATTCTAAAAAGTCAGAAACCAATAAACCTGTATTATGATTATATAGTATATTATTCACATTAGTTCCTAGAAGTGTGGTTGACTCATTAAAAATGTAATCCTATATTACAAAATTCATACAACTAAAGTGTCAAAGGAAATTAATGTTCTCTGTTTCCCCCCTCAATAGCTCAGGATCATGCCACATTTAAGCTTCATATTTTGATCATGTTTTTATTTTCAGTTTCATCCTGAAACTTTTATTTCCAGTTTTATGAAAGTAGTACATGTTCACACTTTTAAAACTGAAATAGTTCCACATGGCTTAAAATGCAAAACACGCTTCCCTTTCACTACCCTTTGGTGCTTCCTAAAAGCCACCATTCTCAACTCTTTTAGCTCTTCCCTTAGCTATTGATTTTTGTATTTGTTAAAAACATGCTCTTACTGCTGTTTGTTGTTTTTCAGTTTGAGATATTATATTATGATTATTATTATTAATATTAGAGACAGGGTCTTGCTCTGTTGCCCAGGCTGGAGTGCAGTGGTGCAATCTCAGCTCACTGCAACCTCTGCCTCCCCGGCTCAAGCAATTCTCCCACCTCAGCCTCCTGAGTAGCTGGGACCACAGGTGTGCATCACCACGACCGTTTTTTGTTTTGTTTTGTTTTGTTTTTAAGGACACAGGGTTTCACCACGTTGCCCAGACTGGTCTCCATCTCCTGGACTCAAGCGATCCACCCACCTCAGCCTCCCAAAGTGCTGGGATTACAAGCGTTGAGTCACCGCGCCTGGCCAGAGATAATATCTTATTGACCTCCTCTATATGGGATGCTGTGCCCGGCCACACCTCACATACACACATTGCACTCACACATGTGCTTCTCCTCCCCAGTTCCTTCAGCATGTTTATGCCAGTTTTTGTTGAATCAGTAGTAAGTGTTCATATTATGTTAACTCTGTAATTGTTCTTTACACCTGAGCTGTGTAGTTTCTATGTACATGTCACTTATTCATCTCCAAATTCTCCAACCAAATTGAAAATCTCAGAACATAATGAAAGATGTAGGCCCTCCTTCGGATTGCATTGTTTTTTGGAGCCATCCCTGCCCCTGCTCCCAGGTAGTCTGGCTGCTCTGCAGGCCTGCTGCAAGCTGTCAGGCTTACATTGCCCTTCGTCTGCACTCTGGGGATCCTCATTTCTCTCCCAGGTTGTGTTCCTTATTACCTGGACCCTCTTGCTTGGTTTACACTCCTGTTTAGATAGAGCACCTCCTCCTGTACCTTCACAGAAAAAGCACAGAGAATGGAAAACTCATATCTTGCATGTCTGAAAAAATCCTTATTCTGCCTTACATTTGAATAATAATTTTATAGGATATAGAATTTTAGTTTGGAAAACATTTTCCTTCCGAATTTTAAAGGCATTGCTCTGTTGTCTTCTAGTTTCAAATGTTGCTTTACATAAATATTCTGATGCAATTCTAATTACTGATTATTTGCACATGACCTACTTTTTTCTCTCTGGAATATTTTAGATTCTTGGGTATCTGATAATCTGGAATTTCATGGTAAGATGCCTTGTTGTGAACCTTTTTTTATTTTTTATTTTTATTTTTTGAGATAAGTTCTTGCTCTGTCACCTAGGCTGGAGTGCAGTGATGTAATCACAGCTTGCTGCAGTCTTGACCTCTTGGGCTCAAGTGATCCTTCTGCCTCAGCCTCCCAAGTAGCTGAGACCGCAAGCACGCACCACCACACACAGCTGATTTTTTAAACTTTTGGTCCATTCCAAGATGGCCGAATAAGAACAGCTCTGGTCTGCAGCTCCCAGCGTGATTGACGCAGAAGACGGGTGATTTCCGCATTTCCAACTGAGGTACCTGGTTCATTTCATTGGGACTGGTTGGACAGTGGGTGCAGCCCACGGCAGGTGAGCTGAAGCAGCCTGGGGCATCACCTCACCCGGGAAGTGCAAGGGGTCAGGGGATTTCCCTTTCTTAGCCAAGGGAAGCCATGTCAGACTGTACCTGGAAAGTCAGGACACTGCCGCCTAAATACTGGGCTTTTCCAATGGTCTCAGCAAACGGCACACCAGGAGATTATATCCCACACCTGGCTCAGCTGGTCCCACACCCACGGAGCCTTGCATACTGCTACCACAGCAGTCCCAGATCGAACTGTGAGGTGGCAACCTGGCTGGGGGAGGGGCGCCTGCCATTACTGAGGCTTGAGTAAGTAAACAAAGTGGCTGGGAAGCTCCAACTGGGTGGAGCCCACCACAGCTCACCAAGGCCTGCCTGCCTCTGTAGACTCCACCACTGGAGCCAGGGCATAGCTGAACAAAAGGCAGCAGAAACCTCTACAGTCTTTTTTTTTTTTTTTTTTTTGAGACAGTCTCACTCTGTCACCCAAGCTGGATGCAGTGGCGCGATTTCAGCTCACTGCCAGCCCCGCCTCCTGAGTTCATGCCATTCTGCTGCCTCAGCCTCCCGAGTATCTGGGACTACAGGCACCCACCACCACACCTGGCTAATTTTTTGTATTTTTAGTAGAGACAGGGTTTCACCGTGTTAGCCAGGATAGTCTCGATCTCCTGACCTTGTGAACTGCCCACCTCGGCCTAAACCTCTGCAGTCTTAAACGTCCTTGTCTGACAGCTCTGAAGAGACCAGTGGTTCTCCCAACATGGTGTTTGAGCTCTGAGAACTGGACAGACTGCCTCCTCAAGTGGGTCCCTGACCCCTTTGTAGCCTAACTGGGAGACACCTCCCAGTAGAGGCCTACTGACACCTCATACAGGCGGGTGCCTCTCTGGGACGAAGCTTCCAGAGGAAGGATCAGGCAGCAATATTTGCTGTTCAGCAGCCTCCGCTGGTAATACCCAGGCAAACAGGATCTGGAGTGGACCTCCAGCAAACTCCAATAGACCTGCAGCTGAGGGACCTGACTGTTAGAAGAAAAACTAACAAACAGAAAGGAATAGCATCAACATCAACAAAAAGGACATCCATACCAAAACCCCATCTGTAGGTCACCATCATCAAAGACCAAAGGTAGATAAAACCACAAAGATGGGGAGAGACCAGAGCAGAAAAGCTGAAAATTCTAAAAACCAGAGCGTCTCTTCTCCTCCAAAGGATCACAGCTCCTCACCAGCAACGGAACAAAGCTGGACGGAGAATGACTTTGACAAGTTGACAGAAGTAGGCTTCAGAAGTTTGGTAATAACAAACTCATCTGAGCTAAAGGAGGATGTTTGAACCCATTGCAAGGAAGCTAAAAACTTTGAAGAAAGATTAGACGAGTGGCAAACTAGAATAAACAGTGTAGAGAAGACCTTAAATGACCTGATGGAGCTGAAAGCCATGGCACAAGAACTACGTGATGCATGCACAAGCTTCAATAGCCGATTCGATCAAGTGGAAGAAAGGGTATCAGTGATTAAAGATTAATGAAATAAAGCGAGAAGTTTAGAGAAAAAAAGAGTAAAAATAAATGAACAAAGCCTCCAAGAAATATAGGACTATGTGAAAAGACCAAATCTACGTTTGATTGGTGTACATGAAAGTGACAAGGAGAATGGAACCAAGCTGGAAAACACTTTTCAGGATATTATCCAGGAGAACTTCCCCAACCTAGCAAGGCAGGCCAACATTCAAATTGGGAATTACAGAGAACACGAAAAGATAACTCCTCGAGAAGAGCAACCCTGAGACACATAATTGTCAGATTCACCAAGGTTGAAATGAAGGAAAAACTGTTAAGGGCAGCCAGAGAGAAATGTAGGGTTAACCACAAAGGGAAGCCCATCAGACTAACAGCAGATCTCTCGGCAGAAACTCTGCAAGCCAGAAGAGAGTGGGGGCCAATATTCAACATTCTTAAAGAAAAGAATTTTCAACCCAGAATTTCATATCCAGCCAAACCAAGCTTCATAAGTGAAGGAGAAATAAAATCCTTTACAGACAAGCAAATGCTGAGAGATTTTGTCACCACCAGGCCTGCCTTACAAGAGCTCCTGAAGAAAGCACTAAACATGGGAAGAAACAACCAGTACCAGCCACTGCAAAAACATGCCAAATTGTAAAAACCATCGATGCTAGGAAGAAACTGCATCAACTAATGGGCAAAATAACCAGCTAACATCATAATAACAGGATCAAATTCACAAATAACAATACTAAACTTAAATGTAAATGGGCTAAATGCCCCAATTAAAAGACACAGACTGGCAAATTGGATAGAGTCAAGAGCTGTCAGTGTGCTGTATTCAGGAGACCCATCTCACGTGCAGAGACACACATAGGCTCAAAATAAAGGGATGGAGGAAGATCTACCAAGCAAATGGAAAGGCAAAAAAAGCAGGGGTTGCAATCCTAGTCTCTGATAAAACACTTTAAACCAACAAAGATCAAAAGAGACAAGGCCATTACATAATGGTAAAGGGATCAATTCAACAAGAAGAGCTAACTATCCTAAATATATATGCACCCAATACAGGAGCACCCAGATTCATAAAGCAAGTTCTCAGAGACCTACAGAGAGACTTAGACTCCCACACAATAATAATGAGAGACTTTAACACCCCACTGTCAATATTAGACAGATCAATGAGACAGAAGGTTAACAAGGATATCCAGGACTTGAACTCAGCTCTGCAACAAGCAGACCTAATAGACATCTACAGAACTCTCCACCCCAAATCAACAGAATATACATTCTTCTCAGCACCACATCGCACTTATTCCAAAATTGACCACATAGTTGGAAGTAAAGCACTCCTCAGCAAATGTAAAAGAACAGAAATCACAACAAACTGTCTCTCAGACCACAGTGCAATCAAATTAGAACTCAGGATTCAGAAACTCACTCAAAACTGCACAACTACATGGAAACTGAACAACCTGCTCCTGAATGACTGCTGGGTAAATAACTAAATGAAGGTAGAAATAAAGATGTTCTTTGAAACCAATGAGAACAAAGACACAACATACCAGAATCTCTGGGACACGTTTAAAGCAGTGTGTAGAGGAAAATTTATAGCACTAAATGCCCACCAAGAGAAAGCAGGGAGAGATCTAAAATTGACACCCTAACATCACAATTAAAAGAATTAGAGAAGCAAGAGCAAACAAATTCAAAAGCTAGAAGAAGGCAAGACATAACTAAGATCAGAGCAGAGTTGAAGGAGATAGGGACACAAAAAACCCTTAAAAAAATAAATGAATCCAGGAGCTGGTTTTTTGAAAAAAACAACAAAATTGATAGACCGCTAGCAAGACTAATAAAGAAGAAAAGAGAGAAGAATCAAATAGATGCAATAAAAAATGATAAAGGGGATATCACCACCGATCCCACAGAACTACAAACTACCATCAGAGAATACTATAAACACCTCTACACAAATGAACTAGAAAATCTAGAAGAAATGGATAAATTCCTGGACAGATACACCCTCCCAAGACTAAACCAGGAAAAAGTTGAATCCCTGAATAGACCAATAACAGGCTCTGAAATTGAGGCAATAATTAATAGCCTACCAACTAAAAAAAGCCCAGGACCAGATGGATTCACAGCCAAATTCTACCAGAGGTACAAAGATGGGCTGGTACCATTCCTTCTGAAACTATTCCAATCAATAGAAAAAGAGGGAATCCTCCCTAACTCATTTTTTGAGGCCAGTATCATCCTGATACCAAAGCCGGGCAGAGACACAACAAAAAAAGAGAATTTTAGACCAATATCCCTGATGAACATCGATGCAAAAACCCTCAATAAAATACTGGCACACCAAATCCAACAGCACATCTAAAAGCTTATCCACCACGATCAAGTTGGCTTCATCCCTGGGATGCAAGGCTGGTTCAACATATGCAAATCAATAAACGTAATCCATCACATAAACAGAACCAAAGACAAAAACCACTTGATTATCTCAATAGATGCAGAAAAGACCTTTGACAAAATTTAACAGTGCTTCATGCTAAAAACTCTCAATAAACTAGGCATTGATGGAATGTATCTCAAAATAATAAGATCTATTTATGACAAACCCACAACCAATATCATACTGAATGGGCAAAAACTGGAAGCATTCCATTTGAAAACTGGCCCAAGACAGGGATGCCCTCTCTCACCACACCTATTCAATAGTGTTGGAAGTTCTGGCCAGGGCAATCAGGCAAGAGAAAGAAATAAAGGGTATTCAATTAGGACAAGAAGAAGTCAAATTGTCCCTGTTTGCAGATGACATGATTGTATATTTAGAAAACCCCATTGTCTCAGCCCAAAATCTCCTTAAGCTGATAAGCAACTTCAGCAAAGTCTCAGGATACAAAATCAATGTGCAAAAATCATAAGCATCCCTATACACCAATAACAGACAAACAGCCAAATCATGAGTGAACTCCCATTCACAATTGCTACAAAGAGAATAAAATACTTAGGAATACAACTTACAAGGGATGTGAAGGACCTCTTCAAGGGGAACCTCAAACCACTGCTCAATGAAATAAAAGAGGATACAAACAAACGGAAGGACATTCCATGCTCATGGATAGGAAGAATCAGTATCGTGAAAATGGCCATACTGCCCAAGGTAATTTATAGATTCAATACCATCCCCATCAAGCTACCAATGGCTTTCTTCACAGAATTGGAAAAAACTACTTTAAAGTTTATATGGAACCAAAAAAAAGCCCACATTGTCAAGACAATCCTAAGCAAAAAGAACAAAGCTGGAGGCATCATGCTACCTGACTTCAAACTATAGTACAAGGCCACAGTAACCAAAACAACATGGTACTGGTACCAAAACAGAGATACAGACCAATGGAACAGAACAGAGGCCTCAGAAATAACACCACACATCTACAACCATCTGATCTTTGACAAACCTGACAAAAAGAAGCAATGGGGAAAGGATTCCCTATTTAATAAATGGTGCTGGGAAAACTGGCTAGCCATATGTAGAAAGCTAAAACTGGATCCCTTCCTTACACCGTATATAAAAATTAATTCAAGATGGATTAAAGAATTAAATGTTAGATCTAAAACCATAAAAACCCTAGAAGAAAACTTAGGCAATACCATTCAGGACATAGGCATGGGCAAGGACTTCATGACTAAAACACCAAAAGCAATGGCAACTAAAGCCAAACTAGACAAATGGGATCTAATTAAACTAAAGAGCTTCCACACAGCAAAAGAAACTACCATCAGAGTGAACAGGCAACCTACAGAATGGGAGAAAATTTTTGCCATCTACCCATCTGACAAAGGGCTAATATCCAGAATCTACAAAGAACTTAAACAAATTAAAAAAAAAAAATTCAACCCCATCAAAAAGTGGGCAAAGGACATGAACAGACACTTCTCAAAGGAAGACATTTATGCAGCCAACAGACACATGAAAAAATACTCATCATCACTGGCCATCAGACAAATGCAAATCAAAACCACAATGAGGTATCATCTCACACCAGTTAGAATGGCGATCATTAAAAAGTCAGGAAACAACAGATGCTGGAGAGGATGTGGAGAAAGAGGAACACTTTTACACTGTTGGTGGGACTGTAAACTAGTTCAACCATTGTGGAGGACAGTGTGGTGATTCCTCAGGGATCTAGAACTAGAAATACCATTTGACCCAGCCATCCCATTACTGGGTATATACCCAAAGGATTGCAAATTATGCTACTATAAAGACACATGCACGTGTATGTTTATTGTGGCACTATTCACAATAACAAAGACTTGGAACCAACCCAAATGTCCATCAATGATAGACTGGATTAAGAAATGTGGCACATATACACCATGGAATACTATGCAGCCATAAAAAAGGATGAGTTCATGTCCTTTGTAGGGACATGGATGAAGCTGGAAACCATCATTCTGAGCAAACTATCCCAAGGACAGAAAACCAAACACCGCATGTTCTCACTCATAGGTGGGAATTGAACAATGAGAACACCTGGACCTAGGTCGGGGAACATCACACACCGGGGCCTTTCGTGGGGTAGGGGGAGGAGGGAGGGATAGCATTAGGAGAAATATCTAATGTAAATGACGAGTTAATGGGTGCAGCAAACCAACATGGCACATGTATACATATGTAACAAACCTGCACGTTGTGCACGTGTACCCTAGAACTTAAAGTATAATAAAAAGAAAAAAAAAAAAACTTTTGTAGAGACAGAGGCCTCGCCATGTTGCCCAGGCTGGTCTCAAATTCCTGGGCTCAAGTGATCCACCCTCGTTGGCCTCCCACTGTGCTGGGATTATAGGCGTGAGCCACCGTACTGGGCCAGCCTTTCTTTGTAAACTAAGGAGCCTGGCACTCAGTAGGCTTTGACGTGCTCCCATTATTCAGGTGTTGTATCTTTTTGACTGATTCTCAAATGTCCTTATATTTTACCTCCTAATTTCTGTCTCTTTAATTTGTTTGTTTACTTTCTGGGGAAAATGGCATTAAGCTTTATGTTATAAATTTTCATAACATTTATGTATGACTATTAAACTTTTTAATCTTCAAGAGCTTTAAATATTCCTTTTTTAGAGCATCCTGTCCTTATTCCATGATTTATCATTTAATCTCTTCTGTTCCTGGTAGCGATCAGTGATTTATTTCCTCTGAGTTTTGTTATATTGCTTGTTTGTTGATGTTTAATTTTGGTTGCTCTTGCTAGTGGTTTTTCTCAAATGTCTGGTTGTCCTGTGCTGTCCATTTATATTTATGGGTAAGAACAAAAAAGTTGATTGAAACCAGATGAGGTGGTTCATGTCTATAATCCCAGTGACTTGGGAGGCTGAGGTGGGAGGATCACTTGAGTCCAGGAGTTTGAGACCAATCTGGACAACATAGCAAGTTACCATCTCTAAATAAATAAGTAATACTTAAAAAAGCTGATTCAAGTTCTGTGAGCACTGATAGGACATGTCAAATGTTATGAACTGCATGGTTGTGTCCCCGCAAAATTCATATGTTCAAACCTTTATCTCAAATATGATGGAACTTGGAGTTGGAGATGGGCCTTTGGGAGGTAATTAAGTCATGAGGATAGAGCCCTGATGATAAAATTAGTGCCCTTATAAGAAGGGACATGAAAAAGCTTTCCGTGCTTGCTCTCCTCTTTCTCTCACCTGTCCCATCTCTCTCTCTTCTCTCTCTTTCTCTCCCTCTGTCTCTCTCCCTGCAATGTGAAGACAGCGAGAAGGCATCCATCTCCAAACCAAGGAGAGGGCCCTCACCGGACATCAGATCTACTGGTACCTTAATCTTGGACTTTCCAGCCTCCAGAGCTGTGAGAAATAAATGTTTGTTTTTTAAACCACCCAATCTATGGTATTTTTTTTTTTTTTCATATAGCAGGCTGAACAAAGACATCCAGGTAGCGATATGCCTGTAGTGATTAGACACAGACATGGCTCTTTCATTAGGGGATCCTCAACTGTCAACACCTATTGTCATTTCTCTTGGATAATCCACTTCCTTAGAGAGGAATCTAACAAACTGGTGGGTAGGGATGAGAGGAGTGGCAGTGAGGGAGTGAAGGAGTGCCATATCTATCCCTGCTTGCAATATTCTCAGAGCACATGGAAAAGGGAACCAGGGGTCACCAGTCAGAATAGAGACTTTCATTCAGGCTTCATTCTGTCCTTGTGACTGGTGTTTCCAATCCAAACTCCTCCATAGACTGAACCTTCTGTCAGGCTGTTGACCCGCAGCATGGGGGAGGGAATCTAAAGCTCTGACTTCTTAGACCAACCATCAGCCATTCATTCCATTGAAGGAAATACCTGGAACCTTCAGTTCCAGAGCCTTTCCAGAGTGCTAGAAATTACCTTGCTTACTCAAATTCACCCGTAGATCTAGGTGTTTGGCTTTCTCCTCCGATTTTAGTAGCCATCTTTTCTGGTCCTGAAATGTGGCCATCTCTTCTGCGTTTTCTCTCTTGAACTCCTCATTATATATGGGCTTTGTTGTTGTTTTGGTGGGGGGATGGCTTTGAAAATCCCTTAACTGTAATTTTATTGGGAATTGGGACATAAATATATGTGTCCAACCTGCCATGTTTAACCAGAAAAAAGAATGTCCTGCTTAGGACCTTTTAATAAAGCTTCCGATCCTTGTGCTTTTAAAAGTCTGTATGTTACTTTCACACTTTATTAGTGATGGCTGCTATCGAATGTTAGTTTCACATTCATTTTCCCTCAGAGCTTGGAGGCTTTCTTCTGTTAGATGTTAAGCATGCACTGATGCTGATGAGAAGAGTGCTGTCTTCATGGGGACTCCTGTTCCTTTACAGGTAATCTGTTGTTCTCTCTCTGGAAGGTTATATGGTCTTTTCTTTATCCTTCATTTTCAATTTCACAAATTTGTCTCTAGGGCTGAGAGTCTTTTTATTCATCCTTTGGTGCTTGGTGGGACTGCCCCACCAAGAATGGCTCTCATCTCTGATTCCAGCTTCTTCTGTACCCCGTATTAAAGGATATGGCCCCTTTATTCTGGTTCATCTATCATAGGTTATCATTTGCTTTCAATCGTAAAAAAAATTATTCGAACTGTAGGCTGATTCTGCCCACCTCACTTCTCATCTGCTGTGGACTTATTCTCTTCTGTGAATCGTGTCTCTTCAGTGGGATATGAGGAAGGAGAGAGGGTAAACGTGTGTCTGTCTGTCTTTCACCCTGACCTAGAGTGTGACCTCCCTCACGGTGCTCTTTGTCTGATTGCTTGGACCTCAGAAGGCCCAGGTGTTTGTTTTCTAAGCCAACTTGTGGTTGTTTGTATGAACCTTCACTAGAATATTCTTAGAGGGCAGGAACCAGTTTTATTAACATCAATTTTGTGCACATCTAGAAAAGATAGCTAACTGAAATTTTTATGCCAGATGATAACCAAACACTTTAAATTATTGCTGTTGCGGTTTATGCTTAATTGTAACATTCTCGAATAAAAACCAAAGCAAAACTCCAAAAAGAATACTGTGATTATAGTTACCTTATTCCTTTTTCTATTCTTTTTTTCCTTCACTTGTTTTTCACTTTTCTCTTCAAAAATGGCCATTATCCCTTGCTTCTTTTCCCTTCTTTCCTGGTGGCTGTATTTATTTTTGTTCGAATTATTTTCCATGAGCACTTTTGAAAATCAGTCTATTAAGGGATTTTAGAGTTCGTAAATCTTTTTAGAGTGCCTGGGGATAGGGCCCTAAGACTAAGGTACTTATTAAAAAAGAGTGCCAAGAGGTCTTATATACTTTGATTTTTAAATTTGAAAATAAAAACTTTTGGTTTTTCATTCATCACTTGGACTACATGTTTCAGTTCTGAACTATTTCCCTTGGGCTTTGCTAAAATTAATAACAAGCTTTTCAAAACTGTTATTTAACAGTTAACTCCTCTAGCCCATAAAATTTTCTCAAGAATAGAAATAACAAAAATTTAACTTCAATAAGAAAGCAATTACTGGTCATCCACCAAAAATTAAATGCATAAGGTGAAAAATTTATTTTATACACCTCAATTATGTTAAATGTTATAACACATATCGGAACTATAAAAGCACCATTGCTTTATTGCTATTAGTAGTTGTTGTACCTATACCTATCAGTTCTGAAGGATTTTTTTGTTTTATTTTTGGTGAAATTTTATCATTCTCTGACTGGTCCAGAAAATTTGGGTTATTTTCTAGTCAAACAAATATAGAGCTTTTATAAATGTGAACAAAAAGTTTATTTACTAGTATAAAAATTTTAAGTAACAGGCCAGGCGCAGTGGCTCACGCCCATAATCCCAGCACCTTGGGAGGCCGAGGTGGGTGGATCACGAGGTCAGGAGATCGAGACCACCCTGGCTAACACAGTGAAACCCTGTCTCTACTAAAAAAAAAAAACAAAAAATTAGCCAGGCGTGATGACGGCGCCTGTAGTCCCAGCTACTTGGGAGGCTGAGGCAGAAGAATGGCGTGAACCCGGGAGGCGGAGCTTGCAGTGAGCCGAGATGGGGCCACTGCACTCCAGCCTGGGCAACAGAGTGAGACTCTGTCTCAAAGAAAAAAAAACTTTTAAGTAACATTGGAAATTACCCAGACATAGCTTCAAAAATCTAGCTTAATAAATGTTAGAAACAGTATGAAAATGTTAATACTGACTTAAAGTTGCTAGCCTTGATGAGACTCACATATTTTATTATTAATTTCTGAAGAATTTAATTTTCCACAAAAACAACTTTGACAATTAAATGAAAATACAGTAAAAAATATTGCTACTCTCGGTGTTATTAATTATTGGGGAAATCTCCATCCTTATTGCTGTTGTGAATCTGTCATTACATGATAAGGACCAAGAAATACGTATTTTAGTAAATCATTTGTTAGTGAATATTATTCAATTGAAACCAAAGAAATCTCATGTAGTTTACATCTCAAGACTCAATTCTCTAAACTAAATATCTTGAATTTAAAATTTACTTCACAAATGAAAGGGGCTTAGCTTTTCCAGCACAGTGTTTGGCAAAGTCAGGCTTTTCATGGAGTTCTGGTTGAGGAGTCCAAATTTGGCTCTGTGGCTGACTGCAGAATGACTTGTCATCCCAGGTCCTTAAACATGCCATTTTGCCTCTAGGTCATTGATTTTCCAATCATAAAATAAGGAGACTAACATTTCCTTGTGTGTGTGTGAGATCGTAGCACCTGTAATGACGTCTATGCCTTCCATAACCGACACACCATCCACCCCAAACATTAGAAAATGCATGCGGTAGGAAAAAAATAGTGAGCTTACATCAACTAAACTTGAAGCTGGACTCTGAAAGATTATTTTATTCAGCTTCAGGCTTTAAGCCTTGGAAATAATCTTAGATGCAAATGGTGGTAGAATTTTCAGAATGAAAGCAATTGTTTCATTCACTGGTGTCAACATTTCTTTTCATGAAAATTATAACATTTAAAAGAACTCCCATTGACCTACAATGAGCATTTGATCCTTTCACTTCTTAAGCAAAAAAAAAATTTCTTCTTCAAAAAATGTTTTTAGTATAACTTGGTTTTTCATTACAGAATGCTTACTAAAATTTTAAATAATTTGCCCTGTGGAAAAATTATTTGTGATAATTTGCTTGAAATTATTTCAGAATTTATGGAATATTAAATATATGGAAATATATGTGTAGAGTGTGCATACCTGTATACATGTTTTAAAGTGAGAAACTTTTAAAAGATTATAAAATAGACTGCAAGGTTCAAAACATAGATCCCCTTAAATGACACTTCCGTCACCAATAATCGGACTGAGTTACAGTAATTTTACTTTAGCAAACAGACATGTATTCTGTGTCTCACGGGCCACCTGCTGAATGAGAGGACTCCAGTTGAAAGGTCAAGAACATAAAACCACAAGAGCTTTTTGAGTGGGTCTTCAACTTAGTTAAAATAAAAATAAAGGACCTGTGTTCCTTGAGAACTGGCCCCTAAATTTTCTTTCTCTACTTCAGAGTGTGGCAATGATGTGTTTGGGGACTTTGGCCAAAATTGAAGGTTTAGGAAACATTGAACATGACTTGAGAATATTTAGAATGTTTACAAATGCATTTGGAAATATTTATATCACCATCTATATAAAAATAAAACTGTGAACAGCTGGACAAGAACACTGGTCTACTCGCCGAACTTTTTTCCAAGTTCCTTGACACCGAGGATTACCAATTGCTTGCCAATGGAGAGTCTGATTTCTGAAACGATATTTCGAAAGTGTTAGTTACACTAAAAGCATACCGAAGAAAGGTCTAATTTACAGAATTAAAACTCGGAGTTAAAAAAAACTGATCACAGCCTGAGCAATATAGTGAAACCCCGTCTCTACTATATATATATATATATAGTTTTTTTTTTTTTCTAATTAGCCAGACATGGTGGCACACGCCTATGGTCTTGGGAGGCTGGGTCCACAGGTGCATGCCACCACGTCTGGCTAATTTTTATAAAGAAAAATTATTTGTAGGGATGGAGTTTAACTGTGTTGCCAAGCTGATCTCAAACTCCTGGGTGCAAGGGATCCTCCTGCCTCGGCCTCCTGGCTCACGCTGGGATTAGAAACATGACCCACTGCACCCGGTTCCCCAATTTTTTTTTTAATGATCACAAACAGAGTTTCCCTTGTTTAGTTTCTGTCAAAGCAAGTTTTAATTCATTGCTACTTTAGGACACCCTCATGTTGACAGAGTAACTTGGGGTTACTGTATTTGCTTTTCCCGTTCTATCTGAGCACAAGTGCTGCATAAAGGAAAATGGCTGACTGTTCTATGTGTATTTAAACTGGGAGGTCTGAACTAAATGATCTCTTTTACTGCTTTCCAACTCTGATTTCATAATGAAAAAACAATGAGAGAGCTGAAAAGAACAAAGCCAGATTATTAAAATTATTATTTTTAAAGTCACTGCTACCTCAGCCAGGGTTTAAATACTATATGGGTACAAATTAAATTATAAATTCATTTAAAACCAAAACATGGATGAGGTATTCAGAAAAATATTATGTAAATATTTTCTATTTGATATAAATTCCTTACCCACTTTATTGTTCTTATGGTGTGCTCAATGGAGGCCATGAGGCACTAGTGACTAATAAACATAAATTCTAGTTATTAAATATGAAAACATTCTACAGGAATAATAATTGACTGGAAAGGCCCATATTTTACCTTTTAATCTGTATTTCTACCAGTTACACCTGACATACTGAAAACCATAATCTATGTGTGACCTAAATTAGTCTTTGCCCAATAGTTGCCCAGCACGAAGTTGACTCTTCTTTTAGTTTTGTATAGTGTTATCAAATTTAAACACTAAATAAGTGCAGAACTGGGATACAGGTGCATGACTGTAAAATGTTTTTGGAGTCAATTATTTCAGAGAAATCTACAGATTTATATAAGATTATTATACCGCAGAGGTGACCCCACCACTGTCTCAGTCAGGGTTTTATGAAGAAGCCCCATTGAGCAACAGTTCTGAAACTTCATCGTGGGTATGAATTACCTGGGCAGGGGTCCCCAAACTAGGACCCCGTAGAGGCCAAAGCCGGCCTACCCCTTCTTTGTGTCTGGACTGTGAGTTAAGAATAATTTTTATGTTTTAAAGTGTTAAAATCAAAACAATAATGATATTTTGTGACACATGAAAATTATACGAAATTCAAATTTTAGGGTCCATAAATAAAGTTTTGTTAGAACAAATCCAAGGTTTGCATAGTGTCTGTGACTGTTTTCCTGCTACAAAGTCAGAGTTGAGGGGTTGTCACAGAGACCACACAGCCTGCAAAGTCAAAAATATCTACTCTCTGGCCCTTTACAGAAAAGGTTTTCTGGATCCTGACCTAAGACATTTTTAAAAATCCACCTCCAAAGAGTGATTCAGTTAGTCGGAAATGAGGTTCAGGAATCTGCACATTTTACATCTCCATCTCACGAGATTCTGATTCTAGTGATCTTCAGAACACCACTTTGGAGTGATCAGGTTTTTGGTGATCATTTGGGAATGTGATCTAAACTCCAATATCCTTTTTTTTTTTCTTCTGGAGACAGAGTCTGGCTCTATCACCCATGCCAGAGTGCAGTGGTGCAATCTTGGATCACTGCAACCTCCGCCTCCTGGACTCAAGTGATCCTCCCCAGTAGCTGAGACTACAGGCATGCGCCACCATGCCAGGCTAATTTTTTATTTTTTGTAGACATGGGGTTTTACCATGTTGTCCAGGCTGGTCCCAACTCCTGAGCTCAAGCAGTCTACCCACCTCGGCCTCCCAAAGTGCTGGGATTACAGGCATGAGCCACCACTCCCAGCCCCCAATGTCCAAATGGACCCATATTAACTGCTGGTGTATAGGGCCTGTGGGTTCCATAGTGGGAACTGGAGCCCTGGCCCCAGGCAGTGCCAGAGGATGGTCCTCCTCACCTACTGTTTTGACTTCCCAGTCATCCCTTGATATGTTACATACTGGTCAGCTGTCTGGACATGGAGAGGACAGATTTCTCAGAATGAGTGACAAGAAAAGTACTTCAGTTAATTTCCATTCTTACCCATCGGAGTCCAGGCCATCTCCAGAACAACGAAGGCTCACAGAGTTCATAGCTGGAGGCTGACAATCCACACACACCGTGTATCCCTCTCGGAGATACTGCATCCATCTAGTCAAGGGCCAGTTTTCCAGAGCACAGTGAGGAGTCAAGGACTCTGTCTTAAACTCCATACAGTATCTACAGCAAAAGAAGTAACAATGACACTTGCTGTAATGAGCAGTGGCCTAAAGCTGTAGAAAGTCTTAGAAAGCCTGTCACCTCCAAGGGCATTTGGCCGACTGGAGCAGGTAGTGAGTACATCTTCACAAGTTACGTGTCAATCACCTTTAAGGTTTCTCATTCCCTGAAGCATGGTGAAATATTACTGATAATCACAAAGAACCTTTGTGCCCTTTTTCAGTCCATCATTGAGCTCTCTGGGCAATATAAATGTGCAGAAGTTTGGATATCCTGTATCCTGTCTAATCAGATCACTAAATTGTGCACAGAAGTCCAGGTTTTTGTAGAAACCCAGTCCTTGATAATTTTGCTGATCTAAAGGAATTCTATAAATTGAACAAGCACTTGCTTGAGCCTGAGAACCCTAAAAATGTGAGCCCAGGAGGGCTAGCCCTTAACACCTAGGTCAGCACCTCTGCTGTTCTGCTCCACGAAAGTACCCGGGATCTTCCCCACCCTCTCCACCCACCTCACTTGTATGGTCTGGAGTAATGATGATGAGTTTTGACTTGAAGTCAATTATCACAGTTACATTGGGCATCGCAGGTGAAAGCAGAAGTGGGAGGCTGAGACACACTTTTCTGACAGAAGTTAGTGTCACCTTAAACTGAGCTGCGGAAAACTCTAACATTATATGTGACTGGACACTGAAAGCCCAGGGGAACATCCAGACATGAGGAATATTTTAGAAATTTGTACTTCAGTGCAGTTTTCCAATTCTTCAGGGAAACAAGACATAGTAAAATCTCCGAGTATTGTAACAGAAACTTGTGGCATTTTCAGTTCCATGGGCTAATTTCTTACCCATACAATTATGAGTTGCAATATGTTATAAATGGGAAGTGTTTGGAGAATCTGCTTTAAAGATCTTTAAGAATGATAGGTACAGCTAATTAGTAACTAAAGGTAACAAGTATCTTTAGTTATTGAGGTAAGAAATCCTACAATGTGGCTTCAATCAATTTCAGAGAGCTAAGCCCAGACAGCTCTTTTTAAAAAAGTATTTATTTTTCATAGAGATGGGGTTCTCACTATGTTGCCCTGGCTGGTCTCAAACCCCTGGGCTCAAGCAATCCTCCTGCTCCAGCCTCCCAAGGCACTGAGGTTACAGGTATGAGCAACCAGGCCCAGCCTCAGGCATCTCTTCAATGTTATTTTCTCATTAAATGCTCATACCAACCTCATGTGGTAGGTTATTAACAGTCTCATTTTTTAGGAAGAAAAAACTGAGGTGGAACAAGTTGTTCAAGGTCTTATGCTAGTGAGGGCAGTGTGGGGACCTGAGCGTGCAGCTGTCTGGTATCCCTTATCTGACAGCAGAAGAATGGATTTCAGCTGAGCGTGAAGGTGACTTCCAGCCTGTACCAATAGGTTTCCATAAGAAACCTCTGAGTTGAAGTGTGTGTCACTTTCAAATTCACCAAACAGAGGTGGTGCTGAAGTCTAACGTCCCATAAAGACTGTAAGAGAAGCATCCTTAGTATGATTGATAAAATAAGCTCACAAAATAATCTCATTTGTATATAGTTTGTTTCTTGTTGAAGATTGGACCTAAGAGGTAGATATATCTTTATAGCTCCACAAAAACCAGGAGGGGACAAGTATTTTCCCAACTCTGATGAAGAGTCCATATTTTAGCCAAAGTCAAAGAGCAAGTAGAAAGAAGAAGAAAACATAAACCAAGTTGACCCTCTTGCATTGACTTGACTATACAATTGAAAAACATGATTAAAAAAAAAAAAAAACACGAAATTACCCAGCATCCTCTGTGTGTGTAGACCAGTGTGGAGACGTAGCTTGTCGTGTTCTCTCCTTGTTGAATGCAGAGGTAGTTATAAAGGCAGGAACTGGAAAAGGGAGATTTCTGTTGAATTCAGGGAGCCAAAGTACTCAGACCATCGTTTCCCAATTTTGGTTTTGTACCTGTCTAAGGGTCTCCATTCCTAAACTCACAGGGCTACGGCACACCATCAAGGTGTGAAATGAGGCCAAGTTACAAATTCAATAAAGATGTGTGTGCACACAGATCGGTAGGGAGGGGGCCTGCAGGCCTTTGACAAGCACATTTGTCTGCAGTAATAAAACTGTGTGAGAGGAAGGAGAGGGGCCAGGAGGAAAAACCAGAAGGAAAGGAAGATGGGGGTCAGAAGGGGAACAAGGGAAAAAGTGAGATAATAGAGAGCATGAAGAGAAGAGGAGGTTTCAAAAATGAAAGGAAGAGAAATAGAGAAAGAAAGGGAGAAATAAGATAATAAAAGAATAGAAAGGAAACAAAGAAGGATAGAGAGAAGACAAAAGAGAGTAAAAGCGGATGGAAGGAGAGAAAACAGACAAACAGAGAAAAAAATGAGAAAGGAAAAAAGCAGCTGGCGTGTTGGCTCATGCCTGTAATCCCAGCAGTGTGGGAGGCCATGGTGGGTGGATCATCTGAGGTCAGGAGTTCAAAATCAGCCTGGCCAACATGGCAAAACCCTGTCTCTACTAAAAATACAAAAATTAGCCGGGCGTGGTGGCAAGTGCCTGTAATCCCAGCTACTCAGGAGGCTGAGGCAGGAGAATCACTTGAACCCGGGAGGCGGAGGTTTCAGTGAGCCGACATCGCGCCCCTGCACTCCAGCCTGAGCAAAAGAGTGAAACTCCGTCTCAAAAAGAAAAAGGCAGAAGAAGCAGAGGAGGAAAGAAGGTGAGTCTTCCCCAAGCCTCAGGTAACCACAGCAGGAAAAGTTCATGGAAGCTCTGCCCACCACATAGTATCAATGTGGCTGCCCAGTGCCAGCCTGCACAGCATTGTCCCCACACCAGCTCAGGGAAAGAAAGTCTTCAGTGGTCCCCTTCTTTTCCCTCTTCCTCCCCACAACCCTCCCCCAACTCTGATGCTCTGGGTCAGAGAAAAAAAAATGGCACCAAGAATCCTTCCTCCTGTCTCTGCTCACTTTAATTCTATTGTGTTTGTGTGTCTCCTCTCTACCTCATCACTAAGTCTAGGGAGGCATTTGTTGCTATAATAACACCTATAGGTGTCAGTCTCCTGGACTGACTCTGTTGTCATCTTGAGGAAGGCAGGGTTTTGCCTTGTCCATCACTATAGCTTCACACATTTACACACTCAATAAATATTTGTGCAAGGAATAAATGGGCCAGTGAGTGAATGAATGAGGTCATGGGCTTGCAGCCAAGACACACAGGCCCTACTTCCCTGCAGTCTTCCGTTCCTATACTGAGCCTTGCAGCCAAGATGGCTCAGCAGTCCTCTACCTCTGTTTCAGAAACTGCGCGATTCCAGGAAGGGTAGATACAAGCTGATATCAACTTATGAGACGCCAAAGTCATCATCAACATGAACTCAACAATGTGAGGATACTGGTTGCAAAATAGATGCTTGAAGCCTACATGTTGATTTTACCTGTCTCTTTACTATCCCAAGATGACAAACCTTAACTCTTTTTGAGCTTTTCTTAATGAGGAGTTATTTTTGTATTACTAGGGAATTTAAGACAAAAGGCCAGGCACAGTGGCTCATGCCTGTAATCCCAGCACTTTGGAAGCCCAAGGCAGGCAGCTCACTTGAGGCCAGGAGATCAAGACCAGCCTGGCCAACATGGTGAAACCCTGTCTCTACTAAAAATTTTACAAAAATGAGCCAGATTTTGTGGCATTCGGCCATAGACCCATCTGTTCGGGAGGCTGGGAAAATCACTTGAACCCAGGAGGTGGGGGCTGCAGTGAGCCGAGATCACACCACTGCACTGCAGCCTGGGCAACAGAGTAAGACCATCTCAAAAAAAAAAAACAAAAACAAAAACAAAAAAAAACAGACAAGAGCAGCTGCCTAATACCGGGTAGCCACTTGTTCCTGTGTGGCTCTTTTTTGCTGCACTGACATGTTTAATTGTTTTCTAAATGTGACTGTAGCGTTTGCATTTCTAAGATCTACAGACAGAATTAGAAAGAACAAGAGAGTGCATGTATATCAGGATCCCTCTCTGTTTCTCTGAGACCTAATTATCAGAAACACAAACATCTAAAGGATTTAATTCTCCCATACATTTTCATTTCTGTTCTTCAGACACACATATGTGTTTCTTCACTAAGTGAAGAATCAATTTACTGCTAAATCCATGCAGCATTACACAAGTCCACCTGTAATTTTTTGGGGATTCTTTAGCTCAGATATTTATGTAATCAAATTTGTACTGCATATATCATTACAAAAGTTCAAAGGCAAGGTACTTAATGTATAGCTCAGAAAAAGAGGCTATGAAGTGGAAGGAAAACATAAATATATGATTCTAGTTTCTGATACAAAATTCTTGGAAAAGGTTCTATAATAATAAAAATACGCACTTCTAAGTTTCCAGGGACAACTCTAAGTCACTTTTCAGGTATTAATTTATTTAATTCTCACAAGCCTCTTGAGATAGATCCTATTATTTCCCCATTTCACAGACAAGAAAATTATGGCACAGAGAGGTTAAGAAATGTGTTTAAGGCTCACATCTAAATATAGCACAGCCAGGCAACGTCTCCGAAATCAAACTCCTCAGGGCGGCACTCCACTGCCTCTGTAATAATATAGATGACAAAGTTCCAGTACTGTTTGCAGCATCTTTCCCATGAATTATTTAAATTTGGCTTTATTTTCCCTTTCTGTCACGAATCATTATGCTCTATGTGAAGTCAGATTTAAGAAAGGAAAAGAGAAACTTTTAGCCCCTTGTATCTGGAGTCACCTCAGTCCATGAGAGAGGTAAGGAGGCCAGGGAGGGCACACAGTGGGTGCAGGGTCACCCTCTGGGTACCATGGCCCCTGGTATGTGTATAGCCTGCTCATTTACAAAGTAATTTCACATCATGTGTTACCTTCAACAAAAACTTTGTAAAAGGGTGTTATACCAATTTCATTCATCAGAAAACTGAGGCTCACCGAGGTTAAATGAAGGGAAAATAAGTAGTAAGTGACTAAGCAAGGACCCAGCACAGAAGCTATCTTCTGAGGGCTTGGGGGTTTGCATTTTTGTTTTCCATTTTCTGTTTGTGGTAGAGATGGGGTCTCACTCTGTTTTCCAGGCTGGTCTTCTGGGGCCCAAGCAATCCTTCTGCCTTGGCTTCCCAAAGTGCTAGGATTACAGGCATCTGCCACCAAGCTTGGCCCATCTGTTTTTCAGGACTTTCTATCAAGCTCAGTTTCATGCTCTTGGGATTAGGGTGCATCCTAAGAGCAAGCCAGGTACCCAGGGCTGTCCCCAGGCCTTGGGCTTGGTGGTGGCACATTCTATTGCCAAGGTCCCTCTCACATGAGCCAGACTGCCTGGAGGTCCCAGAACCAGCATCACTTTTTAATACACCCCCCCCAAATTCACTTTTCATTACTTAAGTAATGAAATAACTTAGAAATTATTTTTGCCTCCCGCCACACTTCTGCTAATGTGCGGAAGCACGTAACCCAGCATCCCTGGGACAAAGGCCCCCAATAAATCTAAGTTCCCCTTCCTGGCAACAGTATTCAAGTGCAATATATTCTTTGTTCACAGGCGATTTGCCAATGTTTCTGGCGTTCTATCAGCCTCCCATTGTTTGGTTTTACAACAACTTCCACTTCTAAAAGCAGGGCATTGCATATACTTACTTTGAACATGAAAGTAAATTAAATTTGCTTTGAGAATTTCATAACGCCCTCTGACACAATGGGGTGTCACAAAAGCAGGCCTGGGATCACTGGTCTATAGTACAGAAGAGAGTAAAATGAAAAATTGACAAATAATATCTACCTAGAGGCATATGGTTTATAATAATGCACATTGATCTCCTTTTAGGAGGAAAACACATATATATAAACAATTGTCAATGATGTGCAACACATTCAGTAATGTGGCTTTTTAAATTTGTTTTTATAATAAAAATATAATTATGGTATGCATTAAATGAAACAGGAAAAAGGAAATAGCTACTCAGTCATTAATAAGAGAGCTTCAGGGATCATGTTTCCTTCACTAGCTTCACGGGCATTTATATTTCTACTTAGTTACAAGAATCTGTAATTACAATTTTAGCTGTAATGATGACAGTTAATAGCAAAACACTATTGAGGTGGGAAAATCCCATAAGACTTAGAGCCGGGAGATCCAGGTTTTAGTTCCAGTAGTCCTTCACACGTGCTGTCACCTCTCAGAACTCCAGTGTCCTCAGGTGTAAACCAAGGATAATGACTCTGTCCTACCTCTCTGTGGAGGCAGAATTGTGGCCCCCAAAGAATGTCCATGTCCTGATCCCCAGAATCTGTGAATATGTTATATTACATGGGAACAAAGAATTAAGGTTACAGGTGGAATTAAGGTTGCTGCTCAGCTGACCTTAAAATAGGAAGCATAGCCTGGGTTTTCCAGGTGGACCCAATGTAATCACAGGATCCTAAGAAAGAGCTGGTCAGAACTTGGCCAGCAGGGCGAAACCCCATCTCTACTAAAAATACAAAAATTAGCCGGGTGTGTTGGTGCGCGCCTGTAATCCCAGCTACTCGGGAGGCTGTGGCAGGAGAATCGCTTGAACCTGGGAGGCAGAGGTTGCAGTGAGCCATGATCACACCACTGCACTCCAGCCTGGGCAACAGGGCAAGACTCCATCTTATATGAAAAGAAAAAAAAAAAGATGTGGCAACGGAAGAAAGGCACCGAGAAATGCATTGTTGCTAGCTATGAGGATGGAGGACGGCGGCAGTGAGGAAAGGATGTGGGCAGCCTCTGGAAGGTGGAAAAGGCAAGGAAGAAGAGTCTCCCCTAGAGCCTCCAGAAAGGCCTGTAGCCCAGCTGACACCTTCATTTTTGCCTGGGGAAACCCATGTCAGATTCTGATCTTCAGAAATGTAAGATCATAAATCTGTGGGGTTTTTTGTTTTGTTTTTTTGAGACAGAGTTTCGCTCTTGTTGCCCAGACTGGAGTGCAATGGCACAATCTTGGCTCACTGCAACCTCCACCTCCCAGGTTCAAGCAATTCTCCTGCCTCAGCCTCCCAAGTAGGTAAGATTACAGGTATATGCCACCACACCCAGCTAATATTTTATTTTTAGTAGAGATGGGGTTTCACCATGTTGGTCAGTCTGGTCTCGAACTCCTGACCTCAGGTGATCCACTCACCTCGACCTCCCAAAGTGCTGGGATTACAGGCATGAGCCAGCACACCCGGCCTAATCTGTGTTGTTTTAAGCCACTAAATTTGGGGTAATCTGTAGCAGCAGCCGTAGAAAATGAATACACTCCTTCACGGGGTTGCTATGAAGGCTGAACCAATGATGCCTGTAAGATCTCTCTGCTATGCAAACATGAGGGATTCGTGTGCCGCGCCTCAAAGGCGCCTGATCTGCGAACAGGAAGTCTAGTGGGGGTGGAAGGCAGTAACAGGGACACAGGTGACCATGAAGCAGGATGAGAGCCTCCAGGTTGAGTGTGGGCTTCTTCTCCATGCTCCCACGCCAACCTATGTTTCCTTCTATCCCAGAGCTCACCACCGTGAGTTCTATTTAGCTGTGATATGTTTGTTAATCAAGTTTGGATCTCTAAAACCTAGCACAGTGCTGGCACACACAGGAGGTGCTCAGTGAGTGTTAAGTTAATGAAACACATAAGTGAATGCTTAGTGCGTGGAGCCAAACAGGGCCTGGGGCCCATGGAGAATCCACGAAATTGGATGTTTACGTGATTGCCTCTCATGTCCCTCTTGTTTTCCTCTAGTAAGCCATCATTTTTCAAAGATCATTCCACAGCACATGAATGATTTTAGTGGGACGCTCCATAGAAAAGGGGATCATATGATCAAATTAAGTGGGAAGACACTGCAAATCCTCTCTCTCTCTTATGGAATGAAAATGCAGATCCACATAATAAAGGCTCTGAAAAGTTCTTTGGTAGAGAAAACTGTCTGATTTACCCCATATTTTCCTACTAATCCCTTTTCTTGCACAACTATTCTAATAAAAGAGGATACTCTGGGAACTTCTGCCTTCAGGAAAGTGCTGATTAGGTGACCCAGCTATGACAGAGGGGCCTCTGTCACGCTTGGGCTACAGCAGTGGCTCTCAAACTCCAGTGAGCATCCGAAGCCCCTGGAAGCCTTGCTAGAATGCAGAGTGCTGGGCCCACATGCAGGGATTATGATCCCATGGGTCTGGGTGGGGCTGAGGAACCAGATCCTGATGCTGCTGATCCAGGACCACCCGTTAGGAATCATCAGACAGGGTTGCTGGAGGGGTCCTGTCTTCCCCAACTAGCTTGTGACAGGAGTAATCATCACCAAGACATCTCCAGCAGGAGGGGAATGCTGGGGACCAAAGTCAGGACTGCAAATGCCAGCCGCCCTACCTCGAGTAGAGATTTCTCCTCTCTTCCCAAGCTGACATCTTTTATTTTATGATAGTAGGGAAGGAGGCTGTTCAGTACAGATATGTTAAGACACAGTCTCTAACAACTTCCTGCATTGTCCTGGTGTAGAGACCCAGGGCTGAGAAGGTGAGTGCGATGGCCTGGTGCCCCACTGAAGAGCCCGATGTGCTGAAGGAACCCTCTAGCAGTCAGGCATGGCACAGGAGTAGGTGGGCTGCTTTTCCAGATAGGTTGGCGCTAGCTTTTAAGATCCACCAAAAACATCCATAATGTCCTACAGTGTCTTCCTCCCCGAGCAGTTTGTGTACTGTCTCTGCAAAGTGACTGAGCGTAATTTTGTTCTATGGCTGTGTCTGTGAGCAACCACGTCTGAAGCACTGAATGACCTCCCTGTGACCTTAATATGACCACCGTATCAATGGGGGAACAACACTCTGGCCCCTCCATTTGCCACTCCACTACCACAGTGATCTTCTCCCCGGCAAAGAACACCCCAATGGCTCTTAAGATAAAGCCCAGAATCCCAAATAGGGTGTTCTCTGTGCGCCCCACATGCCGACCTTCCTTTGCCAATCGCATGCAGGCCTTGTGCTCCCCCATGTTACATAAAAGAGCCAAAGATGCTTATTCCTCACCCTAGGCTGAGACCCTTTAGCTCACAAACATGCTGGCACAAAACTCAAATTTTTTATACATGCAACTGTTTTTAAATAGACAAACAGGCAGATTTTTAGCCATTAGGGCCTGCCTGCCTGCACACCTGTGAAACTATACCCAGCATCTGTTGGCCACTGATAGGCCTTGTGTTATCAGACCCCAAGATGCTGCTGCCCTTCTGAGGTCTCTGACCAAAAGACTCCCCACTGTGCTGCTGGATGACCTCACCTTGACATTTAAGGCCCCTTTCCAATCTCCCTCTCCCCCAGGAGTTGCTGTGCCCTCCTCCCCAGCCCACCATAAGCCTCTGAACAGTCTCATGCTGTGAGGACGTCCTCTCTCATGCAGCCCTGTCCAAGCACAGCCCAGTAAACTTCGCTGTGCTACTGCCTCTCATGGATATAGCTTTTCCCTTGATCAGCTCCCAAATCCCTCAAACCCTCTACACCTGGCCATCAGGTTTAACCACACTAGTCTGCCTGCCTGGGCAGCTCTACAGACCTCAGCCCCACATACCTCAGCCCCACATACCTCAGCCCCACACACCTCAGCCCCACATACCTCAGCTCCATCTCCAGGAAAGCCCCTCCTCCTCCTTCTCCCCCAAGACCGAGGGGAATCACCTGATTACACCCGCTGAGAGCTCCCTGCACCTCTCACTCGTTTGCTACCAGCTGCACCAATTACTGCAGCTGTAAATCCATTAATTCCCTGGATTATCTGATAATTGCACCCCTCTCACTAGGCTGTGATCTACCTGACAGCAGGCTCCACATCAACTTTTCTCCACATCAACCATCGTGACCCCAGCGCCAGCCCAGCACCTGGCATCAAGTAGACTCTCAATAAATATTTGTGTGTGAAAAAAAAGAAGAAACAAAATGGCTTGACAAGGATTGTGTTGACATGAAATTTCCACGTTCCTATGAGAAACATATGGTTTTTGCTATCCTGAGAAGTCAGTGTTTTGCCCTATTGGATTCAATGCAGATCAACACATCAGCTTTTTCATTTATTTCTCTGTGAGCCTTGTATGGTCTCTGGCTCATTAATGAGCCGATTCCTGGCCCCTCCATTGGCCACTCCAAAACCAGAGTGATCTTTTCAAATTACATTAGCCCCAATCCAGTCTTGAGAGGAGGGGCAGGTAAAACGAATCATTAAAAAATAATAATAAAAGGCCGGGCGCAGTGGCTCATGCCTGTAATCCCAGCACTTTGGGAGGCTGAGGCGGGTGGATCACAAGGTCAGGAGATCGAGACCATCCTGGCTAGCACAGTGAAACCCCGTCTCTACTAAAAAATACAAAAAATTAGCCGGGCGTGGTGGCAGGCGCCTGTAGTCCCAGCTACTCGGGAGGCTGAGGCAGAAGAATGGCGTGAACCCAGGAGGCAGAGCTTGCAGTGAGCCGAGATCATGCCACTGCCCTCCAGCCTGGGTGACAGAGCGAGACTCTGTCTCAAAAATAATAATAATAATAAAAGAATCACTTTATCATTGTTTAGAATTCTGTGATTTTTCCACGATTTTTCCACATGCGTGAGTGTGCATAATGAAACAGGAATTGCAGTGGAAGGTGAAATAGCGTTATACTTCCTGGACTCTTACTGTGCTGTGTGAAATGTCATCCTCCTATCTAAAGTCCTTTATCACCAGCTTGATTGAGTTCACTCAAAACCACAAGCATGCGGTTTATTTCATTACTGAGTCCGTGCACAATGAGAATGGGCCATCGGATTATAAAACACACCAAGGGAAGTGAGGGAAAGGGAGGCGTCTGCACAGCTGGCCATAATTCCTTTATTAAGCATTTCCTGAGCTTCCTATCTACTTTGGGCAGCCTGGCCCATACCACTCCCTGTGGTGCATGGAACCTTCCCTGCACAGCATATGGCCTTTTGTAGGATGAAGTGGTCAAAAAGTCATCACAGATAACAAAGGCAGCAACCATGAAAACATCAGTACCATAGGTGTGCCCGCAGTCCTGGCCCTGCGGGGTGGAGTACTCCAGGCAGCCAGCTCTCTCTTCCAGGGGTGGGCAGGGCGCCCCGCCGTTCTGAGGCTCCTGCTGCACCGAGCGCCTCCGCACACGGGTTGTAGGCTTGCACTGGTCTGCACAACCACTCCAGGGGCTCCATTCCCCCACGAAGCACGGGCGAGCTGAAAAACAGCACAATAGGACGCTCACCTGAGTAAATCCCGCCAGGCTGGCAGGCTGTTCCCGCCAACACAAACAGCTGAGTTTAGCTCCATGTAAACTTTGCCTGGCCCCAGGCCCTGTATCAGGAGACGCACACAAAGCCTCAGCAGGTCCCAGATGACACTGATTCCACCTGCCCACCCCGATGGTGAATTGATAACCTGGTACCCCTTAGAAGTAGCTGGATACCCTGGGATCCTAAATGTGGGTCTGATCCAGGGAAACACACCCAAGGAGATGAGACGGATGCTTTCAGGGGAATTTCTCATACTCCCTGGGCTGAGATCAGATATTTGCTTTTGTTTTTCCTTGATATTAATTTTATCTGCCCCTGCCCATAACATTTTTATTATAACAAGACATTCTCATCATAGACAACATAAACAACAAAAAAAAAAGTATAAAAAAGAAAATGTACTTCACCCACCAACAATCCCATCACCTACTCAGGTCAATTCTTCTCAGCAAATGTGTCTTCATAAGAAACAGGGCTTAGGGCCATGCACAGGGACCCCTATACTCTAAGCTTCTCCTGTTTACTCTATTTTCTTTCTCCATGGCTTGTAGACTCATGAACTATGAGGGCTGAAGTTTAGAGATGAGCCACCAGGGCCCAGAGAGATAAAGAGTATTCACGGTCACCCATGAAAAGGCAGTGTCAGGCCAAGAATCTGGGCCTGGAGTCTTGTTTGTGCTGTTGGTCTATGCTTTTCCACATGATTTGGTCGGTGTGGGGCTCAGCTGGTTTCTCAGCAAACAGCCGTGCACTGGGCTGCTCCCTGGAGTCCAGCAATACATACTGGGATTCCCCTGATGGACAACTAAAGCCATTCTCCTTCCTTGATTGTGAAGTCCACTTAACAAATCTGAAGATGTAATTTAAAAATGCAATTTCCTCACCATGACCATAAAATCAATATGGCGTCACGTTTAACTTTCTCATTGAAAGTTTTAATGTATCTCAGACTGTAATCAACTTTTAAATTGAATTATTTCAGGATTTAAAATTAAATATAAGGAAAGAACCAGAAGACAGAAGACATGCCCATGACCTAGATGCCAAACATTTTTTTCCCCTTGAAGTGTGATCCGCTTTCCTATCATCCTCACACTTTCTAATTCATAATGTTTCCCACAAGAATTAGCACTCTGTCTTCTTTGAAAGCTTGACTTGAACTTCTGCATTCACGGTTTTTGGAGGACATGTGATTTGCCAGTGCATAGCTACCCCTGACATAAAAAGGGTCCCATGCAACATAAACATGTCAGTAATTTTAAAATTTCCATACTAGTTTAAAACATGCTTTCATTCATCAATGAAATACCCACAGGTATCACATGTCAACTACCTAAAGAAGCCAGAATAAGCCACGTTACAGTTCATTCCCAATATCTGCCATGTATACATCTTTTGGAAAAACACTAACAGGTCACTTCCTGCTTTTGTTGGCTCTTGTTAGCCCTTCCCTTTTTATTTTCTTGATTTCATAATTTCATTGGCCCATCAAACCAAAAAGCATTTAAAGAGATCTCCTAGGCTGCGAGCTGATTGAGAAGGACTCCTTCTATCCTTCATTATTTCAATGCCTCTTTTCTTCCACCTTCAGCCTTGAGTCTAGCTAGTCCTGTTGTGAGGTGTTGGGCTTGAACAACACTTAATATTGCATAAAAAGAATGCACTTGTTTCAAAGATTAACATTTGGACATCACTATAAAATACAATTTTGCCATAGCATTAACTCAGAACTTAGTAATATGGCCTTGAATTAGACTTGGTCCTTATGGTAAAAGATGACACTGGGGAGGGTTTTCTGACTGAACTTAGCCTCCCAGGATTCCATCGTCATATGTGTCTCTTGTCTAGTATTTGTTTCTTGTATTCGGTTTGGTCTCACAGTTGAAGTCCTCAAAATTACAGAATCAATCATTGCATCAAGTTGCTCCTATTCGTTAAAGTTTGTCCTTAGCAAAACACTATATCCTGTTTTTCCAATCCATGATTTTAAAAGCTCCATAAAGAGAATCAGAAAGTTGTAGGGTCCAGAACAATGACATCTCAATAGCTTCATTATGAGACAAAATAAAAAACACTCACTCAGAATTATAGGAATAAAGAGGTGTTTCACAAAATATTTTGCGTCGGAAGATTAAATAAATTAAGAAGTATTTATTCCTATACTGCACCAAAGATTCTATTGTTGGTTAGCTTGTGAACTTTTGATTATTTGGATTGCAAGCCATCATAGATCACAAGAGATCTTGGTCATGGAGGTTAAGGGAAGTACGGAAACCTCTGACAGATTTATTTCAAGTCATTTATTACAGCTGCCTGACACAGATTTCCTTTTGGACGATGCCAATAGTATTCATGTCCCCTTTCCCACTAGCTTATCTAACTCACATCTATTCACAGCATATCAAAATATTCTTTTTACAATCTGACCTTCTCAATCTTCACTTGAGTTTCACCAGCTGTTAATGGAGCCGATAGACTGTGGCACCTAGGAGCGGCATGGTGGCCTTTGACTCCAAGTTTGTCACAGCTTCTCAGTTGCTTCAGAGTTAGGATTTGATGACATCATCCACCCCTTTTAGGAGAAGAAAGCCTAGATTTAATGGGTGCCAGGAAGCTCAGTAAGCTTGCTGTTTTCTTTTCTTCTTTGTTTAAACTCAAGCTAATATTCAGGTTGGGTCTCCCCAGAAGCAGCCTGTGAGACATGGATTTAAATGCAAGTAATTTATTTGTGAGGTGATCTCAAGCACCATACAGGAGTGGAGAACAGAGTCAGAGAGGGAGACAGAAGAGAGCACAGACAGAAAATAAAAAAAGCTAAAAGCTCTGCTGAAGGTCTGGGGGGCACCCCTGGCTTTCAGCTCATTGGAGAGTGAGACAATGGATGTAGATTCAGAGTGCAAGAAATTATCAAGTCCTTGCCCATTTACCAACTGGTCCCCCTTTCTCAAGACCTTTCCAGTTATCAGAGATTCCTACCACAGCCAAAGGAGAATAAGTTATATATCTCAGTAATGAATCACACACAAGAGTGCAGCACATTTTCACAGTCCTAATGGAGATAGCCAGTCACGTCCAAGTACAATTACTTTAAAAGATGTATCACTAATTTTTTAAAAGTATAAATGACTTAAACTCCCTCATTTCCTTTGGATTTCATCTGACATCTGAACTCCCTGCTGTGACCTACAAGGTTCTGTTCCTGTGTGACCTGGCATCTGCCTGACCTTCCACTTCCACCTGCACTTCCCCGCCCACCTCTGCTCCAAGTTCAGCCACATGGGCCTCTTTACCCCTTGAACACACCAAGCTCTTTCCCACCCTGGGACCGTTGTACACATTTTTACTCTGCTGGGAATATTCTCCCTACACTGGGCATGGCTGGGTCCCACTCACCCTTTAACTCCCAGACTAACTACTTCCTCTTCAGGGAGTCTTTTTCTGGCCAGCTTTTTCTAGTCTTCGCCTAGCCCCACTACACAGACACACACACACACACACACACACACACACACACACACACACACACACACTTATTTCCTCTCAGAGCTTGGTGTTCCTCACCTTGTAGCATTGCCATAATTCATAATTACTTATTCATTTGTTGTGTTTATTATTGATGCCCCTGAGGATCATGATAGTTTTCTATTTCATTCCTGGTGCTTGGCACATGGTAGGTGCTTAATAATATTCATTGAATGAATGAATGAAATGGCATTGGGCATGTTTCCCCTCCTCCCTAGATAATGTTCTACATTGAAACAGACTCTGATCTGCTCATATCATTAGTTAGAAGCCAAAATGCTGAAGGAGGCTCCAGCAAAGGAAGGAAGTGGGGTGGAAGGAGACGAGTGAATCAGAAGCCCCCACAGCCAAACCCATGGGAATTCTTAGCCTGGCCCAGAGTGTGGGCTCTCCTGGCAGCAATGGCCCCAAGGGTGTCCATCAGAAGGAGCATTGTTTTCTGTGCCTTAAGATCAGGTAGGTCCAAGCTTCTCCTGGCAGCTACAAGTCCTTTAGATCCATTCTGATCTATTTATATCTCCTGCCAGGACCACATTTTGAAAGTAACAAGCTTCTTTACTTTTATTATCTGTGGCACAAAATGGCATTTCCTTTCATTTGATCCAAATTTCCCTCACTCAAGAATTTCAGAATATGGTGAAAAAAAAAAAAATCCATGCTTACCTTTTCTATGCCACTCATGGTCTGACATGGTCTGTGCCACTCATGGTTTGGGGAGGTCTCCTTTCCTCCCAGCCAGACTCTCCAAGGTCATGTCTTCTGCTTTTGGACCCATCTTTCTAGGCACTTCTCATCTCGGAGTTACCACTGGACTTTCTCCAGGTCTGTTCGCAGCTCGAGGAGTTGTGCCAGCCAGAGCAAGACACCCTATTCTCAGCCTTTAGGTACCAAAGGGTCATTTAAAAATATATATATTTTTTCAAATGCTTTTCTAGGTGATGTCAAATACATGCACACAGAGACAACAAAATGAGCCGACAGCCAGAGCCATTCATTTTATAAAGAGAGTTTGGACTATTTTTCCTTCGAGGTGAGGCCTTGTTCTTGTTTTCATGTAGCAGTGTCTCCTTGGTTAATCACAGAGACTCAAGCACTCTCCTTTGTAATCTAGCCCTGCCTATTGGCTTTTTGCCATCTAAAAGTTTAAGGCCACCCACAAACAAGTGCTTTCTCCCTCACATCGTTAAGTTCAAATAGTCCTAATCATTCCTAAGGAAATGTTCTTACACCGTACCCACAGCAGTACCCATTTATGCATAGCTATTGTTTCTTCACATTCTGTGGAAGAAAAATAAAACAGCCCTATTATCCCCCAACACCCACACATGCACACCTCATAGTGACACAAATTTAAATATATATCATCTCCCTTTTCTTTTTTTTTTTGGAGACGGAGTCTTGCTCTGTCACCCACGCTGGAGTGCAATGGCGTGATCTCGACTCACTGCAACCTCCGCCTCCTGAGTTCAAGAGATTCTCATGCTTCAGCCTCCCGAGTAGCTGGGATTATAGGAGCGCACCTCCCTGCCTGGCTAATTTTTTGTATTTTTAGTAGAGATGGGGTTTTGCCATGTTGGTCAGGCTGGTCTCGAACTCCTGACTTCAGGTGATCCTTCCACCTTGGCCTCCCGAAGTGCTGGGATTACAGGCATGAGCCACCGTGCCCGGCCATCATCTTCCTTTCTTTTTCTCCATGTGTATTCCTCTTTCCGTAGAACCTTGTCAAAGCTTCTCTGAAAGCCAAATGAGACTACATTCCCCAAGTGCCTATTACTCCCTCAGAAAGCTCAAATAAAATGATCAAGACTTTTCTCCCTCTCTTGCAGAAACCACGTTATCTGGCCCCCAAAGGGGTTTTTTTTCCTTTTGAGACATTTACTGGCTAGTTCCTGAAGTACTAGCAAGATGACATGGGCTGTGTCATTTGATAAATAGAATTTTATATACTATGTAACCCAGGAGAAAAAAAGATATGAATAAAAAAGATAATAGTACTTTTTCTTTCTGGGTAACAGGTTTCCAGGTGAGTTGCCTTCTTGTTTTGTGCATTTCTGTATTTTCCAAATTTTCTGCAACAAACATATATTTTGTAGTTAAGGAAAGAAAATCTTTTATAGAGGAAATGTGGCTCTACCCTGGATGGCGGTGCCGTCTGAAGCCATGGATAACATCACCTGGTGGGGATGGGTGGGACGACTGCTCACATTCTTTTGACAAACATTATTAAGTAGCATCATGATAGCCATTGGAGTTTATGCAGACAGGCAAGACACACTCTGCCCTCGAGGAGCCCTGAGTAGATGGAGGGAGAAGCCTTGCTCACTCTGTTGGTGTTTATGTGGGGCCTACCCCGCAAAGCACACTGCTTCTCATAAGACCTCATTTCTCTGAGGCAGAAAAACATCATGTTTTGACGTATGGCCTCTGGATCCGGATGACCTGGGTTCAAATCTCGCTACACCAGTTATTAGTGGTGTGACTTTGGACAAGTTACCCAACCTGTCTGTGCCTTGCTTACCTCGTATGTAAAACGAGACCAAAATGAGGACTAACATCAGCGGGTTGAGGGATCCAAGTAAGTTAATAACTGTGAAGTGCTTGGGAGAGCGCCTGGTATGGAGGAAATGTGAAGTGTTAACAACTTGACCCTCCTTCACTGCTCACCCAGGGCCGCAGCCAAATTCTGCTAAGTCAAGTCCATTTGAATACTGGCTCCAGTCAGGCCCCGCTCGTTTTTTTTCTTCAAAGCCAAAGGCGATGTCTCTCAGACTGTTCTGGTTCCTGTAAAGCCTCAACTCTCTAAATCATCGTAGACTCTGGCATCTTTCCTTTGGGTGAGTTTGGAGCCCATATTTTCAAGCATGGTGCCTCTTTCCCTCCAGATATGATGTCATCAGACTTTGGCTAGTTTGTTTCCTAGACTCTCCATAAATCTAGGAGAAGACACCAGCCCATATAGGCTATTCAATGTTTGTCCTGCTTCACTTGGGTTAATTATTACCCTCTCCTTAAGCTGCCAATCAATGATCTAATGCAACTACTGTTCTATGATCTTAGAAAATGCAAATTCTAGGAACCCAGCTGGAGAATCAGAGATTGGGATGTTATCCACCTCATAAGCAAGTTTTCCAAGAAGTTCTTCCAGGGCAGGGAAACTTGGATCTGTTCCCCTACTCTACTTTTCCCCATCCCTGGTAAGGCACAGCCAGTGGAGAATTTTCCATCCCTTTCTTAGAGGAGGTGGGAAGGGAGCTGTGATGCTCCCTTGGTGTTGAAACTCATGCCATTGTCATAAGGAGATTTCCTGAGATCATTCCAGAACAGATGTCTTTGACAGTTTAGTAATTGTATAGATTCAATAACATTTTAGTTTTTACCTGAGAAAGTCTTTTTACTTAGAAAAAGAAATGCCAGTATTTCATCTCTTAGCCACATAATAACAATAATAATAATGCATTTATCAAGATGAAAAAATCAGAAGGAATAGAAGTAAAGCATGCTTAGTTACACTGACTCAGTTACATTTTCCATTCACATTGAATGTAATATCAGTCAAAAAAGGCTTTAGGCAGCAACAATAGGTAAAATAATGGGTAAGAAGGAAAAGAGGGCCAGGCACCCTGGCTCACACCTACAATCCCAGCATGTTGGGAGGCCAAGGCAGGCAGATTGCTTGAGCCTAGGAATTGGAGACCAGCTTGGGCAACATGGGGAAACTTCGTCTCCACAAAAAATAGCCAGGCTTGGCAGCACACGTCTGCAGTCCCAGCTACTCCGGGAGCTGAGGTGGGAAGATGGACTTGAACCTGTGAAGCAGAAGTGTGGAGGTTGCAATGAGCTGAGATCACGCCACTGCACTCCAGCCTAGGCAACAGAATCAGATCCCATCTCAAAAAGAAAAAAAAAGAGAGAAGAAGAGAGTCTAAGAGGCAGAATGGTTCTATGAGTATAGAGTAACTGGGGGTTCTAAGATGCTGAAACCTGATTTATCTAGGAATAAGTAATAGCCATAAATTGGCAAATATATGTGGCAATTGGCAGTCTGAAATCAGGCACTTCAGATCTCAGCTCTGCTCATTGGTGTTAGCTTGAGTAATGGAAACCCTTGGAAAGCCTTAGCTGTTCTGTCTGTAAAAATGCTAGTATAGGTCACCAGGTTCTTTTCCCAAATGCTTGAGGCAGTTGAGTCTCAGTACTCAGGACTTCCTGGATCTTAGAAAGGGAATACAGTCTATGTACCTTATTTGGGGTGTCCCCCTCTACTCAGCAGGGTCTGGAGCAGATCCTTGCAAAATATATTAATATTTTTGAGGCAAAATATAAACAAAGATGATCAATATCCTTCTATCAGTGCAAGTCAGGTGAGACTTTTGCCACCAAATGAGTTATGAAAAAGCTTTCAAATGTTAGCACTTTTTAGATTGGGATTGTCATATGGGTTTGTGGACCTGACCTGCCTTTCTTAACAATTGTTAGGATGGCTGGGCATGGTAAGCTCACACCTGTAATCCTAACACTTTGGGAGGCCAAGGCAGGTGGATCACTTGAGGTCAGGAGATTGAAACCAGCCTGGCCAACATGGTGAAAACTTGTTTCTACTTAAATTACAAAAAAATTAGCCGGGCATGGTGGCAGGTGCCTGTAATCCCAGCTACTCAGGAAGCTGAGGCAGGAGAATCGCTTGAACCTGGTAGGCGGGGGTTGCAATGAGCCAAGATCACGCCAGTGTACTCCAGCCTGGGTGATAGAGTGAATGAGACTCCGTCTCAAAAAAAAAAAAAAAATTGTTGGGAGGATTAAATGAGACAAAGTATTAAGTATCTGGCACATGGTGTGAGTTGAATAAAATGTATTTATGATTTAATATTAACGAATACAAATTATAGCAATATGTTGTCAGAAAATTATGATGTAAATATTTAATCAAATGAAATATTCTCCGCTGTCGACCAGTGCTAAGAGCCAACCAACAGTACATTTGCTACCTAAATGTCTACCACATGCCAGGTGCAGTGCTCTGGGCTTGCCAGGCATAGCCTCCTTCTGTCAACTCCACAGTCCCACACAGTGGTTTCATCTCCCCTGCCCCTACTTTTTTTTGAGACAGGGTCTTACTCTGTGGCCCAGGCTG
Source organism: Homo sapiens (assembly GCF_000001405.40). Lineage (NCBI taxonomy): Eukaryota > Metazoa > Chordata > Mammalia > Primates > Hominidae > Homo > Homo sapiens. The sequence continues at coordinate 73,089,923 of NC_000008.11, forward strand.
AAGTGCAGTGGCATGGTCACAACCACAACTCACTGTAGTCTCTACCTCCTGGGCTCAGGTGATCCTCCCACCTCAGCCTTCTGGGTAGCTAGGACTACAAGGGCACCACCACACCCAGCTAATTTTTGTCTTTTTAGTAGAAATAGGGTTTCGCCATGTTGGCCAGGCTGGTCTCAAACTCCTGAGCTCAGGCAATCCATCTGCCTTGGCCTCCCACTGTGCTGGGATTATAGGCATGAGTCACTGCTGCCTGGCAGTATCATTCCGCTTTAATGAGGTACTTTAGGCCCCACGAGGGTGACTTCTCCAAAGTCACAAAGCCAAACAGCACCAGGGTAAAGGCTGAACCCAGGATTCTGACTTTAGAGGCAAAATTGAGGCATTCGGGTTACTTCTGGGATTAAAAAAAATCACAAATAAAAAACAAATATTTGAGACTTAGAATCTGTGAGAGGGAAGGCTGCATTCCAGGAGTTGCCCCGAACCAGCTTCCAGCTGCCAGGTCAGCTCTGAGCCCGGGAGGCAGGCGGTGACCGCCCTGCCCAGGAGCCACAGTCGGCATGGTTGTGGCATGGGTCCAGGGCTGAGCAGGCTGGGCCTCTCGGCTCCGGGCCTTCTGCTCTCACCCTCGGAGGGGCAGGCTCAGTCCCACCAAGTGGCCACCTTCCAATTGTCTTTGTTTTCCTCCTCCCTTCGCAAGAAACTTCAGGCACAGGGAATTTCTCAACACGGAGCTTTTCAGTCCCCCACCTGCTTCCTTCTAGGCCTGCAAGGTCCTCTGTTGACTCTGCCACAGGGTATTGAGGGCTTCAGAATATGCTCCTTTTAAAATTCAATCTGACACCATCTCCTTTTCCCCCACTCACAGCTCTTCTCTGGGGCACACACTTACAGTGATTTCTGAGAGCTTCACAAGACAGCAGGCCATGTCACCGCTTCCATACTTACCCACTAAATCCCCACTCCAAAACCATAGGCTCTTTGTCTCACTATTCTACCGCCTAGACTGAAAATAAGCAATTTCTTTTTGACCAAATAAAGACAGGGTTTTCCAATTCCTGGGAGCGCTGTCAGGTCTCACTAGAAAGCAAGTTCTTCTCAAGACATTCTCCTTGTCTCTCCTCATCCCTCTTACGGGCCTGAATCTCTCCAGATCTGGCTGCCTCCAGCATCTGTCCTGTTCACCATTTTGGCCTCAGGGCCTAGCACAGGGCCTGGCACAAGCAGGTGATGCCCACAGTAACTACTGGACTGTGACATTGGGCTTCCCTCCTACAGCCTGCCTCTCTCTCCTCCAGCAGGCCTCTTCCTCATTCTCCAGGCCCAGGCTCGCCCATTACTTCCTCAGGTGAGTCTTCCTTGAATTCCTTGGGTCTTTTAAGTGCTTCCTTCCAGGTCAGCTCCTGGATCAACTATTTCAGTGCTAAGTGTGTCGAACAGGAGCTTGCACAGGTTGCCCAGCTAGAGTAGAAAGTCCTAGAGAGCAGAGACTGCATCTTTGTCACTTCTCTATCCCTGCGCTTACCACAGATCAGGGGACATTAGCTGGGTCACAGGAATTCCATAATTACCTTTAAAATGTATGCAAGCCCCTCATGAGAGAGAGGCTTTGCTTGAGTTATGCAGGGAAATGAGGCCGACAGTTTAGGATGCTGTGAGGAGGGGCTGGAGTTACCTGGCTCAAGGGCACTGCATTTCCTAAATAGCTGACTCTTCCATCTTACTTTAGTAGTAAAATACTCTGAACTTAGAGCCAGAAAGGGAAAGAAGCTTATCAAAAAGCTTTATCAAAAATAATATCAATATTCACAGGTAAATCATTAGCTTTCAACCAGGGTCAAAAAATCTTAATGCTTTCAACTGTGTTCTTTCAGCATCGGGCCTGGCCACGGGTTGAAGCCCTCTTCAAACAGCACAGAGGCAGGAGGGTGCTCCCCGCCACTGGGTATCCGGTTGCCCAGGGAATGGCATAGCCCCAGAAAATGCTGAGGCTCCCACATGTCGGGATCCTTCAGCTCGAACCCTAATATCTGTGTGGCTTTGGGGATGATGTGATTAACAGGAGCAGGGCGACTTCCACTTCCATGGCTGGCTTCTCTCAGGTACACCTTGTTCCTCAAGGCTGTACTCATCATTTGTTCCTTTATCTTTTAATTCAATTAAACCAGCTTTTATTGAGCCCTTACGGGGACAAGGAACTGTGAGATACTGTGGGAAATTTAAAGTTGAAAAAGACTGACCCTAAAGGAAAACCAGCAAGATTACAACATAATAGGGACCTCGAGATAAAATCCTTGTCATGCTGTACAGAGAAAATTAAATTCCAAGAACATACTGTACACCTCCTAGGAGAAAGAGGCTGTTCTACATTTTGGGGTCCAGAGATGAGGACATCTTCAGATTTTTAAGACCTTGCTCTCCAGAAGAAAGTATTAATACCTTCCCAGAGCACGCCCTTGGCACAAAGTGGGAAGATTACACAATCCTGCCCTCATCACCCCTCACCAGCCCCAAAGATCCCCGAGGGTTGACAGAATGAAGGTGGTGGAGCCTGGCCCAGGGGCATGCCCCTTATCTGTCAGTGCCATCTCTGCCGGCCAGAGGTGGCCCTATCCAGCTGGAGTTTCTGAGTCGGAGATTTCGTCTCTCGGCTCCCTTCCATCCCGCTGGAGAACAGCGGGATCCAGCCCTTCCATCCGGGCTCTGGTCTGTCTTGGGGGTGGGGGGACACTTCGATGTCTAGCAGGGGACTGGGAGACCCTAGGATGAACGGAGCCGGGCGTACCTGGATGGCGGTGGTGGGGATGGGTGGGGATAAAGGGTCTGGAGGACACCTGGCTCAGGGACTGAGGTCCTTGGCACAGCGCCCTGCCCTGTGCCCGTTGGTTGCAGGCTAACGGCCGGCGCCCCACTCTCGGCCTGACCACCCACCTGGGCACGCCCTGTCGTAGTCGAAGCAGCAGTCCCCGGTGAAGCGACAGGCTTGGTCGCAGAAACACGTCCCGTAGACCCTGTCCAGCCTCCAGCCGCGGGCGAAGCAGGCGGGGTCCCGGCCGGGACAGCAGCGCCCGGCCTCGGCGCAGCCGGCCTGGGCCCCGGGCCACAGCCGCGACAGCGCGCACAGCGCCATCCACAGGGTCCTCATGGCCAGGGCTCCGGCGGCGCCTGCGACGCGACAGACCCCCGGGGCAAGCGCTCTGATCCTCGGCTGGCCGCGGCCCGGGAGCTGCCCGAGCGGCCGGCGAGGCACAGCCGGGCCCTGCCCTGCGCCCGGCCCCCGCCCTCCGCGCCGCCCCTCCCCAGCCCTGGCGGCGCGCCCGTCGAGGCCCGGGCGGGTGGCGGGGCTGCCCTGCCCAGGTGGGGAGGGCGCTGCAGTTCCCGGGACGGGCCCGCAATCGACGGTCCGGGCGCCACCCACTCCCCGCTGCCAGCTCGCGCCCCAGCTCCAGCCCGGGGACCTCCGGGGCGCGGGAGCGGAAAAGCAGGTGCTGGCGGGGCGGGGGTCGGGGTGGGGTGCCGGGGCGTAGCCAGGAGCCCGGCGGGGGAGGCCACATTTCCTGGCTCTAAACTGTACTTCTAACGCCTGGGGACACATTAACGAGCGGGCATTTTCACTCTAAAGCCATGAGACCAAGAGCACTCGATGGGCACCAAACGTGTCTCAGCAGCACTCTGCGCGGGCCACCCCGCCTTCGCCCGGGAAAGCTCATTCAAATACAAAGTGGACACCAGCTCGCCCACCCTCTCAGTCCCCGCAGGCCGCAGAGAAGCTAGGAGATAAGTCCAAAGAAGCATCCTTTCTTTCTGCTGCATTTATAATGGGACTCTTCTGCCCCAGGAAAATGCCACTTCGCTTCACGAGGAGGCAATTTGTGAATGGTGGGAAGAATAAATAAAATAACGGGGCTCTGTTTTCTGATAAACCAATTTCTCCCCCTAAAAACTCTGTGTACTGATATTTTAGAACTTTCACTTTAATAAAATGCTTGCCTAACTTTTAATATATATATTTTCTTCTCCCTTTCTCTCCAAATGTGTTACGTTTTCTGCACCACTCTTTTTGTTCACCCAAATTTATGCTGGAATTTTCATTTTATGTTCTTAAATCATTTACCCTAATATGGTTTTTATGTGAAACCAGGAATATAACGTTTTTTGCATCTGCGAACCTAAGAAATCAAATTAATTTCATAGACTTTCTTTCTTTCTCATATAAGGATTTACAGAGGAATTTTCTTTATTCATCAGAGAGAAAAGTTAACAAAAGTAGAAATGAAAAACTTGACTACAAAAGTAGTGAAACAATACGGTAATCAACCATACAAAACACATTGTGAAATGAAGAAGATTTAATACATTATAAGAATTTTATCTTATAAACTCTAACCACAAAGTTTGACCAGTGGAGACTGTAATCTTATTTCATCTTCCAAGAAAAACACACTCTAAAGTCAAAAAGAAGTTTTTTCTTTGTGAGCTTATACAAACAAATTCTCAACGTTGAGATTTTTTTTCCGTCTTTAGGTAAGTCTCTCTTACTTTTGTAGTCTAAAGAAATAACATATACATATATATTTATATATATGTGTGTGTGGGTGTGGGTGTGTATCTTTAGTTTTTGTAGCTGGAACTAAATAACTGCAGCAAATTATACCCTCTGCCTTTTCCCATGTCACAGATTTTATTAGCAGTTTTGTATTAACTCATTCATGTAATTTATACCCACACCTTCTCTAAGGCTGTCTGCTTTATAGAACGCCTTTAGGCAGATACTTTTTTTGTAATGCCATAAGAATCTGGAACAGTTCCAGAAAGATGTAAAGGAAAATGATCCGCCGACAAGTTCGCTTTCAGGAATAAAACATGAAATGAAGTGATAACAGAAAGGAGAAGAGGAGGTCTGGTTTAAGAGAATTAAAAGTATAATGCCAAATGCCTGCTCAAATACCGTTCTTTTCAGCCCGCTCCCCACCCCCACCAGCCCTTTTCCTTATAGACAAAACCAAAATTGGAAATCGAAAACAAAAAGTTAGGGGGTCTGTGCTCATGAGATTTAGCTTCCAGAATTACAAAATCTGGGTCTAGTTCTGATCCTATGATTTCTGACAAATCTCAGTGCCCTCAACTCAAACATAGAACACTAAATCTTTTCAGATTGTTGTGAGAGGCCCACAGAGACGAGGCGATGTGAGTGGGAACTAAATATCTATTAATGTCCTAATGTCCACCCCACTCCCACTCCATAATTTAAGCCTAAACCAAGCAAAGACAAGTGCAGTTTTGGTTGTGTGCAAAATAGGGGAAAGCAAAAAGATTTTGTCGCTTAAAAAAAAAAAAGAAAAGAAAGGAAACGAAAACCACAAATGATTACTACTTTAACAGCACAGATAAAAAGGAGTTTGTCTCTGGTAAGTAACATTAAAAGAAACAATCTCAAGTTAAAGCTTGTACTGTCTTGAAAATATGAAGAAAAGCCTCCCGTAGCAGGCTGTAGCAAAGGAAGCAGTTCCTGCAGGAATGGGCAAAGTCAGAGGACCCTGACATTTAAAGCAATGGAGTTCACATCCTTACTGGAAACTGGATGCAGTCAACTGTAACAATTAGTGGCTTTGTTTTCCTTGCCCTGGAGATGTTTGGAGAGCAGAAATCATCCCAGTGATCAGGTGGATGACTATAGGAAGTAATAAAATGCACCTTAGAAGACACACTTTCTTCTGAAGTGTTGTCTTTGGAAGCTGTCCAGGATTGGTAAAATTATGGGGGTGGGGTGGGGGGCTGAGAGTGGGGAGAGAATGGAGATCTACCTATTCATCATTCTAGAACATAGTAATTTATTTATTTATTTATTTGAGACAGGGTCTTGCTGTGTCACCCAGGCTGGAGTGCGCTGGCACAATCATAGCTCACTGCAGCATCAAACTCCTGGACTCAAGCGATCCTCCCACCTCAGCCTCCCAAGTAGCTAGGACTACAGGCACATGCTGCCACACCCAGCTAATTATTTTTTGGAGACACTAGGTCTTGCTGTGTTGCCCAGGCTGGTCTCAAACTCTTGGTCTCAAGCGATTCACTTGTCTTGGCTTCCCAAAGCACTGAAATCACAGGTGTGAGCCATCACACCTGGCCAGAATATAGTAATTTAAGAAAACATCCACATATATGATCTCATTTGGTGCTGCATAATTGTTAGGAAAATATTAGCATCCTCATTTCGCAGATGACAGAGAGATTAGATATGTAGCTAATTAGTGACAAAACAGGACTAAAACTGAAATTATTCTTTCCAAAACACCGCAACGTTCTTCCCCTTACATAAAGCTTTTTATGAGGGGTTGGGAAAGATTGGAATAGAAAGTAAAGACAAATAAGATTAAGTACTGTACTAAATTCTGTAACTATAATAGTGTATGTGGAAATCAAAATACAAATACTTTCCAGAAAGGTTTGGGTACATTTAAAATGTAAATTTTACTTTTTTTTTCTTTTTTTGAGACAGAGTCTCACTCTGTCACCCAGGCTGGAGTGCAGTGGCTGGACCTCAGCTCACTGCATCCTCCACCTCCTGGGTTCAAGCTATTCTTGTGCCTTAGCCTCCAGAGTAGCTGGCATTATAGGCATGTGCCACCAGGCCCAGCTAATTTTTGTATTTTTAGTAGAGACAGGATTTCACCATGTTGGCCAGGCTGGCCTCTAACGCCTGACCTCAAGTGATCTGCCTGCCTCAGCCTCTCAGTGTGCTGAGATCACAGGCATGAGCCACCGTGCCTAGCCTACGTTTTATCTGTGTAAGATGAATAAAAAGTTTTTAAAAGCAACCAGGATGCTATGAGGGCTGTAGAGGGAATATTTTGAGGTTGACAAATAAGGTAGTTGATTCTTACACAGTTTGGGGACATTTGTCAGAGGCAGAATACTGCATGGATAGAGAGAGAGAGAATATTTCATTGGATATTAGCCACTTTTGCTTATAAGATGCACCAGTATTTTATTTGACACTAACACAGAAAAAAAAACCAAAAAACAAACAAAAAAAACCCTGCCTGCCAATTACACTGTGATGCATACTTATACGTGATTGTAGGACAGATTTCAATTTCAGAGATGTTTAAATTTGGAAGCATGTGCATCCCTGAACCAATGAAAAAACGGAACAAGATATCATTTTCATCATTTTACATTTTATAACACGCTTTATTGGCAATCCTATGAAGTTGTTGTTAACTTACTTGTTTTGCTGAAGGGGAGGTTAAAAGGAGCTAAATGACCTGGGCAGTGTCCCACGGGCTCAAGCCCAGCCCCCTCTGGAGAGCTAGCGCTGTTCATATGGTTGCATTCATTCTCTTCCTGAGGGTGTGATGTCATTCCACGTTGAGGGTCAAACGTGGGTAAAAATGGTTCTTCCCTAAGGAGATCAAAATCCAGTGGAGGAGCTGGACATGTAAGCAGTCACCACAGCAGGTGGTGATAAGTGTTACCATTAAAGGGAAGGGGGAGGGATGTCTGAGATACTGACACTGGATCAGGGCAGACAAGGAGGATTTTGAATTTGGATTATAAAGATCAGGATTCGTCCCTTTACATTCTCCCTGGAAAATGCAGATTCAGCCACCAGGAAAGCTCCAATAACTTTTGGAAAGGTACTGCCTGTATAGGCTAGTACCTGCATTTATTTAACAATGCCAAAATGTGCAGACAAGTATCCAAAGATGCTTGTTTAAGGTGGTATGCATAACTCACTTTGAGTAATTCTTCTCCTATCACCTTATAGAAAGCAGTCAAATACATCACCACTAAGGTTTATGCTGCCATTTCTATGCCCTTGACCCTGTCAATGAATTTATTTTACCACTTCCATATCCAGTTTACATTTTTTTCATTGACAGAGGAAAGAAGAGAAAAATTGATAACCCTGTCACTGAAAAAAATGTAAATTGGATATGGAAGTGGTAAAAATAAATTCAGTCGATTTTTCCCTTCTTTTTCTAACAGACTTTTTAGATTTTCGTTTCCAGAGGAAGCACCTTTTCCCTCCATTATTAGACTGCACCCCTAGTTCTAGGGATGAGCTTTGAGGGTTAATCTTATTCTCAGTCTATGAACCCATCACTCAGAGGCTGGTCCAATCAGAGCCCCAGGGATCAGGGACATTTGTTCAATAGATGACTTGGTTTCATCTCTTCACATACTAGGGGAGAATGGGGACGCGTTTGGCCATGTGAAGCCAGCCTGAGATCTTAGGCGACAAGCCAGGGAAGAGAGAGCCAGGAAATCACAGAGGCTTTGCTTGACATTAGAAGTTGAATTTCCCCCTTCTCAATCCTCTGCCCTGTTAAATTCTTTTTATAATTTATGCCATTTTCAATTGCAGTTTCCGTGGCTTTAAACAAAAGCACTCAACAGAGGGGATATGGAAAGTGAAAAGAGCTCAAGTTTTAAAGAGAAAAGTAGATTTGAACTGTGGCTCTATCACTAGCAACATGAAATAAATTATTGTAAACTCAAGCCTCAGCTTCTTGATCTGTAAAAATGGAGATAAATAAGAAAAGCATTTAATTATATAATTTATACATGTCTAGTATAGTTCCTCCTTCATAAAAATGAGCTGGTAATTAATAATTATTGTATTTTAGCCCTGGACTTTAACACAAAAGACATGCTTTAATGATGACTAATTTTTTTTTTCCATTAACTAGTGTGTCAGGCTACATGGTGCAATCAGAAGAGTTCTGTAGTGGGAATCTAAAGCCCTGGCTTTGATCCTGCCAATGAGTGATCTGGGGCAGTTCATTTAGACTCTCTGGGCCTCAATTTCCCTTATATAATTTGATAATGGGAGCCAAGAAAATCTCCAAGAACCCTGTTAGCTCAAAAATTGTAATATTCAATTTAAGTAACAGTGTAAGCCACAAGAGAGTGGTCTCACGTGTGATCTCTTTGACCTTAATAGTAGGATGCAAGTAACACAACTGCAGAAGTGACTTTGCAAAGTCTCTCCAAGTACAGCTAATTTGGAGACAGACATTTATGTCCACAGGTTAATTGCAAGTTCATCGTAGATGCTTTCCTGGATGTGCATAAGTCGTGGTGATTATTGAACCAATTACATGGTAAAAAGAAATTTTGATTTAAGAATCAGGAGATGGATATTGTAGTTTTGTGTCCATAACTCACTAGCTGTATGACCTTAGGGAAAGTATGGAATTTCTCTGTGCCCAGAATCCCAGCTATAAAAAGAAAAGCTTTGAGAGGATCTATGAGATCTCCTACAAATCCAACACTGATTCTATGAATAAAAGCTTCTAATTCAGGGGTAGGCAAATTATGCCTATTTTTATGGCTTGTAAGCTAATTTTTTTTTACATTTTTTAAAATGATGGGCAAAAATCAAAAAAAGAATATTATTCTGTGTCATGTGAAATTTAAATGAAATTCAAATTTCAATGTCCATAAGTAAAGTTTTATTGGAACATAACCATGCCCATTTGTTTCCATATTGTCTATGGCTGTTTTTATGCTAGAAGGGCAGAGCTGAGTAGTTGCAGCAGACAGAAACTGTAAGACCTGCAAAGCCTAAAATATTTACTACCTGGCCTTTATAGAAAATGTCTGCCAATGCCTACTGAATCTGTCCAGCTCTAAAATTCCGTGAACTAAAACATAGAGCTGGGCTGGGCACATTGGCTCACACCTGTAATCTCAGCACTTCGGGAGGCTGAGGCAGGTGGATCACTTGAAGCCAGGAGTTCGATACCAGCCTGGCCAACATGGTGAAACCCCGTCTCTACCAGAAATACACAAATTAGCCAGGTGTGGTGGAGCACACCTGTAATCCCAGCTACTCGGGAGGCTTAGGCAGGAGAATCACTTGAACCCAGGAGGCGGAGGTTGCAGTGAGCTGAGACTGCACCACTGCACTCCAGCCTGGGAAACCGAGCAAGACTCTGTCTCAAAAATAAATAAATAAAAAATAATAAAATTTAGAGCTGGACGCATTCAGTAGGCAAAGTGACATTAAACACTTTGTAAACTACACAGCATTCATCCATATGTAAGGGGTTCAGATAAAATGGAATTCTGAAATTAAAAAGGCTCAGCCAGAACACTCACGCCCAGCAAACATTGTTTATGATGGCAAAACTACGGATAGTGCCAAGGTTAATCCTGTGCTGCTAGAAAATGGGATTATAAGAGTGCTTCCAAAAATGAAAAGGAGAAAATCATCGGATGAGATTAAAGAAGTCATCTAATTTTGCTCCTTTTGTAGTAAATAGCCTTCTCTGATCCACAGCAGAGATTTTTATAGCAAATTGTTCTTTCTTCCTACATGCAAAACTCTCCTTGTGTCAGCGAAGGGCAGAGAGTCCTAAGAAGCCTGCCACACGACAAACCAGAGAGAAATGTGCCCCTTTGAGGGAGAGGAATGTTCTACCCCATTTAGTTCTAACAAGTAAGTGGGAAGTAAGTGCACTCACTGGCCAGCAGCAGCCCTGTGTGGGTGTGAATGCAGCTCATGGGTGCATATTATGGTTTTGACCTTGATCCTAGACATTTGCTTGAGGGAAAACGTGTTCTTTGCACACTAAGCCTCCAAATACTCTCTTATTCACAATACATTTATTAAGGCCTATTTAGTACCAGGAACTATATTAAATATTTAATGTATCTTATCTTGTTGGAGCTTATAAGGCAGGTGTTACCATTTATATTCCACAGCTGAAAAAAATAGAAGTTTGATGATGTAAAATAACGTGCCCAAATTAGAGATATTCAAACCAGTTCTGCAATTTCCAGAGTCCACATTTTTTTTCTACATAGAAAACTAATTGCATACTTAGCAATTGGATTTCTATTAAGATTTCATAGGCTTTTTATGATAAATACCTTGATGACAAATAGGGCATAGTTAGACAATTAAAAAAACCTAAGACCTTAAACCTTGTGGTATTATTTTCTGTTGTTTCTTAAATTTTAAAATATTTAGTTAATGATAAAGAATATTGAATTGGAGATGGAAAGAACTAGGTTCTAAAGGTTTATTTATTTATTTATTTATTTATTTATTTATTTATTTATTTGAGACAGGGTCTCGCTCTGTAGCCCAGGCTGAAGTGCAGTTGCCCTCGCTGGAGTGCAGTGGCACGATCTCAGCTCACTGCAACCTCCACCTCCCGGGCTCAAGGGATCCTTCCACCTGTTTCCCAAGTAGCTGGGACTACAGATGTGCGCCACCACACCCAGCTAATTTTTGCATTTTTTGTAGAGTCAGGGTTTTGCCATGTTGCCCAGGGTGGTTTCGAACTCCTGGGCTCAAGTGATCCTCCAGCCTTGGCCTCCCAATTTACTGGGATTACAGACATGAGCCACTGAAACTAGCCAAGGTTCTAGTTTTGTTTTTGCTACTCTCTACCCGTGTGATTAGGGCATTTACTTAAACTCTACAAGTCTGTTTTCTTCATCTGTAAGGGAGGGACAGCAAGATCTACTTTGACAATCCCACAGGGATCTCGTAAGGGTCAAGTAAAATGGTATATGTGAAAGTGCTTTGAAAACACTCATTATTATTTCTTGGTTACTGTTGGGTTCCATTTTTATATTGAAGTTTTTTATATTAAAATGTTTATATTCTAAGAAATAAACAGAAGCATGTCTCAAAGATTTCAGTAGATGTAAATGCAGGCTTTGTACATTTACTATTGGCTTAAAAATATAACTTTCAAAAGTATGTCTCCTTTCACCAAGCTTAAAAGGATAAAATTATTATCACAAAGAAAAACTATCTTCTAACTTTGCATAGGATGTTATGCCAAGAGAGTGGTACAGCCACAGTTACAAACCCTTTAGGAGTTTGCATTAAAATACAATGTCAGATGTGGCAAAAGTTTAAATTCCATGCCCACACACCACACAGCACACATGTGCACCCACCTAGATTATAGCCACCAATATTATTTCCCACAGATTCCTGCTTTTACAGCCTTCCAAGAGTCACAGAGGATGCAGGGCCACGGATTAGCAGTAGTCTGCCTGTCCAGCAATTTCCGTGTTGTGGCTACGTGGCCACTCTGCTTTCAAATATCTGACAAATCAGAAAGACCCACTGAGTACAAACATCTCTCCTCCTCCTACAGAGAGCTGTTCCAATCAGCATCTCATCTGCAGGCTAGTGCCAGGAACAGAGTCAATATCTTCTCACCTTTTTTCCTCCTCTGAACTGTCTAGCACTAGCTGTTGTCCTCAGACCTGCTATTTCACAGCCCACGATTCAATTAGTTCTGTCTCAGTAAATCATTCTTTGACATGTACACACACATTCTCTGTCATTCCTGCATTAGTTTGCTAGGGCTGCCATAGCGAAGTACCACAAACAGGGTGACTTAAAGAGAGATTGACTGCCTCACAGTAGCACAGGGAGTCTGAGATCAAGATGTTGGCGGGTTGGTTCCTTCCGAGGGCTGTGAGGGAAGAATCTGTTCCATGCTTCTCTCCTTGGCTTATAGAAGGTTGTCTTCATGTTCACATGGCAGTCTTCCTGTGTACGTGTCTCCATGTCCAAATATTCCCTTTTTATGAAGACAACAGTCATATTGGATCGAAGCCCTTCCAAATTTCAACTTAACTGATTACATCTGCAACAAACTTGTTTCCACATAAGGTCACATGCTGAAATACTGGGCTTAACACCCTGTGTTTCAACATATGAATTTGGTGGTGGGGGGAGACACAGTTCAAGCCATAACTGTTCCTCTTCTTCTTTTCTCTTCCAATTTGCTCAGACCCCTCAAGGCAATCTTTTATTCTCAATCTCTCTTCTACATGCTCTCTACCTACCCCATCAGCCTACAAATTATCCCATACAGAATGGGAACACATAAGAATGGGCATGCCTAGGAAAAGAAGGCCATGTGCTTTGAAATTTAACTAGACCTGGGTGGAGTGTGAGCAACCCCTAAAATCACTCAGGAGGTATGCATTATCTTCAGAAGGTTTTTCTTCACTGTCCTTTATTTAAACCAGTTTGTTTTCTTTCTCTCAAGCACCATCATTCAAGATAAATATTTCCCACATAGCATTTTCCTGTTTCAATCGTTAATATTCAAATTCTATTGCACTGTGATATATTTACATTGTCAATGTGTAGTATTTTAAGTGGCACAAAATAAATTGGAATAAAATTCCTGGCTGAGCACAGTGGCTCATGCCTATAATCCCAAAACTTTGGGAGGCTGAGGCGGGAGGTTTGCTTGAGCCCAGGAGTTCAAGACCAGCCTGGGCAACATAACAAGACCCTGTCTTTACCAAAAATAATAATAATAATAATTTTTTAAAAATTAGATGGGTCTGGTGGCATGCACCTTGGTCCCAGCAACTCAGGAGGCTAAGCCCAGGAGTTTGAGGCTATAGTGAGCCGTGATCATGCCATTGCACTCCAGACTGGCGACAGAGCAAGACCCTATCCCTAGGAAAAAAACACTTGGAAAAAAAAAGTCCTTATGAGATGGTAGCTATCTCTTCTCCCCTTCTCACCCACGTCACTCCGCCCAAGACATCATTACAATTTTTTCTCTAAGTACTTATTGTGAACCAGTTATGTGCTAGCACTGTGGTAGATGTGGGAGATACAGAAGTGACTCATGATGTCTGCTATAATGAGAGGGCAGACAGACATAATGCTCCAAGCCTTGTAATCATGGTATTTGTAAGATGACATGACAGCACACAAAATGCAGAGATTAATTAAGCATCAGGTATCAGAAGTCATCGGTCCCTATCCATGCAATAAAGGACAGCATTTTTGGTGAACATAAAATCTCTCAGTAGGTTGAGCCTAAGAAACCAAGCCCGGCCTTTAGAAGAGAAAGGCATTTTAGTACACTGCGGGAAGCCTGGGAGGCAGCTTGGAAGTGCAAGTGGGATACCAGGTGAAAGGGTCTTTGAGCAGTCTTTCATCCAACCACGGGCCTCAGTCTACTGCTGTAGATTAGTTTGAATTTGTTAAGGACTTGGGTACACTAAAATGATGGATGCTGTCTTTGACCTCAGGGACATGGACATTGCTCGGTGGAAATGAATGAAGTATTTCTGAACTTGCTTTAAAAATTGCAATTCAAGCCTCTTCATCAATTTACAAGTATCATTATAATCATCCAGCCAATGAATTGTTGACACACTATTTCATTTGCCCTACAGATGACTATTATGAGCTGCAATGTGGCCAGTCATCCATAGAAACTTTTCATTTTCTCTTGGTAGTTAGTTTCACATCATTTCCGCTTGCACCAATTCTTGCAGTTTGTTTAGGACTGAATTATTTCATCATTTGCCACATACTCACCAAGCTAAAACCTGGATGCACTGGCAAGTCAGCTTTAGAATTATCCTTTTTGAAAGAATAGTCTCAGAATGATGATTTTCACTTAAATCATTTGTGTCATCAAAAGACAGAAAAAGTCTGCATGTTTATTGTCTATAAAGCCAAGGTTTGGTCAGGATCTTGTACACAGAGTCCTCTATTACCACTGATTTTTTAGTTTTACATTTCATTAATTAATAAGAGGTGAATGTATTCATGACCCATGTTGCACCAGCCAAATCCTACCTTGCCCTGGAATGGATTTCTTTCCCCAAAATTGTGATACAGGACCAAGAAATGTCAGAATATTAAAGCTGAGAGAGTTAGAGATCATCTTATCTATATCGATAAATATTTTATATATATATAATATATATATATATATATTTTAATAGAGTCTTGCTCCGTCACCCTGGCTGGAGTGCGGTGGCACAATCGTAGCTCACTGCAATCTTGAACTCCTGGGCTCAGGTGATCCTCTCACTTCAGCCTCCTGAGTAGCTGGGACTACAGGCATGCACCACCATGCCTAACTAATTTTTTAAATATTTTGTACAGACAGGTTGCCCAAGCTGGTCTAGAACTCCTGGGATTAAGCAATCTTCCTGCCTTGGCCTCCCAAAGTGCTGGAATTACAAGCCTAAGCCACTATGCTTGGCCCACCTACATACTTTTATAGTGAAGAAGCTGAGGACAGAGAAGTTGTAAGACTGACAAGATGTCGCAGAATCCAAACCAGCATTCAGATCTCCAGACTCCAGTTTTGCTTTTAATGTTTCCCATTCTATTTTTTAAATTGTATTTATTTATTTTATTCCTTTTCTTTTTTAAGAGATGGAGTCTCTCTATGTTGCCCAGGCTGGTCTCAAATTCCTGGCCTCAAGCAATCCTCCTGCCTCAGCCATATTCCCTCTGACCCCGGCTATATTTTTTAAGTGGACAAATAATAATTGTACATATCTGTGGGGTACATGGTGATGTTTTAGTACATATAATGGATAGTGATCAGACCCAGCTAAGTAGCATGTCCATTATCTCAAACATAATTTCTTTGTGTTGGGAACATTCAATATCCTCCCAGCTGTTTGAAACTATATAGCATATTATTGTTAACTATAGTCATCCTAGAGTGCTACAGAACACTAGAACTTATTTCTTCTATCTAGTTATTTTTTTCCCTCTGTTCCTGCCCTCGTCTTTCTCTCCCTGTGAGCCACATTAAGAATTTTGATCCTTATCTAAAAAGATCGCTAATCAATCAAAGGATTTGAAGCTGCCTGAGCATGATGTGATTTCTACATATTTTTTAAAAACTCCCTAGTGACAAGTAGAGAGGGAATTGAAGGGAGCACTGAAGGGTTTGCCCTAGCCACAGCCCTAAAGTGGCCCCCTGTGCCTCTGGAAGCCCCTCCACCCTAACCACAGCTCAGTGTCCTTGGAGGGTCACTTGACCTAAGGGCAACCAACCAGCAGCTATGACAGAGTCTGCCAAGACAGAGATGTGCTGGTTACTACTCTCTCTCCATGGAGATTCTGGTTGAGTCCTCAGGGGTGAGACCATAGAAATCTAGATCTTTAAAAATTGCCCCAACTGATGTAAATAACAAGCCAGTCTTGGGAGCCACTACTCTGGTAAATTTGAATTAAAAGATACAGAAACAATTCTCAGCCGTGGTGGGTACTAGAAGAGGGTTGTTGTAATATAACAGCTTGAGACCATTTTAGGCCAAGTGCCAAGTGAGTGATTAGAAGGTGTTGCTTGGGGGATAGAGGAACTGAAGAGAAAGAGTCAGAGAAGGAAGAAAGGAACTCTTTCTGAATTTCCAACTGCCAAGGACCGGCTCTACTTTATTTCATGTCCCCATAGCTTCTAAGAATATTGGATCTTTACAGGAATCCTTCCTCCCTCCCTCTCTGTGTGTGTGTGTATGAGTGTGCACTAAGTTGAGTGGGTTTCTGGTCCTTGCTATTGAACACTCATCAAATTGGAGGAACTGTATAATGTCAGAATCTTTCCTCATTTTTCCCTTCCCTTAACTCTGCAGTCTCCCTAATTCTCCTCCAACCCAACCCACACCTTTGTCAAGGTCTTTTTCTTTTCCCAGGAACTGATGATCTAATCCAAGTCAGTGTCCTTCAATGTCGTCACACCAATGACAAGGCTTTGGTGTGATATCTACAAGCAGGCACATTTCCATTTGCAAATCCTCCCAGAATTCCTGTAGCACAAAGAACAATGGGTTCTTGGAATGTGTAGGGGCCAGAGTTAGCTGAGGAGGAGGGCAGTTGATGAGGGACTCGTTGAGGGTCTGCTTTACTTCACACTTTTCAATCACACCTTATTGGTCAAGATCAGAAAAGCCTGCTCAGAGAAATAGCTCTGATTTCAGCATCTATTCACACCCCTGAAAGTTTAACCCCAAGTCACCATCAGGAACAAAAACTTTAGTACTGACCTTCTCAAGTAACTGTGACCTAAAAATCACATTGGATTACATGGTCTAAGAGTTAGCTCTTTGTAGATAAAACTTAAATATCTCTACTGAAGAAAACAAGAGGAAGCTTCTATTTAGAACTGGGTCAAATTGAGAAAAATGAAAGTCGTTACCCTCAAGACACTTTATTTCTAGCAGAGTTACCTACACATACACACACACACATACACATACACACACACACACAGAGTGAAAGAGAAAGACAGAAAGGAGAGAGAGAGAGAAGTAGATGGAAATTCTGGAAGAATTTTTACTAGAATGTTAACTGAGAAACTTTGGATAAAGCAGTTCATGTTTTTATTTTGATTTGGTTTTGCTTATTTGTATTTTCTTAATGTTTTATAATATTTACAATACTACTGCATTAGCATTATAAGAAATTTTTTTAAGAAAGGAAGAAAAGAAAATAAGCCCCCCCAAAAAAAGGAAGAAAAGAAAAAGAAAAAGAAAAGGAGACAGGAATGGAGAGAGTAAGGTCGGAAGGGACAAAGAGAAGCTTGGGAAAAGGTACTGTCAGTGTTTAGACCCCACAGTCAGTCCCGATGTGTGTTTTGTTGTCTTGTTCTGCAGAGTAATGTGTTTCCAAACTTGATGTGTGAAATGTGGGGGCTAAATGCACCACCAGGAAGAGGAGAACAGAGGGAAGCCATCTGCATGCGGAGAATCTCTTCTAACAGAGGGGTTACTCAATAGCAAAAACACTTTGTTCCTGTTTCAAGTTTAAATTATAGCCACAGCAATATCGAAAACCCGAAAAAAGGATCTTTCAGGTCAACTTCAAAGAGGAGCTGAGATGTAGGATCTGTCAGGGGAGAGCATGCCACACCTCCACCTCCACACTGGGACCCACCCAGGGCTGGGACTACAGATGCGCAGGGCTCACTTTGTTTACTCTCCAGGGATTTAACTGATGGAATCAAGATGAGGGCACTTTGCACATGCTGCATTTTTCTGTTTTTCTTTTCCCCTCTTCTCTCTCTTGCTTATTTCCTTATATCTGTGTACTCTTGAAAGACATTCTTTTTCCTTCCCTCTCTCCCTCTTTCCCTCTCTCCCTCCTTCCCTCTCTCCTCTCCCTCCCTTCCCAACTTTCCTCTCCTCTAAGGGCCTTGAATGAGAAGCTCCTAAGACCAGAAGCTGCCTGGTTGTGTGATTCCATGATTCACAACTTCACTCCTGGTTGACTAGCTGGTAATACACCTTCCCTGGTTTCCAGGTCCTGGCTGGGGACTGACCCAGAGCTAACTTCTCACTCGAGTGATCACTGAATCATTTAGGATTATTAAGAATTCTTTTAATTTTATTTTTAAGATTACCTCAAGGATCATTAAGATCCTTATAATTTTCTTTAGAAAAATAAATGTACTTTAATATCTTGGATACAGATAAGGCTAAAGCAATACCAAACAGGTCAGATAAAACTGCAGTGTAAATTCCAGGCCTCTGATGCCAAATTTCAGAAAGGACATTTCCCTCTTACACAAAACACTGACTAACAATGGTATTTTTGTTTTTAATGCTTACAAAGCACTTTTGCATTATATTGGGTGAAGCTTTCTACAACTCTGAGGGAAACAGGGCACATGTTATATTAACCCCAGTTTACAAGGGTAGGAAACAGAGACTAAAAGAAGTCAAGCGGCCTGTGGAAGAAGGTAGCCACCTGGGAAAGAACTGAGGTGCAGCTCTTTGGCCCACATCGGGGGCTCCTCCACACCAGCCACCATTCACTTCCATTCCCAAAGAGAAAGAAGCTCCTTGCCCAGAACTTGCTGCACTGTGCCTGCCAGCACCATGGGTGGGACAGGACTGGAGGGAAAAGTTGGAGGCTGCCTAAAATAAACTTCTAACAAACTTTTATTTTTCATGTTTAATAATTATTTATTTAAAATTTAAATATATATGTATATTTTGAGGCAGAGCCTCACTCTGTTGCCAGGCTGGAGTGCAGTGGCGTGATCTCAGCTCACTGCCACCTCCACCTCCTCCTGGGTTCAAGCGATTCTCCTGCCTCCACCTCCTGAGTAGCTGCGATTATAGTTTCCTGCCACCATGCCTAGCTAATTTTTTGTATTTTTAGTAGAGAGAGGGTTTCACCATGTTGGCCAGGCTGGTCTCGAAAACTTCCTGACCTCAAGTGATCTGCCTGCCTCGGCCTCCCAAAGTGCTGGGTTTACAGGCATGAGCCACTACACCCGGCCCTAAAAATTTTTTTTTTTTTTTTAAGAGACGGTGTCTCTCTCTGTTGCCCAGGCTGAGTGCAGTGGCATGATCACAGTTCATAGCAGCCTTCAACTCCTAGCCTCAAGCAATCCTCCCACATTAGCCTCCCAAGTAGACAGGACTATAGGCACTCACCACATGCCCAGCTAGTTTAAAAAATTTTTTGTAGTGACGGAGGTCTCACTATACTGCACAGGTTGATCTGGCCTAAAGTGATCCTCTCACCTCAGCCTCCTCAAGTGCTGGGATTACAGGCATGAGCCACCTTACCTGGCCCTAAGAACACTTGATAACTCACTCCAGAATACATTTAAAAAAAAATACTTACAGTCTTAGAGACATAGGAAATCAAAACATTTACATTTACATGAGGTATTTTTATTGTAGGAAATTATGATAGGGTGGTTAGCAAAAACTTTGAAGCAGAACAAGATAAGAGGATAAAATTCTGTGGGAGAAGTGGAATGGAAATACAAGTCCAAGGAGGCAAAGAAGCACTGCAAACTTTCCCACCGTTAGGAGAGAACTTTTCCATGTATTACAAATGCATGACAGTGGTTATAAAATGACTACCATATCTGTAGCATAGTGGATTTATTTAAGAGTAATTATAGTAGTGTTATTTATAAGTGCCAATATTTACAATACAATAAAAATTACAGCTTTTGCATCAAAATAAAAAAACTTATTTGTCACATTTTTTAAAGTATGGGGATACAAAGTTTTTCAACATTCCTTTGGTGGGGAGTATAAACAAATATTTTGATGACCACTGCATTAGAGAACTGGTGGCCTCATCTGAGGGTGGGAGGAGCCCTGAAATGTGCTTTTCTTAATAAACTACTTAGTGGGAGAGAGAAAGTTTCAATAAAATAATACAGGTCAATTGCCAAATTGGATATGACTTCATTTTAAGTTAGACAGGATCCTACTTTTTAAAAGCCACAAGTGATCAGAAAGTTGTGGATGAGGGATTTGACAGAGTACTTTAAAAAGCAACGATTGAATAAAAAAATTGGACTATTTTGTGTTTGTGATCAACTAAATTCTGACTGTTCAATAAGCCATTTATGCAGTATATTTCCACTAAAAACATAGGCCTTTTCCTTTAATTAATTCAGCTGAGCAGTGTCAATATGCTAAGGAGAACCATAGAAGATTGTCTATAAATTGGGGAAACCCACCAGTCAGTCTGCATGTCCAGGAAAGGGGGCCAGCAGTAAGGGCTTCTCCTAAGTTCGTAGAAGTGTCAATAAGGGATCCCAGTAGTGAGATGCCCTAGGGTGCTGGAGGGGGTATGTCTTGAAATATGTCTCTTAATGAGTTAGCTGGAATTTTAAAAAATTCATTCATGTATCCATGGATAAATATATATTTATTGCCACAATGAGCTAGAGTTAGTATAAATTTACGAGAGTGGAAGGTGTTTTGTCATAGCAAAGCCCCTCAGCCTCTTGAACATCATTTAAGTATTCTATAATCAAAATTATTTTTAATAATCAGCTTACAACTCAAAAAGGACTTCCTTCAATTGTATTGAGAGCAAATATTTGGCAACCACCTGAACTGCAAAAATACATGTTACCTGATCATTAGAATCACTCACTTTCTCAAGACCAGCATCAAAACCATCTGCCAGGCTGAGTACAAGGGCTCATGCCTGTAATCCTAGCACTTTGGGAGGCCAAGGTAGGGGGATCCCTTGAGGTTGGGAGTTTGAGACTTGCCTGGCCAACATTGTGAGACCCTGCCTCTACTAAAAATACAAAAAATAAAAAAATAAAAAAATTAGCCGGATGTGGTGGCCCACACCTGTATTCCCAGCTACTCAAGGGGCTGAGGCAGGCGAATCACTTGAATGTGGAAGGCAGAGGTTGCAGTGAGCCGAGATCGCACCACTGCACTCCAGCCTGGGTGACAGAGCGAGACTCCGTCTCAAAACAAACCAACAAACAAAAAAACCCATCTGCCAAATTGTCCCTTTATTAGGCATCCCAGAGGTTTGTCAGATGCAGGACAATGCAGTATGGTAAGATTAGAGATAGGTTGTATCTTCCTCTTGTAAAATGAAAGTGGGATGCTCATAAAAGGAGAGGTGGGAAATGAGGGTCTCATAATAATAAAGATATTCTGCAGTCAATTTTATCCCCATTTTATAGAGGAGGAAACTGGGAACGTAGGGGATGAGACACTTTGCCTGAAGACTGCTTGCATAACTGGAAAAGCTTGACTTAAAACCCACACTGCTCTGATTCCCAAGTCTGTAGTCTTAACTGTTATGTCTCCCAGGAGCAACTACATGGAAAGTGACCATTTGTAGCCCATTTTAATCCCAAGGATGGCTAGCAGGGGTGCTCCCTGAGTTCCCATCCTTCTAGTATCTTTGCCTTGCTGTGTCCTGCACACCCATCACACCCATCCACTCTCCTTGATCCTCCTCTTTTTGTTCTTCTCATTTTTCTTTAGGTTTACCAATGTCTTAAGACCTCTCTGAAGGTACCTGCATGCACTGCATCATTCCTCTCAGGGTTAAAAAACTGTGCAGCCTGTCTTGTGGGGAGAATATTCAGGATTTGGACCTGTTTTCTAAGGTCACATTCCATTCCTGGACCATTTTTTTCCACTGAAGCCCACACAAAGTAATTAATATCAAATAGTAAGACAAGGTCTTCAATAATTAACACCTGGAAAGAAGCCAGCCAACTGACATCAAAGCCAGACTCTGTGTAATTTGGTATCATGAGCTGGACAAATAATGAAGAAAAGAACATGTAGTCACCACTCGAGTATTTGGGCTGTAGCAGCATAATAAAAGCTGGACAACAAGCAAAGATAGGACATAGGAAATTGGAAGCAGCATGGAGTGGCAATGTGGACAGGGGTAGCTAAACTGAAGTGACACAAGAGTTGGAGATGGGACATCCTGGAAAATATGTGGCCTGCAGGCAGTGGCAGGCTTTATATGGTTAAAACCACAGATTTCACTGAGCTCTCCTGGGTTCCATGCTGGCAGTGAAAAAGCGGCACTTGGTATAGCCAAACAATTGTTCTGAGGTCAGTTCTATTCCATTCGGGCTGGCTGTAGCCAGGGGCATGAGGAGTGATGGCATATTTGGTATGAAATGGGCAGAAAGCCCCACTTTCATAAATACCATCCCCTGTATCTACTGCCTCATTATGGGGCTTCAAATTTCCCCCACTAGTCACCCTTCTGGATTAAAGCACTAGAGGTGTCTGCTACAATGTGTACATTGAGAGCATGTTGGAAGATTCTGACAACAGAGACACTTATTTTTTTTAAAACTGACATTAGCAGTTTTCCCCTGTCTGGTTAGGTTTCCCTCTTCCACCAATCAAGCTGTTTCATGGCACCTGCATTACTGGGGAGCAGGGCATGCCCACCTGCCCGGCAAGCCACAGAGGCCCAGGCCATAAACGCAGTGAGGCTTGAACAGTGAGAGGGAAACACTCTACCACGGTGTGGAGGATGCACCTTCACACGAACGCAATTTAAAGTCCAGAGTTCATTACCAGTTTTGTTGGGGTTTTGGATTTCTTTTTCTCTCTCTTCTTTTCTTTTCCTTTCTTTCTTTCTTTCTTTCATTCTCTATTTCGTTCTTTCATTCTTTCTTTTCTTTCTTTCTCTTTCTTCTTCCTTTCTCTCTCCTTCCTTTCTTTCTTTTCTTTCCTTCCTTTCTTTCTTCCTTTCTTCCTTTTTTCCTTCCTTCCCTCCCTCCCTCCCTCTTTCTCTTTCTCTTTCTTTCTTTCTTCTTTCTTTCTTCCTTTTTCTTTCCTTCTTTCCTTTCTTTCTTTTTCTTTCCTTCTTTTCTTTCTTTCCTTCTTTTCTTTCTCTCTCTCTCTCTTTCTTTCTTTCTTTCTTTCTTTCTTTCTTTCTTTTCTTTCTTTCTTTCTCTCTGCTTTTTGAAACAGGGTCTCTCTCTGTTGCCCAGGCTGGAGTACAGTGGCACAATCATCTTAGCTCACTGCAACGTCCACCTCCTGGGCTCAAGCGATTCTCCCACCTCAGCCTCCTGAGTAGCTGGGACTACAGGGTGCATGCCACCACACCTGGCTAATTGTTGTATTTTTTGTAGAGACGAGGTTTCACCATGTTGCTCAGGCTGGTCTCAAACTCCTGAGCAGGCGATCCACCAGCCTCAGCCTCCCAAAGTGTTGGGACTACAGGCATGAACCACCATGTCTGGCATTTCTTGCTTTTTAAAGCAAGTATTTCCTCAGAATTTTCTTAGGTGTACTGAAATATCCAAGAGAATACCTAGATAATATACCTTCTATTTCAATGAAGTATGAAATGCTCACTGGCAAGTGAGTGATTCACTTCTGCTTTGTATTTTAATTGAGGTGAAATTCACATAACATAAAATTAATCATTTTAATATGAATGATTCAGCCAGCTGGCATCAAAGCCAGACTCAGTGCAATTTGGTTTCATTGAGCTGGACGGATAATGAAGAAAATGAACAACATTTAGTCACCCCCAGAGTGTTGGGGGCTGTAGTGGAGTAATAAAAACTGGACAATAGTGCTATTTAGTACATTCACAGTGTTGTGCAACCGTCCCCTTCATCTAGTTCCAAAACATTCTCATCACCTCAAAAGGAAACCCTGTGTCTATTAAGCAGGTATTCCTGATTCTTCCTTTTCCCCAGAGCCTGGCAAGCACCAGGCTGTGTTCTGTTCCCATGGATAAACTCATCCTGGTTATTTCATATAAATAGGATCATATGATACGTGACTTGTTGCATCTAGCTCCTTTCACTTAGCGTAGTTTTTTTCAAGGTTGATCCATGTCGTAGTATACATCCATATTTCGTCCCTTTTTTGGCTGAATAGTACTCCATTGCATGGGTGTACCACATTTCATTTTTCTATCCATCCACTGATGAACATTTGGGTTGTTTTCACCTTCTGGCTATTGTGACTAGCGCTGCTATAAACATGTGTGCACATGTATGTGTTTGAATACCTGTTTTCCATTCTTTGGGGTATATACCTAGGTATGGGATTATACAATCACATAGTAGTTCTATGTTTAAATTTTTGAGGAACTGCCAAACTGTTTTCTACAACAGCTGCGTCTTTTTACATTCCCACCAGCAATGTGCACTTTGTTTTTTACACCAGGCTGGGGGCACTGCGGGGTGAAATGGCCCCAGCTTCCAGGTGGTGAATGTGCACATCTTTAAAAATTATAGCTCTCCTAGTGAGTATGTAGTGGTATCTTAACACGGTCTTGATTTGCATTTCCTTAATGACTAGTGATGTTAAGCATCTTTTCATGTACTCACTGACCACTTGTATATCTTCTTTAAAGAAATGTCTATTCAAGTCATTTGCCCATTTTTTAATTGAGTAATTCACTTTATCCTTATCTTTTATCTATCTATCTATCTATCTATCTATCTATCTATCTATCTATTTATTTATTTGACATGGAGTCTCACTCTGTTGCCCAGGCTGGAGTGCAGTGGCATAATCTTGGCTCACTGCAACCTCTGCCTCCCAGGTTCAAGCAATTCTCCTGCCTCAGCCTCCCGAGCAGCCGGGATTACAGGCACCCGCCAGCATGCCCTGCTAATTTTTGTATTTTTAGTAGAGACAGGGTTTCACCATGTTGGCCAGGCTGGTCTGAAACTCCTGACCTCAGGTGATCCACCCGCCTTGGCCTCCCAAAGTGCTGGGATTACGGGCATGAGCCACTGCGCCCGGCCCGGTAATTCACTTTAAAATTGATGTTTATTGCCTCACAAAACCATTCATAGTTGGTATTTTCTGACTTTTAGGGTAATGGTCTGTATCTTGCCTTGTTCTTGTTAGAGCTCTCATTCTGATTCCATTCCAAGAGAAATGTTAAGGACTTTCTTTTGATACTCTTCTCTGATCACAATTCCCATAATAATAGGGCTAACATCTATTGAGTTCTTACTGTGTGCTAGGCACTGTTTGAAGTGCTTTGTTATTAATTCATCGAATCCTCATGAAAAGCCTATGAAATACCTTTCACAGAGGAAAGAACTGACACACCTAGCTCCAACACACAGTTAGAAAATGAAGTAGGGATTTAAACCCAGTTTGGATAGGCATCAGTGTAGGTAAAATAAGAGTGGGCTGAGGTAGTCCTCAGCTAAAATTTCTGCCCTGTTAATAAACTCTAAAAGGTAGTTTTCAGGTCAGTTTATATTTCAGCTTCTTTAAAGCTATTAGGACAGGAAGATGAGCTCCTATGTGAAGAACTGAAATGCGGTCAGGAGAGCAACAAGCATGCTGAGAGTCTTAAAAATTTACCTATGCAAATAGAAAAGAAGTGGACAAAAATAAGCACCCGTAGGGGTGAAATGGACAAACTTCAGTGAAAAACTGTGGGTTTCTACTAATGAATGGGATCAATGATGCAGAAGGTGTGAGGAATAGGAGTGCTAGTCTTATCAGTGCTAACACCGAGATCTCAATCAAGAGAACCCACAGACTGTACTGTTCATTCTCTCTCTCTCTCTCTCTCTCTAATAGAGACGGGGTCTTGCTATTTTGCCCAGGCTGGTTTCAAACTCCGGGGTTTAAATGATCCTCCTGCCTTGGCCTCCCAAAGGGTTGGGATTACTGGTGTGAGCCACCGTGATGGCCTCTGTTTAGTTTCTCATCAGGAAAATGGGTGAACATGCTCACAGCTTATGGATGCATCACTGGATAAACTTAATGAAAACCAGAACACCAAGAGCTGCACAGCAGGAAATTTTTGTAAAACATAAAAGCTCAGTAGTCTATTCTATATTTTAACACAGAAGAAAAAGCCATTCTTATTACACTGAGGAAGACAGTTTTGGTAACTGGATTCATTAAGCACAGCATATGCCCAAACTTCTTCCTGAAAGTATGCTAAGTAGCCTTTGCTAATGCTATTGGTTCAGTGAAATGCAAAAATAAACCTAAAAACATTAATATGTTTTAATATAAATGGGTCCTGAACATGAGATACAGCACATTCCCCAAAGCCTTTATTTCCCTACCCACTGTCATCTCTTTATTCACTTAACTCTAAGTCTTTTCCCCTCACTAAAAATTACTTCTAACTCTACAGCCAGAACTGAAGTATAGGAGAAAGTGTTATAAACTGAAGAGCTAAATGCCAGAAAAAAAGGGGCGGGGGGTGTTTGGAAAACAAAATTGACTTGAATCAGAGAGCAAAATCAACAAGAACAAGACAGGAACGAACTGCCCAAGGGTACAGGTTTGATTGTTCAGTGGACTTTGTAAATAGCCAATCATCTACTGTAGAGGCATTCATTTTTCAACTGTCAGTAGATATAGAACACACAGATGTTTGATCAAGATAAATATGAGAGACAGCTTTGAAATTCACCACAACTGCTGTGTGAAAGCAGCTCAAGAATGGCGGCCAAGAGCAGTGAAGTGTTTCCATGCGTTTAATAAAATCCCCTGGGCATGTTGTCAAACGATGCTCTTCTCAGAATCTGTCCACCAAGGGGTAGATAGATATCTTCATGGGAAAGTTGTTGGAGGGAAGAGAGATTAGCAGACAGAGAGTGTGGAAAGATGTCCCTGTGGAGTAGGGTTTGGAAAAAGTTCTGTAAGGAAAAGATGGGGTGATGGGCAGGAAGGAGGTGGGAGGCTGCTTCAGCTGGGGTGGGGGGTGGGGAACACAGACGTCCAGAAGAACAAGAAAGAGGTCAACAGGGTGTCCCCTTAGACAAAATGAGAAACAGGAGCCCAGCGAGGTGCATGGGATGAGATTGCCACGGTGTCCTGGCACACAAGTGCAGAGGAGGGAGCTGACTTGGGAGGCAGAAAGGAGTTGTGGTGGGTCAGAAAACCTGAGGGGGAGATTGTTTTGGAAACAGCATTTTGACCTCAAAAAGTAAGAGAGCTGTGCAGGTAAGAGCATGAGTGAAAGGCTGCATGTAACATTGGCAAGGTCTGTCCTTAGAAGCAGGTTTTTTGGTTTGTTTTTTGTTTGTTTGTTTGTTTGTTTTACTCTAGTTCGACAGGTAGGGCAAAAGACCACGGTGCTATCTATACAGAATGTTGGAAACCTTTCATGTAACATTAATCCCCATGGGCTCAGTCATCCCCAATCCCATGATTTATTTAGTTGGCAACAAGAGGTGTAAAATGTCAATGTATAGAGCAGTGGTTCTCAGTCAGGGGTGATTTTGCCCAGGGGACATTTGACAAGGTCTGGAAACATTTTTGGTTGTCACAGCTTGGCGGGGGATTAAGGGGAGTGTGGGCACTGCTAGCATATAGTGGGTAGAGGACAGGGGTGCTGCTGAACACCCTGCAATGCTCAGCACTTCTGTTTCTCAAGAGTGTTGGGCAGCCCTTCAAAGTCACAACTCTGAAGAAACACTGGGTTTTGGTTACTTCAAGCATAGTGCTTGGCCAGTGGCTTCAGCAGAGAGGAGGAGAGTTGTGGTGTTTGTCAGAGGAGAACTTGATGGAGATACACACTTTCTCTGAATATTTATATATTTTGAATTTTTTTATTCTTAAAATTTAAAATAGCCTAAATATTAAACACTTAACATTTTTTATTATGCATGCTTATATACTACAATTTTAAATGAAAATTAGTTTAAAATCCAATAAAAAAGAAGACAGTCGCCCACAACAAAAAATTATCTAGTTCAGAATGCCAATCGTGCTAAGGTTGGTAAACCCTGCTATAGACTGATCCATCGTTTCCCTTTTCTTATACTCCATGCCCAGGACACACACACACACGAATGCACAAACATGTGCGCACTCACAGGCGAATGCAGGAATCTGGGTCTGGGTCTGAGTTCCAGGTGCCAAGGCTTTGGGCTGTCACCTAGAGGCTAGGGTGACTGAATAACAGCAGTAAGAGCTGCTGACCTTAACTATTGTGTGTCAGGTACTGTGCTTTTCTCGTAGCTCATTGAATCCCTGCGGCAGCCCTGGAAGTGAAGCCCTCGCAGTCTGACTTCCCAGAGGAAGAAACTGAGGCTCAGTTAGATGATGTATGTATCCAGGGTCCTATACTCAACCCTTCAGAGGGCTTAGACAGGATTCAGAGCCACCTCTGCAGACTTCAAAGCCATGAGACGGCTTTAACATCCATTGTAATGCAAAGCCAGGAATATTTCGCTGAGGTGGAAAAAGGGCATTCAATAAACTCTCGGCTTTATTGTTTAACCGACGGCATTTTGGTCTGCTCCTGACTTCCTTGAGTGCCAGAGAGTGGATGAAACTGAGTGAGGCTCAGGGGTGGGCTGAGGGACACAGGCTTCCAGGTATCTGTCACTTCAGGTTTTATGAGGTAATGAAAATAAAGCAACGTTCCATCAGCCTGCCTGTGGCCTTTCTCCTGCCACATTTCTTCCATCGTGTGTCATCTTGTGTGTGGTGTGTGTGTGTGGGCAGCCTGCTTTTGTTTTCATATATAACAAAGTGTTCTCTCTTCCTGACTACTCCCATCCCTTCCCCATGCTCTCTCAGCACCACGTACATTATCAGCCCAACGCCACACCCTCAGCAAGCATTTCATAAATGTTAGCCGTTATTACTATTATTTCTTCGTCCCGGTGCATTACAATGTGAGGCTGTACAGTCCGTTTATCCATCTCCTCTCCAGAGCTAGAACCTCCTGTAAGACAGGGACTGTATCTTACTTATCAGTGAAATCCAGCTCCTGGTGGGTGGCTAACAATACATATCTATTGAATGACTACTCCATTGGAAAGTAGATCTCAAACACAAAGTTGTGATGGCTCACAATGCCTAGTTGGTGCCTTTGCTCAGCACTTCTGTTTCTCAAGGGGGTTGGGCAGTCCTTCAAGTTATTTCTTTATAACTCTAAAGAAATATTGGGTTTTGGTTACCTCAAGCATGGCGCTTGGCCAGTGGCTTCAGTAGAGAAAAGGATGGTTGTGGTATTTGTCAGAAGAGAACTTGATGGAGACATACACTTTCTCTCACACATTCTCACACAAATATGTGAGGGCATGAATGTGTGTGCGTGAGTATCTGTCTGCAATTCCATTTGGCATGCAATTTCAAGAGGTTCACAGACCCCATGAAGCACACCCAAGAATATTTATATATTTTGAATTTTTTTATTCTTAAAATTTAAAATAGCCTAGATGTTAAACACTTAACATTTCTTTATTATGCATGCTTATATACTTTTGATCCTAGAGTTGAAAAACAAACAATATTTCTTGAGTCAGTAAGTAAAGCTTTTTTATTTTGCATTGATTTGTAAATTAAAGTGTTTTTGTAGTTCTTGGCTTGATAATCACTCTTGAAAATGGTTTTGGAATGTTAGTGATTGCAAGAAATTGTTTATTCCATTACTTTTACTCTGACCAAGCCCACATCTTTTTCTAAAGTATGTCTTATTTTTAGAGTTTATAAATCAAATGTATTGTAGGGCTGGAATGCAGCATGCAATGCACTCACAAACAAAACTCCAGCCTTCTTCAGCAGTCTTCACACAGTATCAACAGAAGTGTAGCCACTAAGACTTTTTGCTACATGAAGGCCTTTTTTTTGAGATATTTAACATGTGTTCTTATTTAAAAATACTAGAAATCTACCTCTAAAGAAAATTTGACTTCTTGATCAAAGGTATGGTAGGAGAGACAAAAGCCAGCACTTAATTCTTACTCATTCTAACATTTCAGAGCACAAGTTTTAAATATTTAAACCTACTGGAAACCTGTGAATATTTGCAAGGAGCACAAAGATGAGGATAAGTAGAAGGAAGCAATTCATTAACATATGTTCACTCCATCTCTAAAGAAAAGGGGTGTACCCCTGGCAAATGGCTTGCCCTTACCTGGGCCCCAGGTCCCTTACCTGAGAGATGAACATGTTGGATCACGTATGTTCAGGTCCCTTCCTGGCCTCCTATGCCACGATTCCCTCCTTCTCACTTCCAAGTCCAAAATCATCACTTTGTAAGTCATCTATATTTTGATAACGCTGACCCCCAGCCTTTTGAAGGGGTTCTGTTTTAGACATGAGTCCTCTGGAGGTCTTTAATTCTGCTTGGTAATGGAACAAGGTTCCAGGAGGAGTCAGAAGCTCAGAGAAGGGCCAGTCTGCTGTGATTTACCACTGAAAACTTTTGCGTACCTTTGCAAAAGGTGGTATCCCACTGCCTAAAGAGCCTCTGCCCCTGACTCCCTACCAGAGATCCCAGCCATGGGGGACTGTCACCTGCCATGGCCATCCCAGCTTTCTCACTTCCTCACTTAGGCTCACCACTGCAGATTTGTTTTCTGGCCCTGGTTATAGCTCATTAACATACATCCTTTAAAACACATCTGTGGTTTTCCTATGGGCCCTTGTGACATTACTCCTTGGAAAGATTTTTTTCTTTCTAGTGGCTCACTGGTTGTTTGGGAATGACAGTGTCCAACCAGAACTTCAGAACACCTGGTTTCTAAACATAGCCCTCCCTACTATTAAAATAAAACAAAACAAAAAAACCCTATGTGTCTCATTGTGCCTTAGCCTACTCATCTGAAACAATGAGAAACAGTCACAGCCTTTGCATCTTCACTCAGACACTGTTAAGGACAAAGTGAGATATGTCTGTGTAAAAGAGGTCTGAAAAGTTTTTTTAGGTATGATACCAATATAAAGTAATATCCCACAATGAAATTAACATCAGAACAATCTCCAAAAAATATTTTCAGATGTATGTGATGCCTCTTTATAATGGGTGCCTGATAAATTATGGCTTTCAGATTCAAGTTAACAGAGTGGTGGGAAAGAATCCTTCCTCTCCCCACGCCTCCCATCCCATCTTTTCTCCTTGCCTGAAACATCTGGCGGCCCTTTGTAGTTCTGGATGATTTGATTTGGAATTCATTAGTAATAATTGATGTGCTTTCTGGAATTTGTTTAAACAGTGCATCGTGTGGTGAGTAGCTAAGCCAAAAAAGATTGTGCAAATGGAGGCTGCCAACCTGGTAGAGCTGAGATGGGCAATAACTCAGCACTTAGTGCCGGAGGCTTGAGAAAGTGGCCTGCACCCTCCACCCCCTTAACCAATTTGGGTGGAAGGGAGCTTGTCTGTCCTGGTGGAAGCTTGGTTGGCCCATAGTGTGTGTTTTCAGAGCTGCCTTTTGGCAAAGTGATGAGGAGAGCGGCCAACGAAAGACCTGTAGAGGGGCGTAGAGCTAGGAATTAGCATTTGAGACGTTTAAAATCTGGAAAAAATTAAAGCGTCTACACAGGCAACCCTAAGCAGTGTGGGGAGGATTACTCTAAGGCAACTCTAGGGAAAGGCTTCTTTATCATTTTGGGTGTTGTGGACCTCTACAAGAATCTGATGACAGCTGTTGGCAAATGTGTGTGAGGGCATGAATGTGGGTGTGAGAGTATCTGTCTGCAATTCCATTTGGCATGCAATTTCAAGAGGTTCACAGACCCCATGAAGCACACCCAAGAATCCAGGCTAAGAAGCCCAGCAAATAGAGATGGTAAAATATGAGATATCATGTCACTTATGAATCTTTCTGTTATGGATAACAGGAAAACCCCATTTTAAGCCACATTTTAAAATTATTAGATTCAATGGGCATAAAATGACTCTGTTGAATTTCTATAAAAGTTTCTAAATGTGTACTCTCAACTTTCATATTTATCTTCTCGAGGACCAGTAGCAAGCAATTTACAGGCTGGCAAGGGTCCCTGGACCGCTCTGAGTAGCTGGCCCTGTGCTAGATCACAGCTCTTCCTGCCTGCTCAGAGACATGACTCCAGAAATTCTCCCCTCTCTCTCTACTAGACAAACACTATCAACATTCAAGCATACTGTTAAGAAAATGTAATTCAAACCAACTTATGAAGGCATTAAGGAATTATTGACACTTATAAGCACATGAAAACCTTTTGAGGTATTTTAAAGGCCATTTTACCCTAATAGTTCAGTACATCTTTCTAAAAATTAAGGTCAGTTTCTTACATAACCACTATGCTAGCATAACACCTAAAAAATGTAACAGTAATTCCTTAATATCATCTAATATTCTAATTTCCCCAACTATTTCCCCAATGTTGGTTTGTTTTCATCAGGATCTAAATATAAGGTCCACACGTTGTTTGCCCCATGTCCTTGGTCTCCTGATCTTCAACAGTCTCTGCCCTATCAGCACACATGCTATTTTTTCCTACCATTGACCTGTTGAGAGATGTCAGATATGTTATAGAAGTTCTCACATTCTGAATTTCTCTACTGACTTCCTCATGGTGTTGTTGCAACAGATCTTCTATCCACTGTGCTTCCTATAAACTGGAAGTTAGATCTAAATGCTTAAGTTTGCATTCTAACTTTTTGGGAAGAATACCTGATAAATGATGCAATGTCCTCATACATTGGAGCCATAATGTCTTATTCTCTCACTTTTAGTGAGACAAAAACTGATCAGTGGGTTCAGGAGATGGCAGCTTTATCCCTCCTTTGTGAAGACTCACCTCCCCATATATGATCCGCAAATCATCTATGGGTTGATATAAAATGCTATCAAATATGAAAGAAGCCTACTCCTGCAATGACTGGCCAAAGCCTGAGACTGTATAATTTCTTAGGTGGAATGTTACCGTTTTCCTTTGGGAACTTCCTTTCCCAAACATTCATGTAAATAATATTTCTGCACAGATTCAAGCCTCCATCCCCTCAGCAACTATAATAGATAACCGAAATTCCTGGACAATTCGGGGCAGTTTTTGGTTTGGTATGAATCAAGTTTCTGCACCATGCTGGGAAACTTCTTATCAAGTTCCTCATTCTTTTCCTTAAGAACATAAAGCCTGGCAAATCTTGCAGGGATTGGTGACAATGGAGGCTTAGTTTTTTGTTTTACATGAAGCTTGTTTTGTTTTATGTGAAGCTTGCTTATAGTTGTTACAGGTAAAATATTTTTCAATTTTTATGAAAAATTTCATAATTATGATATTTGTTCCTTTTCTTTCTCTTTCCTTCAGCTATAGAACTTCGAGCTATTTTTTTTTTTTTTACAACCAAACATTATCACCATGGGAAACCATTTATTAAGCCTTGTGTGCTCTCTCAGAGCTTCTAGATTGATGGATGGTTTTATGGAAATATTTGAAAGACCCGAGTTTTGATCCTTTTTACTACTTTCCTTGGGCAGAGGCAATTTATGTTTTGCTGATATTTGCTCCATTTGAAGTAGTTAACTTTCTTTTGCAATTCTAAAAACATACCCTTTCAATTTGTAAAATAATATAGCATGACAATAGTAAGGGTCCTCAGACTCTTGGTTTCCAATTCTGCTACAGAAATGGAATATAATAAATGAAAATATTAAAAACTTGGAACTTGCGCTAAAGACAAATTATGGTGCTATTTATAAACCTCTGACAAAAATACACCGTAAAACTTTAATACAATCCTTTCTGTATTAGTCGGGGTTCTCTAGGGGGACAGAACTAATAGGATAGATGTATACATGAAGGGGAGTTTATTAGGAGTATTGACTCACATGATCACAAGGTGAAGTCCCACAATAGGCCATCTGCAAGCTGAAGAGCCAGGAAGCCAGTCTGAGTCCCAAAACCTCAAAAGTAGGGAAGCCGACAGCACAGCCTTCAGTCTGTTGCTGAAGGCCTGAGAGCTCCTGGCAAATCACTGGTGTAAGTCCAAGAGTCCAAAAGCTGAAGAACTTGCAGTCTGATGTTTGAGGGCAGGCAGCGTCCAGCATGGGAGAAAGATGTAGGCTGGGAGACTAAGTCAGCCTAGTGTTTCCATGTTCTTCCACTGCCGAGACCAGTTCGGTCGTGAAGACCCTAACCCAGCAGCACTAGAAGAATTAAAGACAGACACAGAAATAGAGTGCAGAGTGGGATCAGGGAGCTGACAGCCTTCAGAGCTGAAAGCCACAAACAGAGTCTGACCCACATATTTACTGACAGCCAATGATAAGCATAGTTTCTATAGATTATAGATTAGCTAAAAGCTTTCCTTACGGGAAACAAAGCATTCTTAGCGAGGAGTAGAGAAACAGGCTCTGGCTGATTATCTGCAGCAAAAGCATGTTGTTGAGGCACAGGCCACTCCTGCTATTGTTTGTGGTTTGAGCAGTTTTCCACTCCAGGCGGGCCAGGTTTTCCTTGCCCTGCTCCAGTAAACCAACAACTTTCAGCAGTGTGCATGATAGCCATCATGAACATGTCACATTGCTGCAGAAATCCTGTTTATGGCCAGTTTCTTTAAGGCCTGTTTATGGCAGGCTTACGGCTTGTTCATAGCATCCCACCTGCTTTTATTCTGGCCATGCTGGCAGCTGATTAGATGGTGCCCACCCAGATTGAGGGTGGAGCTGCCTTTCCCCATCCACTAACACAAATTTTAATCTCCTTTGGCAACACCTTCACAGACACACTGAGGAACAATACTTTGTATCCTTCAATCCAATCAAGTTGACACTCGGTATTAACCATCACACTTTCAGATGCAGATATTGGCATTTCTGAACTTTTCTAAATACATAAGAACTGTGAACTCTCAGGGTTTGGAGGAATGGTAGAATCATGGAGCCTAACCATCTGTCTGATGCATGACTCCCACACCCCTGCCAAATGACAGATCCAGCAATCTCTGCCTGAGCTCTTCCCACAAGCAGTGCCTCTCTGTCTCCAGTATCCCCCTACTCATTCATTAAGCACCTGCAGTGTGCCAGGTGCTATGCCAGGATCCTGACTACTCAAGAAACTCCTATGTAGGTAAGAGAATAGGATGAGAGAATACAGATGAGGAATAAGAAAGAGATCCTTGAACAAAGTGAGATGGTTCTGGATACTAAGAGTCAACACAAAACCCAGCACATCCTCTAACATTTGACAGGCATTTCCTCTTTGCCATCTCCCCATCCCCTAACCCGGTCATACTGACAGTTGTTGAAGCATACTTACATAAGGGATATTGTGTTTCCATTCTAGATTCTCAAAATATTTCACCATTTTGAGCAGTGTTACACTGACTCTCATTCACTGTCAAAAGGTTTCATGATCTAAATATTATAGTAGTCAAGATGAAACCTAAAAAGAACGGCAAGGGTTGTTTGTCCAGTTTCTGTTCCAGAAATCACTCTGGGTGCTCTGTGATGCTAACAGCATGGGACTGGAGCCAAGCGATAGGCAGCATGTCCGTGTCATTGTCCAGTCCTCACTTTGCCCCATGAGGACCCTGAGATCAGCCTGTGAACAGCACAAGGTGACCTGCAGGCAGGTAACCTCTCTACACAGCTCTCTCAGACCCCAGCAGTGAGGGAGAAGAAAGTGGGGAGGAGGCAACAGAAGCTCAGCCATCACTGAAGGGCAGGGCAAGGAGACAAGGGAAAAGGAAGTGACAACTGTTATCTGTAATTAATCACTGTGACACCCACCGCTTCTCTCGGGGTTATGATGGTGTTTTTGTCACCATCCCAAGGAAACTAGATTATTATTCCTATTCACGGACATGGAAGGTTATGGCTCCCAGTGGTCCTTTAGGGGGTTCAGCGTCTATTTTCTTTCTTCTTTCTTTCTCTTTTCCTCCTTTGCTTATCCTTCCCTGTTTGGGGGTTACCTTCATCTTCTTCACTTTTTTGTTCTTTCTTCCTCTCTCTGCCTCTGTCTCTGTCTCTGTCGGTTTCTCTCTCTCTTTCCTTCCCTGTCTCTATCTCTGTCTGTCTCTCTCTATTTCTCTCTTTCTTTCTCCCCCCCTACCCCACAGGCTATGTTTCGCCTATAGATGGAACAACATTCTGGGCATTGATCTAGAGACTGACGTAAAAGTGTTTCAGGAGCACAAAGCAGATAGAACATGAGTCTAAGATCCAGGAAACCTGGATTCTCTTCCTGGCTTTGTCATTAATATCTGTGACAGCTAGGATGAGATGAAAGACATGAATGTGCTTTGAAAAATAATACAGAGTACCATTGTATATTCTTCCAAAGCTACTACTTGCAAAGTGATGTTGAGGAGGCCCAGCAAGAATACAAAATCTATTGTGAACCTGCTGTTGTGCCTGGCCTTGAGTCAGAGAGTCCATTCAGCATACAGAACTGATTTTGAGCTTAAAAAGGCCTATTTAGAGCAAAAGAACCTGAAGAATTTGTGCAATACCAGGCATGCAGTGAAACCTGAGAACACAAAAATTCCTGAGCTCAGTTTAAAATCAAGATCAATGTTGTCATTCTGAAGTCACTGTTCCATTTAGCTCCATGCCAAGGATTACTGCCATGCTGAGTGATGAGAACCATTGGATCCAGCTCCATACCATGGAAAACATAACACACTCAGATGCTGTTATCTCTAATTACATTCTTGAATGGGCCGCTGCTGATCTCTCTGACATGAGCCCATCCCCATTTGTGTGCTACAGGGAATAAGAATGACTTTTACAAACTTCTCTGTGCACGCTTAGGGTACTAATTGCTTTCTAACACCCATCCCTTCAAGTCCTCTTTTCACTTTTAAATTTCTCAAGCCAAAGGATACAAAGTATTGTTAAATAAATAACATGGAACACTTCAGAAGCTGAGTGACCTGCCACAGTTTAGGCCTTAAAGGAGATAAAGCAGGGATTCTCCAAGTGTGGTCCCCAGTCCAGCAGCGTCAGTTTCTCCTGAGAAAGAAAGGCCTATTTTCAGGCCCCGCCCAAGATCTACTGAGTCACAAACTTGGGGAAAACAATCTATATTGTAATAAGCCTTCCAAGTGTTTCTGATAGACACTAAATGTATTTTATTTTCTATCACTGCTGTAACAAATTACAATAAACATGGTGGCTTAAAACAACACTAACGTGTTATCTCCAGCCTGCAGATCAGAAGTCTGCCAAGGGTTGCACGGGGCTGAAATGAAGGTGTTATCAGGGCTGAGTTCCTTTCTGAAGGCTCTAGAGGAGAATCTGTTTCCTTACCTTTTCCAGTTTCCATAGGCTGCCTTCATTCCTGGACTCAAGGCCCTTCCCCCTGTTTCCAAAGCCAGCAACAGTGGGCCCAGTCCCTTTCACCCACCATCTCTGAGCCTCTGATTCTTCTTCCACTTTTAAAGACTCATATAAATAAACTGGTCCTACTGAGATCATCTAGACTAATCTCCCCGTCTTAAGTGAGCTAATTAGCAAACCTAGTTACATCTGCAACCTTCTCTTTCACCATGCCACATAACATACTCACAGGTTCCAGGTATTGGGGTGTGGGCATCTTGAGTGGCTGCACATTATTCTGCCTAGGACAGTCCACCTTCTGGCACTGAAAGATTCATGTCTGCCCCACATGCAAAATACATTAACCCTATCCCAGTGCACCCAGAGTCTCAACCCATTATAGCACAAATTCAAAGTGCCAAATCTCATTGTCTAAATCATCTAAATAAGGTATGGGTCAGCCTCTGGGTGTAACAGATCTTCGGGCACAGTTTCTCTCTACCTAGACTTGTGAACTAAAAAAAGGTTATCTTTTTTTAGTTCAGGTTATCTTCTCTGAAAATACAATGGCAGGACAGGCATAGGATGACATAGACATTTCTGTTCA
Source organism: Homo sapiens (assembly GCF_000001405.40). Taxonomy (NCBI): domain Eukaryota; kingdom Metazoa; phylum Chordata; class Mammalia; order Primates; family Hominidae; genus Homo; species Homo sapiens. The sequence goes on from NC_000008.11 coordinate 73,127,546, forward strand.
AAAAAGGAGAAAATAGAAGAAAAAAGAAATCATCAATCAAGTGATTTCAAACTGCAGTGAGGCAAACTCCATTTGGTTTTAAAACCTAAAACTAATCCTCTGTAGTTCACTGCTCTGCTGCCTGAGCCATCCTTCCTTTTTCATAAAAGGCAGCTGAGTAGTTTTATTGGTCTGTGTTCTGAATTTCAGGGGACCAACAGGCTTCTTTCATTTTGCACTCTGTCCTTTTCGGTCCAAGCTGGAAGTGTTTCAGCAGGTATAAAAATCCTCAGAAACCTTGTAAGTCTCCCATGTTAAATCACAGGGATTTACTCCATTTGATGAAAGGATCCTTCAAAGATCTTTCCTAGATAATCCCATCTCTATTTTTGGTTTCTGCTGAGATAATGGGATCTGTGAGGTGCATCTTTAATCTTTACAAAAAAGTTTTTTGTGTTTTTTTTCTTTTGTGACTAAAGACTTTGAACTTTTCATTTTTCTGAAATGTTTTATTTTTCCAGAGTATTATCAAACAGATCCAGCCATGATCTCAGCTTTTTCTCTACAGCATGCTTTTTGATGGTGAATCTCTTAATTTTAGCATCTTTTGCAATCTGGGTAAAATGAGAATTCCCCAAATAATCAAGTCTTGAATTCTTTTGGTTTAACTGTTCTTCACACAATTTATCTCATTCCTCTCACACTTCACTATAAGCAGCAAAACCAGACCACGTCTTAGGACCTTTCTTGGAAGTCTCAACCTAGTGTTCAGTTTCATCACTTGGAAGCTCTGCTTTCCACATAATTGCAGGACACAATTCTGCTCAGCTTTCTGCCACTATATTACAAGAATCCCCTGTCCTCCAGCTTCCAATAACATGTTTCTTGTTCCCTTCTGAGCCCTCTGATAAAGATGTTATGAACATTGTTGAAATAACAACACAGGATTTAGACTATTACATAAACTTATTTGATAAAGCAGCATCAGAATTTGAGAGGATTAATTCCAAATTTGAAAGAAATTCTATTGTGGGGAAATGCTATCAAACAGCATCACATGCTATAGAGAAATCTTTCATGAAAGGAAAAGTCAATCAATGCAGCAAACTTCACTCTTGTCTTATTGAAGAAATTGCCACAGCCTCCCAACCTTAAGCAACCACCACCCTGATCAGTCAGCAGCCATCAACATTGAGGCAAGACCCTCCACCAGTGAAGAGATTACAATGCACTGAAGGCTCAGATAATCGTTAACATTTTTTAGCAATAAAGTATGTTTAACTAAGGTACGTATGTTGGTTGTTTTTAGACATAATGCTATTGCACACTTAATAGGCTACAGTATAGTGTAAACCTAACTTGTGTATGTACTGAGAAGCCAAGAAAATTCATGTCTCTCAGTTTATTGTGATGTTCATTTTATTGCAGTGGTCTGGAACTGAACTTTCAATAAATCCAAGTTATGCCTGTAAAAGTAAAATAAGACTCAAACTTTTGAGTGTTAAGTAGGCACACTAGACTTACTTTTAGAAGATTCATAACATAGTAGAGGATATTAAAGGATCTGCATAGCCACAGTAAACAAAAGAGCAAGAGTTGTCAAACTACCCACAGAATACTTTTTCATGTGGTGTTTCATGGGACGTACTCCTGGAATGCAGCTCCAATCACATCAGGTAAAAGATGAGAACCATTGGGAATTATGCAGGGAACTGGGACTATTTAATCTGAAAAAGTGAGAAATGGAGTAACCTTAGCTAACAAGTACATAAAGGATTACTATAAATAAAATACTGTCCTGATGGTCTTTATATGCACTAATAAAACAGGAAGAAAAGAACTATACCATCAACCAAGTATTCCTTGAGCAGTAACCATGTAGTAAGAGCAACATGAACACTATGGGAGACAGAGACGTGGAAGACCCACACCTAAGGCATTCTACTGGGGCATAAGATAAGCATGATGGTGAAACAAGGGAAGCCCACAGAAAGCTGTGTAATTAAGCCTTGCAGTTTGTAAGGAAAATGATGATGTGTCAAGACTATGGGTGGTTGGGCAGGGGAGCTGCAGGATCTGGTGATGTCAGGAGGGTTTTGTGGGAGAGGGGGTACTTGAGCTGGTCTCAGGGTATAGGAAGAATGGAGGAGAGGAGGTGGAGGTTGTTCCGGGCAAGAGGAAGAGCAGGAGGGACATCCTGATGTAAAAAGCGAAGTAGAGGTTCCTCTTCAAAGACTTTCCTCCCCATCTAATTAAGAACAAATAGTAACTTCTGTTAGAAACAAAATTTATTCAAAGACCTGCTAACATTCTTAAATATCTGCTAGCCATAATAAGGAAATCAATGTACTTTATGTTGTTAGCTTCCACAATTTAGCCTAAATATTTGCCCTGGCATGCTTATACTGGTCCAAGCAAGCAGTAGGCCATAGCCTGTTCCTCTTCCTTATTTGAAGGTGTTTTTACCTTTCTCAGCATTCCACAAGTTACTTCTCCTTCCTTTGTACACCTCTGCCTTTGCCTCTTTTAAAAAGTTCTAAGTTGCTAGCCAATCGGGACAAATACAGAATGTGAGGTCCCATTTCAGTCAATGGAAACCAGACACAGCAGTAGGGTGGAAGCATCAGGTTATAAATGACCCTGTCTCCTTCGTTCAGTGTACTCTCATGACAAAACTGCTGGCGAGTGTACCCTTTCTGCAGAAAGTATAAAAATGGCCTTGCTGAGGAAATTAAATTTATGTTCAAGTGCTATTCTTTATGGCACCAGGGAACAAGCATTACAAGCAATTGGAATAAGGCTGAGGCCCTGCGTGCAGGGCAACCTGACTAAAATGCCCGAGATAAAGCCAGAAACATCAGGGCCTGAAATGAGGGATTTAGATTCTTCAAGAGCAGGGACTATGTCTTACTCACCATCATTTCTCTAGTATCCACTGAAGTGCCAGCCACTGAATCGGCACCCAATCAATACTGGTGGAGTTACTGAAACTCTCTCAAACCTAGGGCTAGTTGGTTTGTAAACTGTTAACAAGGAAGCTGTGAAGATCTTGAGTGAGTACTTCTTGGGATTCCACAATATGCTAAGCTCTGGGACAGGCCCTGGGGAAACAGAGGTACAAGGCAGGCGAGTTTCCTTCCGACAGGGGCCTCTGTTTTAGTGGAGATGTTTCCTTGGAAAACAAAATATCAGACAGTCCAGTGGCAGGGATGAACGAAACACAGCACTGTCTAAAGTCAAAGGGGTGAATGACATCCTTATCCACCCCTGCATCATGTGAGTCTTCTGTGCATTTCATAGCAAAACAGCCTAAAGAAGATTCTGTTGTAACTCTGACACTCTGTCAGGTGATGGACAGACTCACACCCTGGAGGAGACCCATGAGCATCCATCCCATTCGTTACAACATCTCACAGTCAGGCTGTGTGGGTCAGCTGGACCACCCACACCCCTGACTGTATCTTACAATCCTCCCACCATTGAATGTCAAAGCTCTGGGCAGACTGACTGAACCTATTGAGCACCATAATGGCCTGCAAACCTACCAGGTGACTTCCATGATTTGTGGAGAGCCACAGGCAATCCAGCCCCGTGGAAAGTTTTCCAGTTTTTTTTTTTTTGTTTGTTTGTTTTTTTTTTGTTTGTTTGTTTTTTTTTGAGACAGAGTGTCATTCTGCCACCCAGGCTGGAGTGCAGTGGCGCTATCTCAGCTCACTGCAAACTCCGCCTCCCGGGTTCACGCCATTCTCCTGCCTCAGCCTCCCGAGTAGCTGAGACTACAGGTGCCCGCCACCACGTCCGACTAATTTTTTGTATTTTTAGTAGAGACGGGGTTTCACCATGTTAGCCAGGATGGTCTCGATCTCCTGACATTGTGATCTGCTTGCCTCAACCTCCCAAAGTACTGGGATTACAGGCATGAGCCACCGCACCTGGCCCAGTTTTTTTTTTTAATTTAAATAAATGTGAAGACCAGAATCTGTGAAGATATGATGTTTGTTTGTTTGTTTGTTTGTTTTAAAGAGGGGGTAAGGGAGTACTTAGATAAACTCTCAATGCTCTGAGAAAGGAGTTATTCCTCTTGGAGGAATTTTGAAGTTGACCTAGTGCTGATATACATTCAAGAGGCTGTAAAAGGATTTAATGTGCTTTGAACTCACAGAGCCAAATTTCATCATAAATTGTTCCTCTAGATTAATATTCAATTAAATATATTGGTGAAGAAGATTATTATTCCCTCTTCTTCCCTCATTCTTTTCTCCTTCCCCCCCCTTCTTCCCCTTCCTTTCCTCTTTGCTTTTCCCTTCCTCCTTCTCTTCACAACTTAAGATTAATAAGTTAATAACATATTTACTTTACACACGCAAGAATCTTTCTACTAATTCTTAAGCCTGTCCTATGGTTTAAGCACAAGGCAGCATCCTGGAGGTGTTAACTCATGACACAGGTCAGAGAGGACACCAATCTAAGTAGATACTGAGGGCTGTGGGACAGCCTGGCCTCTACAACCCCTTGGTGCTATCTGCGTGGTGATGGCAAGTTTTGTGATAAAGCAAAAAGTGCTGTCTTCTCTCTATCATCCCACTGAGGTCATATAATCTTAGCGTTAACATGAGCCAGATGCTGTTGCAAGTACTTTGTGTATTTTGACTCACTCAGTCCTTACACAACCCTAGGTGGTAGGTGCTTTACCCCCAGTTCACAGAGGGGGAAACTGAGATACCTGGGCCAAGAGCCGTAAACAGTGGAACTAACCCAGGGCATTCGATGCCAAAGCCTATCCATTTTATTATACCACTCGGCCATACGGTCTTGACTCAATAAGCGTATCATGACAAAATAAACTATTTCAAAGGAAAACAAGCCTAATGCTGTGTCTTTATAAAGTTCTCATGCTATTTAATCCTTTAAATTCCTTTCCCAAATCTATATATTATATCATACATACATAACACCATACTATTTACATAATGCCACATATCAAATCAATTGTTAATTTTTGTTCAGTGCTTTCTGTTATCTTCACATAGATGATAAATCAGCCCTTGTACATTTACCCAAAGATTATCTACCCTGCAAATCACCTCATTTTCTTTTCTTTTCTTTTTTTCTTTTTTTTTTTTAATTCAAGACAGGGTCTCACACTGTCACCAGGCTGGAGTGCAGTGGAGCAATCATAGCTCACTGTAGCTGCTTACTCCTAGGCTCAAGCCATCCTCTGGCTTAGCCTCCTGAGTAGCTGGAAATACAGGTGCATGCTACCAGGCCCAGCTGATTTTTAAATTTATTTTTAATAAAGATGAGGTTTCTATGTTGCTCAGGCTGATCTTGAACTCATGGGCTCAAGCGATCCTCCCACCTAGGCCTCCCAAAGTGCTGGGATTATAAGTGTGAGCCACCATACCTGGCCTAAATCACCTCATTTTCAAGAACCACTTTATCTGCTCATTGGCATTAGCAAACATTTAGGTTCGGAAAGTGCTTGTTAGAGAATCTTTAGAAATAACTGGATTAAGGTTGGTACTAAAATAAAGACTGAGAACATTTGATTGGCTTCTAAGCAATGGAGAAAAATGGGTGGTTTTGAGCAGGAGATTAACATAGAATCAAATGTTTAAGCTGGGAAGACCTTCGAGATCATCTAAACCAGCGCTGGCAAATACATGGCACAGGCGCCATCACTGCCTCCTTCCCACATGAGGCCAGCATTGCTCTTTCCCGCTAAGCTCTTTTGGAACCTCAGAATCCTTCTCAACCCATGGCTCTGGGTAGCTGCTACTGATCAAATTGGCTTGAGAAATATAACCTGTTTTTCATCTCTAAATCTACACCAACCCTTTCATTTTATAAATGCGGAAACTAAGTATGAGAGAGGCTAAGTGAACTACATGAGATCACACAATTCAGGGAAACCTGAGAAAGCTGGAGCTGGCATGTGAGACTTCTGAATTCTACTCCAATACTCTTTCCAGGGTGACCTGTGATGGTAGTGGTTCTCCAGGAGGGTTAGTGGAGTGGGGTCATGCAGGAATGTTTGGAGAAAGAGAGTGGGGGCTATGAAGCCAGGTAAGAGGCTATCACTGCAGTTTAATAATAAGATAAATCACTTTAAGTGATCAAAGAAAATAACCCTATAACCTGGCTTACTACATTCAAGAATTGGGAAACTAACATACTTTCCTTACTGATGTGAACTGTGATTATCACAGCAACCCCACGGGTTAACAGGGCAGACAACACCCCCATTGGAGTGCACTGCAGTGGGGAAGGTCAGAGCACGGGGCCAGCTGCCCAGGTTCAGATTCCAGCACTGCCACTTTGGGAGAGTTGTGGAACATCTCCTTGCTACCCAGAGTCACAAGCTCATCAGCAGTAAAGTCAGCTGTGGAACCTACATCTCTAGACTTCGCATCCAATTCTCTTTCCATCACGCCATAGTTAAACAGGAAGGCAAAGCCAACGTTGCATCAGACAGCTCAGATATTTCAAAGAAGTAGATGGTGTTGTCACTCTCAGAAACAGGGCAAGTAACTCCGAATGCCAGTATGTTGATCAACAAACTTGATTCAGCTGCGTGTGTGGTTGGATTGCTTGTTTTGAGAATCAGGTTGAAAAGAACCACACTGTTTTTGTGATCCATAAGGCCTAGTTTAAATATTTTAAGTTAGAATGTCTCAGTTTGGAAGGGAAGTTTCTATGGACCTGTTTATCTCTTGCCTCTGAAGAGCCCTTCAGTTCCCTTTACTTGAAAAAGCCTCAGATATGAACATGGTCAACTGCTTGGAGACAGGAAGGGCACTGTGCATGGGTGAGACCCAGCGCAGTCATAACTGAATGGAGAAAGAGCAGGGGAAATTGGGAATGGAGAGCCCCTGTCCATCCAGGCAAGTAGAAAAGGAGAGCTATTTAGTGATTTAAAACACGACCTTGAAAATGAGATCACAATACTTGTCAGCCTGCAAATATTTACTACCAGGATACTGCTAAGGGATACCCATTACTAAAATAAATGGGATCAACGTTTTTACAGGTTACCTAGATCTCAAATATTCCTCACCTAAAGTAATAATCACCAAACACCTATTTCCAAGATGTAATTACTCAGGTCTAGGATTGACTGCCAAGGTTGTAAATGGTCTTGTGAGTCTGGGTGAGAAGCAGTGTTTTCCTAAAAGTTCTAAGCCACTGAGAATGCATGTCAAGGTAGAAACGCTCTTTTGGAAAAAGTGGGGTTTTTTTGTTTGTTTTTGTTTTTTGATGATAGGAACAAGGTTTTTCATCCAGCAATTGCTAAGATATTCAGTACAAAAAGTTATGAACCACTGCCTTAATGCCCACCCAAAGAATATTGTAATTGATCCCAAAGGTCAGTTCTTAGGGCTTTTTCCATATCTAACATAGGGCATAAGACTCTAGCAAGTGACAGTTCAGCACAAAGCAATTTTGAAGTGACCAATTCCTTTGAAAATATGAGCCTGGAACAGAAATACTTATTTTAAGACCTGAGATTACAAGAGACTTCAGAGATCAACACGGGGAGACAAGGACACTGCAAAATAAAATAATGTGGATTTCTGTTTTGATTTTGAATCCAAACAATATTCTTTACTGGGGAGCAGATGTTCAGAAGGAACCAGGAATAGTGAGTTCAACCAAGAGTGTTCCTTGCTTTGTGTTCAACACACATAAAACAAACGAAGGCCTCGAGGGACTCTTCTCTTTGTGACTGTTCTCTCCAGGTGACATGAATCGAACAGCCTCCCACACCAAGAGAGCTGTGCCTTGTGGGAGGCAGCTCCCGAGTGCTCTGCAATGCATGGGCTGGCAGCATTCCAGCCTATCGGACGCCAATAGACTAAACAAGACGGTGGGGGGTGGGGGTGTATTTCATTGCACCCTGAGACGCTGCTTTCACAAAATGCAAAGGTGGCTTGATATAAAGTCTTTCATCAATAAACTCAATTCAAATGAGAATCCATCAAATTTCAAATAGGTTTTTTTTTAATCTCATAACAAGCCTATTTACTTTGTTTTTCACAAAGTCTGTGGTCTAACTTTCTATGTATTTCTTCCATCGGGCTGTTTCTTGCACCACTTTTTGAATTTATAGACCTTCAGAGGACTGGTAGGAATAGTCTATGAACCGGAACTGAATTACAACACACCTGGAGAGCTCAGAAAGAAAACTCACAGTGATCAGAATGGTTTCTTCTGAGAAAATGTTTTCTTCTGAGAAAACTAAGCAAGTGCCTAAAAAGTCCTGTAGTATTGACTGTCCTAATGGGAACCTTATGGCTGCCTCACCTTGGGAAAATCCTCTCAGCTCGCAAACTCTCAGTCTCCTTATTATGAAATATTTTTCAAAAGCAAATAGGATAAGGTCATTGACAAGTTTGGAAGCTGTGAAGGGTCTGGAATTTTATCTTAGCAAACTAACAAGTTAGCCTACCATAGTGTTACATACATGTGCTGAGAGGTTACAAGAGACTTCAGGGTCAGAGAAAAGACCATCTGTTACTCACAGCAAAAGCAGGAGCCAGAGCAATATCTTGCTTTATTTCCCCAATGTGATAGGACCAGAGGTTACCTGCATGTGCATGGGGTGTATCACAGAAGAGGAAACCTGAAATTAGGAAAATTCAATCATGTATGGGGCTGCTGAGAGAGAGATTACTCATTACCTTGGAATGTAAGCAAATCTCCTCTGGGGAGGGCATGAGGAAGTCTTTATCTTTATTACCCTGGGATGTCTCCAGAGAGAGAGGGAGAGAGACATCTCTACGCTTTGTTATCTTGGAATGTCTCCTTAAATGAACATTGGCAATAAATGCCTTTGTTCAGAAGGCCTGGACCATGCAGGAACGTGAGGAATCCGTGGATAAATGCTTCCCAGTAGTCACATGCTTACTTAAAACCCCCAACGGCTCCCCTCTGCAATTAGAGTGAGACATCCAGCACTGACTGGTCATTGCCTAAAAGGCCTACTTGATGGGGCACCCATATATCTTTCCAATCTCATCTCATTCATTCTCCACTAGGCTCCTGCCACACATGTGTCCCTTGGACATACCAAGTTCATTTTCACCTCAGAGTCCTTGAACTTGCTACTCCTTCTATCTGGAACAGGTTTCCATGGGACCTGCCCATGAGTGACTTCTGATTCTCATCCAGGACACATCTAGCCCAAGTGTCACCTCCCCAGAGAAGCCTCTCTCAACAATGGTCCTTCTCAATCACACCACTTCATTGTCTTCAGAGCCACGTTATTATCTTCTGGTTACTTCTCTGTTTACTGTCTGCCTGCCCTGGCAAGAAGCTAAGTCTATGAGAGTAGAGAACTTGTTTTTGTACTCAATCTTTAATATGGTAGCTAGAATAGTACCTGGCTTATTTCAGTAAATATCTGTTAAATGAATGTTGAATCTGTAACATGGGGACACTCCTAGCTTTTCATCGAAGCCTAGGTAATATAATGAATGTGAACATGCCTTGTAAACTGCAGATAGAATATAAGGGAAATGTATTAATATTAATATTGGGTCCAACCATGTAGGGATTGAGGTGAAGACATGATGTAAGTGTTCACCCTACCTTGTACTCCAAACAGTCATCAATCTACTCCAGAACATAGCGTTCCTGGGCAAAGGACATACAAAATTCAAAGCAATTAAATAATCTATGGGGGCCCATTACATGTTTGTATGTGCATCTTACTTTTGATCCATTTATGAAGAAATACAGCAATGCATAAATAAGTTCAATGCAGCCATATGATAATTCTCTCTTTTTTTCTTTTTTTGAGACGGAGTCTTGCTCTGTCACCCAGGCTGGAGTGCAGTGGCGTGATCTCAGCTCACTACAAGCTCCACCTCCTGGGTTCACACCATTCTGTTGCCTCAGCCTCCCCAGCAGCTGGGACTACAGGTGCCTGCCACCATGCCTGGCTAATTTTTTTGTATTTTTAGTAGAGATGGGGTTTCACCATTTAGCCAGGATGGTCTCGATCTCCTGACCTTGTGATCCGCCCACCTCAGTCTCCCAAAGTGCTGGGATTACAGGTGTGAGCCACTGTGCCTGGTGATAATTCTCTTATTTCTTGGGAGCTTAGCCCAATATGGGACTAAACACTTAGTAAATGTATTTTAAATTGAATTAAATTATCTAATATGTAAACAAAGCTGCTCCTGGGATGTAAAGATTAACACCCACTTATTTTATTTCATTCAACAAATATTTACTGAGAATCTTCAGTTTACAAGATGCTATTCTAGGCTCTAGAAAGCTACCAATAAAGGTGAGTTTCTGCTTTCAAAGGGTTCAGGTTATTACCAGATAGGCAGACAGATGAATGCAATTGCCAAATCTAAGGTAATTCTAATCTAGTACCATAGACTGAGGCAGAAAATTCACATATTTTTTTCTAAATTTGGCTCACAACTTATCTTCTCAATGTCTCAGCTCCTCGTCTATTAAATGATCACCACCCTGTGTGTCTCAGGGTGAGAACTTGCTGGTCGAGATGGTCTTAATGTCCTCCTCCCAGATTGTTCTCCTTTAACAGGGATACAAAGCTTTCTTCCCTGTTATGAAGAGCTTTCATTAGTGGGAAAAATAGGACTTCATCAACGAATAATCACTGAGCACCTGTTATGTGTGGGACACTGTGCTGAGCACTGGAGCTGCTGTAAGAAGGTCTTTTAAGAGAGTAAGAGGAGACAGGGCTGGAAATGAGGATGGGGATCAGATTGCAGAGTCCATTAACGGTCTGAACAAGAAGGTTCAGATTCGACCCAGTGAGGAGTCATTAAGGATAAAGAGTGTGGCCGGGCACGGTGGATCTCAGCACTTTGGGAGGCCAAAGTGGGTGGATCACTTGAGGTCAGGAGTTTGAGACCAGCCTGGCCAACAAGGCAAAACCCTGTCTCTACCAAAAATACAAAAATTAGTCCAGCATGGCGGCATGTACCTGTAATCCCAGCTACTCAGGAGGCTGAGGCATAAGAATTGCTTGAATGTGGGAGGCAGAGGTTGCAGTCAGCCAAGATAACACCACTGCACTCCAGCCTGGGCGACAGATCGAGACTTCATCTCAAAAAAAAAAAAAAAAAAAATACAAGGGGTACAGCAGGGCAATGGGATAGACCAATGTCAGAACTCTGTAATTTGGCAGCAGTCTGTGAAAGGCCCGCATGCAGATTGCAGTGGTCCTTTCAGATTGCAGATTGCAGGTCCTGCAGATTGCAGATTGCAGAGAGGCAATTAGAACCCAACCAAGGGAAGTAATAGTGGACATGAAAAGGAAAGGTAGGTATGAGCATTACTGGAAAAGAATTGGATTGTCAACCTCTTGCTAAGAACACAATAGTTACATACAAAGATCTTGAAATCAGTCTGCCTGAGTTCAAATCCTATCTCCACTACTTGTTAATGTTGTGCCTTTAAGCAATTTACTCAATCATTCTGTTCTTAAGATTTCCTCATCTATAAAATGGGGATAATATTAATGCCTACCTCTTAGGATTTACATGTATACAAAGAATTTAGAATAGTTTTAGAAACACATAAGCACCAAATAAAGATGAAAAATTATAATCACAAAAGTCTTTAGAACCTGGCTCACAGACTTTTACACCCATCTATCCCACAAATCCAGGAAATTTGAGTGTACCTTGTAGATATAGTGCCCTTGACTGGACCTTACTATATCTTTTTCACTTTAAAGACCTCTTTAACTTCAATGGCTTTCATCTCTACACTTATTTCTAGGACCACACCTTGGATCTTGTTGTCATCTAGAGCTACTTTTATATCAGAAATCTGAAGCTGCAACATTCTACTCTCTCCATAGACCAGCTCTCTCAAGAAACTCATCAGCAAAGGAGAGAGTAGAATGTTGCAGCTTAAGATTTCTTCAACTTCAAACATGTCTAGCCTCTTTTACTCTCCATTTTCTCTCAACTTGTGAGCTCCTTCCTGACCTCACTACTCCATCTGGATCCCATTTTGGTCATCTGAATGCTCTCTCTCATCTTTTCCCTAACACCCTGATAGTTCTGGGTCATGTGCCCCCCAGCCCTAGATCACAGGCGCAGCTCCTCTTTCTCTAGGTTGATGCTCAGTCCAATCAGTGCTGCTGGAGAAAAGTCACACACAGTCTCTGAGGACTGACACCGTGACAGTTTCCCAACTCAACCAGCTGGTCGTATTTCACTTGTCCTTCATCAGCTCCCTCAACCGTCCTCTCAAAGACGGTTCTCAACCTTCACCACTCTTCACAAGGCTTCACAAACTCCACCCCCATTTTGTCAGCTGAGGACTTTCACTGAGATCCCCAGCAGCAATCTTTCTCAACTTATTGAGCTCTTGGCTACCAATTTGACTCTAACCATACCCATTCTTACTACCTCCAGTCTCATAGGAGGAAGAGTCCTGTTCTTGCTCAAAACCAAAATCTCCTCCTGTATGCTTAATGCCTCCCATTGCTTCCCCCAAAATACACTTCTATCAATCCGCGCAGCCTAGTTTTTATATCTTTAAACCTTTCTCTATTAAGTGACTCCTTCCCTTCAGCCTCTAAAGAAGATTTGTTCAAATATAGAGAAAAATAACACCTCCATTGACTCCATGTTGCTGTTACTCCCCTCTAGTTACTGTCAAATCTCACTTTTCTCTTTCTCAGTCAAACTTCTTGAAAGAATAATTTGCTTTCACTTGTTCTAACTTTCAGCTCCTATTCCCTCCTCAAGCTGTTGTAGTGTGACCTCTGCCTCCTGGAGTCTTCCCCTCTAGCCAAGCTCTCTCTCCAGTGAAATTCTGATCATCAGGTCTGATGAACACATTTCAAATGGTCTTATGTACTTCTCCATCAGATACTCTTGTTCTTGCTGCCCTTGAGACATTTCATTCTTTTTGTGTCTGTGACAATGCCTTCAATTGTCATATCCCTCTGACCATTGTCTTTCTGGCTTCTTCGTGGGTTTCCTTTTGCTCTAACTCTCCCTTAGATGTTCCTGTCTCTAAAGTTCCATCTTTAACCCGCTGCTTCTCTTATTCTAAACACTTTCCCAGAGCAATCATGGGTGATCTTATCCTTTCTTATGGTTTTAACCACAACATGCCAATAACTCCAAAAAATCTGTATCTTTAGATTCTTCTCCTTGAGCTCTAGACTTATACATCCAAATCTGGACATCTCTGCCCCATACCCCATTGACATTTGCAGCTGAATGTTTCCAAAATGCAGCTCAGCATTTTTCCTTCCAAGATTAGTTTATCTGCACTAAAAGCACTCCTTTTATTCAATCACACAAACTAGAAACCTGGCAGATATCTCACATTCCTGCCCTTGCCTTCCTTACCCCTCATGTCCAAGCAGTCATTCACACTTGCTGAATTTACCTTTCAAATATTTCTCGGCTCCATTCCCCTCTTCCCTCTCTCGTTTGAGCCCTCATGTTTTCTTCTCTTGGACCAGTGTGATAGTTTCTTTTTAAAATTAATTATTTATGTATTTTGAGACAGAGTTTCACTTTTGCCACCCAGGCTGGAGTGCAATGGCGCAATCTCGGCTCACTGCAACCTCTGCCTCCCAGGTTCAAGCAATTCTTCTGCCTCAGCCTCCTGAGTAGTTGGGATTACAGGCACAGGCCTGGTTATTTTTTGTATTTTAAAGAGAGACGGGGTTTCCCCATGTTGGTCAGGCTGGTCTCAAATTCCTGACCTCAAATGATCCGCCCTTCTTGGCCTCCCAAAGTGCTGGGATTACACGTGTGAGCCACCACGTGCATGGCCGACAGTTTCTTAATTAGTTTCCCTGCATTCAGTCTTGGATCTCACAAGTATAGTCTCTTTTCTTATTAAATCAAATCCAAACTCTTTAATACAACGCAGAGGTTTATTCATGATCTGGCACCTGAAAAATCTCTTTCCCTCATCTCTTGCCCTTCCGCACCTCACACTTTATACTCCAGCAACATTGATCTGCTTCTGTTCCCTGTTCTTGTTTGACTTCTGTTCCTTTGCTTGTGCTATGTCCCCAGCCTGAAAAGCCTTGAGCCCCTGCCTCTCCTACACATACTCATTTTCACCTGTTTAGGCACAGCTTCACTTCCCTAGGAGGCTGGCCCTGGATGAAGTGCAACCCTTCATTATTCTGAGGTGGTGCCTTTCATTTGCACTCCCTGGATGTGTCTCAAGCGCTGCACTCACGCTGTGTTGTGATTTTCTGTTTGCACATCTGCTTTGTCCACTGTACTCTCTTCCTCCGTGAAAGCCTATGTCTGAATTATCTTTTAATCTCCAACATCTAATCTGTTACATGACATAATAGGTGCTCAACTAATATTTTTTAAAAGAAATAAGAAGGAAGAAAGGTGGTAGGGAAGATAGGAGGGGAAAGAGGGAAAATAACAGGGAGGAAGAATCATTTTTATAGTGAAAAAATATAACTTTCAAATACAACAGTCTGGTTAATAGGATGATAAGAAAACAGAAACACAAACACTTTGATTCTGTCTTGGTTAAAATGGAAAGAAACTGTAGGTCAGAATCAATTTAATATCTTGAGGGCAAAATCCTATTACGTCATGTACTAGTTATTAATAGAGAGGTGGGCTAAAAAGCGTTTTTATTCCAGTAATCTCTGTAATACAAAGAACAGCAAAATCAGACAGGAGGGAAAATATCTTATTTTTATTTGAACTATATGAACCATGACCGTTGCTGTGTTTCCTAAAAAGAAACAAGAAGCTTCTTAAGAAATTCACAAGTTCATCATGTACTTTTCTTTCTGGGATGGTCCTAAAAGTTAAAAAAAAATTTTCTGAAACATAAACTTTAATCTCAAGGTATGTAAAACAGTGAGTTGTTTATTTAATCTATAGAATACATTTGTTTGAGGGACTGAAATTTGCTGACTTTAATTGTAAATTAACCATTCATCTGATTCATCATTATATAAATTTTGTATTTGTTCATTACAGAAGTATTTGTTCATTACCCAAAATTATTCAGGCTTCTGGGTCTAGCTTTTCTCTCTGCCAGATGTACAATGCATAATAAAAATAAGAAGATCCCATAGCAGACTCAACCCCAAACATGATAAAAAGTCTAGTTTCTTTGCAAACATATTATCCCTTTCCCCAACCAGGCATTATTATCATGGATCCAGATTTCTAAAAAGCATTGTTAAGGTCCAGTCTTTGTGGTCTCTGGATAGAAATTTCTTTCAGAGTCTGTAAGACTTCATTTATTTTTTTTAACTTTTTTTAAATGGAAAAAATAACACAAATAGTCTCTACTTTACTATGACCTGAATTTCCCAAACATCGGGAACCATTTCAAGCTGTTCCTCCATCCTATTTTCCACTTCAGTAATATTTTCCCCTTTCCTTTTAAGAAATTAAGGCTATTTTCTATTTCATCACTTGGCTGCTAATAACTGGGCATTTAAGAACAGATTCCAGAGAAAGGTTACAAGGCCTGGGAGTAGGAGACGACCAAGAGCAGACACATATTCACTGTCTAATTATATCATCATGTACCCAGATGAAATCACTTCTTTCCAAGAAGCATGGCCAGCTGACTGCCCAATTATTAGAGGAATAGGTAAATGTGACACCTTGGCAACCTGTGTGAAGGTAAGTGCTGAGCTTGGCATCCTATATGAAGCAGAACTTGATTCTGTGGAAGGTTCACACGATGGTCAGAATGTTTATATCCTCCCAAAATTTGTATGTTGAAGCCTAACTCTCAAGGTGTTGGGGCCTTTGAGAGGTAATTAGTTTATGAGAGCACCATTCTTATTAATGGGATTAGTGCCAGTATAAAAGGGCTTGAGGAGAAATGGGAAAAGGATTCCCTATTTAATACAGGGTGCTGGAAGAACTGGCTAGCTATATGCAGAAAATTGAAACTGGACCCGTTATTTACACCTTACACAAAAATTAACTCAAGATGGATTAAAGACTTAAATGTGAAACCCGAAACTATAAAAACCCTAGAAGAATATCATTCAGGACATAGGCACAGGCAAAGATTTCATGATGAAAACATCAAAAGTAATTGCAACAAAAGCAAAAATTGACAAATGGAATCTAATTAAACTAAAGAACTTCTGCACAGCAAAAGAAACCATCATCAGAGTGAACAGACAACCTACAGAAAGAGAGAAAAGTTTTGCAATCTATCCACCCGACAAACATCTAATAACTAGAATCTACAAGAAACTTAAACAAATTTACAAGAAAAAGAAACCCAATTAAAAAATGGGCAAAAGACATGAACAGACACTTCTCAAAAGAAGACATTTATGAGGTCAACAAACATGAAAAAAAGCTCTAATGATCACTGATCATTAGAGAAATGCAAATCAAAACCACAATGAGATACCATCTCATTGTGCCAGTCAGAATGGCAATTATTGAAAAGTCATGAAATAATAGATGCTGGCAAGGCTGTGGAGAAATAGGAATGCTTTTATAATATACAGTTTGCAGGAGTATATAAATTAGTTCAACCATTGTGGAAGACAGTGTGGTGATTCCTCAAAGACCTAGAACAAGAAATATCATTTGACCCAGCAATCCCATTACTGGGTATATACCCAAAGGAATATGAATCATTCTATTATAAAGATACATGCATGTGTACATTTATTGCACCACTATTCTCAATAACAAATATATGGAATCAACCCAAATGGCCATCAATGGTAGACTGGATAAAGAAAATGTGGTACACGTACACCATGGAATACTATGCAGCCATAACAAAAAATGAGATCATGTCCTTTGCAGAGACATGGATGGAGCTGGAAGCCATTATCCTCAGCAAACTAACACAGGAACAGAAAACCAAACACTGCATGTTCTCACTTATAAGTGGGAGCTGAACAATGAGAACACATGGACCCAGGGAGGGAAACAATACACACTGGGTCCTGTTGGTGGGGGCGGGGTGGGAGAGGGAGAGCATCAGGATAAATACCTAATGCATAACAGGTTTTATACCTAGGTGATGGGTGCAGCAAATCACCATGGCACACATTTACCTATGTAACAAACCTGCACATCCTGCACATGTATCATGGGACTTAAAATAATTTTTTTAAAAAGCACTCAAGTTTTTATAAACCGACTTTATTGAGACATAATTTATGTACAATAAGTTCTACTTATTTGAAATATCAAGTAGATGACTTTTGACAAAAGTATAAAACATTTTCACCTCCTTCACTCCCCTTTACAGTCAATCTCCCTTTCACTCCCCACTCCAGGCAACCACTCATCTGACTGCTCTCTCTATAGGTTAACCTTGCCTGTTCTAGAATTTCATATAATTAAAATCACACAGTATGTGCCCTTTTGTGTTTAACACATCTCACTGAGCACAATGTGAGATTCACTCACACTGCATGCATCAGTAGCTTCCTTTTTATAGTTGAGTAGAGGTTTTGGTCTGAACATACCACAATTTACTTATCCTCCTCTTGATTGACAAAAGGGTTGTTTAGGATTTTGGGGATAAGTAAATTTCTTTTGAATGTTATTAGACTAGAATTTTTATTTTTTATTTTTTAGACAGAGTCTTGCTTTGTCATCCAGGCTGGAGTGTAGTGGCACGATTTCAGCTCACTGCAACCTCTGCCTTCCAGGTTCATGTGATTCTCCTGCCTCAGCCTCCCTAGTAGCTGGGACTACGTGTGCACCACCATGCCTGGCTAGTTTATTGTTTATTTTTTATTTTTAGTAGATTCGGGGTTTCACCATGTTGGCCAGGCTGGTTTCGAACTCCTAACCTCAGGTGATCCACCCACCTCAGCCTCCCAAAGTGCTGGGATTACAGGCATGAGCCACTGCACCCAGCCTGGACTAGAATTTTTAAGAACATTCATTTCCATTTCTCTTGGGTAGATACCTCAGAATGGAACTGCAGAATCATCTCATAAGTTTGTGATCCACTTCACAAGAAATCTGATGTTTTCAAATCAGGTGACTGCATGTTATACGCACAACAACAACATACAAGAGAGTCACCTGCAGCACGTGCACAGCAACACTGGGTATTGCTTGGTATTTGAATTTAAGCCATTTTACTGTGTGAAAGTGGTATCTCATTGTGGTTTTATTTGCATTTTCCTGATGACTTAATATTTCTGAGCATACTCTCCTGTGCCTTTTGGTGATTCTTATATCTTCCTGTGAAACATCGTTTCAAATCTTTTGCCCATATTACTGGGTTGCCTTCTTGAGTTTTCATTGTTCTTTATGCACTTTGTATACAAGTCCTTTCTTAGATATATAATAAAATTTCTTTCTTTTTGTCAAAAAAACAGGGCAGCTTTAGAGGACCTGCTTGCCTTTTCCATCTTTCTTCCCGTGAGGACACAGCAACAAGGCCCCATCTGTGAGGAGCAGGCCCTCATCAGACATAGAATCTGCTGGTGCCTTGACCTTGGACTTCCCAGCCTTCAGAAATGTGAGCAGTACATCTCTATTGATAAGTGACCCAGTGTGCACTAGTTTATTACAGCAGCCCAAACAGACTAAGACAGTTTGGTAGATGGGTGGCATGACTGACCTGTGCTACAGTGAGCCCAGACACCAAAAGGCAGATGGGCAGGCTTCTTGCTGTGTGTTTATGTCCATTTGATGAACAGCCACAGTTATACAAATGATAGGCTATTCAGTTGGAAATGGCCTTTAAAAAAAAATAAACAAAAGCCAACCGCATTTCTAAAAACTCAGCTCTTCAGTAGAAAAAAAGGATTAGCCTCACCATTCTCTCCTAGAATTAGTAGATTTTAAAGGTGTCTTTAAGATGTCTCCTAGGTTTAAGAGTAAGAATAATGTATGATTACCTACACTTTATTGGGCACTTACTGTATGCTACACACTTTACATTTATTTTCTATATGAATCCTCCCAGTAACCTAATGAGTGTTACTGCTCCTATTTTACCAGGGGGTAAGGTTCCACAAATCCAAGATATGAATTGCCCATCTGTCTGATTCCAAAGCCTGACATGACCTGTAGCCAACCAGGCTACAAGAAGAAGCCAACCAGAAGCCAAGCACATCTGCTGAGGGAGAAGGTGCTCCAGGCCAGCCAGCCTTAGGAATAAGCTTAGTCACCAGCACTAGAGCATGTGAAAGACACTCCCGAATGCCTGCTGCCAGGCCTACAATTCCACTATTTGGCATTAACTTATTTTATTAAAGAGTGCTTGCTCTAGGAAATCTCTTAAAAAGCAGATGCCCATGAAAAGGACTGCATCTTGTGCAGTCTTGGTCCCCTGAGAAGCAGCTGGCCAGATGGGATTAGAAGTGCAACAGACTTATTAGGGGAAATGCCTGTTAAAAATAAAGAGAACAGCTGGGGCAGTGGCTCACGCTTGTAATCCCAGCACTTTGGGAGGCCAAGGAGAGTGGATTGCTTGAGCTCAGGAGTTCCAGACCAGCCTGGGCCACACGGGGAAACCCCATCTCCACAAAAAATACAAAAATTAGCCAGGCATGGTGATGTACACCTGTAGTCCCAGCTACTTGGGAGGCTGAGGCGGGAGAATTGCTTGAGCCCAGGAGGCGGAGATTGCAGTGAGCCAAGATCACTCCACTGCACTCCAGCCTGGGCGACAGAGCAAGACCCCATCTCAAAAAAAAAAAAAAAAAGACCAAACTGCAATGCAAGGATTACACCTGTGAAAGGAGAGCAGGAAGGAAGAAAAGTTGACCAGAAAGCATCCTGAATGGCAGCACAATTCTACAATCATTTCAGCCAGGCCAATGGGGGGTGCCCAAACCAAAGTCAGCTGCCAAAGTGAGCACAGGGAGTGCTCAGTGGAGCATCTGGGGCCCACATGTCTTCTTCTCTGCTTCAAGGTGCAAAAGTGACCCTACCCCCTCCTGCCTGACAGGGGCAATTACACCTGCAAAGATGGTGATTCCTTCTCTTGTCTGTTGGTCCCTGGACACAAGGAGTCTAACATGTCCCAGAGGCAGCTGCAGCTTGCAGTGCAGTGGGGCCCTGTCTGGGTCCCTTGGCAAGAGTGTGTCCCTTTAAGGGAAGAGAACCTCCACTGCAGAGCCCAGAGTTGAGGAGGTGAGAAGTGCCAAGTCCCCCAGTGGATCACTGGAAGTGATAGTAAGTGCAGGCACTCCCACTTCCACCCCTTTGTTCCCACACTTGTGTATTCTTTCTACACAGTGTCATAGAGAGGTGTCTGAGGACACTCCTATCCTTTCAGATAATTGCATCTCAGTGTAATCTTCAGCTGTGTCTGTGTATCCAGTAGGCTGCTCTTGTGTTCCATGATGAGGCAGTCGCTTCTAGATGGTACAATTTGTGATATGTTCAGTGGATTCCATGGCCCTGGGCTCCCACCCACACTCCCTTTGTGTAAAGTGGGTGTCCTGATCAGAGGCTATGTTGTGTGGGATTCAGTGTGCCCTGCAGAGTGGCACTGGCTGAGTCTGTAGGCAGTAGACAATTAATATTAGAATACATTTATTCATTCAGTAACATTTTTGGCACATGTATTTGGTGCAATACTCTATTCTAGGTTTGGAAATACAAAGATAAACAAGCAGCTCCTGTCCCTGAAGATCTTCTAAATAGATAAAGGGAAACTAACAGCATATGACATGGCAAGGGCTTTACTTGGGTCTCTATGGCAGCAGCAGGGAGGACCTGGGCAGCAGGCTGGAGAGACAGGATGTTTGAGCTGAGTATTCCAGGTCGCAGAGAACTTAGACAGGTGGAAAAAGGAGGGAGAGGTAATTGCAGTTGAATGCAGCCAGTGTGGCTAAGTGCAGGTGTGTGCCAGGAAGCAGGAGGAGCTGAGGTTTCTCAGGATGGGCAGGGAACAGGTCACTAGGAGCCTTTTCTGCCAGGCTAGGAGTTAGGGCTCTGTGCCATGCCAGGAATAAGCCCCTGAAACTGTTTAAACAGAGGAGTAATAATGAACAAATTAGTTTCAGAAGATCCCTCTAGCCACAATATGGAAGGAGAATTGAAAGCAAACCGAGATGGACCCACTAAGGAGGCAGAATCAGGGGGACTTGGTGACTGTGGGTGTGAGGGAGAGAGAAGGGCCACAGTGACTCCAGGGCTTGGTGGATGGTGGTATCAGTCACTGAAATGGGGACAGAGGAAGAGAAGAAGGTTCATGATGGTGGGCTCAGATTTGGACACAATGCCCATGAATGGTGGATTATATAAAGAAAATGTGGTACGTATGTACCATGGAATATACACGGCCATAAAAACTGAAATCGTGTCCTTCACAGCAACATGGATGAAGCTGGAGGCCATTATCCTAAGTGAAATAACGCAGAAACAGAAAATCAAATACCACATGTTCTCAATTGTAAGTGGGATCTAAACAATGGGTACCTTGGTCATAAAGATGGAAATAATAGACAGTGAGGACTCCAAAAGCCGGGAGGGTGAAAGGGAGACAAGGCTTGAAAAATTACCTTCTGGGTACAGTGTTCACTATTCGGGTGATGGATTCACCAGAAACCCAAAGCCCTGCGTTACACAACCTACCCATGTAACAAACCTACACATGTACCCCCTAAATCTACAATCAAATGTAATGGTAACAAACCTACTCATGTACCCCCTAAATCTGCAATCAAATATAATGGTAACAAACCTACTCATGTACCCCCTAAATCTACAATCAAATATAATGGTAACAAACCTACTCATGTACCCCCTAAATCTACAATCAAATATAATGGTAACAAACCTACACATGTACCCCCTAAATCTACAATCATATATAATGATAACAAACCTACACATGTACCCCCTAAATCTACAATCAAATATAATGGTAACAAACCTACACATGTACCCCCTAAATCTACAATCAAATATAATGATAACAAACCTACACATGTACCCCCTAAATCTACAATCAAATATGATGGTAACAAACCTACACATGTACCCCCTAAATCTACAATCAAATATGATGGTAACAAACCTACACATGTACCCCCTAAATCTACAATCAAATATAATGGTAACAAACCTACTCGTGTACCCCCTAAATCTACAATCAAATATAATGGTAACAAACCTACACATGTACCCCCTAAATCTACAATCAAATATAATGGTAACAAACCTACACATGTACCCCCTAAATCTACAATCAAATATAATGGTAACAAACCTACACATGTACCCCCTAAATCTATAATCAAATATAATGGTAACAAACCTACTCATGTACCCCCTAAATCTACAATCAAATATAATGATAACAAACCTACACATGTACCCCCTAAATCTACAATCAAATATAATGGTAACAAACCTACTCGTGTACCCCCTAAATCTACAATCAAATATAATGGTAACAAACCTACTCATGTACCCCCTAAATCTACAATCAAATATAATGGTAACAAACCTACACATGTACCCCCTAAATCTATAATCAAATATAATGGTAACAAACCTACTCATGTACCCCCTAAATCTACAATCAAATATAATGGTAACAAACCTACACATGTACCCCCTAAATCTATAATCAAATATAATGGTAACAAACCTACACATGTACCCCCTAAATCTATAATCAAATATAATGTTAAAAAAGATTTGGACACGATGGGTTGGAAATGCCTGTGGGATACCCAGATGAGCAAATAGATAAACAAATCTGAAGCTAAAGATTTCATAGACTCAGGCCAGGCACAGTGGCTCATGCCTGTAGTCTCAGTAGTATTGAAGGCTATGGCAGGCGGATCGCTTGAGCCCAGGAGTTCAAGACCTGCCTGGGCAACATGGCAAAGCCCAGTCTCCATAAAAATAGAAAAATTAGCCAGGCATGGTGGTGCACACCTGTAGTCCCAGCTACTCAGGAGACTGAGGTGGGAGGATCACTTGAGCCCAGGAGGCTGCAGTGAGCCGAGATCGTGCCACTGCAGGGGACTGGACAACAGAGCGAGATTGTCTCAATACAAAAATCAAGATTTTGTAAACCCGGATACCCCATCCCTCAGTCCCAATCCTCCTCTGACAGGGCCCCGATGTCTGCCCTTGAAACTCTTCTAGGAAAAGGAGAAAGAGAGAAAGCAGATACTTCAAAGGCCATGAGCCCTGCTCTGTGATTGACAGCTGACTGACAGGAAGAGGCCTAAAGAGAATAAAGCTTCCTGTAGGGAAGACTCTGCTGCTGTAGATACAGATAATCAGAAGGTGATCACCCCTACCTTCGTGATAAACAGAAGGGCTGAACAACTGTGAGCCAATCCAACATTTCGAAGCCTTGAAGATGAGTATACTTTAAGATTTTGCGTGAATGCCATTCAGAAAATGTTTCCTTTGTGAAGGTGTCATTATAAGAATGAATGTTTTGTGTTTGAAGAAGTGGTATAATATTTGGAATGTTCAGCTAAAGGAAAAAAGATTAGCAGCTAGTTCTAATGACTTTTGGAGAACATGAGAATTTTAGTTTGAGTCTTTTTTTTCTACCCGAAAGTCAAAGTAAGTTGGGATAAGGAAAAATCGAAAGCAAAAACTGGTAAGCTGGCTTGATTATAGTAATTACAAAAATACTTGAGCATATATACCAGAATTTTTAAAAGTGCTTTGATATACATTATTTAATTTGACTTATATTTATAAACAACTCATAGTGAAAGCAGGTTGGTTGTGACAATCCTTCCTCCCGGTTTAAAGAAATGAAGACACTGAGGATAGCTTCATCTTCAGCAGCCTTTGAGAGAATGTCCAAACCAGGATTCTCTTTCTGGTATATAATGATTCTACCTCCATTTTTCCTCCCTCCCTTCCTTCCCTCCCTGCCTCCCTCCTTCCTATTTTCTTTCCTTCCTTTTTTAAGAGAAGCATAAGTTTTCTACACCATATACTATATACATATATATGTATATTATATATCTATAAGGCAGTGAAACTAATAAATACATAATCCCTGCTCCCAAGTGACTTTGTCTTCAGATAGGCATTCTTCCTGGACTTCCCTATACAGGAAGATGAGAGACAGAATAAATGGTGGTTCAGGGCATGGTCCCTGCCTGGTTCCACTTACAGGCTCTTTGACTAGGGCCAGTTAATTAAACTTTGAGTGTTTCAGTTTCCTTTCTTGTAAATAATACCTCCCTCAGAGGGTTGTAGGAGGATTACATGAATTACTATCTGTAAAGTCTTCACCTGGCACTCAGTAAGCATTGTATGTTTAATAAATAAATGAGCTGGGTCAGTTGACTCCTGTGTGAGAGAAAGATTATACTTATTCTCACTGTTCAGTGACTTGTTCACACAATTACAACTAATCTGCAAAAACACGGGAGGGAGACATTTGCTTTATTGCTTCTCCTCTTTCCTCCATCTGGAAGAAATTCCATAGATGAAAGGGTTTATGAAAACCAAATACATATCACCAAACATCTCTTCTAAGGGCTCGGGTCCAATGTCTACTTAAGGAAGAAAAGGCTGCCTTCTTCTTTGGGTGCACTCTTATCCAAATCCCGGGGGCATTTTGTATCTGAAATGCTGAGATTAATCAGTCCCAGAGACGGCCTTTTGAAATCGCTGGGCTGATTTCATTCGTTTATGCCATTTGGGTGGGTGGGAAGTCTTTACAGTCTGCCACCAATTCTTCCCAAGTGCTAGAGAAGAGAAATATTCATTCACTCATGACTGTTTCTACTGAGGTCACGAGGCCATGGCATGATTTTTTTCTTTTGTCCTTACAAGGAAATCTTTCAAACTTTCTTCAGATGAGGAACCAAAAATAGTGACAAGGAGAAAGGGTTGCCAAAGATATGTCCTTCTTTCCCCCTTTATTTCATTTATAGTAAAATCTTAAATCTGTGAGAGCTGCTTTGCAATGTTCCTCGCACTAAGGCACTGTTTATGTCAAGTGGTAATTCACGATGCATCGACTCCACAGCTCTGGGATATCTTATGTTTCAATATGAACAGCGACTACTAGTCCTCTCTGTTCACTTTTACTTACCAATAATTTTCCAGAAAGTTGTGCCGCCTCTTTCTATCTCTGACAGATTTCATGGAATTTCTAGTCTCTGGCAGCATGTGGTAAACACGCGAGGGGCTCTGAGGCAGAAGACGTAGATTCAAGCTCTGAATCCACCTCTGTCTTCGAACCTCATGAAAGTCATCTCCCTTCTGTGCTTCCTCACTTAGAAAGTGTGATGTCTCCCATTCCCTCCTCACAGAGCTGTCCAGAGGGTCAAGCTAAATAATGATAAAGAGGCACTCTAAAGCTCTATTTAAAAGTAAGTTAAGTTCACGTTTTCTGCACTTTCTTACATGTATATTTCACAATAAATAATGTTAAAATGATGAACACTGAAAAAATATAACTATAGGACAATTACAAATCATTGTCAAACTTTCAAAGCAAAAGTTGCCTTATTCAAATGTTAATTGGCATTCTAACAATTTAAATAAACAGATACATTTTATATTTCATAAACACACACACACACACATACACATATACATATTTGGCTAGAGTGTTAGACACATCAGTGCCCTAAATTGGGCTATAAACTTTTGATTAAATATCTCTGAAATTTTAGAGCCTGGCATTCAGAAAACAAGTTTTTTTCCCAAGCATGATATTTTGGCATGTTTCTTTCATTTATTTATATCGTTGCTTTGCTTTCTGAAGTGAGTCAAAGATTATGATAGCTGAAATCAAGTTTGAGGCAGAGATTATTAGTTGTCCATCAAATATCCATCCTCTCCTCTATCAAATTAACTGAGCTCTATTTTTTAGATGGGGACAGCAACACCCAGCTACAGCAATACAATACCCAGCATTTCCTATTTTCTTTCCCAGCTAGGTGTGGCCATCTGACTATGTTCTGGCCAATGAGATGTAAGCAGGAGGGTTGTGTGGGATTTCCAGAAAGTTTTGTAAAAGGGAGGAGTTTCACCCCTCCCCCTTCACTTCTTCCACCCTGCTGTTTGGGAAGTGGTTGAAATGGCTAACCTTGGACATGAAGAAGCAGGCCATGTCCTAGTGTTACCAGTGGAGGGTGTCCAGGTTCTTGGAGTCTTGAACAAAGAATTGAACAAAATGCACTCCCATTGGTTACTTGGTGTACACCCTATGTAAATGAAGTAGTGGCCACCATCAATCTGATTGCTTGTGGGAGGGGACCAATCAGAGGCTGAAGCAAAGTTACAAAATTACACCCTATGCAAACATCTGATTGGTGTGGAAAGTGACCAATCAGAGGTTGAAGTGAAGGTACAAAGTTATATTCCTATGCAAATGAAGACTTGGCCTGTGACCAGCCTGATTGGTTGTGGGAGGGGACAAATCAGAGGTACTTTTAATTTTTCCTATGCTACACAGAAAAGGGGGATGTGGCAAAGGGAGTGGCTTCTGGTCCTTTTGTTACATGGGCTTGGAAATTTGGGGTTTTCCTTTTGATTTAGATCTAGGAAGTCAGCTTGAAACAGCCTTAGGTTCTCTGCCTCCAGACCCTATTCTCCTGCCTCACTAGGGATGGATGACGGTGAGGCAAGAGGAGCTTTGTATCCCTGGTGACAATGAAGTCAACACACACCCTCCACTACCTAGTTCTGGATTCTTATATGTTTGAAATAATTAAGCAACTACCTTGTTTACCTTTTAGAAGGGGTGAGGAGAGGGTCTATGTTATTTACAGCTGAAATTAATTTTACCCAAAAAACATCAGTCTACTGACCCATCCATTTCCAAGACAAGTTTGAAGCTTTTACCTAAAGTTAGATGCCAAGAGATAAAACACATTGTCCAACATGATTACTGATGATTTTGTGATAAACACCTACAATTTCTGATTTTTGGCAAGCAACATGACTGACACAAATAAAAGGCTGGGCCATGTCAGCCAGAACAGAATGGACAGAGCGGCTTAAAAAAGAAAAAAAAAAAAAAAATTGGCTCACGCCTATAATCCCAGCACTTTGGGAGGCCAAGGCAGGCAGATCCCTTGAGGTCAGGAGTTCGAGGTCAGCCTGGCCAACATGGTGAAACTCTGTCTCTACTAAAAATACAAAAATTAGTTGGGCATGGTCGTGCACACCTGCAGTCCCAGCTACTTGGGAGGCTGAGGCAGGAGAATCACTTGAACTCAGGAGGCAGAGGTTTCAGTGAGCCAAGATCAGGCCACTGCACTCCAGCCTGGGCAATAAAGCCAGACTCCGTCTCAAAAAAAAGAAAAAAAAAAAACCTGTCTACAGGAACCGTGAATCAGGCAGGATGACACCTCAGTTTCATGTCACTTGCTCGTGGAAGCTCTGTCAACAGAAGCTGACAGAGTAGCCAGTTGCTCCTCATAGATCTGCTACAGACCCAGGGAGGTCACAGGAGGCAGTGGAGGAGCATGCACAGCTACGTGGACCTGTAATTTTGTGAGCAGCACTGAGGAAATTTAGCTGGACAGTGTTTGTACCTGTATTTGGAAACTGATGAGGTGATTAGACACTCCATTCCTATTTATTGGATGACATGTCATTTTTGCATTGATAGAATAGACAGTCTCTTTGGGAAGGTGCAAAAAGGCCATCTTGTTCTCAGAAAATGTGATGCACTGCACTGTGCTCTTCTTTACTCACTCAGCAAGTATTTACGAGGCCCCTACTGTATACCAGACCACATATTACACCACTGGATGACCCTTGCTCATGCTATCCCCTTTGCAGGGGGGTTACCTTTGTGTATTCTCTCTTCGTCCGAGGCCAGTGTTTCTCAGAGGCCCAGGTCTGGTCTGAGAAGACTTCTTGGCCACTTGGGCCCTCAGTGATGTCTTCCCTCTGCCCAAGTTCCTGCAGTGCTGAGCATCCACACAACTGATTGGGCACTCAGCAAATGCGATATTTCTTCTTCTGTCGAGTGAGTGCTTTGAGTTCAGAGACACACCGTTGGTGCTTAATAAATGTTTGTGAATGATGCTCATGTAGCTCTTTACTATTTATTTTAGTCAATGTGAATAGGGCATCTCTGGCATGCCTGATGCTATACTAAGCATCAGTGGGGAGAAAAGATGAATAAGACTCAGACTCGCAGGCCAGCTAGAGGAATAGAAGTGTGAAGTGGTTATTTTAATGCCACGTTATATACGCTATAGAAAAGAGGTTGGAGAATGTTAGAGAAGAGGCTACTGATTTATCCTCAGAAAGTCTAAACAGACTTCCCAGAAGCAGCAGGGTTCTGCTTGTTCTGGAAGGGGGAGGAAAGGCCAGGTGGGTGAGAGGGGTCATTCACACCAATTGCATCAATGGCCCTCGCAACCTCTTGCAAAGTAGGCAAGGTCATTACTATATCTCCTCTCTATAGATGAAGAAACTGGAAGCAAAACATGGGGCTCCTGGCTGTACAGAGAAGCGAAGCAGGCCCAGAACCCAAGCTCTGGCTCCTAATCGGCTTCTTTCTACCATACCCAACTGTCTCCCTAAATAACACTAATGACCATGACTTCAGCCCTGGAGGAGGTCAGGTGTTTCTTATTTTCTCCATTAAAATGAGTTCAGAAGCCCAGTTCATTCAATTTATTGCATTTTCCCCTTCCATTTTTCATAATTCTCCCATTTATGAGGCAAACGTTCTCAGTAATTCCCCTCCCAGGAATCTTCCCTAAGGAAATAATCCGAGAGGCAGACAGATTTATGTAGAAAAACTTTCATTGCATAGCTATTTATAATAACAGGAAATAGGAAACAACCTAAATTTCCAACAAAAACAGATGAGTGGGCAGGCCCTAAACATCTTTCCATATAATTTTAATGAGATTTTTAAAATGCTCATGATTCATGTTTTTGAAAAAAGACAGAATAAAGCTTCATGATCCAAATTTTGTTGTTGAGTATACATGTCTATGTTTGCATAGGAAAAAAAAAGGCACACCCAGCAGGATGTTTACAGGCTATTTTGTACTATTTGTTTGTATTTTCTTTCTTTTTTATTTTTTCTTTCTTTCTTTTTTTTTTTTTTTTTTTTTTTGAGACAGAGTCTTGCTCTGTCGCTCAGGCTAGAGTGCAGTGGAACAATCCCGGCTCACTGTAACCTCCACCTCCCAGGTTCAAATGCTTCTCCCACCTCAGCCTCCTGAGTAGCTGGGACTACAGGCATGTGTCACTGCATGTGGCTAATTTTTGTATTTTTAGTAGAGATGGGGTTTCACCATGTTGCCCAGGCTGGTCTTGAACTCCTGACCTCAAGTGATCCTCCCACCTTGGCCTCCCAAAGTGCTGAAATTACAGGCATGAGCCACCACACCCAGCCTATTTGTTTGTATATTCTATGTTTTCCACAATGTGTATTTCATCTTTGGGGAAAAAAAAAAAACTTGTTTTGGTTTTTGGTTTTGGTTTTGGTTTTTTTATTTTTTTAGACAGAGTCTCACTTTGTCGCCCAGGCTGGAGTGCAGTGGTGCGATCTCGGCTCACTGAAAGCTCCGCCTCCCGGGTTCATGCCAAACTTGTTTAATAAAATGCAAAGGTCATCAGGAGAGGAATATAACAGAGGCTGTATTCCCCTATTAGTTTGGGTTTTCTAGAGAAACAGAACTAATAGGGTGTGTGCATGTGCGTGTGCGTGCATGCGTGTGTGTGTGTGTGTGTAGACAGAAAAAGAAAGAGAGGGAGAGAGAAATTATTTTATGGGATTTTAGGGAATTGGCTCTTGCAATTATGGAGGCTGGGAAGTCAAACTGTGCAAGGCAGGCTGGCAAGCTAGCAACCCAGGGAAGAGCTGCAGTTCCAGGCCAAGGGCAATCTGCTGGCAGAATTCCCTCTTATTCAGGGAAGCTCAGTCTTTCCTGTTAGGGCCTTCAACTGACTGGGTAAGGTTCACCCACATTATGGAGAGGCATTTGCTTTACTAAAACTCTACTGATGTAAGTGTTAACATCATCGAAAAAATAACTCCACAGAAACAACTAGTATAATGTTTGATGAAATACGTGGCTACTGTGGCCCAGCCAAGTTGACACATGAAATTAATCTGCAATTTTCTAAGCACTGAGGATTTCTCTTAAGATTTCTTCCCAGCAGACCTGACTGAGGACAGGGCTCTGTTCTTTTCTCCATTTCTCTGTTGCTCAGCAAAGTGTCTGCCTCATGGTAGACGTTCAGCAGGTGTTGGAATGAGTAGATAGGTGAGTAAGGAAGTGAATTGCTAAGAGGATAGGGAACAATATTATAAAGTTATCAACTCAGAATGCCAGAGATCTACAGTCAGGTTTCCTTCGCCTGGGACATGGCCAGCAACCTCAGTTTTCGACTATACATCTCACTATGAGGTCAGGCCCCAGACACCACAGCTGCTGCAAACCCTATGCCACTCATCTAATTTTTTTAATTTTTAAATACAAATCTCTTTGTTTTATGTATTTATTTATTTCTGAGACAGGGTCTTGCTCTGTCATCCAGACTGGAGTGCAGTGGTACGATCTCGGCTCACTGCAACTTCTGCTGCCTGGGCCCAAGCCATCATCCCACCTTAGCCTCCCATATAGCTGGGGTTACAGATGCACACCACCATGCCCAACTAATTTTTGTAGTTTTTGTAAAGATGGGGTTTCGCCATGTTACCCAGGCTGGTCTCAAACTCCTAGGCTCAAGTGATCTGCTAGCCTCAGCCTCCCGAAGTGTTGGGATTACAGGTGTGAGCTGCTGTGTCTGGCCCACCAATCTATTTGGATTTACCAGACAGTTGTCCATAGCTCAGGAACCCCTGAGGACACCCAGTTCACCCCAGTGGTGTTGCCCTTCGCTGAGCAGTGGTCAGTGAGAATCAAGAGTCCTTTGGGACCAGCGATGTGGGCCTCTGGGGGCTGCCTGAGGTCAGGGCCCCCACTGGAAGGCCTCCATCACTTCAGTCCAAGCAGGTAGCAGTGGAAGCAGCTCTTCATTCTGAGCTACAGCCAGCCAGGGGCCCCTGTGGCTCAGCCCATGAGGCTAGTATGTGGCACCTCCAGCCACCATGCACTTCTCTCCCATCTTTGGATGTGGGCTTTTGTCCCCTTCAGGGTTTCTTGTTTTATTGATTAACTCTACCCTTGCCTCAGGCTAGAATCTCTCCTGAACCCAGAGTCTCAGATCATCTAACCCTCTGCTGTTCTGCCTCCCTCTGGAGCCTCAGAAGGGCAGGATTCCAGGTACCCAGTCAGTTCAGCAAGAAAAGAAAGTAGTAAAGACGTTTCAGTAGCTAGAGTCACCAATATAAAAAAGCCAGGAAACCCAGGAGGCCCATAAAGTCATGAGAAAGAAGAAACAAGGAGCAAGGTTGGTCTCCCCAGGCTGCAGGTGGACAAAAATCAATTCAATATGGCAATGTTGCTCTAGTCATGCAAAAGGTATTTTTTATTAAAAATCCGCTATAAGGAATAAATCCTAAGATCTGACTTATTTCATAGGTAAATGCAGACACAACTCTCCTGACTGAAAGGAGACAATGTCTTCATTTAGGGACTGGGATACGAGCCACAGTCCATGGACCTCTGACCCTGCCAACCATTGTTGGAGGCAGGTCCGAGGTGGGTGAGGGAGGTGGGCATCCCCACATGGAGGAGTGGGCTGGGAGGTGAGCTTGTCCCTTTCTAAACATAGTTGTGTTTACATGCAATCTGGATGGGTGGATGTTACATCTCTGTACAGCAGGTGAGAAGCGTACCTGGTAGACAGGGGTCGCAGTACACTAACAGCCTGAAAAGTCTAGGTCATAGATGCTACCTGATGTGATAATAAAAGCACACATTTATGGAGCACTTACCATGTGCCAGGCACTATTCCAAGCACATTGCATAGATAATCTCATTTAATCCTCACATTTCTATGAAGTGACTTTGGCAATTCTCCCTACTTTATAACTAAAGAATCTGAGGCATAGAGAGATGACTTGATTTGACTTGCCCAGAGCACACAGCCAGTCAGCAGTGGAGCTGGGACTCCATGGCAGCTTTGTGGTCTCACAACCATCACTCTTGAACACACTCACACATGCACACACACACACTCACATGCTCACACACTCAAATATGCCTACACACACATGCTCACACACACACTCACACTAACACACACTCTCACACACGCACACACAGATTCTTGGGATGTCAAAGTCAGGTGCCTTTTCCTTCCTCCTCTCCCACAAAAATGGCATACAAACTCACTTTCTTACCTTCTCAATCCCAAACTGAAGCAATTTTCTAATCCCTGTTTCTGTTCCACCTGGCCCCAGTATTCCAGTTGCAAATCTAAACAGCAGTATTCTAGTCTTGACTTTTCCTCCTTTATGCTCCCTGCTGTGGGAGACCCAGAAGTCTCCCCTTCCTGGGATAAACAGGTACTCTAAACCCCTTAGATGACACTTGGACACCTGCTTCCTTTGTTTTGGCAGTGGCGGGATGGTGCGGAAGAGAAACAGATAAACCCTGGATCAGGACCCAGGAGTCCACAACTCATCCTCTAACCAACAAGCAGCCTCACGGGCACAGGGTTCTTATCTCTAAACAGAAGGACTTGGTCTGGGTGATCTCTAAAACATTAAAAATTGTGTTTCAGTGGTCTCTTTCTAGGGGTACACGACTGGCCATTCTTCCTTTTTAGACCATGTTTTCTCAGGGAGCTTGATGGCCAGTCTCTGGACAAGAATGAGACATGAGATTTATTTTAGGAAACTGGCCATCCACACACACACGTGTTTATGGTATCCTTTGAGGCATAAAAAGAAAGATCCAAGCATTGACAGCAGATGCATCTTTGCCAAGTCTCTCAGAGGAGGTTTCTGGTTAGCAGGTTGGAATTCATTCTTCAATTCAGAACAATTTGTTCTTTTTCTTTCAGGATATTTGCAGAGGAGAATTCTGGGACTACTCACGGTCATGCAGCTCACATGAAAATGGCATGAGATTAAATCACTAACCTTTTCAAATCAGTAAGAATTTCCTGGGACCTAGCTTTGAGAGAGGTAAATATTTGTAGTTATCTATTCTGTGCATTAAACAGAATTGGAAAATCACCAAAGAGTACACACGCACAAAAATAACTTCTGGGAGGCAGACAAATGCCCACAGGCATTGAGAAAGCTGAGTTGGAGCCAAGGGGCCACATGGTGTTAGGGAAACCACCCCTCACGGAGCTGGGGCACAGCTGGCTTCTCTTTGATGCACCACCCCAGCCTTTGGAAGTGGCTGATCCTTAGAATGGTGAGTTTAGTGCACTGAATCTCATCCTCTTTCAAACTTTGCTGGGATCTCCTAAACCAAGAGAAAATAAATATGGTTAGTGGTTTGGCAGCCAGTGAGGTGGGTGGGGAGCTGATAGTCTATCATTCCTGACTAGTTGGTTTCTTCCTTTACGAAATCCTCCTTCCCAAGGTAGAATCCGCTGAAACTACGTTTTTCCAGCTTCACTTGCACCTAAAGTATAGCATGTAACTAGTGCTAGCTACATAATCTGCAGGGCCTTGTGAAAATGGAAAATGTAGGGTCCCTTATTCAAAAAGCAGGAGGAAAAGTGCAGTTAAAGGTACTAAAATATAATTCATTAAAAAGATTTTATTACTTATAAAATGTACTATGGGGTAATAGCAATGCATTAATAACAAAGTTATAAATTGCAAAAAAGGGTCAATTTTGTATAATACGGGGAACGATATTGTTATCACGTTAATGTTGTAATAATGTTATCTTGATTGATCATAAGATTTTTCTCACATGCTTTTCTACAAATTCATTTATTAGGTCACTTATTGCTTTTAGCAACATCATTCTTAATCAGTATAATTGAAAGTGATGTCAGTTCTTGGCAAATGCAAGGTCACAAATAATTTTTGACAATCCTTAATTTTGAGAATGACTTTTCCACTAAAGTCACCATTGCTTAAGTTGTTAAAAGTATTTTATAGTCTGACAACTTTGAGATAAATTTGTTAATTTTTTTGAAATACAAATTTTAGTACATCTAGAGCTGACAATTTTTGCAGAAGAGATTTTCTAAAAAGATTTAACTCCTCATACAAATCAGTTTTGTGTGAGTCTGAGTTTAATTTTTGATGCAAATTTATACAGTGGCGTTTTAATGTTTCCTCTGACATTCCCTGTAGCTTGTTGAAGTCATACAGGAAACTGAAAGTAGCTTTATGATTTATATATAATTCAAGACACCTGTTTTTACATTCTATCATTGTATCTTCAGTGGCAAGGAAAAACTAATTATAAAATTATCTTCCTTGTTAGTACTAGATTTGGTTCATCCAGAGCTTCATGTGGAAATAAAGTTATTTTCCATTAAGGGTGATAATCAAAATTTAATTTCTGTTTCTAACCCTGTGGATATCTGCTTTGCAATGTTATGACAATTTTCAAAACCAGTGATTCTAAACTCTGAAAAATTCTAATAATTTCCTGATATGCTTTATTGCAATATGTCTCTCTCAGCTTTTATTTTGTAATAATTTACCAAGTACCAGCAGAACTAGTGAATGGTAGAACAAGGATTCAGACCAAAACCTGGGCTTTTAATCGCTACACTGCACCAAGCCTTCTTAATATGGCATCAGAGAACTCACCAAATCATCCTCCATACTGCATCATTGCTGTCCTGAATATCTGCTTGTTGTTTCCTTGACTAATATCTTTTCCATCTGGGGCCTGGCACAGTGGCTCATGCCTGTAATCCCAGCACTTTGGGAGGCCGAGGCAGGAGGATCACCTGAGGTCAGGAGCTCGAGACCAGTCTGGTCAACATAGTGAAACCACGTCTCTACTAAAAATACAAAAATTAGCCAGGCGCGGTGGCGCATGTCTGTAGTCCTAGCTACTCGGGAGGCTGAGGCAGGAGAATTGCTTGAACCTGGGAGACGGAGGTTGCAGTGAGCCAAGATCATGCCACCGCACTCCAGCCTAGGTGATAGAGCAAGGCTCTGTCTCAAAAACAAAAACAAACAAAATACCTTTTCCACTGGGGAACTGCCTCTCCCACACCTGGGGGATTTGTCAGTCATGTGCCCTGACTCCCCAGGGAATGGGAGGTGGGGGACACAGGCCGGGCCAGAGTATTCCCCCTTCCTAAACACAATGATGGGTTGGGTGATAAACTTTTGACCCAGGGAGGGTTATTCAGAGGGCACTTTGGAAGACCAACAGGCACAAGAGGGTCTCTCCTAAGATTGTGACAATTGTGTAAGCCAAACAGGGCCATTTTTTCTATCCAAATGGAAAGAGCCTATTTGAGTAAGAAGCTGGCATGGAAAAAGGTAGAGCGGAGAGACAGTCCTGATTATGTCGTTTGAGCTCCTGGATCTCACTATTCTTGAAGCCTAATAAATGAGCCAATAAATTATTCTTTTTACCTATGCCAGTTTGAGTTGGTTTTCTGTCTCTAAACATATATTTTTTTAACTACAAAGATTCTTCATATAGCAGACACGGTGACAGACTTGAGTCATACTTCTTGGCCACCAGCTGCTGTCTGCCTCTGTAACTGCTTGTGAAGACGTCTACTCTGACCCAGATAATTCCTCACCAGGGACCATCTCTCACCCATTATTTATTTTCCATGCCTGTACGCAACAGAGGCCACTTTGAGCACAAATCACTGCTACAACCATCTACTTTTTTTTTTTTTTTTGAGACTCCCTCTGTCGCCCAGGCTGGAGATCAGTAGCGTGATTTCAGCTCACTGCTACCTCCACCTCCCGAATGCAAGTGATTCTCCTGCCTCAGCCTCCCAAGTAGCTGGGATTACAGGCACCTGCCACCACACCCAGCTAATTTTTGTAGTTTTTAGTACAGACGATGGGGTTTCACTATGTTGGCTAGGATGGTCTCAAACTCCTTAACCCAGATGATCTGCCCGCCTCAGCCTCCCAAAGTGCTGGGATTACAGGTGTGAGCCACCGTGCCTGGCCTCATGCATCTTTCTCTTTACTCTTTCTCCCCAGCCATTCCTGACTCCCAAATGAAAAGCATCATGGATCCTTGTTGTAGACAGAGGTATAAAGAAAGAGCTTCTTTTGAAGTTCTAGGCTGTCTATACAATATCTGGTAGCACCAGAAACAACATGAAATATTGTGGATGATATGATTTATTTTAGATAATGTGATTTGGTCAATATTAGCATTTGGATTTCTTCAGAAAGATAGTAATAAAAGTTAACATGGAGATGATCTCTTTCAGGGTCAGCCAAGCATAGGGTGGCTGTCAGGATCACACAAGAAAGGATTTCACAGGGACATCGACATGGCATTAAATACTAGCAAATCAGAAGCATACCAGTGTTTCCTGAAGCTAATCAAGATAAAACATCAGACAACCAGGAATTTAGGGTCAATTTATAAAGTAACTAGGCCTGCCTTCTTCAAAAATGTCAACATCACGAAAGACAAGGAAAGGCTGAGGAATTGTTCCAGGCTTAAAAAGACTAAAGAGACAGCACCAGTGAATGCAAAACATGATCTGAACTGGTTCCTGGTCTGGGGGAAAAAAAAAAAGGCTATCAATAATGTTCTTGGGTCAGTTGACAAAATTGAATTATACACTTCAGTCAGGCAGAAGTACCACATCAAAGTTAAATTTCCTGAACATGATAATTACGCTGTGGTTATAAAAGAGGATATCCTTGTTATTAGGAAACACATATTGAGTTATTAAAGGTATAGTATATGCAGCCTGCTTAAAAGTTCAGAAATAAATTACAAGTATATATCCAGAAAGAAAGAGGGCCAAGTGTGGTGGCTCATGCCAGTAATCCCAGCACTTTGGGAGGCCTAGGCGGGCAGAGCCTTTAAGGTCAGGAGTTCGAGACCAGCCTGACCAACATGGTGAAACCTGTCTCTACTAAAAATACAAAAAAAAAAAATTAGACAGGTGTGGTAGCGCATGCCTGTAGTCCCAGACACTCAGGAGGCTGAGGCAAGAGAATCGCTTGAACCCAGGAGGCAGAGGTTGCAGTGAGCCAAGATTGTGTGACTACACTCCAGCCTCAGCCACAGAGCAAAACTCCGTCTCAAAAAAAAAAAAAGAGGATGATAAACAAATATGGCCAGAACTAGTAACTAGTAAATCTGACTAAAAGATCTACAGGAGTTCTTTTGTATTGTCCTTACGAATTTCCCTAAATTTGAAATCACTTCAAAACAAAAGTTTTCTTAAAAAAGATTTAGCCAGCCTTGTAAGTTCCTTTCAACCCTCATGATTATGTCAAAGAGAAAGTATCAGTTTGGGACTAATATATCTTTTTTTTTTTTGGAGGGGGGACTAATATATCTTTAATATGTTTCTAACACTTCTGAATCTCCTTTTAGTAAAGAGAGAGCACAGGCCTCAGGCTCAGTCTTTGGCAAGCAGCAGTTACTAGCTAGAATTTAATAACATTGTTTTATTTTCATTGTGTTTACTTTGCATTTATTTTCTACTTATGGCAAGTAGTGTAGCATTCCTTGTGTAATAAGATACAAAATTACCTTTTAAGTATATTTATCTAATTTTAAAATGAGTTAATGTAAAGAAAATATTAATATAAAAGTACAGGTAGTAGTTGGAAGGTAAACATGTGACTTTAATGACAATTGCCTGACATTTAGGAAACACTAGTCTATTCTAAAGACTTCATCTTAGAGATAGGCAAACCAGAACTCTGCAAGTTAGGTGGCTTTGCCCAAGATCACACAGTTCCTAGTGATGGAGACAGTCCATTGTCCGTTTCATAGTGATGGAGTCCATTGTCCGTTTCAGCACAGCACATTGCTGTGACTTACATCGCAAGAGTACTAAGAGCCAACCCTACAATGAGAAACACAGCTCAGAGTGGTACCAGCTATTATTTACACATGCACACACATGAAAATCAAGCAACTCGCAGCAAAGTCAAGCCTCACTGTTGGTTTAGGTCTTCAATACCGAAACAGTCTTATTTCTTCTTTTTTCACTTCCAGAGTGGCCAATGGACTGGACAATGAGTCATTCCTATGTAGCTTATATAAACAAATTCAAACCATTCTTTTTAAAAAGCACTCATAGCCAAGTGTGGTGGTGCACGCCTGCAGGCCCAGCCACTTGAGAGGCCAAGGTGGGAGGATTGCTTGAGGCCAGGAGTTTGAGACCAGCCAGGGCAACATAGCAAGACTTCCGTCTCCAAAAAATAAAAATGAAACAATTTCTGTCACCAAATTATGAAAATTCAAAAATAAAAATAAAAAAATTTTTAAAAAATGTTTAAGTAAAAAGCACTCACAATCACAGAATTCTGGAAGCTTGGAAGAATAGCTAATTCCATCTTGTAAACAGTTTGAGAAATAGTTGAGGGAAGCAAAGCTGGGCTTTTACATGTTCCAGGGCACTGGCCCTGCATCCCAGCTCTTGTGCTTACAATTCCTGGAGCTGACAGTTCAAATATTTTCCTTTTTCTCTAATGTTCTTGCTCTCTTGATGCCATTTTCTACAAATCTAAAGATTTTATTTGGTCTTCAGTGAAAAATTACAACCACTGGGGTGAGTGCTAATGGGATGTCTGATCTAGCCCTTTTGCTACTGTCAGGGACTTCAACTCGTAAACTCACTAGCAAGAGGAGAATCCACCCTGCTTAGGAGGGTGCCAGAGAAGGTCATTTTACAACTTTCAGACACTCATTCTAGCTGGCAAGACAGTTTTCCTCTTGCTAATTGAATCCGCCCAGCCAAGAGTGCATGCACGTCTCTCTTCGTTCCCTTCTCCGTGGACAGCAATGGCCTCCTGTTTTTGTAAAATAAACTTTACGTGTTTGAAGATTATTCCCGAACTTCCCCTTGACTTTTTCTCTCCAAAATGGCCTCTTCCTAGTTTTTCCATCTTCATGCAAAAATAACATCTACCAATCTACTTTTTCATCTTTGTGGCTTACCTCTGAGTTTTCATCTTACTTTTTCCTGTCACTCATAAGTTGTTGAGTCCAGAACAGAGCACAGTATTTTGAGGGCGTGTGTAGTCAGTGCAAAAATGCCCAACATCCCTGCTTCCTTGGAAGGTCCAAATGCCTTAGAGCCTGCGGGTATCTCCTGGACTCTCCAGGCCCAGGCAAATCTGTTCGGAGGCCCGTGGAGTCCTAGCATGTCTCTGATTATTCGTGTTCCATCCATACACATTTTAGGTCAGAAACGGTGGAGGAGGAACCTCAGAGACAGACCCTCTAACGTCTTAAATAGAAAGTCCAGTTTAGCACTCAGGTCACGTGGGGGCCTAGAGCAGTGGTCCCCAACGTTTTTGGCACCAGGGACTGGTTTCATGGAAGACAATTTTTCTACAGACACAGGGGAGATTGTTTCAGGATGAAACTGTTCCATCTCAGATCATCAGGCATTAGATTCTCATAAGGAGCACACAACCTAGATCCCTCACATGTGCAGTTCACAATACAGTTCATGCTCCTGTGGGAATCTAATGCCACTGCTGATCTGACAAGAGGTGGAG
Source organism: Homo sapiens (assembly GCF_000001405.40). Lineage (NCBI taxonomy): Eukaryota > Metazoa > Chordata > Mammalia > Primates > Hominidae > Homo > Homo sapiens. The sequence continues at coordinate 73,166,978 of NC_000008.11, forward strand.
TTCAGGCAGTAATGCTCACTCACCCACTGCTCACCTGCTGTGTGGCCCAGTTCCTAACAGGCCACACACAGACCAGTACCAGTCCATGGCCTGGGGGTTAGTGACCCCTGATCTAGAGGACGACTAAAAGCTTAGCCAGGTCCTAAAGCCTCCACAGAAGAACAAACTAACTAATTAATTATTAGGGGAAATCAGATATACAGATCACTCTGGACCTTGCCTAACTCTTCCCAAAGTCATCCAATCATCCAAAGCTGCTGTGCAGAATGGCTTTAGGGGTACTGAGAGATCACAGAGAGACGCCCCTCTCCCCAGCATTATGGAAGAAATTGTATGCTGTGTCTAAATTTCAATTTCCTTAACACACTTGAGCTCCATTTAGCAATGCTACGTAACACTTGCCCTGCCCACCTGGCAATGGTGTGAGAATGAGTCACATAGGGTGACACTCTGAAAACTGGCAAAACCAATGGAGGACAGAGCGGGGTGGGGGCAGCAGGTCCTAAGAGCAAGCTTTGACACAGTCTGTCTCTGAGCTGACAGAACTCCTCCAGAACCCTGGATGTGTTTCTGTTCACCTGTGGCCTTGGACCTGATGTTTATGTAAGAACTCATGGAGAAGATAAATGTGAACAAGTCATTAAGGAAACTCGTGGTCTGCCGTATTTCAAAGCCATGCCCTCCCTGGCCACCACGGGCCCATGTGTGCATGAACCCACTCCTCAATACCTCCTCAACAACTGTGGTTGCACCAAGCAGTGAGTGTGGAGCAGAGCGGCAGAGTTTCAACACTGTCCTAGCCCTGGACTGTCACTGAGGTCAGCCACAGATTGGCCACCTGGGCAGGTTCAAGGACTCAGACTCAAAGCTTCCATATTCTGGCTGTGCACGGTGGCTCACACCTGTAATCCCAGCACTTTGGGAGGCTGAGGTAGGTGGATCACCTGAGGCCAGGAGTTTGAGACCAGCCTGGCCAACATGGTGAAACCCCATCTCTACTAAAAATACAAAAATTAGCCAGGCGTGGTTGTGTGTGCCTGTAATCCCAGCTACTCAGAGGCCGAGGCAGGAGAATCACTTGAACTAGAGAAGCGAGGTTGTAGTGAGCCAAGATCGCACCAGTGCACTCCAGCCTGGGTGACAGAATGAGACTCCATCTCAAAACCAAAAAAAAAAGCTTCTATATTCCCTTGGGGCTGAAAGGGTAGTTGTCAAATGGCTGCATATTGTACAATCTACCCAAATGGTGGGAAAGTTATTCTCTCAGCAGTTTTATGATGATTGCTGGAAGCCTGTGAGTTCAGACTTCTCAGCTCATATGTGGGGAAACTGAGGCCCAGAGAGGGGGTGATTGGTCCAAGGTCAGACAAGTCGTGGCAGAGCCAGGTCTGAACCTGGCCTCTCTTTCCTTGGCCATTTGGGCTCCCCTTTGGAAATTCTAGACCATCAGCCCACTAAACAGGACGAGAGAGAGTCCTCCATCTCTCTCTTTGACATCTGACAGATGGGGCATGTCAGCTGCCGTTTTCTGGTTCAGCTCAGATGGTGAAGGCAGGGGAGGGAAGTGGTTTTCTGGTTCAGCTCAGATGGCGAAGTCAGGGGAGGGAAGTGGGAGGCAGGGCTGAACGTCATGTGTGTACATTTCACTTCTTTCTTCGCATTTTGGTTACATTTAACAATGTGTTACCTCTTCACAGAGTCATTTATATCATTTGCAGGAGGCCAAGAATGACATCAACATCTATTAAAACCTAACGTTTCATGTTCTTCACTGTAAACACTCACATTGCTTTGTTTCCAGATATAAACGCAAAGTCATTCTCAAGTTGAATGGTTTCTTTCCAAGAAACTTGATGTTACTGTAATGAAATTTACCTAATTAATCTCCTTAAGGAGAGAAGGAATCTGATGATGACTGTTAATGAAGACCTCAACGTTCTTCTTGTAATCAGAGCAAGGCAATCTACAGATTCGTTGTGGGAGAGACCATAACTTTCCAAATAAATCTCAGTAAAGCTTTGCAGACAGGGCACTTGAGTTGCTTCCCCACTTGGCTGGCTTGCTTTCAGCCTCGGTGAGCCCTGTACAAACTTCTCCAGAACTCTGGATGTGTTTCTATTCACCCATGTCCTTGGACCCGATGTCTGTGTAAGAACTCATGGAAAAGGTGAACGAGTCACGGAGGAAATCCTTGGTCTGCCCTACTTCAAAGCCATCCCCTCCCTGGCCACCGTCTGCACATCGTATGCATGAACCCACTCCTCAATACCTTCTCAGTAGTTTGGTTGCACCAAGCAGTGAGTGTGGAGCAGAGCAGCAGCTACCCTTTGCCAGGGGCTTCCCTGAAGACCAGTGAAGCCATCCACACAAATGTAACCAAGAATTTCTCCTTGCAAAGGAGCAAAGTGTGTCACCAGGGTATAGGAGGCCACACTGGGATGTAAGGAGAACACTCTGTCTGTCTCCTGGTCCCGAGATCAAGCGGGCCACAGGAGAAGTGGAACCCACAGGGAGGAGCTTTGTGAGAGATACCACTCTGTAAAGATGTTGAATGAGTGCTGGCAGTTATTAACCCTGGAACTGGGGATCAAACAGATATACAGGGAATCACTGGGTGGAAGCCTGGGAAGGATGGGTCAGAACAGTGTGGCAGAGTTTGAGAAGTTATAAAGAAAGCTTAGGGATGCAGCAGGAATCCAGTTTTCAAGGCTGGGGCAGCCAGTCAAGGAGGCAAGTACCCAACAGTAACTGGATCCTCAGCCCCCGAAAACAGAGCTGAATCTGTTTAAGTCCTTACTGATTCAGGACATGAGCAGACTAGGAAGGCAGGTGGGTCTGGGTTTGCAGATGGCAAGTGGGATAAAAGATATCAAGGCAGGTAACATGCTAGACTTGACATTATTTCAGCAAACAAGGCCATAAATAGTCCCAGGAGGCCACTAGTGACCTGAGTAGACTTTTCAAGAACAGAAGCCTTCCACCACCCCTCCCCATCTTCCATCCCATCAGTGGAAAAACGTTGATTCATTCACACTTATCTTTTACATGTGTTCTTACATAGCCATCAGGTCCAAGGCCACGGGTGAATAGAAACACACCAAGAGGTTCTAGAGAAGTTTACAGGCCTTGGTATGATAACATTCTGGAGTGATTTATCCCTAAAAGTTCATGGTGGTCATTCAGTGCTATGTTGCTCCACTACCCTTTTAAGGGATCTGGAATCTGGAACTGGGCTCAGCCTTCATTATAATTGCTGGTTCTATTATTTGTGTCCCATACTAGATTGCAAGCTCCCCAAGGGCAGGAGGCAGATCGGTCTACTTCTATAGATCAATTTCTGATACAGTGCTAGCACAGAGTTAGCACTCAAGAAATATTTGATGAATGAATGAACGAATGAATGACTAATGGTGGCAGACAGAACAGCTATGCTCAAGCATCGCCTTCCTCCTTCCTCATATCACATCCCTGCCTCCAACAACTATGGGGTTGTCTGTGAGACTTGCTTTGGCCAGTAGGATACGGGGGGCCATGACGCAGGCTCGCCTGAGCAGCAACCTGAAGTGAATGCATGTGCCGTGGCTCCGCCTCTTGCACTGCTGCTCTCTGCCATGGCTGCATGCTGCTCCTGCAGCCTTTGTTCCAGAACAAGAAGATTCGAGAAGATGTGAAAAGGAGACCCAGAATTGGCCCACAGCCTGGAACAGAGCTGTAGTCCATCTGCTGCTCTTGAGTGTTGTGATGGAGACATGAGGATTTGCTCTTGGGAAACAGATTTGGGAGTTATTTGTCACCACAGTAAAAGCTCTGACCTTGGAGGAACAAGGCCTCTTCTATTCAATTTCACCCACGTGCTGGCACAGTGCCTTCAATTCCTTTGTTTTGCCAAAGCCAAAAGCAGATGGCAAAACTTGTACCACCTAGAAAGCAGCCTTTTTGCTGTCTTCTCCCAAAGAACACCCAGAGAGCTTCCTCCACCCCCGAGAAACCTAATGGTTAACTGTCAAGGGTGCTTAAAGTGAAAAGTGGTCTGACGGCAAGTTTACATATCATATTTTAAACATTTACACAGTTTTAAAATAAATGCAAGCTTGAGGCCCTCCCTTTCTTCACCTGCCAGCAAAACATGTTCTCTCCAGTTCTGCAAAAAGCCAGAGCGTTACTTGGGCACTGGAGGTAGAGTTTTATGTAGAATCTGCCAACAATCTGGTTGAAATCTCAAGGCTTTTCCCTCCACACCAGTCTTTGATTTACCTTGGGAAGAACATTGAGTATAAAAGGTGCATGGGACTTTGGGCACAAGAAAAAACAGAACAAAAGAATCCTGGAAACACTGGATCTTTTGCTCAGTTCTACTGTTACTCACTGAAGTTTTCTATATGATATTAACTTCTGATGAAAAGGGGGAAAATGCAGTCAGATCTATGAGATACCAAACAGCCAAATATTTGGAAACAACTCAATGGTTCACATTTTCATCAGAGTCCATAATGACGTCCACCCTCACAGTCTCTGTCTACACTAATATTCTGACAATTCCAAATTCTACACTTCCAACCTTGGCTTTTCTCCTGATAGCTGCTTGATTGTTCACAACACTTCAGACTTCCCATTTGAAATGCAACGTTGGGCCGAGCACAGTGGCTCACACATGTAATCCCAGCACTTTGGGAGGCTGAGGCACGAGGATCACTTGAGCCCAGGAGTTCAAAACCAGCCTGGGAACATGGTGAAACCTTGCCTCTACAAAGAATAAAATTACCTGGGCATCTTGGTACATGCCTGTTGTCCTACCTAGCTACTCAGCAGGCTGAGGTGGGAGGATTGCTTGAGCCCAGGAGTTCAAGGCTGCAGTGAGCCATGATTGCACCACTGCACTTCAGACTGGGTGACAGCGTGAGACCCTATCACAAAAAAAAAAAAAAAAAAAAAGACCACACACACACAAACAACTTTGGCCATCCCTTTGAACACTGCATCTTTTCCATCATGACCTTTATTGATTAAGGGAGCACCTTCCACCCAGTCGTCCAAGCCAAAGAGCCAAAGACGGGGCGTCCTATTGGATGCTTTCTTCTCCCTTGGTCCCTATGTTTATCTGGTGGTTATCGAGTCTTGTGCTGCTATCCCAAACCCTTTGTGGGATAAAACTGGCTCTAAAATAGTATTGTATGTACATATACATATTTGCATGAATTATTATGTATGTGTATACTATATATATATATATATGTATGAATATAAAGGCTCTATTTATAGTATCTTTGAAATTTTCCTAACACTCTTCTTCTCCATCCCACTCAGCATCCCCTACCCTAATTGTCTTAGTTCATCTGGATGATCACAAAACCTCCTAACTGGACCCTGTGTCCATTCTAGCCATGGCCCCCCAACCCATAGTCCATCCTTCAGACCAGAGTCCTCTTCTTAAACACAAACCTAATGACTTAATCTCTTCTCAGGAAGCCTGCTGTGGCTCTCTGTCAGCTACAGAAGAAAGCTCAAAACATGGAGACATTTGTGCCTGGTCTTTGGGAATTTTTGAGATTCATCTTCTGCAGGTCTTCCAGCCAAAGCACAACAGCCATTCCAAACTCCAACCATTTTCACACCCTGTTCTTTCCCCCTGTGTTTACCCGTGGGGGTCCCAGCTCATCCTTCATGATTCAACTCAAGGACCCCATCTGTTGTGGAGGCTGATCCCTAGCAGAGTGAGGCAGCCCCTCTCTGAACTGTTTAAAGTACTGGGACAGCCCCAACAGCACGGCTTTTGATGACGTGTTGAGGTGTTTGCCTCCTCTATCAAACTGTGCATGGTGTAAAGTGGCAAATCTGCCCTTGCTGTCTTCATCCTCAGGGCCACTCACATTGTGTACGTCCTGGGCCACTCACATTGTGCATGTCCTGGGCCACTCACATTGTGTATGTCCTGTAGACTTCATTAAAGAAATGGAAGATATGGCCGGATGCAGTGGCTCACGCCTATAATCCCAACACTTTGGAAGGCCAAGGCAGGTGGACCACTTGAGGCCAGGAATTCGAGACCAGCCTGGCCAACGTGGGTAAAGCCCATCTCTATTAAAAACACAAAAAATTAGCCGGACATGGTGGCACATGCCTGTAATCCCAGCTACTCGGGAGGCTGAGGCAGCAGAATCGCTTGAACCCAGGAGGCAGAGGTTGCAGTGAGCTGAGATCACATCACTGAACCCCAGCCTGGGCGACAGAATGAGACTCTGCCTCAAAAAATAAAAATAAAATAAAATACACAAAAAAGAAATGGAAGCTGGAAGAATGAATATTGGAGTAAGTTATCTAGCCACAGCCTGTGTATCCTTAAGTGGACAAATGACTTAGCACATTTATTTTCCTATCTGTAAATAAAAATCAGAATGAGAATCCACCAGGCAGATTTTTGTAAATGTTCTTTTAAACAGATGGACAAAAATATGATATTCCTCTGACATTATTTCTGTAGGGATGATGACATTTGCTGTATAATTAGAACATGAGGATTCTGGTTAACACTGACATATCTCAGTGACGTCCCGATGCTGTAATATTAAAGCGGGGGGATGTTAGGGATGAAGAAGTCTAGAAGCGAAGCTCTTTCCTTAGTAATAAGAAAGCTGAAAGGCTTCTTTTTCACCCATGCAGAGCTCCCAGACTTCTATTTTAGTACAGTCATTAAGAGCTTGGACTTTGGAGTCAAACTCCCTTGGTTTGAGTCTCACCTGTAGCACTAACTAGCCCTGTGACTTTGGGCAAGTAACTTAACTTCTCTATACCTGGATCTTACTATCTGTAAATTAGTATATTAATAGCACCTCCCTCAGAGGTTATTATAAGGGTTAAATGAGTTAATGCAGATAAGGCATGGGAAGACAGCACCAGGCAAAACGTAAATGCTGTTTAAGCCATGTTATTTTCCGCCAAATACTAGGATACATTTTCTAAGTATCAGAGATGATTAGATCCACTTTAAGTGGCATTGCTGGCCGGGCGCGGTGGCTCCCGCCTGTAATCCCAGCACTTTGGGATGCCGAGGCGGGTGGATCACCTGAGGTCAGGAATTCGAGACCATCCTGGGCAACTGGGCAAAACCCCGTCTCTAACGAAAATACAAAAAAAAAAAATTAGCCTGGCGTGGTGGCAGGCGCCTGTAAGCCCAGCTACACGGGAGGATGAGTCATGAGAATCGCTTGAACCTGGGAGGCGGAGGCTGCAGTGAGCTGAGATCGCACCACTGCACTCCAGCCTGTGGACAGAGCGAGACTCCGTCAAAAAAAAAAAAAAAAAAAAAGGCATTGCTCCTGCATAATCAAGGGCTATTTTTGCATTTCTTTGGCTTCTTGCCATTAATTATTGTCCACGGCGTTTTACAAAATCCACACAATTTTTACGGCATGTATATGGAGACTTAGAGAAATAGAGCCAGCAGCGGAGAGAGCTTCGGTGAGTTCATCCTCGGCTCCCTGCTTTCCCAGACGTCCCCCTGGTGTGGGCCTGTGTCACTGCGCCATCTAGTGGACACAGCGCGCAGCTGCCGTTGGAGGCACTCAGACAAGCCAGAGGAAAGGGTTTAAAGCCCTGACTGTCCTGATCCGTCCGGCCAGTTCCCGGATGATCTCATAACACCATCCTCTTGATGTGCATCATCAGCACTAATCGTCTGGGACACCGGGAATCCCTCTTGTAAGCCGACAGCTCTACTGATGAGTTCAGCCTCTTCATCCTCTGGCAAAACCGTCTTGGCAAAGCCAGACAGAGAAGAAAGGAATGAAAACTGACATGACCGTATTTATAGGAGCAAGAAAGAAGCTAGCCAACATTCACCTATATTTTAATCAGCATACAACAAAAAAACCGGCAAGCAGGATGGCCAACGCTGAGCAACTTTTTGACCTCCATTTCTGGCTTCGATGCATTTTGGCACAGGGAAGCCTGGGGCTGACAAGGGCTGAGCCGACTGAGGGCTGAATCTCGCTTTATTGAAGTGTTTTTAGAGAAGGCCAACTGCTCTTTGTAGATGATTAAAAGCTTATCCCCCAAGGCTAGTGAGCACCCTCCTGCCAGTAAGTCAGCTCTGGCGTGCAGGGCATGGGGTATTGAACACCATAATGGGGAGAGAGTATCCACATAAAAACCCAATCAAAGACGAAGGTTGCTTTTGAGGGGCAATTGGAGACCAATAATCCACCTTGTCTTTATTTTCTATTTAAGGTTTCTGGCCACAGTAACCAGGCAGACCAATATTAAACTTGAAATTCAGTGAGTTTTGAATCAACAACTGAAATCACTTGCTTGGGCCCCAGTTCAACGCATGCTGGCAACAGACATATTAACCAAGGAGATAGGAATGGGTGAATTCTGCTGTGTCCTGTCCGGGTTCTGTAGATGATCCCTGTATCTCACTGTCCTTGGAAAATTCCTTATTAGTAGTAGAAAAAATAAAGTCTCCGGGACACTATTTATCTCACACCACTTACTTTTTGATGAAAAACCAATTCCAAATCAAGAAGACGATTTAAGCGGGAAAGGTCTAAAATGATTTCAAAATAAAAGTTTTAAAAAAATAGAGTATGGAGTGAGAGCTATAGTACAGGCATGTCTAGACATGTAGGTGGATTCTTATGTCTTTCTCTTTTTGCTACTTTTCAAACCATAGAGTTTAACCCTTGTTCTTTTTAAAGGCCGATTAGAGAAAATAAACTGAATCAAGGCAGCACTTCACGAAACCCCTAAAGGACAAGCAGATATGGAGCAGTCTCGTTTAAACCGCAGAGGTCTGCAAGAAGGAGGAAAATCTTGCCCTGTCTCTTTGGTGACTAGTGTCCCTAGCCAGGCATCTCAGTTTAGGTCCTCTGCTGGTTGACCCTATGTGGACACAGGTCCTGCTGAGCCTGGGGCCAAGAGAGCAGGATTTCAAGCTGTCCCTTCTCTCAATAAACTATGCAGGTCTCAAAGAGGTTAAGGTTACTTAGCTAGTCAGTGGCAGAACTGAGACTCAAAATTCTAAGCTCATGTTCTTAACTTCATTGTATTGCTTCTACAAAAGGAACATATTTAGGGGAAAATTCACTCATTCAAAAAAATTTTGAGTTCTAACAAAATGTGACAATACCATGGTGAATAAAATATAGCTCTTGCCCCTAGTGAGTTTGCCATCCAATAAAGAATATAAACAAGTTCAGCAATAGAGACAGAGCAGTGTGGTGAGTGCTATGGGCGGTGGGTCCATATGCCAAGGGCACGTGACAGGAGGCATCCGAGTCAGCTCTGGAGGGCCAAGGAAGGTTTATTAAAAACTTGACACTGGGGCCGGGTTTGGTAGCTCATGCCTATAATCCCAGCACTTTGGGAGGCCTAGGTGGGAGGATCACTTGAGCCCAGGAGTTCAAGACCACCCTGGGCAACATAGTGAGACCCTATCCCTACAGAATACATTTTTTAAATAAGCTGGGTGTGGTGATGCACACCTGTAGTTCCAGCTACATGGGAGGCTGAGGTGGGAGGATTGCTTGAGCCTAAAATGTTGAGGTTGCAGTGAGCTATGATCATGCCACTGCCCTCCAGCCTGGGTGACAGAGCAAGACCCTCTCTCAAAAACAAACAAAAAAACAACGACACCGAGTTCCAAAGAATGAATTAGAGACTGGGCGTGGTGGCTCACATCTGTATCCCCAGCACTTCGGGAGGTCAAGGCAGGTGGATCACCTGAGGTCAGGAGTTCCAGATCAGCCTGGCCAATATGGCAAAACCTGTCTCTACTAAAAATACAAAAATTAGCTGGGTGTGGTGGTGCGTGCCTGTAATCCCAGCTACTCGAGTCGCTGAGGCACAAGAATTGCTTGAACCTGAGAGGTGAAGGTTGCAGTGAGCCAAGATCACACCAGTGCTCTCCTGCAAGATTCTGTTTCAAAAAAAAAAGAGTGAATTGGAGTGAATCAGAAGACAGAGGGGAAAATAATCTAGAAAGGCCTCCAAACATGGAAGGATATGATAAATTTGGGGGACTCCAAGAAGTTGAACATGGTTAGAACATAGGGTGCCTATACACAAATAGTGTGCACATGTGCATAGGTGCGTTAGGTGTGCGCTGCATTGGTGAGGGAGGAGTGTGAGTAGAAGAGAAGGAGATGAAACCCATGAAACAGGCAGAAGCCAGATCAGAAGGGTCTTGAATGTCGTGCTAAGAAGTTAAGCTTTTAGCTTGAAGGCAATGGACCTTTTATGGCCAGTGAGTATGCTTCTCCTCCTTATAACCAAAGAAGGGTAACGAACACACACTGGTATCTAGGGAGCCAGGCCAGGTTGAGATTTGTTGATGCAAACTCATGCTTGTCAGCAGTTCACTGGCTGTTATTTAACCTCCCACCATGCAGTTTCCTAGTCCTGTCTTGGGGAAGAGAGTTATAAGGTGCTTAAGTCTTCATCCTGGGATAACAAATCTATGAAAAGTATCCCAGAAACACCCTGAACAGGGTCTAGGAAACTTGCAGCCCATTACAAGAGCCTCGGAGACTATTTGTAGGTGCAGGGAAACACTGGGCTTCTACTCCACTGGCTTCCGCAGAGCCTAAGAAAAGCCAAGCACACAGGTTTGAGGGATTGCAGGTGTGAGACACCACACCCAGCCTCTAATTCACTCTTTGGAGCTCAAACCTGTTTCAGGGCCACAGGGCCACAGGACCAGGCCTACCATATTTCAGGTTGATTGCATGTGCCTCACTGAGCACGTGCTGGGTGGTCGGCTGCTCTAGACAGCTGTGGAGGATACAGAGAAAGCAAAGGAATGTTCTTAAGGAGCTTGGGGTCTCTGTGGAAATGATGTAGACTCAGGAAACAGTACCCAAATCTGCGGCACAAATATTTATTTTTGTTGCACTTATTTTACACTTTTTTGCCAGGCACTGCTCCAGGCATTTTTAGACATTGTCACTTTCCCTACAGGGCTGGTATTGAAGCATTTTACGATTGGGTACAAGATTCAGAGAAGTTCATTTTTTCAGGACAGAAAACCTATAGGACATTGGGAGATTCCATCTCTACATATAATTTAAAAATTAGCTGAGCGTGATGGTGCACACCTGCGTTCCCAGCTATTCTGGAGGCTGAGGTGGGAGGATAGCATGAGCCCAAAAGTTTGAGGCTGCAGTGAGCTGTGATGACACCACTGCACTCCAGCCTGAGTGACAGAATGAGACCCTGTCTAAAAAAAGAAAAAGGAAAGAAAGAAATCCAATAGGGAGCCATGGCATGTTCCCAGGAGAAGAGTAATATAACAATGGTACTTTGGAAAGATTAACTGGATAATGATATTCAGGATATTCTGAAAGTGGAAGAAACTATACATTTTATACTCATCTATGCAGAACACAAGGCAGGAGTGTTGCTGTGGAATAAGAAGAGCCTTATAGAGTGAGACGTACGATTACCAAGGAGCCAGAGAAAAGCTCCTATAAGAGCTGACCCAGTGCAAGTCCAGAGGATGTTCACTGATGACGAATTGTAAATACACATTCACACACACATATGCCCTATTAAAAGTCCCACATCCTCTATCAGATCAGAAAAAAATTAAAAGAAAATATGCAAAGTTAGCAAATCTTAATCTGAACTAGTTTAGGTGTTGATAACGTAGGAGTGGCCAACCTGCCATGTGAGACAGTTGTAACTGTCTGCCCAGCCCAGCCCCACTCTACCCCTGTCCACAGCCTCTGCTGAGACATGGGCTTAAGTGGCCACATCCTACCTGCCTCCGTCTCCAACATATACCTTTTAGACAAGGAACAGATGTCTGACTCACTGGCCAGAAACTAGTCAACTCTCTCTTGAGACTCTGAAGTTCAATATGGAGACTGTAATCAGAAATAGGGTGTCCCTGGCTCTGTGCAGTGCCCCACTCCAGTTCCCACGTGGCTTGCACTTTGTATCTTGTGTTCAAGCAATTACCTGTCATACACTTATGGGTAATGGCCCTTTCCTTGACCTAGCTTGAATGGAAGTCTGTTCTTCACAACCCAGTGCTTCGCGGCTAAGCGAGCTAGGCTAGTTGATGCGCTCTGGGCCAGGAGCTGCAAAATGGCAGCCTGCAGGATGGATCACAGATGTGTTTGCTTTGACCCACATGGGGTTGCTATTGTTGTTTTAATTTGAATGGTGCTGCCTTTTAGACAGCATATTCCTTTCAGCTCACTTCTGTCCCTCTACCGTCTATCACATTACCATAATGCCTGCACCTCCTCATCATTTGGCATGACCTGCTTCACTCCTGTAATTACTTGAGCTTGAAATCTTTAATCTAGACCCAGGTAGGGGTGTGTGTGTGTGTGTGTGTGTATGTGTGTGTGTTTGTGTGTGTGTGTGTGTGGCAAACTATTCATATTGATGAGAAAACCAACAACAGTAATAGTAAAACAGCAAAAATACTGTCTTGGACCAGAGTTCCCTTTTATCTTTTCTGTTGTTCAAAAGGAAACACATTTTGTGAGCAAAAACCTTTGGAAACAAGGGAAAATACAGTGTGTAATCAAATAAAGGTACAGTCACGTTTCCCTGACATACTGCTTGGGGGCCATTATACAACTCAGTGAACAGGTACAATGGCTGCATTATTTGAGATGCTTTTGGTTGCCAGTGGCAGAAATCCAACTCAAATAAGGTTTTAAAAGGCAGGGAGTTGAAATCTATTCAGTATCAAAGGAAGAGCTTCTGTAGAAACAAGACTTCAGGAGACAGAGAATCCAGCTCCATCACACCTCTCCCTTTCTGTTTCTTATCTCTGCCGGTCTCTTATTCTCTCGATATATTTTTCATTGTATTTCAATAGTTTTTTGGGGTACAGGTGGTTTTTGGTTATATGAATGAGTTCTTTAGTGGAGATTTCTAAGATTTTAGTGCAACCATCACCTGAGCAGTGTACACTGTACCCAATATATAGTCTTTCATTCCTCACCCCCCTCCCAACCTTCCCCTCACTGAGCCCCCAAAGTCCATTGTATCATTCTTATGCCTTTGTGTCCTCATAACTTAGCTCCCACTTGTAAGTGAGAACATGCAATATTTGGTTTTCCATTCCTGAGTTACTTCACTTAGAATAATGGCCTCCAGTTCCATCCAAATTGCTGCAAAAGACATTATTTCATTCCTTTTTATGGCTGAGTAGTATTTCCATGGTATATATGTACCATATTTTCGTCACTTGTTGGTTGATGGGCACTTAGGTTGGTTCCATATCTTTGCAATTGCAAATTGTGCTGCTATAAACATGTGTGTGCATGTGTCTTTTTCATGTAATAACTTCTTTTCCTCTGGGTAGATTCCCAGTAGTGGAATTGCTGGGCCGAATAGTAGATCTACTTTTAGTTCTTTGCCTGTATATATTCTTGGTTTTATTCTGCACATTGCTAGCTTGCTCTCTCTCTCTCTCTCTCTCTCTCTCTCTCTCACACACACACACAGAGAGAGAGAGAGAGAGAGAGAGAGAGAAAGAAAGTGATTGCTGGCATCCCCAGATCTACACCATCCAAATTCAGCAAGCTTCTTGAAAAGACAGCGTCTCTTTCCTACCATCCTGGAAACGTGACTGATTCCCACAGGAGGATTTTTATTGGCCACAGCTGGGTCGAGCTCCAGGGAAATGGGATTCTCTGATTTGCTGACCCAGGCCATGAATCCATGCCTTTATGACCAGGCATGGGAGTCCACTTCCAAAAGAAGGGAAACAGGAGAAAACTTGCTAGAAAACCAAAAACAATAACTATACAACCCACTCAAATTGATTTTAAAAATTTTTAATTAAATGCCTTTATTTAATGTTACTTTACTCAATGAAAGCAAGCATTTACACACTCAAATGGTAGGTATTTGGTTAAGCAGCTCTTGAGGTCCCTCTAAAGAACCCTGAATCTATCAAGCAAGAAAATGTTCCCACTTTTCTGGCAAGGGTTTATAGGGTTTCTGAGTATTTACAGAAAACAAAACCTTTCTTCCCTCCCCTTTCTCTACAGTCTATGTTCCAAACCACAAAGAGAAAGGAATCATTCATCCCTGTGCATGGGTTAATTAAGCAGAAAACTTTTTCCAAGGGTAGGAAGCTTGGTATTAGATAGAAAGAAAAAAAGAATGAGAAATGCTTTTGGAGTTTCTGGAGAAGAGAAGGAGAAATCATATGGTGGTGGGAGGTGAAAAGATGTCAATGGCAACGCCATCTATTTCTAAATTTTCCCTGAACAGGAGACCAAATGCTTAGGGGTTCTCTGAGTCTATCTGTTGGGACAAGCTGAGAGAGACCAGTTAACTTCAACAATACTCACTTTTGCAGAGTGGAATCCAGGGCAAGTAGGCAAAGATGCACCTATAGCCAGTACTTAGAAGGTGACAAGGAAGGTGATCCTTGAAAGCAGAAATCCGATTGCCCTGCAGGAGCAGATGGTGGTTGGAAGATAAACCCGCAATGTCTGTGATTAGCCAGCTGAGAAAGCTCAGAAAATGTCTGCCTAAAGATGGGCTCAGATATGGCTTAGGAATATCTAAGGGGATTTGTCCACCCAGAGAGAAAGAGGAACTTAAATTACTTGTATTGCAACCCATCTGAAGATAGAATATGACCACAGTGTAAGGGAAGAAAAATAATTTTTTCTCTACCTTTCTGAGTTTGTAGCTCGGATGGACCCCTGTAGCAAAAGACAGATTAACAAGAGAAAAACAAACAAATTTATTAGCATGTATATTTCATATATACATAGGAGATCCCAGGAAATGAGAAATTCTCAAAGTATCTTAGAACTCTGGTTTTATATGGCATTTTTAACAAAGAAGAGCAAATTGTTAGAGAAGTAACCAAAGGAAAAGTACTGTGAGTCTCTAGGGTTAGCAAATTGAGGGAAGGCGAGGAAATGGGAATTTGTCATGTGGATTCTTCGGTGCCATCTCCAGGATGAGAAGGATCTAAAGTTGCCTTCAGTGAACAACCTTTGTTCTTTCTGGTAGAGAGGTAACGATGGACATCATAGTCTTGGTAAATTTATGTCTTGCTTTTAGGCTAATGGGGTAGAGCAGAGACCTTTTCTTATATCTGCTTCTTCTCGATTGCCTTCAGCTCAAAATAACTTTTATGCCAAAGTGGCGTATCTTAGGGTGACATGTTCTGGTCTTCTGCAACAGACAGAGGCTACAGATGCCTGCCTGGCATCCTGAAGAGGGAGAAAGAGAGTGAGAGTCGGTCAGGCTGTTTCCAGCCAAATAGATGCTGGAGAGGGAGCCAGCCATGCAGTTACACTCCAGGATGCACGGCTGAGTTCGTGTCCCGGCATATTTTCTCCTTGTCACTGAAGCCCCAGCTGCCTAGAGTATTTTATCATATGTAAGTCGTGCCATTATTTTATGTACCACAAAGAAGAAACATTTATGCCAATTACACTGCATCATAATGCTTTCCTTTCACTTTGACTTTTAATCATTTTACACTTATTTTGACATAGATTTTATTCTACATCAAGCTTGTACATAAATGAAAAGAAAAATATAACTGAAATAAAATGGCTGCAATAATTCCTAAAACTTCTTCAAATTCAATGTCTGATTCTTCTGAATCATTTTTAGACTGTCTTTGGTGTCTGTATTTTTCCTGCACAATATCATCCTGTGTACCTTCAACAATGTTTGTAATACAGCACCTTTAAAAAAGAATTTAAAATATATGCTATATATATATATTTTAAATTAACTTATTTACTCTCATTCCTTTGATTTCTAAAGGGAAGATAACCTCAGTAGCTTGTTTCCCTAGCCTTTCCTTTTATTTGCCCCTTTGGATATGAAAAACCTGTTCTGAATTATATATTATATATAATATATATGTTATATATAAAATATATATATTCCAATAGAAATTTGAAATTTGATCTGTTTATTAGATATTAGGATATTGATATTAAATTTCTTGGGTGTGATAATACTATACCCTAGAAGAATGTTCTTATTCTTAAAAGATACGTGCTGAAGTGTTTAGCAGTGAGGTGTCATGCTATTTGCATATTACTTTCATATGATTCAGCAAACAAACATACAAACAAAATGCCCAAAGAAACATAAAGAGTGATGAGTAAAGGAAATGCCTTCAAAATGATATCAACAGGAAAATCTAGATAAAGGATATACAGGTATTCATGGAACTATTTTTTAAATTGTTCTTTAAGCTTAAGGTTTTCCAAAATTAAATGTTATTTCGGAGTGGGGCATAGTGGCACACACCTGTAGTCCCAGATACTCATCGGGAGGCTGAGGCAGGAGAATTGCTTGAACCCAGGAGGCAGAGGCTTCAGTGAGCCGAGTAGGGGAAGAGCGTGCTTCACTGAGAAATCCACTCCAATAATTTTTTCCAAGTTTTCTCAAGCTGCCAACACCAGTTCAGATCAGATCAGTGCTTTCTTGATCTTACCAAATGGATGTCCACATAAGTTTTCAGACAGGAATCATGATTCACATTCCTTCCCCCAAGGGGTCCTCAGAGTTTGCTCACTGAAGCATCACTGGTTGCTGCGCCGTTTTTCAAGCATGACACCCAAGAAGTAACAACCAGATCCATCTATGTGTAGGCAACGGCAACTATGTCAGAACTGCTGCTTGACTGACAGTGGTTGTGATGGGAATCCCTGTGTCAGAGATGTGAAAACATGGCAGTGTGGGAGAAGGTGTATCTTCAGATTGAACAGTTGACATACACATTCATGCCACTGGCAGTTATGGATCTCAATGTGGACTAACCAGCTGGAAATCTGGGTTACAGGTCAGTCTTTGTGAGCAGGAGTTATTCCCCTTGGTCTGACCAGAGTTTCTGGAATTCCACATCTGGATCATCTCTTGGACCATGTGACCCTTTCCAAGGTACCACCAGTCAGTGAAGCCTTGACTGAGTACCAGAGTATCAGCCTTCTCTTTTTTTTTTTTTTTCTTTTCAGACAGCGTCTTACTCTGTCGCCCAGGCTGGAGTGCAGTGTGCCATCTCGGCTCACTGAAGCCTCTGCCTCCTGGGTTCAAGCAGTTCTCCTGCCTCAGCCTCCCGATGAGTAGCTGGGACTACAGGTGTGTGCCACTATGCCCAGCTAACTTTTTTTTTAATTTTTAGTAGAGATGGGCATTTACCATGTTGGTCAGGCTGGTCTTGAACTCCTGACCTCAAGTGATCTCCCCGCTTTGGCCTCCCAAAGTTCCGGGATTACAGGCGTGAGCCCCCGCACCCAGCCCCAGCCAGCTTTTTCCCCTGTTTGGCATCTCTGTCTCCACTGTGTCTGGGGGCAGCAGGGATCAGCACTGTCTAAACGAGACATGGCAAGCTTGCAAAGAAGGATTTTTATACCACATGTATCCTTTCCAATATGATGGTAACAAAGAATGGGAGACCCTATTTCCCTTGGTTATACCATTGACTTAGCTGCTATCTGAGAATAATAATGTCTGCATTGCCTCCTCCTGTCTTCAATAAATATTAAGTTGCTGCTATACCTCATAGGATTATTGTGAACAATCAAAGAGAGACCCCAAAAAAGTAGTATGAAGTAGTCCCATTATCATAAAAACAAAGGTCTTTGAAAGGACAGATAGGGATAATGATCCCAAAACATAGTTGAGGACACTTTCTTCTTTAATGAACTTATTTACTCTCATTCCTTTGGTTCCTAAAGGGAAGATAACCTCAGTAGCTTGTTTTCCCAGCCTTTCCTTTTATTTGTCCCTTTGGATAGGAAAAACCTGTTCTGAATTACTCAAATATGCCTAGAACTCAAAAGCATGCTTGTGATTATGCCCCTTTACACATTTAATGTGGAAAAACCTCACTAACAAGAAAATAGGCCTGCTTGGAGATAATAAGCTCCCTTCCTCCTGTGGTCTCAGTACATCCACGTGTTGCTCCCTCACTCCTTTGAGGTGCCCGCCCCTGCAGCTGCCAGCCGCCCTGGTGGTGCAGCTCTTCCCACCCTGAAATGCACCAACCCCTGAAATGCAAACTCTGGGTTGTTGACATTTTCTCAACAAAGGGAGGAAATGTAAGTAAATCAAGGCAAACAGAAGTGACTCAATCTGCTCTAACAGCTTTCTATTTTATGACTTGGAATACACAAAGATAGACACCAGAGATGAAGCACTGCGCCCAAGGCCAGGCCAGGCGGCTCCGCAGACGGGCAAGGCTCCGGCTACTGACACAGCCCTCCACCCTTTTTGATCACCTCCTCTTCACCCCATTGGTGACGGAGAGAGTCCCACCCTAGCGTTCTGGGGATGGCTGAACACGCAACGCCCAACACTGGGCAGATGAGATCCACAACGGTTTATGAGTCACATAGTCACAGCCCGGGGTAGACACTGCACGCCAAGCAGGGCCACACAGGGGTTGCACTCGGGAACACAGTGAGCAAGCAGGGGCTGTGGGAGACAGGCCTTGGAGTACCAAGAGGGTGGGGTTCCCCCTGGTTCCCATGGAAGGATGGGATTGGCCTGTTTGAATCATTCCGTGGGCCGGCAGAGAACTGCAGCGTGATGCTTAGGCATAACCGGCACTGTGCCTGGTCTCGGTGATGTGCAGTGTCGTTTGGCAATGGGACCTTATCCAGGGGAGCAAAGTGGGGAGGGAAACCTGTGGTCAGGCCATTCGAGGTCCTTCTGGTTTCGGATCTGAAAGCAACATATAATATCGGGCCCTAATTTTAGGCCTATAATACATGGCCTTCACTGCGTCGCCTTTTTCATCTTTTGTGTTCAGCCTACGGATTTCTCTTCACTCTCTTAGCCTGTTCTTTTCACTGTATCATTCTTCATTAGCTATATTCGTTACTTTCATAGAGCACTGTTTCCTACCTGAGCAGCCAGATTCTGAAGCCTTCAGTAAAAGGATATTTTTCTGGGGGAAACAGAGATGGATCATATACCCAGAAAGAAATAAGCACTATTAAGGCAGAATCCGATTCAGGGGCGGTCGCTGGGGTTTTGCCCATTTAGGGCAATAGATCCTTACTCTCACGTCGGATGGGGTCTGTGCAATCCAGAGATATAGATAGATTCACAGAGGAATCATGGAGACATTATACAGATGCCAAACATTTGAGGAGAATGACTAGCTCCGGCTCTGTAATTAGCTCTCATTCGATTTACTGTGCTTTGTTAATTACAACAAATTATACAGACGTGCGTAACCAAAGCTGCACGCTGCAGAATTAATTATAGATTTACAGAAGTTGCAAAAATGGTACAAAGATGTCCTATGTGCCCTTCACCCACTTTTCCTCAATACTAAACTCTCCCATGCTGTTTGCTTGCCTTTCTTTTCTTTCCTTCTTCTCTTTCTTTTCTTCCTTTTTTGTCCTTCTTTTCTTCTTTCTTCTTTATGTGCTTCACAATCCATGTATATTACTTGGATAACAAGGAAGAGAGATTATTAAGAAGAATTTTTACAATATAAATTATGAGAGCACAAGGCAGTTATCCTCCCTCCCTTGCGTGTACAAGGAGGAAGGAATGTTGTGGTCCAGCTGAGGCCTCATAGTCTCGCTCCACCCTGGGGCTGGAGTGTCTGCTGCAAAGTCAGGGCAGCGGCAGAGTTCTTAGCTTTGCTCACGCGTGGTAAAAGTCTCTTCTGTGCTGAGTCCAAGGCTGTCTCACCCTTCGATGTGTCTGCAGCTCTCTGGCTTCTTGTGCTCCTTAGTAGGAAATAGCATTGTGCTGCTTCTGCTGCTGCACGTCTTGGTCCTGTGTGTCAAGGTCCCCACCCCTATAGTGGCCAGTGCTCCATCACCAGGGCAGAGGAGAGCTGCTCTTAACCCCTCTCAATGGGATTATTCACTTTCATCCTGGGCTTCAGACTGAAAACAGACACTTCCTAGATACTTTCTGTGCAACACATTGAAAAGTCACCTCCTCTTGGGCTCCCAGGAGCTCAGGAGGAGACCCCTGGCCTTCCAGCTGAATCACTGCAGGGGTGGCACTGTGGGGAACACAAGAGAGATAGCAAGTGGCAGTTTTCATTTTCCTCCTGTCCATAGCTATTAAGAATATTAGGCCAGGTGAAGTGGCTCATGCCTGCAATCCCAGCACTTTAAGAGGACGAGGCAGGAGGATTGCTTAAGTCCAGGAGTTCAAGCCCAGCCTGGGCAACATAGCAAAACCCCGTCTCTACAAAAAATTCATAAATTTGAATCAGCATATGGATTTCTCTTCATTTTCTTTCTATAGCCTCTTCTTTTCACTGTATCATTCTCCATTTGAAATTTGAAATTTGAAAAATTTGACTCTGACTACTTGTGAGCAAAGCTAAGAACGCTGCCGCTGCCGTGACGTTGCAGCAGACACTCCAGCCCCAGGGTGGAGTGAGGCTATGAGGCCTCAGCTGGACCACAACATTCCTTCCTCCTTGTACACGCGAGGGAGGGGGAATAACCGCCTTGTGCTCTCACGGGCATGGTGGCACGCACCTGTGTCCCAGCTACTCAGGAGACTGAGATGGGACAATCACTTGAACCCAGGAAGCAGAAGGTGCAGTGAACAGTGATTTTGCCACTGCACTCCAGCCTGGGCAACAGAGCGAGACCCTCTCTCAAAAAAAAAATATATATATATATATATATGTATGTATGTATATTAATACCAGTCCTGCCTGTTATGAAATTCAGGATGTTCTTGTTGTTCTGTCTTATGTTTTTCTATTTTTCCTGACTTTGATTTAAGATCCTGGAGTAAATTCTCAGAGAGTATCCAATAATCCTCTTTTCAAAAAGTTACTCAGAGCAAGACAGATAACACCCCTCAGATGTCAGAGCAGGTGGCAGGCCTGAGGAGGACACCTGGGCCCCGCCATGTCACAATGCCACGTTGATGCTAACACTGGCCCCAAGCTGCACCACTGAGGAGTGAGTTGGAACTTTGCTCCATGAGACTTTTTGGGCCACAGCCTTAAGAAGCTGAGGCTTCCCCAGGGCCTCCCTCCTACATAGTAAAAATTGATTTGCAGAAAGGAATAGAGAAAAAAAAAGAGTTCTTAATTCTATTGTAAAATGCTGTTAAGTGACTATATATGTAATGTGATGAACTAGCTGAGATTTTACAAAACTAACTGGTTTACTATAGGGACGCATCCAGCAGAATATCCAGCACACGACAGGAGAAAGCCTGGCCTCTAGGAGGCCGAGAGTTGCTAGTTTGGAGTCAGATCCTCTTGGAAAGTCAGGTGCAGTGGCTCACACCTGTAATCCTAGCACTTTGGGAGGCCAAGGTGGGAGGATGGTGTGAGCCCAGGAGTTTGAGACCAGCCTGGGCAACATAGTGAAACCCTGTCTCTACAAAAAATCTGAAAATTAGCTGGGCATGGTGGCATGTGCCTATAGGCCCAGCTACAATGCAAGGCTGAGGCAGGAGGATCGCTTGAGCCCAGGAGGTTGAGGCAGCAGTGAGCCGTGTTCATGCCACTGCACTCCAACCTAGGCGACAGATTGAGATCCTGTGTCGAAGCAAAAAACAAAAACAACAACAAATACTCTTGGATGTAAATCCCAGCTTCAGGATTAAACAGCTGTGTGACCTTGGAAGCAGTAGCTAAATTTCCTCATCCATAAAATGAAGCTTACAGGAATGCTTAATAAATGAATTGTAAGGAGCAAGTGAGATGCAGCATACACTCTGCTTAATACTCTGGTACACAGCAGGCACTCAAAAATATTAGCTGTTATCATTTGAATAAACGAATGCTAATAATAAAGATAAAAGATAAAAACAAAAGCATAGAGAAAAGCTTCTCTGCCCTGAATCAGCTTCTAAGTAGTTAACTGTTCTTGGCCACCACCGGCTTGGCCAGAAGCAAGGTATTTTTAGCTGTAGGCATGAGGCAGAACTCACCCAGGGCAGAAGCAAAGTACAACAGGGCATTCCAGCTTTCTAGGCTGGAATTATTCACTCTTGCTTGATAAAAAGCAACCTGCAGTTGTGCCTGCCTTTTCCTTATCAGTGTGCTCCTGAGAAATTGCAGAGAAGTCAAACTTTATACATCATCTTATTTTAATATAAATGAATAAGGGAAGGTTTCTTTTTGATAGACCCTTTACCATTTGCCCTTTTATATTATAAATTGTTGTCATTTTGTTAGATGCAGCTGATTGTTTATGCAGTTTCTTTAAAACAGGACATCCTGAAAGACTTTTGAATTGCCACTCCATTGACAGCATTTTTATAGAGGAAACAGAGTGAGAAAAATCATCATCTTACCAGCTAGCCCCGGTACTCTTAGGGAGGAAACTATCTTTGTTCAGGAAAACACCTTCATAAACCACTTCAAATGGAAAATGAGACCCTGATGATTCAACTGAATAAAATAAATAGCCAAATTTCACAGCACTAGAAATAAGCAGGTATTTGGGGGCAGAGTGGGAAGACTAGAATCGTTGAGCAACTCAGTGCAGTAGGAAAGGACTTTTGAAAACCAGATGGTGGTTACTTTTATATGTCAGCTTGGCTGGGACACAGTGCCCAGATATGTGGTCTAAATTACTCTAGCTGTTTCTGTGAGGGTGTTTTTGGATAAAATGAACATTTTAATATGCAGACTTTGAGTAAAGCACACTGCCTTCCATAATGTGGGTGGGCCTTATCCAATCAGTTGGAGGCCTGAATTGAATGAAAGACTGACCTCCCTTGAGCAAGAGGGAATTCCACCACAGAGAGCCTTTGGCCTGGCACTGCAGCATCAGCTCTTCCCTCGCTTTCCAGCCTGGCAGCCTTCAGAGTTGAACTGTATATTTTGGACTTGCCAGCCCCCATAAGCGTGTGAGCCAATTCCTTAAAATAGGTCTTCCTCTATATAAGCACACATCATATTAGTTCTCTTTCTCTGGAAAATCCTAATACAACCAGGATGTCTAATATTAAATATGAAGCTTTGTTGCTGTGACGTGCATTTCCACTCCTTTTTCTCAAACATATTCCCTCTGCATCCCAGCCATATACCTCGTGCAAGTGGTTGTGTGTGTATTCGTGCATGTACATGTGTTCACACACACGTGTGTGTGTGTGTGTGTGTGTGTGTGTGTGTGTGTGTAAACCAAAGGAATGGGCTAAGTTTCATGTCTGGGTTGTTATAGAATAGAACCAAAATAGCACCTAGCAGATGGCAATACAGTCCACAACCTGAGTGAGTTTAGGAGAACCAGGAATGTGGAGCTAGACACCACCATGAGAAAGAGCCCTTCCTCTGCCCCCGCAAGGAATCTGTACAGCTTTGGGGGCAATCAACAGGTTTCCACAACATTCAGGCCAAACTCAAGGAGCTCTTAAGAGACAGAGGGACTGATCTGGACATCTGAGTTCCATAAAAACAAAAATTTTTTTTCTTTTAAATTCACAGACTATATGTTAAGCATGTTCAGTTAACTTACTCAGAAGCAGACCCAGATGGTAAACTTCGCTGGTGATCACAGCTTGCTTCTAATTATTCATACACTCCTCTGAGATTAAGGAAACCTCCATACCACCAAATAAACCAAAACAAACAAAATAAAACCCTAAGAGAGGCAATGTGCAAAGAGAATGAGTTGATGCAACTGGTTTCTGTAGAAAGACAAACATGGAAAATGCCTCCCAGTGTGGCCCCAGGTGCCCCAAGACCAATGCTGCATCACCACTGGGCCAGGAGTGCTCTCCCCGCTGGGCAGTGAGGGAAGGACGGGGGAAGGAGAGGAAGGGCCATCTTAGGACACTGCTGGCGTGGGGGCCACCCATGACAGCACTGTCATGGTAGTCCATTCCCCGTGGTTGGTAGAAAGAACTAAGATCCTTAAGATGGCACACAGTCACAGAAATGCCTGAACTAACTAAAAATAATGATCTGAATCTAACTTCTTGGTGCGAAGGAGATGGATAAAGATCAAGAGGGGTTTCAAATTTATGTGTCTTAGGCAAGGAAAAAAAGGCTAATTTAGGAACTGGGCACTGCCCTTTAAGCTAATGGCCTCAGATCCTTGGATCAGTGTGTTAGGTATATGTTCAAACTGGTGGCCTCTTAGAGACACTAGGAAACACAAGTAGCATTGACAGTGTTTGGTGCTGTCATTCAAACACTCGCCCTCCTTCATACAGCTTGTCTTATCATTCTGTCAATCAGAATGTTTAAGGGAAGCATAATATTGTTTTTAACTGCCTGAAAAAAATCTAAACACACTAACGTTATTTTCTTTCTAAACCCTGTTATATAGTATAGGTCTATAGGTGATGCAGATGCCAAATGAAAGAAATGTGAGATGCATGATTTATTTTTAAAACAAAAACCAACACATTCCCACCATGAAATAGAAAGGTCACCACCAATAAAACCATCTAATCAGCCTCATTAGTATGTTCCTTTGACCACATTTCTCTTATTCAACAGAGCGTGTCTCCTCTGAATAACCAGGAGATTTCACAATAACACATGCAAAGACCAAAGAAGGAATCTGTGTGATGTGGCCAGCACCCATCAGACCATGGGGCACTTGCCCCAGAGGGAGAAGAAGAGACAAATATTTGAAGGGCAGCATCAATCTTCTGACAAATGCACATATCTGTAAAGCCTAGTAAAGTGGCAAAAAAGACATATCTGCATGCAACTACCAGAAATCTTATTGAGCTCCAAATGAAGGGCTCATTCTGATCCTCAGGGATTTGGAGCAGGATTTTTTTCAAGAGCCCATTTAACTTTCACTGCAGTTGGTCTTGGGAAGAGAGAGGTTCTAGCCCATGCCTCAGCAGGAGCAGACCTCTGCTTGGCATCAATGAAAGGTCCTGGGCCCAAGATTCCATAAGCGATAGGAAGTCTCAAAAGAGTCAATAGATTTTTATGATCTCAAGTTTGTCTTGAATGAAACACAATGTTTTGTGGCTTATGGATTCCTACCAAATCTAGATGAAAATCTTCCCTCAGGGGATTACTAATGTCTTTCCTCTGTGTCCTTGGCCACTGCTTCTCTTTCTCCTTTATGCTCCTTCCGCTTCCTCCATCCTGTGTCAAGTGCTGGACTGTCCCTGGGCTCAGTTATAGGCAGCCTCTTCTGTCTACATTCTGTCCCTAGGTAGTCCCATCCAGTCCCAAGGCTGTAAATATCATCTCTGTATTGTCAACTCTCACAGGGAAATTGTCACACCAGAGCTCTCCTCTGAGTATCCAACAGCCAACTGGACACATCCACATGATCTACGGCTTCACATGTGCAACACGGACCTCTCGACTTTCCCCCCAGATCCATTTTACTATTAGTAAGTGGCGTCAACATTTATTCCACTGCTCAAACTAAGCCTAGCAGCCATCCTGAATTCCTCCCTTTATCTCCTTCCCCTCTTTTCAGTGCATCATCCTGCTTCCACTTAGAATGCGTAAGAGAGCATAGCTCCCTGAAAAATGGGAAAATGGCTGGTCTCTACAAAACCATCACTTTTCTTCGAACCCATCAAATAGCTGAGGTCATAAGAGATACTGAATTCCACTCTCCCTGGAAGGTAAACTGAATACCAAAGAGTGACAAACCCTGTGAGGACAGATGAGACTCAAATATTGTTTCACCTTTGACAGAGCAAGAAAGGAAGAGGTGGCTACCATACACATGGGGAGACAGAAATTATCTAAAATTTTAACATATTCTTAAAAGCTAGTGTGGGTTAGAACATCAGTTTGGAATAGGTAGGATCACCAGACACAGGGGGAGTTTGTACCCACTTGCAAGCTCTTTCCACTGGCTTCTACCAGGTGCTCATGAGAAAGACTAGGGAAGGGGCAAGGGGCCAGAAAGAGAGATTATCTGAGTGCTACAGGTGTGGCTGAAGCCAAATTAAAAGGCCAGGACTGTCAGATTGGATTAAAAATGCAAGACCCACGTATATGCTGTTTGTAAGAAACCCACCTTAAAAATAGAAACACAGATGGGTCAAAAGTAAAAGAATGATAGGCCAGGTGCAGTGACTCACGCTTGTAATCTCAGCACTTTGGGAGGCTGAGGCAGGCAGATCACCTGAGGTCAGGAGTTCGAGACCAGCCTGGCCAACATGGTGAAACCCTGTCTCTACTAAAAATACAAAAATTAGCTGGGCATGGGGGCAGATGCCTGTAATCCCAGCTACTCGGAAGGCTGAGGCAAGAGAATCGCTTGAACCCAGGAGGCAGAGGTTGCAGTGAGCCAAGGTTGCACCATTGCACTGCAGCCTGGGGACAAGAGGAAGACTTTGTCTCAAATAAATAAATAAATAAATAAATAAAAGAATGGAAAAAAGATACACTATGAAATAATCAGTAATTATGAAATTACTAATAAAATGAAACTGAAATGGTTAATGCCAAACTAGATGTCAGAAAAAAGGAATATTGCCATGGATAAACAGAGACATTATGTAATGTGTAATGACAAAGTGGTCACTTCATCAGAATGACATAATAATCCTACATGTACGTGTACTTAACAGAGCTTCAGAATACATGAAGCATAACTGAACAAAAAAGAAATAGACAAATATACAATTATAATTGGAGATTTTAACACTCTTCTCTCAATAATTTTTATATATTTTTATTGTACTATGTATTCAAGGTATACAACATATTTTGATATATTCATACATACTGAAATGGTCTACAGTCCAGCATATTAATACATCCATCATTTCACACATTTACTTGTGTGTGTGGTAAGAACACCTAAAATCTATTCTCAGCAAACTTCCAGCATACAATACAATCTTGTTAACTGTAATTCTCATGCTGTCCATTAGATTAGGAGTCCTCAATCGCCAGGCCATGGACCAGCACCAGTCCATGGCCTGTTAGGAACCAGACCACACAGCAAAAGGTGAGCAGTGGGTGAGCAAGTGAAGCTTCATCTATATTTACAGCTGCTCCCCATCACTCAGATTACCAACTGAGCTCCACCTCCTGTCAGATCAGTGGTGGCATTAGATTCTCATAGGGATGCAAACCCTATTGTGCATGCAAGGGACCTAGGTTGCACACTCCTTATGAGAATCTAATGCCTGATGATCTGAGGTGGAACTGTTTCATCCCGAAACCACCTCTCCCCCTGCCCACCACCACACCACCACCACCATCCCCCTCTCCAGTCCATGGAAAAATTGTCTTCCACAAAACTGGCCCCTGGTGCCAAACATGTTGGGGACCACTGCATTAGATCACTAGACTTATTCATCCTACTGGACTGCAATTTTGTACCCTTTGACCTACATCTCCCCATTTCCTCCCTTCCCTGGCCCCAGTAACTATTATTCTATTCTATTTCTGTGTATTTGATTTGACTTGGTTTTTTTTAGATTCTGCATACAAGTAAGATCATGCAGTATTTTCTTTTCTGTGTCTGGCTTATTTCACTTTGTGCAATTTCCTTCAGGTTCATCCATGTTGTCACAAATGGCAAGATCTCCTTTTTTTTTTTTTTTTGAAACAGAGTTTCACTCTTTCACACAGGCTAGAGTGCAATGGCATGATCTTGATTCACTGCAACCTCTGTTCCCTGGGTTCAAGTGATTCTCCTGCCTCAGCCTCCTCAGTAGCTGGGCTTACAGGAGCACACCACAACAACCAGCTAATTTTTGTATTTTTAGTAGAGACGGGGTTTCACCATGTTGGCCAGGCTGGTCTTGAACCCCTGACCTCAGGTGATCCACCTGCCTCGGCCTCCCAAAGTGCTGGGATTATAGGCATAAGCCACTGTGCCCAGCTGATCTCCTTCTTTTTTAAGGCTGAATGCTATTCCACTGGGGTGTGTGTGTGTGTGTGTGTGTGTGTGTCACAATTTCTTTAGCCAGTCGTCTGCTGATGGATATTTAGGTTGTTTCCGTATCTTGGCTATTGTGAATAATGCTGCAATGAACATGAAAGTGTGGCTATCTCAGCCAGGTACTGATTTCTTTCCCTTTACATGTATACCTGGTAGCGGGATTGCTGGATCATACGGTAGTTCTATTTGTAGTTCTATTTGTAATGTTTTCATGATGGCTGTACCAATCTGAACTTCCACCAACGGTCTGCAAGGTTCCCCTTCCTCCACATTCTTTCCAACACTTGTTATCTCTTGTCTTTCTGATAATAGCCATCTTAACAGGTGTGAGATGCTCTCATTGTGGTTTTGATTTCTATTTTCCTGATGATTAGTGATGTTGATATTGAGCATCTCTTCTTCATATATGTCGGCCTCTCTCAATAAAGTAGATGGAAAATCAGTATGACGATAGCAAACAGTGCTATTAAACAAATGGCTTAATTGACATTTACAGAACACTCTAACCAACAATAGCTGAACACACACTCACTTGACATGCTTATGAAATCTCATCAAAATAGACCACATTCTAGGTCATAAAACATGCCTCAATAATTTTTTTAAAAATTACAATTGGTTGGGAGTCGTGGCTCACCCCTGTAATCCCAGCACTTTGGGAGACCAAGGCAGGCAGATCACCTGAGCTTAGGAGTTCGAGACCAGCCTGGCTAAGAGGTGAAACCCCATGTCTACTCAAAATGCAAAAATTGCCAGGCATAGTGGCTCATGCCTGTAATCCCAGCTACTGAGGAGGCTGAGACAGGAAAATCGTTTAAACCCAGGAGATGGAGGTTGCAGCTAGCTGGGATTGTGCCACTGCACTCCTGGGCAGCAGAGTGAGACTCCATCTCAAAATAAAAAAAAAATTAAAAATTAAAATCATATAAAACTCTGTTCTCTGACCACAGCCAATTAAAATTAGAAATCAATAATAAGAGAGTATCTAGAAAAGTATCTAAATATTTTAAACAGCACCCTTCTAAATAATTCTTGGTTAAAAAGGAACTCGCAAGATATATTATAAAATATTTTTAAGAAGATGAAAACAAATAACATACCAAAATTGGAGGGATATAGCTACAGCAGTTCCTAGAGGGAAATATATAACATTAAATGCTTATGTTAAAACATAGAATGGTCTCAAATCAACAGTCTAAGCTTCAACCTTAGGAAATGAGAGAAAGAAAAGTAAATCAAACCCAAGCAAGCAGAGGGAAGAAAATAATAGGGATAAGAGCATAAATCAGGTAAACTGAAAACAAATAGAGATAATCATGAAATAGCAACTGGCTTTTTGAGATGATGGACAAAATGTATAAACCTTGAACTAATGTAATCGAGAAAAAAAGAGAGAGAAGACACAAACTACCAATTTCAGGAATGAAAGGAGGGGAATCACTATAGATCTTACAGACATTAAAAGATTAAAAGATTATAAAATTAATAGCAAAAAGTCTGATAAAAGATAAATAGATTCAGTTCTTGAAAGATACAAACTACAAAGCTCACTCAAGAAGAGCAGATGACTGGAATAGTCCTATATGTATAAAAGAATTGGAACTTGCCATTAAAATTTTGCTTACAACGGAAAGTCCAGATCCAGATGTGCCACTGGTAAATTCTGGCAAATATTGAAAGAAGAAATCATTGCAACTGTGTACAAACTCTTGCAGAAAATGGAAGTGGAAGGAATATTTCCCAAACTGTTTGATGAAGTCAGCATTACCCTAATACCAACCTAGACAAAGGCCTTAAAGAAAAAACTACAAATCAACAACTGAAAACAATTCAAATGTCATTAACTGGTGAATGAATAAACAAATTGTGCCATACTATCAAATGGAATACCACTCAGCAACCAAAAGGAACAAACATGCGACAATGTGGATAGAAAGCATTATGCTAAGTGCAAGAAGTCAGACATAAAAGGTAACATTCTGTATGATTTCATTTATATGACTTTCTGGAAAAGGCAAAACGAAGACATCAGATTAGGTTGCTGGGGTTAGATTGAGAAAAGGGGATGGACTACATAAAGATCACAAAAGGACTTTTTGTGGTGATTGAAATATCGTATGTCTTGGTTGTGATAATATTACATGCATCCATTTGTTAAACTCATCAGACCACACACCTCAAAAGGGTGACTTTTACTGTACTGCACGTGAATTATTCCTCAATTAGCCTGACTTAGAAAACCTCTCAAAAAAAAAGAAAAAAAAAAGTAGGGGGTGAAGAAAATCTCTCCAGGGAATTCCCACTGTTTTCAGGAAAAATCTAAACCCCTTGCTGCAGTCTCTTAGAATCTATTCTTTGCATGTTTCTCCAGCTTCATGCTTTTCAAGAACATTTAATGAGTTGAGGAAAAAATCTCATAATAGAATATTAAGTGAAAAATGATATATGCAAATCAGCTTTTACAGTGGGATATCAACTTTGCATGGGATGTACACCACATGTACAGAGAAATACCTATTGGTAGGAAACATACCAAAAGAATAGCTTCCTTTGGGAAGTACACTTTGTGATTTTTATTATCCTCTTGTGCTTTTGCTTTTGTGTGTTTTCCAAATTTTGCAATGAATTTAATAATAAAATATTAATTTCATTTATTTATTATTATTACTACTTCTACTGTTATTATTATCTTTTGATCAGGGCCTTGGCTTTTAGTGGAATGGTCCATAATCTTTAGCTCTTTCTCTCCTGGGGCTTCTCTTCCCTCTCCTTTCCTCTGATTCTTTCCCACTAGCCCCCCACCCTCACCTCCCTTCACCAAAAGCTTCTGGAGCTCCAGGGCAAACACTGAAGACATCTTGGTGTTTAAATTGATGTGCTTTTAAGGTTGACATTTCTAGGAACTCCACAGGGGGCAGGCAGGGAGCAGGGGGATGGATATGGGTTCTGGCCTGGCAGAGGCAGTTGCAACCTGCCACACTGGGGATCTTTGTAGGTAACAGATTGGGGAATAATGAGGTCAAAGTGGAGCCTTGACCAATACCATGAAGTTACTTCGTGTATCTTGTATTTGTTTTATAATCAATGTCTTAAAAGAATAATATTTTTTGGAATATGTGACTTTGCAAGAGAAGTTGCAATGGAGTTTTTTTTGCTATTTTCCAGCACCTAGAACAATGCCTGGCACCTAGCATCTGATCAATAAATACTTGTTGAATGCAATGGATGGATGAACAAATAAACAAACAAATGAATGAGAGTGGAGGCAGTAAACAGAAACTAGACCCAGGGAGGTTGAGGCGTGAACAGGAGTCGAGGAAGTTGACAGAGGAAATGGGGATCATTGTTCAGAAAAACTTCCCAAAGGAGAAGAGAGATTGGCTAGTAGCTAAAGAAGGACAGGGAACCAAGAGAAGTTTTGGCTTGTTTTTTGTTGATTTGTTTAGGATAGGCGGGTCTTCATCATGTTCATAATCTGAGGAGAATGAGCCAGCAGAGAAAGATCAGAGATTATGAGAGACGCGATTACTGATGAAGTAGGGTCCCAGGGGATGGCAGGAAAAGAGGTGGAAAGCTTGGTAGGAGTGTTGGTAGCAAGAAAGGCTCCCCAGCCTCTTCAGACCAGAGATCAGTGCAGACTCACAGAAACCAGGAGAGGATGGCAGAGGGGATTTGACAAATTGTTTAGGTGAAGTAGAAGGTGAGGGCATCTGCTAAGAGAACTGAGTCAGTAATGAAAAAAGAACTGATAAGACCAAAGAGAGAGCTTAACAAAGAGAAAACAAAAAACTGAATGGGGCCAGGTGCGGTGGCTCACGCCTGTAATCCCTGCACTTTGGGAGGCCAAGGAGGGTGGATCACCTGAGGAGTTCAAGACCAGCCTGGCCAACATGGGTGAGACCCTGTCTCTACTAAAAATACAAAAAATTAACCAAGCGTGGTGGTGGGCACCTGTAATCCCAGCTACTTGGGAGGCTGAGGCAGGTGAATCACTTGAACCCGGGAGGCGGAGGTTGCAGAGAGCCGAGGTCACACCACTGCACCCCAGCCTGGGCAACAAGAGTGAAACTCCGTCTCAAAAACAAAAAACAAAAAACTGAATGGCAGCACTGAGGGCCCAGCTGAGCCTAGAAGTGTGAATTTGTGGCCACCCCATTTGACATAGCTGTGTGGGCTTTTCCAAGAGTTCACTACCACCTGGAGGTAGATGGGTTAGGGTGGGAGTGATTCCAGGCTGAAAGTTTGCAAGAGGCATAGAGACAAGAGGCTGGAGAGCAGGGGATACTGCAGAGGAAATTCAAGATGTGCTTCTGAGAACCCAGCTCACAGGCTGGTCGCCAGACCACCAAAGTCCTTACCAGGGTGATGTCTAGGAAACTTTGTTCCTGTGTCTCCTGTGAATTCAAAGATAACTCAAATCAACGGACGTGTCCAGTGATACTGAGAAACCATTACTTTTCCTTTGGTCTTTGATTCATCACGGTTAAATTTAATCCTAATTCTCCAATAATATTGGCTACCAATTTGCTGCTGCCCTGTTATGAAATATGAATATGACTCATCTGAACTTGAGTTTCACTTCTTGACATATGTACCAATCAAAATAATGAGAAAAACAGCAAGTCAAATTCCTTTCTAATAAGCATTTGTGAGCTCTTAGCTAGTACATAAGGGGAGGTGGTCCAAAAAAGAAGGCCTTGTTATATCTGGTGAAGTTGGTAACGCCTAAAAGACTGCTTTTTACAATTAACAACAAATCAGAGATAGTCTAGCACAGCAAAAAGAAAACAGCATTAGTAATCAGACAACTTGGATATTAGACTCAGTTCTATAATTAACAGGCTGCACAAACTTGAGAAAATCACCCACTGAACTAGTTTCCTGATATACAAAACAAAAGGATCAAGCAAGAGATTGGGTGAAATTCCTTCTAATTTTATAGACTTATATTTTTGGGATCTGTATAAAATTTTGGACCCCCATCAGTACATGACTTATAACAGATGCTTCACAGATGGCATTGAACCAAACTGAGGTGAACAAGAGGAAATCAAATAGAAAACACAGAGTTTTCTTCTGATAAAGTCATGGCCAAACCTGTGCACACATGTAATGCTAGAAACAATCTTGGAGGTAATCACCAGCCTCTCTCTCTGTCTTTATTATATTTTTAATATAATAAAAAATATATTTTTATATATAAATAAAAACAATATATATTTTATATATTATTTAATATACATGTATTAAAATATATTAAAATAATCTTTTATATATGAATAAATAATACAATAAAATATATATTATATATAAAATATACATTATTTTTATAAATAAATGTGTAAATAAATATACACATTTATTTATCAAATATCAGTTAAAATTTTTTTAAAATATGTTTTATTTCCCTCAGTTGTAACTTGATGCACGCTCATGGTAAAAAAAAGAATTTGAGACTCAAGAGTAGAGCAATTTTCCTAGAAGCTCCATTGACTAAAGGCTTTGCCCCCAAAATCCCTGAATCCCAGAGAACAGAGTTAATCCTCCCTGTACTTGAAAGAAGTAATAGAAAGGAAAGTAGAAAGCCATTCATTAATCAGAATCTTTATAATAGCCAAGCTTATGAACAGGTTCAAAATGGGCTGTATCAGTGAGAGTTGCTCACAGAAGCAGAACCAAGGAAGTGACTTACACAATTGTGGATCTGATGTCTTAGCACGTTCAGCTGCTACAACAAAATGCCATAGACTACACAGCTTAGAAAAAAATGCTGGTTTATTTGACAAATTTTTACCCAGGTAAAATTAACCTGCCCCTTTGCAAGAAAGATAAAATTAGTCGATTAAGATGTGGAGAAAATGTAATTTCCAATTTAGTTAAATCCAAAGGTGTAAGCTGAAGATACTCTGACTAAACTTCAAGTCCACTCTTGGTGTTTGAACTGTGCCACTGCCTCTCTGTGGAAGTGCTTCAGAATTTTATTGTTACTCTTATTGTTAGTGCCAAATACTGGTGTGATAGTGCTTATATGGGTCATAACCATCATTTTAAAACTTCTTTTTTGTTGTTGTTTTGCTTTTATTTTTTTGAGACAAGGTCTCTCTCTGTCACCCAGGCTAGAGTGCAGTGTGCAATCACAGCTCACTGCAGCCTTGACTTCCTGGGCTCAAGTAATCCTCCCACCTCAGCCCCTGCAGGCACTACAGGCGTGGGCCACCGCACCTGGCTAATTTTTTTTTTTTTTTTTAAGAGACGGAGTTTTGCCATGTTGCCCAGGCTGGTCTAAAACTCCTGGGGTCAAGGGATCTGCGGGCCTTGGCCTCCCAAAATGCTGGCATTACAGGCATGAGCCACTATGCCCGGCCAAAACTTCAATTCCAGACTCAGCGCATGTCCGCTTGCCTACCTTTCTACCCTGTGTGTCCCTGAAGAAAAGTGTCTGGAACAGCCAGCTCAGAGAATGGCACATAAAGGCTATCAGTGCCTGTGTGTAGAATAGAACTGAATTTCTACATCATTGTACACAGATGCAATGTATCTAAAGACTAAAGAACGAACTAAAATCAATTAAAAATCATTTATTAGATCTGTCATCTGAAACTTTTTTAGAAAGAACTAAAGTGTAAATTTAAAAAAATATATTATTTGCACTTCTATTTTTGACATGAATCATCATTATAATGAAAGTCTTCTGCCTTCTTCAGAAGTATGAATAACAGCTGCTAAATCTTTCCATCAATATTTTCACATTGCAACAAAAGCAAGCAGGATCTGGGATTTTGTTTCACGCAAAAATACTTTCACTATATCAGCTAAATTAAAATCTACTCATGAATTTGTTAGCAAGTCTTTCCTGTTGTGGATATTACCTTTCGTTTGGTCTTTAACCATATCCTTCATTCGTCCAAAACTATTTACAAGGGCAGGACAAGTGTTTGCTGATGACTGCAGGAGGCCAGGTGCTATGGGCAGAGAAATGGACAGGAAGAATCTCACTCATTCAGACACATGCGGGGCCAGTTTACCACACTATGAAAGCAGTACATCACAGTGGTTAAAAGCCCTGGCTTTGGAATCAGGAAGATTTGAATTTGAATCCCAGTTCTGCCACTCACGCTATGTGAGCTGGGGCAAGTTACTTAACCTCTCTGCATCCCATCTGCAATATCAATATCATATTTACATTTTCCTCCCAGGGCTGGTGAAAGGTTAAATAAGATGGATATAAAGCATTTAGCATCCTACTAAAAAAAGGTTTAATAGAAGATAGCTGTTATTAAATACTTAATGAAGGGAAAAGTCTGAATTGTGAAATTTTTATTATGTATTTGTTACTTTTATATACATTTAATAACAAGTATACATGATGACCAATATCATCATTTTTAACATAATTATCAATAGATGTTTCTGGAAACCTGGAGAAAGGAGGAGGTAAGTAATTATTTAGCTGAATAAACTGGTATTAATATAGCCTAGCAAAAGACTTGAAAGAATCGTCTTAAATGATTTAGGTAAAAAAATGACTGAAATTTGCATGTTGTTTCTATGTTAGCTAGAGCTCAAAAGTACTTGAAAAAAATTTCCTGAGTGTTTTATTTACAATTTCCTTTCACTATTAAAATTTTATGAAAACTCATTTGATTAGAGATAGTACAAAACTAAATTCTAGCCAGTACTAGTGTGAATGGCACAAGATTTAAAACCAGCAGAATCCGAGTGGATGTGGTTTTTCTCCTTATGTGCGTTCGTGTGTGTGTAGCATGACATTTATACCTAGCCCACCCAGAGACCAAAACAAGGTGCTCATAGGAGAACCAAGCATCTTGGGGTCAGTCACTTTTAATCAAATTAATGTAAACTTAGCAGAACAAAACCTTCTCTACCAGATAAAAGCTGTTGGGCCTGTGGGCTACTTGGGTTAGAAACATTCTTCAACCTTTTTACAACCATAGTACAGAACTACGTTTTTATTCCCCTCCCAATAATTCTGGGCATATCTTTGGTAAGGCACTTATTGTCACGAAGTAGTATCCTGGAGAAAATATCTCCTATTTAGGGTTCAGGAAATAGATCTTTTTAAAAATTCTGGGTTACCACTGAGTACAGACTGTGGGAGAGGAATGACACGACCCCACGCCGTTTACTTTGTCTGTCCTTGGCTGTGGTTCCTCCTTTTGATGGAGTCACCAATTAGGAATCCAAGTCGGCGCAGAGTTCAGTATTCATGAGGGTTTGGGCGGGCAGCGGCATGGAGTACCCAGGGATTCCAACATATTCTCATGACTGAGACACTTTGAGGGAGCCTGACTGGGTAACAGAGAACAGCCCTGACCTTTCAACCCGATGAATTCAAATGCAATTTGTCATCCAATGTAAAATGAATCTGACCATGTGTAATCCCGTAGGATGGAGAGGCCTTGTCCCGGAAAAACTCCAGAACATGAAAGAGGGGCATTGAAAAATAAAACCCACCAAATGGTTAAGGGCACACATCGATATGTCAATAACAAATTCCTTTTTCCAAAATAATGAACAGCCCTGTGATTCCTTGGGCAGGGTAGACACCATGAACACACACAGGAGTCGAAGTGGGGAGTTGCTGCTCTTTTTTTTTCTCCTTGGAATTTGAAATACGTTTTCATATTTGCTTTTCACTCTCTCCTTTTTAACGTTTAAAATTAAGCCATCCTGTGCTGGTTATTGTGTTCTCCTCCTCTTTGTAACCACCGAAGAAGAAAGCTTGAATTGTTACTGTCTCTCTCTTATTTCTGAAACTGCTTTCTCTGGGGAACTTTCTGAATGGATCAGGGCCTGGATCAGGGCAGGATAGAACACACCCTCTGGGAGAGGCTCAGAGAGCCAAACCTGAGATCAAAGCACCCAATCTCTCAAATTCTCTGAGGAAGTGTCCTGGTAGTTCCAGGACCTACTCTGCTTTTTCCACCCAGGGAGCTTTCAGCTGCCTTAGCATTATTTCAAAGAGTATTTTCAAAGTAAATCTCCTGGAGCTGGGTGCAGGGGCACATGCCTATAGTCCCAGCTTGGACTGCTTGAGCCAAGCAGTAAGTTATCAAGGCAACAGTGAGCTATGATTGCACCACTACATTCCAGCCTGGGTAACAGAGTGAGACCCAAACTCTAACCCACCCCTCGACAAAAAAAAAGTAAATCTCTTTTCTGCTATTGTTTCCAGTATGCTTAAGCGTCACCATTAATTGGGTAGCAATTATAAAGGCTGGAATGGCCTGCAAGCCCTGTGAATTATGACATGCATTGTTCCTTTGGCATTTGAATTTCATCATTAACGTCCATTTGAAAGCTTACAATTATGAAATAGAGTGATCTTGTAAATAACTACAAATAATTCACTGTGTGTGAGCACAAGCACACACTTATGCCTAGAAGTCATTTGGTCGATAAGAGTAAAGAAACAAAGACTTCTACAGCTTTAACCTCTGTCCTCTCTATTTTCTCTTGAAGTGTTTTTGAATTTCTTCCCTT
This sequence comes from Homo sapiens, assembly GCF_000001405.40. Lineage (NCBI taxonomy): Eukaryota > Metazoa > Chordata > Mammalia > Primates > Hominidae > Homo > Homo sapiens. The sequence continues at coordinate 73,204,273 of NC_000008.11, forward strand.
GCAAGATCAACAAAATATTCAAGTCTGCGGGAGGGGAGAGGCTGGAGACAAGTGGGTTGAAGGGTACAAACATACAGTTAGATAGAAGGGATACATTCAATGTCTGAGAGCAGAGTAGGGTGACTATAGTTAAGAAAAATGTTTTATACTCGGGTGATGGACACCCTAAATACCCTGAGTTGATCACTACGCATTATATACATGTAACACAATTTCACATGTACCCCATTAATTTGTATAAATTTTTTTTTAAATTCAAAGGTCTCACCCCAACCTGTCAGAGACATCTCTTAAGCCACAATAAGTTAACATCAGTCTTGCCATTTGTAATTATAGAAGAAATATCTCCACTTTCTAGACTTCTACTTTCATGAGGAGCTCAGTGGCCAGGAATGGACCATGACCCAGTGGAATTGTTATGATTTGGAATATTTGAAAAGGTGAACTTTTATCTAAACAGGGTGGTCATGAAAACTATGCTGCATTATTTTCTTTCCCACTTTTATTGTTAAAATAATTGCATTTTGTTACTGTTAAAATATAACAGGAAGAAATTTGCTGCATATCTTTGTTATAAAACATGTTTGCGGCTGGGCGCGGTGGCTCACGCCTGTAATCCCAACACTTTGGGAGGCTGAGGCGGGCAGATCACGACGTCAAGAGTTCAAGACCAGCCTGGCCAACATGGTGAAACCCTGTCTCTACTAAAAATACAAAAACTAGCCGGACGTGGTGGCAGGCACCTATAGTCCCAGCTTCTCAGGAGGCTGAGGCAGGAAAATCGCTCGGACCCAGGAGGTGGAGGGTGCAGCGAGCCGAGATGGCACCACTGCACTCCAGTCTGGGCGACAGAGAGAGACTCCATCTCAAGAAAAAAAAAAGAAAGAAAAAAAAAAGAAAGAAAAAAGAAAACCTGTTTGCCTCCCTTCCCCATCTTTCTCACCTCCCCATACAGAGCTGATGTCCCAGTCACTAATTTTTCACAATCCTGCAATAATGACACACATATTCATACCTTCAAGCCAACCAATGGGCTGTGTTTCCACAACTTGAAATGACCTTCTTGACCTCGTAAAGCCTCCTCCAAATGTTCATACTCCCCTGTAACTCACAAACAGAATTAGGTGCTCTGACCTGTTTTCTCACACAGAATTTTACACACACCTCCATGTCTGCACTTAACCTCTCAATTGGACTCGGCTGCTTACAGGTCTTTCTTTCCCTCAGTGAAGAGCCAAAACACCTATTCATCTCAGCACTCTTATTTTTTTAATTTGTGTCATTTTAATAGAGTATGTCAACCTAGATAACAAACAGAGGGAAACTCTCTAAAGCAAAATGACATTTATTTGGGAATGGGCATTGCAATGGGAATACATGTGCCATAGTAAACTGTGTGTTCAGGGAGATAAAGGAAGATTTTTAAAGAAAAAAGGAGGATTATATAATTATTTTGCGATAATTATCCTTGGCCACACAGATCAATAACAAGGTGGTACCAGTCCGAGGCTGGATAGGAAGTTTTTGGGCAAGTGTCTTCAGCAGAAGTTTTTTTTTTTCTTTTTTTTGAAATGTAAGGTTGCAATGGCCTTTGTGCAATGAAAGGTTGTGGTTTTGGTAGAGTCTTGTATTACTTTTTTGCTGTTTTTGTTTTTGAGAAAAGGTCTCCTCTGTTGGCCAGACTGGAGTGCAGTGGTGCAATCACAGCTCATTGCAGCCTCCATCTCCCGGGCTCAAGCAATCAAGCAATCCTCCCACCTCAGCCTCCCGAGGAACTGGGACTAGAAGTGTGAGACATCACACCAGGTAATTTTTAAATTTTTCTGTAGAGACAAGGTTTCATTGTGTTGCCCAGACTGGTCTTGAACTCCCGAGCTCAAGCGATCTTCCCTCCTCTTGCTGGGATTGCAGGCATGAGCCGTTGCACCCGGCCTTGATAGTTCTTGTTATCAGGCATTCGTGCATGAGATCCCTTCCTTCATGGCCTTCCCCAGCTCTGTTTGTCAGAAGTTTTAACACAATTGACTCCACTTTGATTCTGACAACTTTCACAAGTGCAATGTGATGTTGTGATATATATATATATATATATATATATATATATATATATATATATACACACACATACACAATGTGGAGTGATTTAATAAAGCTAATTATCATATCTATGATCTCACTTAACTTTTTTGTGGTTATACATTTGAACTTTACTTTCTTAGTTATTTTGAAATATACATTATTACTGACAATAGTCACCTGCTGTGCAATAGATCTCGAAACTTATTTGTCCTGTCTAACTGAAACTGTGTACCTCTGGACCAGTAACTCCCCATTCTCGCACTCCACTCCCCCATCAACCCCACCGCCAGCCCAGGTAACCATCATTCCACGCTCATTCTATGGTTTCTACTTCTAGATTTCACATACAAATAAGATAATCAGCATTCTTAATTTCTATCATAGTGCCTACCCTATGTTACCTTCCATAACACAGCTAGTGGTAAATCATTCTCTGATGGAAGTAAATCAGCAATAATTAGGGAAACCCATCACTCTATCACACTACAGGGTCCAAAGCTTTGCTGCTCCTGAGGGAAACTGTATTTTTCATTTTATAAAAACACATGCACCACATAGCATTTCAGTCAACAATGGACCACATATATGAGAGTGGTCCCACAAAATTACAATGGAGCTGGAAAATTTTTATCGCCTAGCATTTACTATACTATTCTTTTTATCTTTATGACTGTACTCCTTCTACTTATTAAAAACAAAAAAAAAAGAACTGTAAGACAGCCTCGGGCAGGTCCTTCAGGAGGTATCCAGAAGAAGGCACTGTTATCATAGGAAATGACAGCTCTATGCCTGTTACTGTCCCTGAAGACCTTCCAGTGGGACAAAGAGGTAGAGCTGGAAGACAGTGACACTGATGATCCTGGCCCTGTGTAGGCCTAGGCTATGTGTGTGCTTATGTTTTCACTTTTAACAAAAAAAATAGCATAAAAATACAAAAAAGCTTATAGAATAAGGATATAAAGAAAGAAAATATTTTTGTATAGCCATGCAATGTGTTTTAAGCTAATTATTATGACAAAACAGCCAAAAAGTTTTTTAAAAGTACAGGCTCATGCCTGTAATCCCAGCACTTGGGGAGGCCGAGGCAGGTGGATCACTTGAGGTCAGGAGTTTGAGCCAGGCTGGCCAACAAGGTGAAACTCTGTCTCTACTAAAAATACAAAAAAAGTTAGCCAGGTGTGGTGGCGGGAGCCTGTAATCCCAGCTACTCGGGAGGCTGGGGCAGGAGAATAGCTTCAACCTGGGAGGCAGAGGTTGCAGTGAGCTGAGATTGCGCCACTGCACTCCAGCCATGGTGACAGAGACTCAGTCTCAAAAAAAAAAAAAAGAAAGAAAAACATTTATAAAGTAAAAAAGTTACAATAAGCTAAGATTAATTTATTATTGAAGACAAAAATTTTAAATAAATTTTGTGTAGCCTAAGTGTACAGTGTCTATAAAGTCTCCAGTAGTTCACGGTAATGTCATAGGCCTTCACAGTCACTTGCCACTTTCTCATTGACACCCAGAGCAGCCTCCAGACCTGCAAGCTCTATTCGTGGTAAGTGCCCTACAGGTGTACCATTTTTTAAGCCTTTTATACTGTATTTTTACTGTATCTTTTCTATGTTTAGATACACAAATACTTACTGTTGTGTTACAGTTGCCTACAGTATTCAGTACAGCAACATGCTGTGCAGGCTTGTGGCCTAGGAGCAACAGGCTACACCTTCTAGCCTTGCTGTGTAGCAGGCTCTGCCATCTAGGTTTGTGTAAATACACCCTACAGTGTTTGCCCAATGATGAAATTGCCTAACGACACATTTCCCAGAATGTATGCCCAATGTTAAGCGATGCATGACTGTATTGAAATCTGTCTGCAACATCTCACAAGCCAAATAATTCCCTCATGCCCAGCCTACCCCAGTCCCCAGGCCACCTTACCTGGAGGTACTACACTAAGTGTATCATTTGTTCTTACAGAATAAACATTCAAGCTTCCACACCATTGCCTTTGGGGGAAGTGAATCTAAAACACACTTTGGGAAGTAATTATATCCGTGTGGATCTTCCCCTGCATGACAAAATCATGCTCCATGCATTTTCTGTTGGAACAGATTATTGGTGAACAGATAGTGAAAATAATTTAAGGTAGAACAGCAAGATACTATTGCATACATTCTAGTTCATTCTAGACTATAAACAGCTTGAGAAAAAAAGTATATTTTCTATAATCCCACAGAGAGTCCCGTGTCCCAAAGGGCTGCAGAGTAGTTAAGAACACAGGATTTGGGCCGGGCGCAGTGGCTTACGCCTGTAATCCCAGCACTTTGGGAGGCAGAGGCGGGTGGATCACGAGGTCAAGAGATCGAGACCATCCTAGCCAACATGGTGAAACCCTGTCTTTATTAATAATACAAAAATTAGCTGGGCGTGGTAGCGCATGCGGTAGCGCACGCCTGTAGTCCCAGCTACTTGGGAGGCTGAGGCAGGAGAATTGCTTGAACCCGGGATACAGAGGTTGCAGTAAGCCAAGATTGCGTCACTGCACTCCAGCCTGGCAACAGAGCGAGACTCTGTCTCAAAACAGTACCTGGGGTTGTTGCAAGGAATAAATGAAATGTTTGTTAAATGTGGAGAAATAGGAATGCTTTTACATTGTTGATGGGAGTGTAAACTAGTTCAACCATTGTGGAAGACAGTGTGGCGATTCCTCAACGATCTGGAACCAGAAATACCATTTGACCCAGCAATCTCATTACTGGGTATATACCCAAAGGATTATAAATCAGTCTACTATAAAGACACATGCACATGTATGTTTATTGCAGCACTATTTTCAATAGCAAAGACTTGGAACCAACCCAAATGCCCATCAATGATAGACTGGATAAAGAAAATGTGGCAGGCCAGGCACGGTGGCTCACACCTGTAATCCCAAAACTTTGGGAGGCCGAGGCGGGCGGATCACGAGGTTAGGAGATCGAGACCATCCTGGCTAACACAGTGAAACCCCATCTCTACTAAAAATACAAAACAAAAAAATTAGCCGGGTGTGGTGGTGGGAGCCTGTAGTCCCAGCTACTCGTGGAGGCTGAGGCAGGAGAATGGCGTGAACCCGGGAGGCGGAGCTTGCAGTGAGCCAAGATCGCACCACCGCACTCCAGCCTGGGCAACAGGTTCCATCCAAAAAAAAGATAAAAGGAAAGAAAGAAAGAAAATGTGGCATATATACACCACGGAATATTATGCAGCCATAAAAAAGAATGAGTTCATGTCCTTTGCAGGGACATAGTTGAAGCTGGAAGCCATCATTCTCAGCAAACTAACAGAAAACCAAACACCACATGTTCTCATTCATAAGTGGGAGTTGAACAATGAGAACACGTGGACACAGGGAGGGGAACATCGCACACCAGGGCCTGTTGGGGGGTGGGGGGAAAGGGAGGGAGAGCATTAGGACAAATATCTAATGCATGCTGGGCTTAAAACCTAGATGACAGGTTGATAGGCACAGCAAACCACCCTGGCCTATGTATACCTATGTAATAAACCTACATGTTCTGCACATGTATCCCAGAACTTAAAGTGAAATTTAAAAACAAATAAATAAATAAAAAGAAATGTTTGTTAAATACTTAGTACAGTACCTGACATAGATCAGACAAGTGACAATAGCAGTTACTAATCCGTACATCCTCTAGGTTTTAACTGCATTGGACCTATGCTTCTCTCACAGGCCTCAATGGAGATGTCATACTCCTTCTTAGCTATCTAGCAGCTCTATGATCTACTGTTCTAGGACTCTTAGCACTACTCCTTTGACAACTGGGAGGGCCAAGGGGGATGTCAGTGAAAGTTGTCATTTTCAAGATAGAGGCGGAATATAATAAGTCACTCACGGCTTGACAGTTTTGAGTGCATTACATTTATATGTGTCTTTCCTGCATTAGTGTTAACTACTGGGCAATAAGGCTGTGAATGAAGGAAAAAAACATTGGAAGGAAGGAGAAAGCCATTCTGGAGCTGGCAGAAAGTGGGGTGTGGGAGGTAATCTTAGATTCTGTATGGTTTTCTTGAACCAAAATAGTACAGAAGTTAGATATTGGTATTGTTCACTTGGAACATAAAGGGAAAGGAAGGGACCAGTGTAAACACTTATTTAAGAGAATAATATGTATGCACATTTTAATTAAACTCTAATATGAACATTTACTCGGTCTCTTTCAAAAACAGAGCTAGGAATATATGGTTTTTCCCTACGTCAACTCTAAACTGTTATCAGGCAGTGTAACAAACCAGAGCTGCCACCCTGGTGGAATAGAGCTCAGGAATGTTCACAGGAGTCTTTCTAAAACACACGTATACCACCACCCCCATTTAAACAGCAGCAATTATTGAAAGAGGACTCAAGTTGAGTTCCTTTCCCCCTCCTTCATCCCCCATGGGGAAAGCGAGGTCTTGTCGGCATGCACCAATGTCATCCCTTTACTGCACATTCATTAATCTGGATTCCTCAAGATGATCTGAGAAACTGCAGACACACAAGGGTGGCCTGTGATAGTCTTTGTTATCAGGAGCCTGCAAGCTTCCTTTCATCTTATTAAAATTATACCCTTTCTGCTAAGGTTGAAAAAAACTAAGAAATTGTAATTGTATCCCACTCAACCTCGTCTGAAAGAGGGGAAAGTGGCCCATCAGACCATCTCAAGTTACAATACGATTCATGTGGTATTCCTATTTCCCACACCAGCCCAGGGACTCCTAGGGTTTTGCTCAATCCCTGGGTGGTGGGAACCCCCCTGAAGGGTTTATAAACCTAACACAATTAAGCACCATGTGACAGACACTGTGCTAATGGCTTTACATGCATTCTTTTACTTACGTCTCCCAACACCCCCAGCATTATTATTATTTTGGGTTTTTTACATCTCCATTTTGACACTTGGCAAGGCAAAGAAACCTGACAACAGTTAAACAGCTGGCAACTTCCAGAGTGGGAATCTGCCCCCAGGCAGCATGACATCACAGCCCACGTGGTTAACCTCTATTCTAACATGAACTTCAAAACTCCAGCCTGCTGTGCTAGGGACTGAATGTTTGTAAACCTCCAAAATTCATATGTTGAAGCCTTCTCTTCAATATGACGGTATCAGGAGGTGGGCTAAATTGATTAATTAGTGATTTTCTTAGTGGATTTCCTCATAACTCTATTTCATGAGGGTGGTGTCCTCATAAATGGTATCAGCGCCCTTTTAAAAAGAGGAGGAGACACGAGATTCTCTTTCTCTCAGTCATATGAAGACACAGTAAGAAGGCTGTCTCCAAACAAGGGAGCCAGCCCTCACTAATTGCCAGGTCTGTTGGCACCTTGATCTTGGATTTCGCACCCTCCAGAACTGTGAGACAGAACTGTTTGTCACTAAAGCCTCCAGTTTATAGGATTGTTACAATAGCCTGAGCCAAGACATGCTTGGTGAAGATGCCCGCCATGTTGCTAGTAGGCCCATGATATTCCACTCCCCCCGGCTGCTCTGAAAGCAACAGATGTGGCACTCAGCAACCAGCCAGCCAGGTGAGGCTCTAGTTTGGTCCCTAAGGCTATCTCCCTGACCCCTTGGTTGGACTTCAGAGGGAATGGAAATCAACTCGGGCTGTAGCCATATCCTGTTGGCCTTCCCAGGGCATGGACAAGCTGTGATAATCCTGCAAATAAATAGGGTGGGGAAGATCAGTTCAACTATAGGGTTGGCAAACATTCGCAGGCCACTTAGAAGAGCTGCAGCTTTAATCATGCTGTCTTAGAGAGATTTCAACATGGCAGAGTGGGCATTGGTGGTGACATGTTCAGACACTTGGAGAATTTATCTTCCTTCCTGCCCTTTGGAGAATTATCTTCCTTCCTGCCCTTTTTTGCACTGCCCTTCCTCATCCTGTCTACCCAAGCACCATGGGGTTGTGCCTCTCCTTCAGTGATTTTATTAATCAGGATGCTCCAGTGTCCAAGTGGTCCTGGAAATTCCACCCCAAAAAAGGTGTAAAGTCAAGGGGCGGCTGATGCCTCTCCTGATACTGCATTGCTGATGGCTGTCAGTCTCCCCATCCTGTGTGGCAGCCTTGCAAGAACAGGGACCATGCTTATTTTTCTTTAGATTTTTCAATGACTTAGTGCCTGGTACATGGAAGATCAATATATATTGAAATAAATTGATTAATTAGTGATTTTCTTAGTGGATTTCCTCATAACTCTATTTCATTTATTGACTTAATATGGTCTCCATACCAGAAATGAAGTCTTAAAGAAAGTCAGTGCTGTGCATTTACATTAGTTCACAACATTTATGCCATCCCATCACACAGGTATCCATGCTCACTTATCCACACTATCCTGTAAAATCCCTGAAGGCGAGGACCATGTCTTACCCACACTTGAATGTCCACTGCAGTTGCCTTCACATGGTAGGCTCAATGGTTTTTCAGCTGATTTGAATAATCTCTCTGCAAGGAAAAACTGTATGCTGAAACAGAAATCTTCACCCAAGCCCATCTACAACTTCTGCTAAGGAATTCAGGAGTGGATTTCTCTCTAATCTTGCCAAATTATAAGAAATATTTCTTGAGCTACTGAGACTTTCACAGGAATTCACAGGTTCACAATACAGTGTAACAAGGCTGTCTACTCCCTTTTGCTCTCCTGCTTAGGGGCTCTCCATAAGGCAGAGGCTTGCCAAATCTCGCCACTGTGTGTTGAGCTTTCATCTCAGTATATGACTAGGACTCTCTGCCTTCAGTCCCATTCTGTCTATGTAAGCAATACCAGAGAGCCTCCATACTCCAGCAGCTGGCAAATTTCTCTCTAAGATCAATTTCCATCTATGTTGAAGTTATGATTAACTCTACTCTTTCCTAAAGCTGTGGGGTTGAGATGGATGGATCTTCTCTGATCTAGCCACTCCTAGGCAGCAGCACAAGCATTTCACCAGTCCCAAGCATCTTAGGCCCTATGCCAACTATCAGACCTGTGTCATGTTGGGGTTCGAGCACCTGCGCCTCAGGATATAGAAACCCTCCTTCTCTTTCTTCCAGTCCTTTTCAGATCAGAGTCCTTCAACACTAAACATCTTATTCCTCTCCTCCTCCTCCGTAGAACCTGAGGGCGCATCGGTTACAGTTTGGCAGTAGAAGAGTCCCAAGGCATAAAAAGGTCTATTTAGCTTCCATAAGGTTGAGGACAACCCTGCCATAGAAACAGAAAAGGCTTCCACCTTTTTCTGGGAAGTTGATGCCTTTCCTCCTCCCCACTACTGCCCAGCCCTCCAGCCCCACTGCAGCCCAGGAGAGGGTCCTCCTGCTACCACAGCAGAAGGCAGGGCACAAGTAAAGGCCTCAGCAGCTCACTCCTCCAGTTTCTGAGGAGATAGCCTTCCACAAGTCCTATCGTTCTTTTTCCCCTTTTGTACCAAGCTTCAGAATTTTTTGCCTATTTGTTGGAATGGTAAGAGTGAAGTCAAGAAAAAAAAATAAAAATAAACTAACAGAGAAGAAAGGAAGTCAGTCCTAAACAAAACACCAAGAGAACTCAAGATTGTAGATGTGAACATATTTAATACCACTGAATTGTACACTTAAAAATGGTTAGAATGGTAATTTTGGGGTTTTTGTTTTTTGAGACATGGTCTCATTCTGTTGCCCAGGCTAAAGTACAGTGGCACATAGCTCACTGCAAACTCAAACTCCTGAACTGAAGAGATCCTCCTGCCTCAGCCTTCTGAGTAGCTGGGATACAGGCATGCAACACCACACCTGGCTAACTTTTTTTATTTTTTGAAGAGATAGGGTCTTGCTATGTTGCCCAGGCTGTTCTCAAACTCCTGACCTCAAGCAATCCTCCTGCCTCAGCCTCCCAAAGTGCTGGGATTACAGTTGTGAACCAAAGTGCCTGTCAATTTATCGTTTTGTGTATTTTATCACAATTTAGAAAAAAAAGATTGCAGAAGCACAACCTGTAGTTGGAAGGAGAGGGGATAGTTGTCAGAAATTGTTTCAAGTATATATGCCAGATCTTCTAAAGTGTAAATCAATTTGTGAATATATTTAACCTGCTAAATACTTTTTTTTTTTTTGAGACGGAGTTTCACTCTTGTTGCCCAGGCTGGAGTGCAATGGCGTGATCTTGGCTAACCGCAACCTCTGCTTCCCAGGTTCAGGCAATTCTCCTGCTTCAGCCTCCCTAGTAGCTAGGATTAGAGGCACGTGCCAACACACCTGGCTTATTTTGTATTTTTAGTAGAGACGGGGTTTCTCCATGTTGGTCAGGCTGGTCTCAAACTCCTGACCTTGGCCTCCCAAAGTGTAGGGATTACAGGCATGAGCCATGGTGCCCAGCCTAAAATACCTTTATATTAAATGAAATTGGCTTGTTATGAGCCAAAGGCATCTTTTCTTCCAACATTTTTGTTGTCACCAAAACAACACTCTATAAGCCTAGACTCCAAGTCTGTCAGCTACCACAAAAATTATAAGTTCTAGGATAAGGTCCCTGATAGTATTATTTCACCAGGCCCAGTTTTTAGAAGATAGGTTTTTGGTCTCTTTGTGCATACATTACCTCAGATTATACTTAGGCTTGTAGAGTTGTAGGAAAATTACACACTGATGTCTCTTTAGTTTCAGGTAAAAACATGGCACAAGCAAAGCACTCTCAATAATCAAAAAGCATTCCTCTCTTTATACATCTATTTTGTGTAGATATCAACTTGTATTCCAAGAACTATAAATTGTGCCTGTAACTGTGAACACATACATTTTCTCTGTTTAGCTTAATATTCTCGTGGGATCAACAGGTACTGATGGCAATTTCTATACTTCTTTAAACATAAACATCAATCAGGGTACAGACTGTAAGCATTTTGAAAATGCCATACATTAAGAGACAAGAACTGCTTGAGGAATCACAAATATTTATTCTAAAGCAGGTCTTAAATTCAGCTTTCTTCTGACTTGGACTGTCTGCTGAAGTCTGCCCTGCACTCAACATTCTAAGCCCATTCAATTAGAAGCCAGCTCTTCATAATTCCAGGTAGCAGTCCCCCTCATTTTCAAATGCAGAAAAATTCAGACAGAAAAACCAGAGGAATATTAAGCACTTGAAATTCTATGGCTGATTATAAGAGTCTATGATGGACCTAATGGAGGTTTGGAAAGTGTTCCTGATGGCAGCGTGCTGTAGAGAGCCGCCACCTAGAAACCATGTGACACCAAGGGAGCCTCTGGACTTAGGAACACACTTTTGTCTTTATTCACAAAATCACTCATATGTTTTGGGTTTTGTTAAATAAAAACAGCATATTCTTTATTTTGCATACTTTAGATTCAGAACAAAATGATCAAACAATAAAACCACAATACATAACATCCAATCCTGCTGTCAGAGAAGGGAGGGAATGGGGCTTGAGGCCCTTGTTTCCTGCCTGAGACACAAGGACAGGAGAGGAAAAAACACTAGACATTAGCAGAGGGAGCCACGTAGGACAAGGCACACAAGGCTGCGGTGAGAACCGTGGGGACATTATATGAAGACCCAAGGTATAAACTCCTGATCTTCTATGCAAGATGCATCTTCATTGCCCTCAAAGCTAGAGAATCTCATCAGGAACTGCAGCACTGGGTTCCTCTGCTTCCACTTCATCCTCAACAGGCCTAGCTTGATCCTGCAGTCAATCTAGTTGGAGTGAGTTTGGGGATCCTCAAGGAAGAAGCCAGAAGAGAGCAGCACGGTTTCAAACAGCAGCACCATCAGGTCCCTGACTGCCTTGCTGTTCCTATCAGCCTCAGCCTTCTGCTGCAGCATCTCCACAATGGGGTGGTTGGGGTTGATCTCCAGGTGCTTTTTGGCCATCATGTAGCCCATGGTAGAGTTGTCCCGAAGTGCCTGGGCTTTCATGATCTGCTCCATATTGGCTGTCCAGCCATAGGTGCTGGTCACAATGCAACAGGGTGAAGACACAAGCCTATTGAAGATTGTCATCTTCTCAAACTTTTTATCTAAGATTTTTTTTCATGAGCTTGCAGAGGTTCTCAAACTTTGCCTTGCTCTCTTCCATTTTCTTCTCCTCATTCTCAGGTAGCTCCAGACTCTCCTTGGTAACTGAGACCAGGCTTTTCCCATCAAATTCCTTGAGCTGCTGCACACATTGGACTCATCAATGGACTCAGTCATAGAGACTACCTTGAAGCCCCGCTTCCACACTCGGTCCACAAAAGCAGAATTGGCCACCTGCTCTTTGCTCTCACCAGAAAATTACTCATGTTACATCCACGTGTAACTTCACTGTCCAAGGCTGAAATGAAATCATGTGATTTGAATGTTTCCCCTTCAAAATTCACGTGCTGCCAATGGGAGAGTATTAAGAGGTGGAGCCTTGGCTGGGCGCGGTGGCTCACGCCTGTAATCCCAGCACTTTGGGAGGCCGAGGTGGGTGGATCATGAGGTCAGGAGATAGAGACCATCCTGGCTAACACGGTGAAACCCCGTCTCTACTAAAAATACAAAAAATTAGCCGGGCATGGTGGTGGGCGCCTGTAGTCCCAGCTACTCGGGAGGCTGAGGCGGGAGAATGGCGTGAACCCGGGAGGCGGAGCTTGCGGTGAGCTGAGATGGCGCCACTGCACTCCAGCCTGGGCCACAGAGGAGACTCCGTCTCAAAAAAAAAAAAAAAAAAAAAAAAAAGAGGTGGAGCCTTTAAGAGGTGATGAGGCCATGGGGCTCCTCCCTTGTGAGTGAGATTAGGTGCCCTTATAAAAGAGATTTACAGAGGGAGTTCGTACCTTTTACCCTTCCACCTTCAGCCATGTGGGGAAACAGCACTCTTTCCATCTGGAGGAAACAAAAATGAGGCACCATCTTGGAAGCAAAGACCAGGCCGTCACCAGACACTGAAACTGTCAGCACCCTGATCTTGAACTTCTCAGCCTCCAGAACTGTATGAAATAAATTCCTGTTTTTTATGAATTAGCCAGTCTCAGGTATTTTGATGTAGTAGCATAAAACAGACTAAGACCATGATGGAAAACCTTTATTAAACCATAAATAATTGTACAGATGCCAGTAATCACTAATATTTTAAACCATAACTTAGGGTTCTACAATATTTTAACCTATTTTTTGAGATATGGAAGCTAGACTTTTCCTCCTCTAAAATTTGAGGCCCTCAATGAGGTGAGGAAAAGGAATTAGTGACAATCAATTTTGTATCCACAGCACTAATTTAATGCCCAACACAAATAGCCCATTAATTATAGGCAAACCTCAGAGATATTGCAGGGTCAGTTCCAGAACACCATGACAAAGTGAGTCACACAATTTTTTTTGGGTCCCCAGTCATATAAAAGTTATGTTTACACTATACTGTGGTCTATTAAGTGTGCAATAGCATAATGTCTTTAAAAGTGAACATACCTGTGATATTATTTGATATGGTTTGGCTCTGTGTGCCCACCCAAATCTCATGTTGAATTGTAATTCCCAATGTTGGGGGAGGGACTTGGTGGGAGGTGATTGGATCATGGGGGCGGGTTTCCCCCATGCTGTTCTTGTGATAGTGAATGAGTTCTCATGACAGCTGATGGTTTAAAAGTGTGTGGCACTTTCCCCCTTGTTCTCTCTCTCTCCTGCCGCCATGTGAAGAGGTGCTTGTTTCCTCTTCACCTTCCACCATGATTGTAAGTTTCTGACACTATCTTGAGGTAGATAGTGTCAGAATTAAATTAGAGGATACTCAGTTCGTATCTGCAGCAGAACTGCAGATTGCTTATTTTTTGGTGGGGAGTAATCCCCCACATTTGGTCACAGAACTTTTTTGTGTTGATTGTTGTTGTGTTTTGAATGAGAAAAGAGGAAAAACATGGTTTGAATTTTTCCCTACCTTAATTTAAAAATATTTTATTGCTAAAAAATGATAATAATCATCTGAGCCTTCAGTGTGTCATCATCTTTTTGCTGGTGGAAGGTCTTGTCTTGATTCTGATAGCTACTGACTGATCAGGGTGGTGTAAAAGGTGAGAGTGATTATGGCAATTTCTTAAAATAAAACCACAATAAAGTTTTCGCATTGATTGACTATTCCTTGATTGAGTTCTCTGTAGCATGAGAATGCTATTTCATAGTATTTTCCCACAGGAGAACTTTTTTCTTTTTTAAAAAACATTGCTTTAGTTTTTTTATGTTCCAGGGTACATGTGCAGAATGCAGGTTTGTTACACAGTAAACACCTATGTAACACAGCTTTGCTGCACCTATCAACCCATCACCTAGGTATTAAGCCCAACATGCATTAGCTCTTTTCCCTAATGCTCTCCCCTTCCCCCACCCTCCCCCAATAGGCTCCAGTGTGTGTTGTTCCCCTCCCGGTGTCCACGTGTTCTCATTGTTCAGTTCCCACTCATAAGTGAGAACATGCGGTGTTTGGTTTTCCATTTCTGCATTAGTTTGCTGAGGATAATGGCTTCCAGCTTCATCCATGTCCCTGCAAACGACATGATCTCATTCCTTTTTATGGCTGCATAGTATTCCATAGTTTATCATTGATGGGCATTTGGGTTGATTCCATGTCTTTACTATTGTGAATAGTGCTACAATGAACATATGCATGCATGTATCTTTACAATAGAATGATTTATATTCCTTTGGATATATACCCAGTAATGGGATTGCTGGGTCAAATGGGATTGCTGGGTCAAATGGTATTTCCGGTTCTAGATCTTTGAGGAATCACCACACTGTCTTCCACAATGGTTGAACTAATTTGCATTCCCACTAACAGTGTAAAAGTGTTCCTGTTTCTCCACAACCTCACCAGCATCTGTTGTTTCTTGACTTTTTAGTAATCACCATTCTAATATGAGATGGTATCTCATTGTGGTTTTGATTTGCATTTCTCTAATGATCAGTTATGTTGACCTTTTATTCACATGTTTGTTGGCCGCATATGTGTCTTTTTTTAAGGTGTGTCTGTTCATATCCTTTGCCCACTTTTTAATGGGGTTGTTTGTTTTTTCTTATAAATTTGTTTAAGTTCCTTGTAGATTCTGGATATTCGACCTTTGTCAGATGGATAGACTGCAAAAATTTTCTTCTATTCTGTAGGTTGTCTGTTTACTCTGATGACAGTTTCTTTTGCTGTGTAGAAGCTCTTTAGTTTAATTGGATTCCATTTGTCAATTTTTGCTTTTGTTGCAATTGCCTTTGGCAATTTCATCATAAAATATTTGACCATGTCTATGTCCTGAATGGTATTGCCTAGATTTTCTACTAGGGTTTTTAAGGTTTTGTGTTTTACATTTAAGTGTTTAATCCAACTTGAGTTAATTCTTGTATAAGGTATAAGGAAGGGACCCAGTTTCAATTTTCTGCTGGATCTGGCTAGCCAGTTCTCCCAGCACCATTTATTGAATAGGGAATTCATTCCCCATTGCTTGTTTTTGTCAAGTTCATCAAAGATCAGATAATTGTAGGTGTGTAGCCTTATTTCTGGGTTCTCTATTTTTTCCATTGGTGTATGTGTCTGTGTTTGTACCAGTACCATGTTGTTTTGGTTACTGTAGCCTTGTAGTATAGTTTGAATGTAGTATAGCATGATGCCTCCAGCTTTGTTCTTTTTGCTTAGGATTGTCCTGGCTATACGAGCTCTTTTTTGGTTCCATGTGAATTTTTAAATAGCTTTTTCTAATTCTGTGAAGAATGTCAATGGTAGTTTAATGGGAATAGCAGCATTGAATCTATAAATTGCTTTGAGCAGTATGGCCATTTTCACGATATTGATTCTTTCTATCCATAAGCATGGAATGTTTGTCCATCTGCTTGTGTCCTCTCTGATTTTATTGAGTAGTGGCTTGTAGTTCTCCTTGAAGAGGTCCTTAACTTCCCTTGTTAGCTGTATTTCTAGGTATTTTATTCTCTTTGTGGGAATTGTGAATGGGAGTTCATTCATGATTTGGCTCTCTGCTTGTCTGTTGTTGGTGCATTTCTGCACATTGTGATTGTGATTTCTGCACATTGATTTTGTATCCTGAGACTTTGCTGAAGTTGCTTATCAGCTTAAGAAGCTTTTGGGCTGAGTCGATGGGGTTTTCTAGATATAGGATCATGTCCTTTGCAAACAAAGACAATTTGACTTCCTCTCTTCCTATTTGAATACCCTTTATTTTTTTCCCTTGCCTGATTGCCCTGGCCAGAACTTCCAATACTATGTTGAGTAAGAGTGGTGAGAGAGGGCATCCTTGTCTTGTGCCAGTTTTCAAAGGGAATGCTTCCAGCTTTTGCCCATTCAGTCTGACATCGGCAGAAGGTTTCTCATAAATGGCTCTTAATATTTTGAGGCATGTTCCTTCAATACCTAGTTTATTGAGAGTTTTTAACTTAATGTTGAATTTTATAAAAGGCCTTTTCTGCATCTACTGAGATAATCATGTGGTTTTTGTCTTTAGATCTGTTTATGTGATGAATTATGTTTATTGATTTGGGTGTATTGAACCAGGCTTGCATCCCGGGGATGAAGCCAACTTGATCATAGTGGATAAGCTTTTTGATGTGCTACTGGATTCAGTCTGCCAGTATTTTATTGAGGATTTTTGCATCTATGTTCATCAGGGATATTGGCCTGTTTTCTTTTTTTGTTGTATCTCTGCCAGGTTTTGGTATCAGGATGATGCTAGCCTCATAAAATGAGTTAGGGAGGAGTCCATCCTTTTCAATTGTTTGGAATAGTTTCAGGAGAAATGGTACCAGCTCCTCTTTGTACCTCTGGTAAAATTCAGCTATAAATCCATCTGGACCTGGGCTAAGCTATTGGTTGGTAGGCTATTTATTACTGTCTCAATTTCAGAACTTGTTATTGTTATTAGTCCCATCAGGGATTCAACTTCTTCCTGGTTCAGTCTTAGGAGGGTGTAGGTGTCCAGGAATTTATCCATTTCTTCTATATTTTCCAGTTTATTTGCATAGAGGTGTTTATAGTATTTTTTGATGGTTGTTCGTATTTCTGTGGGGTCAGTGGTGGTATCCCTCTTATCATTTCTGATTGTAAGTATTTGAATCTTCTCTCTTTTCTTCTTTATTAGTCTCATTAGCAGTCTATCTATTTTATTGTGTGTTTCAGAAAACCAGCTCCTGGATTCGCTGATTTTTTTGAAGGATTTTTCATTTCTCTATGTCCTTCAGTTTCACTCTGAGCTTTCTTATTTCTTGTCTTTGGTTAGCTCTGGGGTTCGTTTGCTCTTGGTTCTCTAGTTCTTTTATTTGTGATGTTAGGGTGTCGATTTGAGATCTTTTTAGCTTTTTGATGTGGGCATTTAGTGCTACAAATTTCCCTCTTAGCACTGCTTTAGCTATGTCCCAGAGATTTTGGTATGTTGTCTCTTCGTTAGGAGAACTTTTTTCAAAATTTCAGTCAATTTTCTCAAATCTTGCTGCTGCTTTATCAACTAAGTTTATACTACATTCTAAATGTTTAATTGTCATTTCAACAATGTTCACAGCATTTTTGACAGGCGTAGATTCCATCTCAAGAAATCACTTTCTATGGTTATCTATAAAAAGCAACTCCTCATCCATTCAAGTTTTGTCATGAGATTGCTGCAATCCCCTGACAAGTACCACATCTGCAGTTACTTCCTCCACTGAAGTCTTGAACCCCTCCAGGTTACACTTGAGGGTGCAAATCAACTTCTTCCAAACTCCTGTTAATGATGATAGTATGACCTCCTCTTGTGAATCATGAATGTTCTTAACAGTATGTAGAATGATGACTTTCTAGGAGTTTTCCACTGTACTCTGCCCAGATCCAAGAAAGGAATCCAATCTATGGCAAGCAAAGCCTTACTAAATATATTTTTTAAATAATAAGACTTACAACTCAAAATTACTCCTTAATCCATAGGCTGCAGAATGGATGTTGTGTTAGCAGGCATGAAAACAATGCTTATTTCCCGGTACATCTCCATCAGAACTCTTGGGTAACTAGGTGCATGGTCAATAAGCAGTAATATTTTGAAAGAAATCTCTATTTTTTTCCTGTGGAGTAGGTCTCAATAGTGAACTTAAAATATTCACCAAACCATGCAGTAAACACGCGCTGTCATCCAGACTTTGTTGTTCCATTTCTAGAGCAGAGGCAGAGCAGATTTAGTATAATTCTTAAGGACCGTAGGATTTTCAGAATGGGAAATGAACAATGGCTTCAAGTTAAAGTCACCATTATATCAGTGCCTAACAAGAGAATCAATCTATGTGTTGAAGCTTTAAAGCCAGGCATATTAGGCTGGTCTTATGTTGCTATAAAAAAATACCTGAGGTGGCTGGGCACGGTGGCTCATGCCTGTAATCCCAGCACTTTGGGAGGCCAAGGCAGGCAGATCACTTGAGGTCAGGAGTTTGAGACAAGCCTGGCCAACATGGCAAAACCCCATCTCTACTAAAAATACAAAAATTAGCTGGGCGTGGTGGTGCACATCTGTAATTCCAGCTACTTGGGAGGCTGAGGCAGGAGAATCGCTTGAATCTGGGCGGTGGAGGCTGCAGTGAGCTGAGATTGCACCACTGCACTCCAGCCTGTGTGACAGAGCGAGACTCCGTCTCAAAAAAAAAAAAAAACTGAGGCTGGGTAATTTATAAAGAAAGGAGGCCTAATTGGCTCACGGTTCTGCAGGCTTTATAGGAAGCATGGTGCTGGCATCTGCTTGCCTTCTGGGGAGGCCTCAGGAAACTTACAATCATGGCAAAAGGCAAAGCAGGAGAAAGAGAAGGCAGGGGAGGTGCCACACAATTCTAAACAACCAGATCTCGTGAGAAATCCCTCACTATTACAGCAACAGTACCAAGGGTATGGCACTAAGCCATTCATGAGAAATACACCCCTATGATCCAGTCACTTTCCACCAGGCCCCACCTCCAACATTGGGGATTACATTTCAACATGAGATTTGGGTGGGGGCAAATATCTAAACTATTTCACCAGACATCACCTTCTCATTTGTAGCTATGAAAGTCCTAGATGGCATCTTCTCACAACATATGGTTGTTTCATCTACACTGAAAATTTGTTGTTTAGTGTAGCCACCTTCATCAATGATCTTAGCTAGATCTTCTGGATAACCTGCTGCCACTTCTCCATCATCACTTGCTGCTTCACCTTGCACTTTTATGCTATGGAGATGGTTTCTTTCCTTAAATTTCATGAACAAACAACCTCTGCTAGCTTCACACTTTTCTTCTGCAGTTTCCTCACCTCTCTCAGCCCTCATGGAATTGAAGAGAGTTGGGCCTTGCTCTGGGTTAGGCTTTGGCTTAAGAGAATGTTGCAGCTGGTTTGATCTTCTATCCAGACTGCTAAAACTTTCTCTATATTAGCAATAAGACTGTTTCACTTTCTTACTTTTTGTGTGTTCACTGGACTAGCACTTTTAATTTCCTTCAAGAAATTTTCCTTTGCATTCACAGCAGGGCTAACTGGTGCAAGACACCTAGCTTTCTACTTATCTTGAGTTCCGACATGCCTTCCTCACTAAGCTTAATAATTTCTAGGTTTTGACGTAAAGTGATAGACATGTGATGCTTCTTTTCAGTTGAACACTTAGAAGCTATTGTAGGGTTATTAATTGGCCTAATTTCAATATTGCTGTGTCTCAGGGAATAGGGAGTTTGAGGAGAGGGAGAGAGATGAGAAATGACTGGTCAATGGAGCAGTCGGAACCCACACAACTATCAATTAAGTTCACCCTCTTATGTGGGTGCAGTTTGTGATGTCCCAAAACAATTACAATAGTAACATCAAAGATCACTGATCACAGATCACTGTAACAGAAATAATAATAAAGACAAACTTTGAAATATTGCAAGAGTCACCAAAATGTGACACATAGACATGAAGTGAGCACATCCTATTGGAAAAATGACGCCGATAGACTTGCCCAATGTAGGGTTGCCACAAACCTTCAGTTTGTAAAAAGTGCAGTATCTGTGAGATGCAATAAAGCAAAGTGCCATAAAATGAGGTGTGCCTGTAAATGTTGCTGAGTGAATGAGTATGACTGGGGCAAGCAGAGACGTGCCCATGAGTCAG
The DNA here is from genome assembly GCF_000001405.40 of Homo sapiens. Classification (NCBI taxonomy): domain Eukaryota; kingdom Metazoa; phylum Chordata; class Mammalia; order Primates; family Hominidae; genus Homo; species Homo sapiens. Next base: position 73,224,447 of record NC_000008.11, read on the forward strand.
GACTGCAGAAGAGCACTTTTTGCATGGAAAGGATATCAAAAATGAAGTACTCAAAGAGAACTGCATCATGAAGGAGAAACTTGGATTTGTGATTCAGGCAAGTCCAGGTTCAAATCCTGGCTCTGCAATTTACCAGCTGCAGAAACTTGGGTAAGTTACTAACTTGCAATTTATTTGCCTATAAAATGGGGGAAAAAATTCCTTCATCTTACCAGTCACCATGAGGATTAGAAATAATGCATGTAAACATTAGTTTTAGATTCCTAGAGCCACCAAAACCAATAAACACAAACTGGGTGGCTTAAAACAACAGGAATTTATTCTCTTAAAGTTCCAGAGGCTCGAAGTGTGAGAACAAGGGGACATGCTCCCTCTGAAGGCCATAGGAGAGAATCACTCCCCTCTTCCAGCTTCTGGTGGTTCAGGAGATCCCTGGCTGGCAGTTGCATCACTTCAGTCTCTTCTCCTGTCTCCACATGGTCTTCTCCTCTTCTCCTGGATCCCTTTATCTGTCTCTTATAAGGACTCTACACTTGTCTTTGGATTTAGGGTCCACTCAGATAATCCAGGATGATCTCATTTTGAGATCCTTAACTTAATAACATTTGCAAAGGCCCTTTTTCCAAATAAGTTCACATTCATGGGTTCCAGCCGTTAGGATATAAACATATCTTTTGGGAGGGCCGCCATTCAAGCCAAAATAGTACAGGTTGAGTATCCCTCATATTCAACTTGTGGAAGTGAGTTGGAACCAGAAGTGTCTTGGATTTTGAATTTTTTCAGATTTTGGAATATCTGCATTACCCTATGGATATCATGCAGCCTTTTTTTTGACATTTTCAACAATATCTTTATACCACAGAGCACACGCCAAAAAACAGTGAGCAATGCACGTAAGCCTTAGCCCCAGGTGGGGCATCATGGGGGAGCTGCTGTTGGTGTGTCCAGCTGGCACACGTACCATTTTATAGCTTTTTATGGTTGTGCTTGCATGGGGAATTTGAGTCTGCACAGATATATTGCAGCTTAAATGGACTGGGTCTTTTTTTCCTTGAGGACACCGAATACACTGTGTCACGCACCTGTGTGTTGACTGTGATCCATCACATGTGATCAGATCTGGGATTTTCCACTTGCGGGGTCATGTCAGTGCTCAAAAAGTTTTGGATTTTGCAGCACTTTCAATTTTCCCATTAGGGATATTCAACATGCATTTAATATGTACCAACATAGAGTAGCCACAGAATAGATGAACCACTGCTCAATAATAGCCCACTAGAGTAATAATTATTATCACTATTTTTCGTGTGGAAGGACAAGGCTTTTCTCTCCCTCACCACCACCCCCCAGCCCTCCACCACCACCACCCTTTTTTTTGGCTCCTGCCCTCACCCTTGTTTGGAAGGGGAGCTTCACTTGAATAACACATCAAAGAAGTGCATGGGAGTGGCCTCATTTGCCAGGAGGGAAATGGGTTGGTTTCATAGGTGTTCCACTGTGAAAAGACTAAAAGACCAGGATTACCTCTAAGGAGGAGGACCATTTACAAGCTGCTACCGTCCCATCTCCTCAGGAAAAATAATCGCCAGAACCTTGATCTCCCCTGCCAAGGTGGGGGAGCAGGGAGGCTACAGAGGTTAAAAACAAAGAGGGAGGACACCAGGAAGACAGGATTCCTGGATGCCCAATTCACTCCGACTATATGAGTAAAGTCAAAAGCATTTTCCACTACCATTTGGGCTCCGTAAGTGTTGATTACCGGATGCCCACAAGATTTTTTTATGGTGATGGGCAGTGACACATGGCCTTTCCATAGGAAGATGTTGCTCCCATCCAGCCCAACTCCTTACTGTAAAGGTTCCCTTCTCTCGCCACTCCCTCTCCCTGCATTTCACAGGCTGTTCATGCTGAAGGGCACATCCAAGTTCACTAGTTCAAGTGTCCCTGGAAGGAAGATCTGGTCCTCCGTCTGATCTCTGTGTTAGAGACCTCAGCTAGAACCAAACAAAACCAACAGACTTGGTGGGACTGGAGGCAACGTCAAATGGCCTCAGGGTTCTGTGTGGGTTTCGTTGAGTTTTTGCTTCCTTGGGCGTCATATTCTCCTCCTTGTCTCTTTTCCCCTCGATCCCTCCCACCTTCCCACCTGGGAACACTTAGCCATGCCTACCACTCATAATTGCCCTCAATTTGGCATTCAATCCTCACATTAGGGACCCACCCCAGACTCAGCCACACCCAGACTCTACTTCAGCCTCAGTCTCAGTCAGTAGAAAAGCCTGGAAGGCAGAGCAGAGTAGCATCTCAGACGCACCCGTGGCCCCCGGTTCTAATACTGCTTTTACCTTGTGATCTCTGCTGATTATTCTCCATCTCCTTACCCACATCCACTCTCTGTTCACCCTGCTCTGCACCTCAAGAAGCTGACTCCCGTGGAATGCAGGACCTGTGCTCCATTATCAACAGACTGTGAACAGGGGTTGGCCATGGGAGGCACACAGGCAGGAGGTGGAAAGAGGGAGTAGAAAGAGTCAGGAACTTCCCTGCTCCCCATGCGGCACCATCTCTGGCATCCCTCATAACCACAGCTCCTACCAGGCAGCACTTCTTCTGCAGTGCCTGTTCCTACTGGCTCTCCCTTTGGCCCTTTAGCCCTAAGGGTGGCAACAGCTTTTCACTGTGTTAGTCTCCAGGTACATCACAATCGTGTCTGCTTCTTTAACCCTGTCCATAAAGTCTCTTCATTTGAGCCATTTCCTAAGAGGAGCCCTACCAATACATGGTCAAGCCATCTTCTTCTTCTTCTACTCCTGGGTGCTTATCTTCATTCCTACCTAATACCATACTTTGGTTTCTCTGGGGAGAGGTGTAATGAATACTGTAGTGTGCCATCCAAATTGCATCTTGAGAGCTGCAGTACTTGCTCCTCAGTTGCTGAGAGTGTCCACAGGAGAGGCCCTCCTGAGAAATTTCCCTCGGCAGAAGAGATCTACCTTGCCCAGGGTCGCACCCCATGATCCATGATCCCATGATCTTGTGGCTGACTAGTGCAGGGAGGGGTGGAGTTTATAAAGGTGAAATCTCCTTGCCTCAGAGCAGGAAAATCCTGAAGGTCTTTTCCAGTTCCACAGATCCATGTGGGATTGGTGGAAGCCTTCACTGAGGCTGCACTGCTGTTCAAGTCCTCTGCCCAATCATTTTGCTTGCCCACCCTCCTGGGAACTGTTACTGAAGGCACAGCCAGTAAAATTCTGGCACATGTGGAGTTCTCTTCCCTGGGAACATGTCCTTAGGCAATGAGTTCTTGACTAAAGACCAGGAAGTGGTCTCTCAACTATATGCTGCTAGTCTTTGAAGACAGGGCCTGCCAGACTAGACTCAATTTCCTTCTTCCATCTGGTCCTACCCTATGTTTGCCACTTAGCTGTCCAGGTATCCTACCTGTTCTCCACCCTTTGGAAATTCCATCCCATCTCCCTCACCTTACTCAGAGTCCAGCATCTCTGATCTGAACCATCTCATCGCCAACTAACATCCTTTCTTGCAAAATAATAAAGATTCTTCTCAGTTCACATGAGGTGCTGGGGATAGTGCTAGGTACTAGGGACATAGAAATGAGTAAGAAGTAGTTTCTGCCTTGGAGGAGCTCGAATCCCACATGTGCCAATTTACCAGCTGTAGACTTTGTTAAGGAGAATGAGAAGAGGTGGCTTGAAAAGTAAAAGGAGAAAGAAAATAATGCTCTGGAAGCCTCCTCAAGGAAGAGAGATCCACTGTGTCAAAAGGTGCTTGACAGGGCAAATAAGGACTGAGAATTGTCACTGGCTTTGGCCACATGGAAGTTACCAGAAACCTTGACAAGAGCTGTTTTAGTGCAGTGGTGATGCCAACTGCCTAATTGGAGTGGGTTCAAGAGAGCCAGGAGGTTGAGGAAGGAAGACTGAGTCCAGGGCACTCTGGAGTTTTGCTATAAAGGGAAGCAAAGAAATGAAGTAGCAGGTGACAAGAGGGATGCTTGTTCATTTAAGACAGATTTTGTAGCAAGTTTCTATGCTGGTGGAAATGATCAAATTTAGAGGAAAAACTGTGATGGTTCGGGGATACATTGCTGCAGCAAGAGGAGATCGAGATGTATTTGCTGCACAAGTGAAGAGGTTGCTCTTGGGAACATGGGTAGTGCACGTCTGAGAACAGAAGCAGGTAGGGTTATAGATTAGCATTTAGGGTGCTGGAAGTTCTCTTCTGACTCCGTCTATTTAATATTTTCTTAGTGAAATAAAGAGATGGGTCATAAGCTCAGAATAGGAGGCTGAGGGAAGGCATTGGTGATTTGAAAAGAAAAGAGGTGCCTAATAGTCACCCAGGAGAATGGAGTAAAGATGAGTTGACTAGGAATTGTAAAATTGGTTTACTGGGAAGTTTCAACAAGATAGTAGATGAAAAGCATTTAGTGCAATGGCCTGCACATAATTCGCCTGCAAAAAACATTAGTTATTATTAAATCAACTTGGTGATGATCATGCTGCCTGTAAACAAAGTGTTCTGAGAACAGAGAAGAAGCATCCACTTTAGGAAGAATTAGGAAACTATCCCCAGAGGCAGTGAATTAAGAGCTGGTCTTGAAAAGAGGGAGGAGGAAGATTACAATTACTTAAAGAACACTATGTGCTAAACATACTACTGCCACTGAGAATGAGCGAGCCAGCGGCTTGTTTTTGTAAATAACGTGTTATTGGAACACAGTCATGCCCATTAATTTACAGATTGTCTATAACCGTTTTCATGCTACAATGTCAGAGTTAAGTAGCTGCAATAGAGACTGTATGGTCGGCAAAGCCTAAAATATTTACCCTCTAGCCTTTTTACCAAAAAAAAAGTTTGCCAATCCCTGGACATAGAATTAAATAAAGAGTGATTGTAGATCAAAGAAAATAAATAATATCATTACAAAATTAATAAATTAGAAACAGCAAGGAAGAAGAGTCACAACTAGAAACTGAACTGCTGACTTAGAAGAATGCTAAGATAATCAACAGTGAATGCATCCGTGGGAGAAAAAAATTCCACAGATTCAAGGAATCAGAAAGAAAATAGAAAATATTGACAAATTCTTATTCTCCAATTCTCTAGATATTTAGAACAGATGAAGATGATCCCAAATAAGGATATTTGGTGTCCCTGAAGTAGAGAACTCAAAACTATGGAATAGAAAGAGTAAGTATTCAAAGATTTAATAAAAGAAAAATTTCCAAAAATGCAGAAAGAATGGACTCTACAGCCTTGAAAGAATACACCATGTTCCAGGACATCTTGAACTGGTACTACCTACAGTGAATCATACTTTAATTCAGTTTCAAAAATCAAGAAAATCTTGAGGCATCCCCACAGAAACAGCCAATAATCTACAAGGGATAAAACATGGTGAGGAATCAGATTTCTCCATGGTAACAATTAATACCAGAAGACAACGGAAAACATCCATATAGGTCTGAAGGGAAGAAAAATGAGACGGAGTTTCGCTCTTGTTGCCCAGGCTAGAGTGCAATGGCACGATCTCGGCTCACTGCAACCTCCACTTCCCGGGAGGTTGTTTCAGGCAATTCTCCTGTCTCAGCCTCCTGGATAGCTGGGATTACAGGTGCCTGCCACTATGCCAAGCTAATTTTTGTATTTTTAGTAGAGGCAGAGTTTTGCCATGTTGGCCAGGCTGGTCATGAGAAGAGCTTTTAAAAATTACCCCAGTTCAAGAGGCCACCCCAAACCAATTAGATCAGAATCTGTGGGGGTGGAACCTGGACAATGGTAATTCGCAGATGTTTGCCAGGTGATTCTGAGTACAGACGATTCTCAAGCAGGTCTACGGAAAGTGTGGTCTGTGGACAGGCAGCGTCAGCATCACCTGGGAGTCTGTGAGAAATGCAAGTTCTCAGGCCCCACTCCAGACCTACAAGAGTCTGGATTTTAACAAGCTCTCCAGGAGATCTGGAGGCATGCTTCAGTTTCAAAAGCCTTACAGAGGAATCTTTAAGGAAAGAAGACCTAGATCTAAGTTTGGAGATAAATCTAAAAATTGATCTAAATATGAATTTATAATATATAATTTTAAAAGTAATAATATTTGAATTTAAGCAATGTCACATTTTTACTGAAGTTTTTCTTATAGCAGAGTAAAAATTAAGTTGAATAACTTTAAGTATAGCATACGTAGAATCATCCAATTTTAAATGGCATCTGATGTTATTTATGAGTGATGAGATTTGAGGTGCTTTTTAGACTTCTTTTTTGTACCATTCCACATTGCTGAAATTCCTAAAAATATCCATTATTTTTCAAAATTACTAAAGTGATTTTTCTCATTAAAAAAACCCTCTATATGTTAATCTGATGAGGATGATCATGATCTGTAATTCACACCAACCAAATTCACAGAGACTGTGAAGCAGAATAGCAATTCATTAATTAACATACTCATTCCCAGATCTAAAACATGTCATGAAGAGAAGGCATCTGATTTTTAGTGGACATACGTACTCGAGTCTAAATTACACACTAGAAGGCTGCTTGGTAAGCAGAAAATTACAGAAAAGGAAGTGAGCTGTCTTAGGAAATTTCTTTGAAACTATCACTACTAATGATTTGTCCTTCACCAAAGTAATTATTCTTTGTAAAGAATTGTTTTCTCAGCCTACGATCAGGAGTCCATCTTCCCATCCTAAATATTTATCATAAGGTACAGTTTCCCAAGGTTATGATTGATATTGCTTACACTGGAGGAATTTCTAAACCACAAATGCAGAAGAGTCATTGTGTTCCATCCCAAGGATGAACATCCATGGCATCTGCAATATCAGAAGTTGGCATCTCATGCTTATCTCTAAATCTTGAGTTTATCTTACTTGAGGGTGATTCGAGCTTTCTGTGAATAAAATATACACTGGTTTTTCTTAAAATTTCATGAGAAACGAAAAGAGTAAATGTGAGGTAAGGAAGTAGAGCCTGTGGTTAAAAAAAAAATTAATGAAAAACATAAATCCAATCCCAAGGCTAAAAAGGTGATTTATTATTAATGTCAGCACATCCTGTTTATTAAAAAGAAATAAACATTCCACTCCTTTCTTGAATTGGCTTCAGTTAACTCTTTCCTAGGGAAGACTGGGGCAGGGAGCAGACATAATTATTCATGTATATGGTCCCTGCTTTCCATTCTACCAGTGTAAATGCTCCATGATGTGTTCATGTCAGGAACTCAGCTCAATCTTGATTTTTTTTTTTTTTAAGACAATCTCTCTTTGTCGCCCAGGCTGGAGTGCAGTGGCGCAATCTCAGCTCACTGCAACCTCCGCCTCCCAGGCTCAAGCAATTCTTGTGCCTCAGCCTCCTGAGTAGCTGGGATTACAGGCATGTGCCGGCACACCCCGGTAATTTTTATGTATTTTTAATAGGGACAGGTTTCTCCATGTTGGCCAGGCTGGTCTCAAATTCCTGGCCTCAAAATGCTGGGGTTACAGGCATGAGCCACCACCACAAGTCCCCATGAGAGATATTTTTGTCTGTGGAAATGAAACCAACCCAATGTTCCCATAGGTAATTTTATTTTGGATAAAAATGGAAATTGATCCTTCTAGTCTTAAAACTTGAAACTTACATTTGTTTTATGTGAATTCCTTCCTCAGGGAAGGACCTTCAAGCATCTCAAAACAGAAAGTATCAAAGAACTGAAACTCATCAGATCACCACATCCAGACAGTGAGGCTGGACCACTAATTCATCATGATTGATTCCATGCTCCTCCCTAGTTCCTAGTTTCTGTTTTCTTGCATATTGTTACATTTCTTCCCTGCTATATACACCTCTAGTTTTAGTAGTTCAGGGAGATGGATTTGAGACTGAACTCCCATCTCTTTGGCTGTAGCACCCTATTAAAAGACTTCCTCCTCCGTGATAATCCTTGTCTCAGTGATTGGCTTTCTGTGTGGCGAGTAGCAGGATCTAGACTGAACCCCTGGATTTTCAGTATCAGAAGTACTATCTTGCCCTAAAGTTTAAGTGATTAAACCATTATTACATGTATCAGCTAGGTTTAAGGTTTTAAGAATAATTGTTCCATGGAGTTTATTATATCCGCTTTGAATCCTAGTAGATTGAAATCCTAGTTCTCCCACTTTCTTGCTAGAGACCTAGTGTAAAACAGAGACTCCAAATTTATCTTATTTATGAAGCAGAAATAATATCACCTACTTATTTTTTAGAGTTTTCATAAGATTTATAAATAATATTAAATGTTCAGAGTACATAGTAGGAGTTCAATATTAAATCCATCTGATAATCAAAGGTGTTTAGGAGTGTTCATCCAAAAAATAGTTAAAATTTTCTTTGAAAATTTTCTCCTGCTTCCGATTTCTTTAATCATTGACCATACTTGGAAGAGGTGATCAGAAAATAGAAACATAAATCTAAATCATTCTTAACCAAAATTCAGACATAAGCAGAAACATGTCCATTTAAGTGTAGTTAATTATTCTCCTAGGATCTAATGTATCATAATGCTTACAAACACATATGTATTAATAGCATTATGTATGAATTAATATAAAGCATGCAAGGACATAGAATATGCTCATTCTCCTGTATCTGTGATAGCTGCTGCTGCTTCTCCTTCTCCTTCCTCCTTCTTCTTCCCACTCCCCCTCCTTCTTCTCCTCCTTTCTTCCTCTTCTGTCTTCTGTGTCTTCTGTCTTCTTCCTATTTCCTCTCATCCCTCATGAACTTGGACTCTTTCTCTCTGTACATTTTTATCATGGAAAACTCAGTCTTTGCTGTGCAAATGTTTCTCAGAGTTCCAACTCTAGTCAGTGTCTTTTTTCCATAACTACAGAGCTGCTTTTCAAATACCTGCTTGGCATCTCTATGTGGACATCCTGACGGCACCTTAAACCGAATATGTCTGAAGTTGCATTTATGATCTTATTCCCCTGCAAATTAGCATATCCTTCTGATATGCTTATCTCTAAGATTGGAAACCTGAGCTAGTTTTGATTCTTCCTTTCTTGATATTCTATAGCTAAACAATTGATCTTAAGTCCTCTCCCTTGATATCCTAATTATCCAGTCCCTCCTTCCCATTCCTGCTTCCCAATGGTTTCCCAACCTTCAGTGTCCCCCTGTTACCGTCTAGCCTACAAATGATACTTAGATGAACCTTCATCCTTAATCACCGAAGCAATAACTTACTTGCATTCTCAAAATCTCCCACTGGGAAACATTAAATATAAACTCATGCTTGGCATCTGAGGCTCTCTACCACAGATGATCAAGTTATCTTTTGGGACCTATTGCCCTCTATTCCTTTGTCCCTGAGGTTGTGCATGAATGGCCCCAAAAAGCCAGATCTAGCTTGCAGATATAATTTTCTTTGGGAAACACAATGGCTTTATAAATTTTGAATTAGCTGCTTATTTCAAATTAGTTGTTAACATTTATACATTGGAAGGTTTTCTCATGTAGAAATCCAGATTCTGGCTTCTGGATCCCAACATGAAAAGTTGGGATGTCTGGCAGCTTTGAACCTGCATGGCACAAAGGGCTGAGGCTAGGCAGCCAGAGCCCTTTGAAAGGGAGAAACAGGCCCCAGTTCACTACAGCCTTCACCTGACTGGTGTCACTCAATCTGGTGCTGGCTTGGTGCCTTCATGCACGTGGATTTATGACACTTGCTCTAGAATACCTAGTGCTCAGCCAAGTGCGACATTCCCAAATGCATAGTGTCTTTACTTCTGTTTCCCCCTCTTTCTGAAAATGCCCTCTCCTTCCTTCTTTCCTGTCTTTACGGCCCATTTCTAACACCATATCTTCCTTGAAGCTTTCTGTGAGCACCCCGCTGGATGTGACTGCCCGTTTGTAAACGTCTGTAACACTCTGTGGCTTTCTTATGGCCCAGAGCCCACCCTCCTTGGCATCACAGTCATATCCTTGCTTTCTCCCTGTTTCTCAGGAAGAGATAGAGATGTACACTTTTCCCCACTCCTCAGGCTTTTTCAAAAAGGGGTTTTCCTCTTGACCTAGACTTTCTTTCTCCTCTCCATAGAGATGAAGAGCATCTGTCCCCACCTCCCTTTCTCCTCAGGGACCTGCCTGTCTACACAGTGAAGAGGCCTTGTTATGCTTGGCAGTAAAGGCGCTGATGTGCAGGTGAGACTGAGGGTGTTCACACTACCTGTGCGTGTCCATCTGCCCGATTCTGAAGGACAGTAATGGGAAGCCCCTTATTGCTACACATCTAAGACAGGGCTTCCTATCCTGCGTTGATCAGCAAACCAAGCTAAATTTTCATTGTCATCTGCCTGAATACTTATCTAGCAACTGTTTCCAAACTCAAGCAGGGAAAAAAGAAATTTTTATGACCTCAACAATAAGACCTCACTTTTTATTATTATTAAGTTCTAGGGTACTTGTGCATAAGGGACAGGTTTGATACATAGGTATACATGTGTCATGTTGGTTTGTTGCATCCATCAACTCGTCATTTACATTAGGTATTTCTCCTAATGCTATCCCTCCCCCAGACCCCCACCCCCTGACAGGCCCTGGTGTGTGATGTTCCCCACCCTGTGTCCAAGTGTTCTCATTGTTCAATTCCACCTATGACTGAGAACATGCAGTGTTTGGTTTTCTGTCTTTGTGATAGTTTGCTGAGAATGATAGTTTCCAGCTTCATCCATGTCCCTGCAAAGGTCATGAACTCATCCTCTTTTATGGCTGCATAGTATTCCATGGTGTATATGTGCCACATTTTCTTAATCCAGTCTATCATTGATGGACATTTGGGTTGATTCCAAGTCTTTGCTATTGTGAATAGTGCTGCAATAAACATACATGTGCATGTCTTTATAGTAGCATGATTTATAATCCTTTGGGTATATATCCTAATGGGATTACTGGGTCAAATGGTATTTCTAGTTCTAGATCCTTGAGGAATTGCCACACTGTCTTCCACAATGGTTGAACTAATTTACACTCCCACCAACAGTGTAAAAGCATTCCTATTTCTCCACATCCTCTCTAGCATCTGTTGTTTCCTGACCTTTTAATGATTGCCATTCTAACTGGCATGAGATGGTATCTCATTGTGGTTTTGATTTGCATTTCTCTCATGACCAGTGATGATGAGCATTTTTTCGGGTGTCTGTTGGCTGCATAAATGTCTTCTTTTGAGAAGTGTCTATTCATATCCTTTGCTCACTTTTTGATGGGGTTGTTTTTTCCTGTAAATTTGTTTGAGTTCTTTGTAGATTCTGGATATTGGCCCTTTGTCAGATGGGTAGATTGCAAAAATTTTCTCCCATTCTGTAGGTTGCCTGTTCACTCTGATAGTAGTTTCTTTTGCTGTGCAGAAGCTCTTTAGTTTAATTAGATCCTATTTGTCTATTTTGGCTTTTGTTGCCATTGCTTTTGGTGTTTTAGTCATGAAGTCCTTGCCCATGCCTATGTCCTGAATGGTATTGCCTAGGTTTTCTTTTAGGGTTTTTATGGTTTTAGGTCTAACATTTAAGTCTTTAATCCATCTTGAATTAATTTTTGTATAAGGTGTAAGGAAGGGATCCAGTTTCAGCTTTCTACATATGGCTATCCAGTTTTCCCAGCACCACTTATTAAATAGGGAATCCTTTCCCCATTTCTTGTTTTTGTCAGGTTTGTCAAAGATCAGATGGTTGTAGATGTGTGGTGTTATTTCTGAGGCCTCTGTTCTGTTCCATTGGTCTATATCTCTGTTTTGATACCAGTTCCATGCTGTTTTGGTTACTGTAGCCTTGTAGTATAGTTTGAAGTCAGGTAGTGTGATGCCTCCAGCTTTGTTCTTTTTGCTTAGGATTGTCTTGGCAATGTGGGCTCTTTTTTGGTTCCATATGAAATTTAAAGTAGTTTTTTTCCAATTGTGTGAAGAAAGTCATTGGTAGCTTAATGCAGATGGCATCGAATCTATAAATTAACTTGGGTGGGTATGGCCATTTTCATGATATTGATTCTTCTTATCCATGAGCATGGAATGTTCTTCCATTTGTCTCTGTCTTCTTTAATTTTGTTGAGCAGTGGTTTGTAGTTCTCCTTGAAGAGGTCCTTCACATCCCTTGTAAGTTGGATTCCTAGGTATTTTATTCTCTTTGTAGCAATTGTGAATGGGAGTTCACTCATGATTCGGCTCTCTGTTTGTCTGTTATTGGTGTATAGGAATGCTTGTGATTTTTGCACATTGATTTTGTATCCTGAGACGTTGCTGAAGTTGCTTATCGGCTTAAGGAGATTTTGGGCTGAGACAATGGAGTTTTCTAAATATACAATCATGTCATCTGCAAACAGGGACAATTTGACTTCCTCTTTTCCTAATTGAATATGCTTTATTTCTTTCTTTTGCCTGATTGCCTTGGCCAGAACTTCCAACACTATGTTGAATAGGAGTGGTGAGAGAGGGCATCCTTGTCTTGTGCCGGTTATCAAAGGGAATGTTTCCAGTTTTTGCCCATTCAGTATGATATTGGCTGTGGGTTTATCATAAATAGCTGTTATAATTTTGAGATACGTTCCATCAATACCTAGTGTATTGAGAGTTTTTAGCATGAAGGGGTGTTGAATTTTGTCAAAGGCCTTTTCTGCATCTATTGAGATAATCATGTGGTTTTTGTCATTGGTTCTGTTGATGTGATGGGTTACATTTATTGATTTGCATATGTTGAGCCAGCCTTGCATCCCAGGGATGAAGCCAACTTGATCATGGTGGATAAACTTTTTGATGTGCTGCTGGATTCGGTTTGCCAGTATTTCATTGAGGATTTTTTCATTGATGTTCATCAGGGATATTGGTCTAAAATTCTCTTTTTTTGTTGTGTGTCTGCCAGGCTTTGCTATAAGGATGATGCTGGCCTAATAAAATGAGTTAGGGAGGACACCTTCTTTTTCTATTGATTGGAATAGTTTCAGAAGGAATGGTACCAGCTTCTCTTTGTACATCTGGTAGAATTCAGCTGTGAATCCGTCTGGTCCTGGACTTTTTTTAGTTGGTAGGCTATTAATTATTGCCTCAATTTCAGAGCCTGTTATTGGTCTATTCAGAGACTCAACTTCTTTCTGGTTTAGTCTTGGGAGAGTGTATGTGTCCAGAAATTTATCCATTTCTTCTAGATTTTCTAGTTTATTTGCATAAAGGTATTTATAGTATTCTCTGATGGTAGTTTGTATTTCTGTGGGATCAGTGGTCTATCATTTTTTATTGCTTCTATTTGATTCTTCTCTTTTTCATCTTTATTAGTCTGGCTAGTGGTCTATCAATTTTGTTGATCTTTTCAAAAAACCAGCTCCTGGATTCATTGATTTTTTGAAGGGTTTTTTGTGTCTCTATCTCCTTCAGTTCTGCTCTGATCTTTGTTATTTCTTGCCTTCTTCTAGCTTTTGGATTTGTTTGCTCTTGCTTCTCTAGTTCTTTTAATTGTGATGTTAGGGTGTCAATTTTAGATCTTTCCTGCTTTCTCTTCTGAGCATTTAGTGCTATAAATTTCCCTCTACACACTGCTTTAAATGTGTCCCAGAGATTCTGGTACGTTTTGTCTTTGTTCTCATTGGTTTCAAAGAGCATCTTTATTTCTGCCTTCATTTCGTTATTTACCCAGTAGTCATTCAGGAGCAGGTTGTTCAGTTTCCACGTAGTTGTGTGGTTTTGAGTGAGTTTCTTAATCCTGAGTTCTAGTTTGATTGCACTGTGGTCCGAGAGACAGTTTGCTGTGATTTCTGTTCTTTTACATTTGCTGAGGAGTGCTTTGCTTCCAATTATGTGGTCAATTTTAGAATAAGTCCGATGTGGTGCTGAGAAGAATGTATATTCTGTTGATTTGGAGTATGGAGTTCTGTAGATGTCTATTAGGTCTGCTTGGTGCAGAGCTGAGTTCAAGTCCCGGATATCCTTGTTAACCTTCTGTCTCGATCTGTCTAATATTCACAGGGGGGTGTTAAAGTCTACCATTATTATTGTATGGGAATCTAAGTCTCTTTATAGGTCTCCAAGGACTTGCTTTATGAATCTGGGTGCTCCTGTATTGGATGCATATATATTTAGGATAGTTCACTCTTCTTGTTGAATTGATCCCTTTACCATTATGTAATGGCCTTCTTTGTCTCTTTCGATCTTTGTTGGTTTAAAGTCTGTTTTATCAGAGACTAGGATTGCAACCCCTCCTTTTTTTGCTTTCCATTTGCTTGGTAGATCTTCCTCCATCCCTTTATTTTGAGCCTATGTGTGTCTTTGCATGTGAGATGGGTCTCCTGAATATAGCATACTGATGGATCTTGATTCTTTATTCAATTTGTCAGTCTATATCTTTTAATTGGGGCATTTAGCCCATTTACATTTAAGGCTAAAATTGTTATGTGTGAATTTGATCCTGTCATTATGATGTTAGCTGGTTATTTTGCCCATTAATTGATGCAGTTTCTTCACAGCATCAATGGTCTTTACTATTTGGCATGTTTTTGCAGTGGCTGGTACCAGTTGTTTCTTTCCATGTTTAGTGCTTCCTTCAGGAGCTCTTGTAAGGCAGGCCTGGTGGTGACAGACTCTCTCAGCATTTGCTTGTCTGCAAAGGATTTTTTTTCCTTCACTTATGAAACTTAGTTTGGCTGGATATGAAATTCTGGGTTGAAAATTATTTTCTTTAAGAATGCTGAATATTGGCCCCCACTCTCCTCCGGCTTGTAAGTTTTCTGCCAAGAGATCCACGGTCAGTCTGATGGGTTTCGCTTTGTGGGTAACCCAACCTTTCTCTCTGGCTACCCTTAACATTTTTTCCTTCATTTCAACCTTGGTAAATCTGACAATTATGTGTCTTGGGGTTGCTCTTCTTAAAGAGTATCTTTGTGGTGTTCTCTGCATTTCCTGAATTCAAAGGTTGGCCTGCCTTGCTAGGTTGGAAAAGTTCTCCTGGATAATATCCTGAAGAGTGTTTTCCAACTTGGTTCCATTCTCCCCATCAGTTTCAGGTACACCAATGAAACATAGATTTGGTCTTTTCACATAGTCCCATATTTCTTGGAGGTTTTGTTTGTTTCTTTTTACTCTTTTTTCTCTAAACTTCTCTTCTTGCTTTATTTCATTAATTTGATCTTCAATCACTGATACACTTTCTTCCACTTGATAGAATCAGCTATTGAAGCTTGTGCATGCGCCACGAAGTTCTCATGCCATGGTTTTCAGCTCCACCAGGTCATTTAAGGTCTTCTCTACACTGTTTATTCTAGGTAGCCAGTCATCTAACCTTTTTTCAAGGTTTTTAGCTTCCTTGCAATGGGTTTGAACATGCTCCTTTAGCTCAGAGAAGTTTGTTATTACCAACCTTCTGAAGCCTACTTCTGTCAACTAGTCAAAATCATTCTCCGTCCAGCTTTGTTCCATTGCTGGCAAGGAGCTGCAATCCTTTGGAGGAGAAGAGGCGCTCTGGTTTTTAGAATTTTCAGCTTTTCTGCTTTGGTTTCTCCCCATCTTTGTGGTTTTGTCTACCTTTGGTCTTTGATGTTGTTGACCTACAGATGGGGTTTTGGTGTAGATGTCCTTTTTGTTGATGTTGGTGCTATTCCTTTCTGTTTGTTAGTTTTCCTTCCAATAGTTAGGTCCCTCAGCTGCAGGTCTGTTGGAGTTTGCTGGAGGTCCACTCCAGACCCTGTTTTCCTGGGAGGTCCACTCCAGACCCTGTTCACCAGCAGAGGCTGCAGAACAGCTGCAACAGCTGCAGGTCTGTTGGAGTTTGCTGGAGGTCCACTCCAGACCCTGTTCACCAGCGGAGGCTGCAGAACAGCAAATGTTGCAGAACAGCAAATATTGCTGCCTGATCCTTCCTCTGGAAGCTTAGTCCCAGAAGGGCACCCACCTATATGAGGTGTCTCTCGGCCCCTATTGGGAGGTGTCTCCCAGTTAGGCTACACGGGAGTCAGGGACTCACTTGAGAAGGCAGTCTGCCCGTTCTCAGAGCTCAAACACCATGCTGGGAGAACCACTGCTGTCTTCAGAGCTGTCAAACAGGGACGTTTAAGTCTGCAGAAGCTGTCTGCTGCCTTTTGTTCAGCTATGCCCTGCCCACAGAGGTGGAGTCTCTAGAGGCCTTGCTGAGCTGCGGTGGGCTCCGCCCAGTTCGAGCTTCCTGGCTGCTTTGTTTACCTACTCGAGCCTCAGCAATGGCAGACGCCCCTCCCCCAGCCAGACTGCCACCTCGCAGTTAGATCTTAGACTGCTTCGCTAGCAGTGAGCAAGGCCCCATGGGCATGGGACCTGCCAAGCCAGGCACAGGAGAGAATCTCCTTGTCTGCCAGTTGCTAAGACCTTGGGAAAAGCACAGTATTTGGGCAGGAGTGTCCCATTTTTCCAGGTACAGTCTGTCACAGCTTCCCTTGGCTAGGAAAGGGAAATCCCCTGACCCCTTGCACTTCCCGGGTGAGGCGACGCCCTGCCCTGCTTCAGTTCATCCTCCATGGGCTGCACCCACTGTTCAACCAGTCCCAATGAAATGAACCAGGTACCTCAGTTGGAAATGCAGAAATCACCTGTCTTCTGTGTCAATCACGCTGGGAGCTGCAGACCAGAGCTGTTCCTATTCGGCCATCTTGCACTGCCCTCAAGACCTCTCTTTTTCTTCAATCTTCCCCAGCAGCTAGCCAAGGTCATTGCACAAAATAGACACTCAAGAGTATCAAATTGAATCAAAACACACAATCAATGTACATAAAATTCATGGAATAAAATTTATCTTATGCTTATTTTCCCATAAACCATAATTTATAGTCCTTCAACATAAATAAGGAAAAAATATAATTTATCTCTGTAATGTTAACAAAATACAAATGACTCATCTATAATGTAAAATATTTATTTATTTACATTTCCATTTTTATATAAATCATTTTGCATCATATCATATAAAAAAAGAAAATATAAAGCTTAAAAGTCACTGAAGAAAGCATCACACTGTACGACATTTTTCAGCGGTCTCGGAGGTCTCGTTTCTTGCTTTTTTTTGATTTTGTGGTTGTTTCCTGACGAATGGTATCATATTCCAATATGGCTATTTTGGAAAGTCTCTCTAAGTATTGAGATGGTGCTCCAGTGAGAGGATCACTGAAGCCAGAACCTGGAGGAGGAGGTGGGGAGTCAGCTATTAAAATGAATTAAGCACACATGAATAATATTCTATTAAATATAATGTGACTGAAATATTTCTTCCACAAATGACTATTACACACTACTAGTTCTTATACTACAGAGCTATACTAACCCAAAAAAAAGCATGCATAAAAACAGACACACAAACCAATAGAACAGAATAAACAACCCAGAAACAAATCTATACATCTATAGTGGATTCATTTTTAACAAAAGTGCCAAGAATATACACTAGGGAAAAGATAGTCTCATCAATAAATGGTGCTGGGAAAACTGGGTATTATGGATATTATAAAACTGGAGATTATGCAGAAAAATGAAACCAGATCGCATCTCTCGACATATAAAAAAAAATCGAAATGGATTAAAGACTTAAATCTAAGACCTCAAACTATGAATACTAAAAGAAAGCATTGGGGAAACTCTCCAGGACATGGGAGTGGTCAAAGATTTCCTGAGTAATACCCCAGAAGCACAGGCAATCAAAGCAAAAATGGACAAATGAGATCACATCAAGTTATTAATAAAAAGTGTCTGCACAGCAAAGGAAACAATCAACAAAATGAAAAGAACCTACAGAATGGGAGAAAATATTTGCAGACTACCCATCTGACAAGGGATTAACAACCAGAATATATAAGGAGCTTAAACAACTCTATGGGAAAAGTCTAATAATCCCATTTTAAAATGGGCAAAAGGGGTGGCTCACGTCTATAATCCCAGCACTTTGGGAGGCTGAGGTGAGCAGATCCCTTGAGCTCAGAAGTTCAAGACCAGCCTGGGCAACATAGCAAAACCCTGTCTCATTTAAACTCTCATGTTAATAAAAATTAATTAATTAATTAGTTAAATGGGCCAAAAGACCTGAATAGACATTTCTGAAAAGAAGACACGCAAACAGCAAACAGGCATATGAAATATGGTCAACATCACTGATTATCAGAGGCATCAAAACTACAATGAGATATCATTTCACCCCAATTAAAATGGCTTTTATCTAAAAGACAGTAAATAACACATGCTGGCAAGGATGCAGAGAAAAAAGGGAACCCTCATTCACTGTTAGTGGGAATGTAAATTAGTACAACCACTGTGGAGAACAGTTTGGAGGTTTCTCAGAAAACCAAAAATGGAGCTACCATATGGTCCAGGAATCCCATTGCTAGACATATACCCAAAAGAAGGGAAATCGGTATATCAAAGAGGTATCTGCACTCCTGTGTTTACTGCAGCACTGTTCACAATGGCCAAGATTTGGAAGTAACTGAAGTGTCCATCAACAGATGAATGGATGAAGAAAATGTGGTACATATACACAATGGAGTACTATTCAGCCATAAAAAAATGAGATCCTGTCATTTGCAACATTATGGTTGGAACTGGAGATCATTATGTTAGGTTAAATAAGCCAGGTACAGAAAGACAAATTTCACATATTCTCAGTTATTTGTGGGTGCTAAAAACTAGAACAATTGAACTCATGGAGATAGAGACTAGAAGGATGGTTACCAGAGGCTGGGAAGGATAGTGGAGGAGAGATGCGGGGGAAGTGGGGATGGTTTATAGGTACAAAAAATACAAAGAATGAATAAGAACACGTATTTGATAGCACAACAGGGCAATTATAGTCAATAATGATCTAATCGTATATTTAAAAATAACTTTAAGAGTATAATTTGATTGTTTGTAACATAAAGGATAAATGCCTGAGGGGATGGATACTCCATTCACGTGAATGTGATTATTACACGTTGTACGCCTGTATCAAAATATCTCATATACCTCATAAATAAATACACCTACTATGTACCCAGAAAATTAAAAAAACACGACTAGTTTTTGATATAACACATATTTTGAATTAAAAATGCCATGTTTACTTTCTTTTTCTTTTCTTTTTTTTGAGATGGAGGATGGAATCTTGCTCTGTCACCCAGGCTGGAGTGCAGTGGTGCAATCTCGGCTCACTGCAACCTCCACTTCCCGGGTTCAAGTGATTCACATGCCTCAGCCTCCTGAGTAGCTGGGACTACAGGCGTGTGCCATCATGCCCAGCTAGTTTTTGTATTTTTAGTAGAGACGGGGTTTCACCATGTTGTCCAGGCAGATCTCAAACTCCTGGCTTCAAGTCACCTGCCCACCTCAGCCTCCCAAAGTGCTGGGATTACAGGCATGAGCCACCGCACTCAGTTTTAATGCTACTTTATAAAATGACTATGTGCCTCAAAAAATATTTATCTAAAAAACCTTTAATGCTTGTATTTAATTATATAAAATTACATTGGTGCAAAAGTAATTGCAGTTCTAAAAACCGCAATTACTTTTGCACCAACTTAATCTGATTTTGTACAATACTTTTTAAAACATGGGACAACTGTGAGATTTATTTCAAAGTAAAAGGCATAATCTCCATAAATAATTAACTCATTTCATATTTTACATGCCTATCAAGTTATTTTCTTCAAATAAAAACATTTCTCATAAATGCTAAGTGAAGTAAAATTGTAAAGTAAAATAAAATCGTTCACTTAACTGAAATAGCGTTAATCAAACTTCTATCATAGGGTGGTAGTAATAACAACAGATAGCATTTGTTGAATGATCTTTGTCAAGTACTTTACATCTATTTTATCCATACAACAACACTATGAAATAGTCATCTGTACTATCTCGAGTTACAGATTTTAAAAAGACAATTTAGGGATGCTAAATAACTTGCCTGAGTGCATATACTTAGTAACTATCAGAGTTAGGATTTGAATCCAGATTCATCAAAGTTCCAATCACTACGTATTACCCCTAAATACATGTAGAAATATTTTAGGGTATAAACCTCTCTATATACAATATACAAATATGTAGAAATATTTCTATTTAAAAACATATATGCAGCCTTGAAAATACTGACCTATATTGCTTTAAAATATTATTATTTAACTTCAGTTTCAAGTGTCAAAAAAAAGCACTATCTTCAATTCTCCAGTGTAGTTGTTATTTTTCTGTTTGTTTTGTTTTGTTTGCAGGGGTAATATGAGTGAGAAGTTCAGAGAGAAACAGGTGAGAGTTAAGAATATGATCAGGACTTCTGTTCTTAGCAGTACAATGGACTTGACACTTTAAAAGACCCTCTGGCAGCAAA
This sequence comes from Homo sapiens, assembly GCF_000001405.40. NCBI lineage: Eukaryota > Metazoa > Chordata > Mammalia > Primates > Hominidae > Homo > Homo sapiens. Next base: position 73,244,777 of record NC_000008.11, read on the forward strand.
ATAACTAGATTCCAGGCATTAGGCAAACCTGAAAAAACTTCAAAGAATCGGTATCATACACACAAATGCAATTAAGTTGGAAGTTGTTAATAATAAGATAAATTTAAAATTCTGAAATATTTAGAAATTTGTACACATGTATTAGTCCATTTTTATGCTGCTGATAAGGACATAACTGAAACTGGGTAATTTTTAAAGAAAAAGAGGTTTAATGGACTCACAGTTCCACATGGCTGGGGAGGCCTCACAATCACACCAGAAGGCAAAAGCCATGTCTTACATGGAGGCAGATAAGAGAGAATGAGAACCAAGCAAAAGGGGTTTCCTCTTATAAAACCATCAGATCTCGTGAGACTTACTCACTACCATGAGAATGGTATGGGGCAACCGCCCCCATGATTCAATCATCTCCCACTGAGTCCATCCCACAACACATGGGAACTATGGGAACTACAATTCAAGATGAGATTTCAATGGGGACACAGTCAAACCATATAAACACATTTTCTAAATTATCAGTCAAAAAACAAATCATAATAAACATACAAATATTTGTTGCTAAATGATAAATATCACAAAAGTTGTGTAATGGAGCAAAAGTTGTATATAGAGAGGTTTATACCCTAAAATGTCTATGTTAGAAAAGAAGGTTGAAAATTTAAAACATAGGTATTAGATACACAGTAGGAAAAGAGTAAACCCAAAGAACATGGAGGAAAAAGATAATATAGGAAAGGGGAGAAATCAATGAAGTAGAAAACCAAGTTACAATAAAAGGGATTTTTTAAAAAGACAAAAGCTCTTCATTGAAAAAACTAATAAAAAAGGAAAGCCTCTGGTGACATTACTCAAGAAAATAAAAGAAGGCACAAATATATAATATTGGGAAAAGAGGAACAGAATTACAGATAAAGCAAAGACTAAACTTTATGCTAATAAATTTTTAAAACTTAGACAAAATGCAAGTTTCTAGAAAATATAACTTACCAAAACTGATTGAAAAATTAGAATACCTTAAGAGCCCTAAATTCAAAATGATTGAGCCAATATTAAAAGATTCTCCCAAAGAAAACAAGTAACCCAAATGAATTTTATAAATGAATTTCCTCAAACTTTCGAGAGAAAAATCATTCCAATTTTAGGTCGTATCCTTCAGAGAACAGAAAGAGAAAGAATAGTCCCCAATTCATTCCACAAGGCCATTATAATGTGGACACTGAATCCAGACAAGGACAGAACAAAAAAGAAAATTCATGGCAATCTCACTACACTTACCAGCATAGGTAAAAAATGCCAAATGAGATATTAGCAAATTAAATGTGGCAGAATATAAACAAATAATAAATCATTTCTAAATTGGGTGTATTTCAGGAATGCAAGAGTGACTTAACATTACAAAATCTGTAAATGTTATTCTTCACATCAAAATAAGTAATAATAAGTATTTACAGAAGACTTACTTTGTTGCAGAAACTAGTGTAGGCACTGTAGGGATATGAAGGTGAGTGAATAAGACACAGAAGTCATAATGTTAGAAAAGAGGCTGGCAAATGTTCATTTGGGCCGAGATTCAAAGCAATGTCTTTTGGGTTTTTTGTTTGTTTGTTTGTTTGCTTGTTTGAGACAGAGTCTCGCTCTGTCGCCCAGGCTAGAGTGCAGTGGCACAATCTTGGCTCACTGCAACCTCCGCCTCCCAGGTTCAAGCAATTCTCCTGCCTCAGCTCCCTGAGTAGCTGAGATTACAGGCGCACACCACAATTCCCGGCTAATTTTTGTATTTTTAGTAGAGACGGAGTCTCATCATGTTGGCCAGGCTGGTCTCAAACTCCTGACCTCATGATCTGCTCACCTCGGCCTCCCAAAGCGTTAGGATTACAGGCGTGAGCCACCGCACCCAGCCAGCAATGTCTTTTGTTCTAATTAACATTTATATTTTTATTTTACACTGTCTGTTGATTACAGAAATTGTTTTAGTATATGAAATTAAGAGAGAGAAAACATCCAAGGAAAAGTTCATGAACATTTAAACTTATAAACTTCCATAGACTGAGCTTGCAGAGCTGCTAACAAGTCAATTCTGACAGCTACCAATAATGTCAATAGAAGCATTACTTAGTAATTTTAGTTTTGGTTGGTTGTTTGGAGGTGTTCAGTTAACTCCATTATTCCATAAGCCAAAGTCATGTAAGTATGAGTGTATTAGAGGAAGACAAGTATGATTATGATAAAAATTTAAAATAAGGTTTTAAAAATCTTTAACTTTCTTTTTAACTTTTATTTTAAGTTCAGGGGTACATGTGTAGGTTTGTTACATAGGTAAACTTGTGTCACAGGGATTTGTTGTATAGATTATTTCTTCACCTGAGTACTAAGCCTAGTACCCATTAGTTATTTTTCCTGATCCTTTCCCACCTCCCACCCTCCACACCCTCCTGCATTAGTTTGCTAAGGATAATGGCCTCCAGCTCCATCCATGTTCCTGCAAAGGACATGATCTGTTCTTTTTTATGGCTGCATAGTATTCCATGGTATATGTGTACCACATTTTCCTTATCCAGTCTACCATTGATGGGCATTTAGGTTGAGTCCATGTCTTTGCTATTGTGAATAGTGCTGCAGTGAACATATGCATGGATGTGTCTTTATTACAGAAGGATTTATAGTCCTTTGGGTACATACCCAGTAATGGGATTTCTGGGTCAAATGGCATTTCTGTTTTTAGGTCTTTGAGGAATCACCACACTGTTTCCTACAATGATTGAACTAATTTACATTCCCACCAATAGTGTATAAGTGTTCCTTTTTCTTTGTAACCTCTCCAGCATCTGTTATTTTTTTACTTTTTGATAGTAGCCATTCTGACTCATGTGAGATGGTATCTCATTGAGGTTTTGATTTGCATTTCTCTAATGATAAGTGATGTTGAGCTTTTTTTTCATATGCTTGTTTGGCTGCATGTATGTCTTCTTTTGAAAAGTGTCTGTTCATGTCCTTTGTCCACTTTTTAATGAGGTTATTTTTTTCTTGTAAATTGTTTAAATTCCTTATAGATGCTGGATATTAGACCTTTGTCAGATGCAGAGTTTGCAAAATTTTTCTTCCATTCTGTAGGTTGTCTGTTTACTCTGTTGATAGTTTATTTTGCTATGCAGAAGCACTTTCGTTTAATTAGATCCCATTTGTCAATTTTTGCTTTTGCGGCATTGCTTTTGGCATCTTCATCATGAAATCTTTGCCTGTTCCTATGTCTAGAATGGTATTGCCTAGGTTGTCTTCCAATGTTTTTATAGTTTTGGGTTTTACATTTAAGTCTTTAATCTATCTTGAGTTGATTTTTGTATATGGTGTAAGAAAGGGGTCCAGTTTTAATCTTCTGCATATGGCTAGCCAGTTAGCCCAGCATCATTTATTGAATAGGGAGAACTTTCCCCATTGCTTGTTTTTGTCAGCTTTGTTGAAAATCAGATAGTTGTAGGTGTGTGGCCTTATTTCTGATCTCTCTATTGTGTTCCATTGATCTATGTGTCTGTTTTTGTACCAGTACCATGCTGTTTTGGTTACCATAGCCCTGTACCACGGTTTGAAGTCAGGTTGTGTGATACCTCCAGCTTTGTTCTTTTTGCTTAGGATTGCCTTGGCTATTTTGGCTCTTTTTTGGTTCCATATGAATTTTAAAATAGTTTTTTCTAGTTCTATGAAGAATGTCATTGGTAGTTTAATAGGAATCACATTGAATCTATAAATTGCTTTGGGTAGTATAGTTATTTTAACTATATTGAGTCTTCCTATCCATGAACATGGAATGTTTTTCTACTTGTTTGTGTCATCTCTGATTTATTTGAGCAGTGTTTTGTAGTTCTCCTTGCAGAGATCTTTCACCTCCCTGGTTAGCTGTATTCCTAGGTATATTATTCTTTTTGTGCCAATTGTAAATGGGATTGTGTTCCTGATTTGGCTCTTGGCTTGACTGTTGTTGGTGTATAGGAATGCTATCAATTTTTGCACGTTGATTTTGTATCTTGAAATTTTGCTGAAGTTGTTTATCAGCTTAAGGAGCTTTTGGGCCAAGACTATGGGGTTTTCTGGATATAGGATCATGTCATCTACAAACAGTGATAGGTTCACTTTCTCTCTTCCTATTGGAATGCACTTTATTTCTCTCTCTTGCCTGATTGCTCTGGTCAGAACTTCCAATACTGTGTTGAATAAGGGTGGTGAGTGTCTTGTGCTGGTTTTCAGGTTTTTAAGCTTTTGCCCATTCAATATGATGTTGGCTGTGGGTTTGTCATAGATGGCTTTTATTATTTTATGGTATGTCCTTCAATACCTAGTTTGTTGAGAGTTTTTAATAGGAAAGGTGTTGAATTTTATCAAAAGTCTTTTCTGCATCTGTTGAGATAATCATGTGGTTTTTGTCTTTAGCTCTGTTTATGTAATGAATTGCCTTATTGATTTGGGTATGTTGAACCAACCTTGCACTGCAGGGATAAAGCCTACTTAATTGTGGTGGATTAGCTTTTTGGTATACTGCTGGATTCAGCTTGCCAGTATTTTGTTGAGGATTTTTACATCAATGTTCATCAGGGATATTGACCTGTGGTTTTCTTTTTTTGTTGTATCTCTGCATATTTCGGTATCAGGATGATGCTTGTCTCATAGAATGAGTTACAGAGGAATACCTCATCCTCAAATTTTTAGATAGTTTCAGTGTGAATGGTACCAGCTCTTTTTGTACATCTGGTAGAATTCAGCTGTGAATCTGTCTAGTCCTGGGCTTTTCTTTGATGGTAGGCTATTTGTACTGATTCAATAAAAAAACTTAAGCTTTTAATGAAATAATTGTTGCACATAGGAAAGGATGAATCATTTGATAGACTGAAGGACAAATGGCAAATAAAATATACCTTAGTACCATAAACCCTTTTAGTCACCATGAACTTAGGAGTAACTTGACTTAAAAGTAGTTTTTTGGGACCAAAACTATTGGTATATAGATAAGTTTCTGTATTAGATGTCATAAGTACACAGGATTCACAAAAATAGCAATTAGAAGATAAAGCTAGAAAGGAAAGCTGAGGGAAGATGGCAAGGGATTCAACATCAAGCTAAAGAGTTTATACTCAGTCTGTGGGTAACGAGGGAGTCATTCTGTTTGAAGAAGAGACTAATGTGATTAGAAGTCAAAGTTTTAGGCTTTTTTTGTGGTATTGAAGGATTTCAAAGATCAGACATTCAAAACAAGAAGACCAGTTTGCAGGCACTAAATGGCCCAAGTGAGATATGATGAGGGCCTACCCTTGAGTCCTGAAATTATAAAAGTATGTTTATAATGAACCCAACATCCACTTAGTTTATAAAATAAACAAAGCTTAAAAGAAGTAGTAACAAAACAAAGATAATTAATCAATGAAAAGAAAGGAATTTTTTTTAAAAAAAGATAAGGTATATGACACCCAAGAGAGGTAGTAGAAAAAAGGACGAGTCAGCTTACCTTTTGATTTCTCCCAAAGTGGTGCCACACTGCATGTCTCCTTAGTCTTCTTTAGCCTGAATATTATATATTATCATAAAATTACTTACATATAAATTCAGGGCACAATGAAACTCACTTGTTGAATAACATCACATAGACATTAAATAAATGTTAAGGAAAGGAAAGTCTTTCCATTATAACTCATTCCATCAGAAGCAGATATGAGCCAGCCCAACATCTTGCTAGCAAATTTTACCAGTGGCTGAGTGCTAGGTCTAACTTCTCCCACAGACCTTTATCATACCTCTCACTAGTCATGACTCAAGCAATGCTAAGTGGGAGGGAATCAAGATAAACAGGCCATTTGGATACGTTGAATACCAACTATCACTTTTTTTGTACACTTTTTACCTATCAATCACCTCAATCTGAATTTTGTCATAATTTTGTTCCCACTGAAATACATCTAGATAATAAGTAGATTATTAGGGGAAATATATCATGATTGAATCTGCTGTGGGTGAGATAATCCATTATAAAATCCCAAATTTCTTGTAACAATATTTTTTTTTGAGACAAGGTCTCACTCGCTCCCAGGCTGGAGTGGCACAATCATATAGCTCACTGTAACTTTGAACTCCTAGGCTCAAGCAATTTTCCTGCGTCAGCTTCTTGAGTAGCTGGGATGGTAGCTGCATGTCACCACACAAGGCTAATTAAAAAAAAAAAGTTTGTAAAGACGGGGTCTCACTATGTTACCCAAGCTGGCCTCAAAATGCTGGCCTCAAGCAATCCTCCTGCCTCAGCCTCCCAAAATGGGTTTCCAAGCATGAGCCACTGAGCCCAGCCTCTTGAAACCATTTTACACTTTAAAAGTCAGCAGTGACTTTTAAGTACTCCACCTCTAGGATTACTATTATTATTTATATTACTAGAGTGTGCTTTGAGAGTCACTAAAATATTTTGCTTACCAATAAGGAAATTTGAAAAAATACTACACTTTCAATCAAATATTCACACAAGGAGGGAAAAAAGAGAGTAAGGGGTTGTACATAAAACGAACAAAAATGAGTACTTCTCTGCTTTGCCAAAACCGCTCCTTCACAGGCCGCTGTGCAATGTGCACAGGAGAATAAAATACTTGCAGGCAATTTGACATGTTCTCACTACAACAGCTAAAATGAAGACACTTGAGTTAAAGGCAGGGAAAAGAACTAACACTTATGTTTGCCAAGCACTTCATATACATTATGTCACTTAGCCATTACTATTCCACTTTATATATGAAGAACACTTGTCATAACATGAATAAAATATAGTCAATTATCCTTCATTGACCTAAGTAAATTCACACTCAAATCAATGTAAAATGTTTAGAAATAATTTCACAGTCAAATCACAAATGAAAAACAGAAACAAACAAACAAAAACCTGAATAGGGTGGAAATAATGAGAAGCAAAATAAAGACCCCAAATTAAGAGTCAGAAAGGGCTAATTCATGGGTATTTTCCAGGCTTCCAGTATCTTTGAGATGATCACGTGTATCGAAGGAAGGGTAACAAGACGGGTCCATACCGATGCAAAGTACAAAGTCCATCGGCACAGGCAGCCCTGCACACTCCTACCTCCTCCCCAAAGGGCACTGTGACCCTTGATGAAAATGACATAAGTTGACAGTCAGGGACACAAGTGTCTTGGTTACGATGTAACTGACTGTCCTTAGTAGCTTTATAGTCATGTTTCAAACGGTCCCTCTTTTTTCTGCATCCCCGCCATTTTCCACTTTGACTTAAGTTACCATCTGGTAGCAACTCTCTCTCTCTTCCATTTCTAATTCTGCCTTATTTTATTCTAACCTTACTTCAGAAAGAACAGTTTTGCGTTTTATATTTTTATAGCTTGAAAATCTTTCTTCAGATAATATTAAAAATGATGACAAAAGCTATATGTATGATATTGTTTATTGTGGTGTTACTTACAAAACCAAAACAATCAAAGCATTTTCAAAATCCAACTATAGGAAGTGATGAAGTAAACTGTGGATCCGTCAGTGAAATATAATGTGGTTGGTAAGACTGTTTAAAGAACATATAGTGGCATGACAAAATGCATATATATAAAGTTTTTAAAAAGGCAGGATAAAAATTTTAAGTACACTAAAATCACAACGAAAATGATATCCATGAAAAAGAATTTTTTCTTTCTTTTGAAAGAAGGGAATATCCAAACAATAAAAATGGATATGTTATGATGGGTAGATTATCAAATAATTATTTTCCTTTTTTTCTGCAAAGTTCTTATTCTTATTTTCATAATTTAAATAAAAATTATCAACTTTTCATTTTAACCTGTTCCAGCTCTCTATTTATATTACCAGAATTTATTTCAAGAGTACTTAAAAAGAACAATTGTATTAGCTGGAAAACTCAAGAAACATATTTTGAAACGTCAACCTTGTGTGCTAGGCATAACTGGATGACTTTAAAGTTCATTATAATAGGAAGATAATATAAAAATATAAATCCTCCCCTAAAGGGAGGTGCAACTCAGAATGCTATAAGTGCTTCACTTTTTTTAATACTACCAGAGTGAATAAGAACTAGACATTCGGCCGGGCACGGTGGCTCACGCCTGTAATCCCAGCACTTTGGGAGGCCGAGGTGGGTGGATCACGAGGTCAGAAGATCGACACCATCCTGGCTAACAGGGTGAAACCCCGTCTCTACTAAAAAAATACAAAAAGTTAGCCGGGCGTGGTGGCGGGCGCCTGTAGTCCCAGCTACTCCAGAGGCTGAGGCGGGAGAATTGCTTGAACCCGGGAGGCGGAGCTCCCAGCGAGCCAAGATCGCGCCACTGCACTCCAGCCTGGGCGACAGAGCTAGACTCCGTCTCAAAAAAAAGAAAAAGGAACTAGACATTCAACAAATATCTGAAGAACAAATAAACAAACCAAAGCAGAAGCTGAGTAGAATGTGAGACTATCTTACTAACTTAGAGATCCCTCTGGAGAGTTTTCTTTTAATGGTATGTCAGTCAGTCTGATTTCTAGAAGGAAAAGTATTTGTAATAATGTTTTCGGTTACTGTAGCCTTGTAGTATAGTTTGAAGTCAGGTAGCGTGATGCCTCCAGCTTTATTCTTTTGGCTTAGGATTGACTTGGCGATGCGGGCTCTTTTTTGGTTCCATATGAACTTTAAAGTAGTTTTTTCCAATTCTGTGAAGAAAGTCATTGGTAGCTTGATGGGGATGGCATTGAATCTATAAATTACCTTGGGCAGTATGGCCATTTTCACGATATTGATTCTTCCTACCCATGAGCATGGAATGTTCTTCCATTTGTTTGTATCCTCTTTTATTTCCTTGAGCAGTGGTTTGTAGTTCTCCTTGAAGAGGTCCTTCACGTCCCTTATAAGTTGGATTCCTAGGTATTTTATTCTCTTTGAAGCAAATGTGAATGGGAGTTCATTCATGATTTGGCTCTCTGTCTGTTATTGGTGTATAAGAATGCTTGTGATTTTTGTACATTGATTTTGTATCCTGAGACTTTGCTGAAGTTGCTTATCAGCTTAAGGAGATTTTGGGCTGAGATGAGGGGGTTTTCTAGATATACAATCATGTCATCTGCAAACAGGGACAATTTGACTTCCTCTTTTCCTAATTGAATACCCTTTATTTCCTTCTCCTGCCTAATTGCCCTGGCCAGAACTTCCAACACTATGTTGAATAGGAGTGGTGAGAGAGGGCATCCCTGTCTTGGGCCAGTTTTCAAAGGGAATGCTTCCAGTTTTTGCCCATTCACTATGATATTGGCTGTGGGTTTGTCATAGATAGCTCTTACTATTTTGAGATACGTCCCATCAATACCTAATTTATTGAGAGTTTTTAGCATGAAGAGTTGTTGAATTTTGTCAAAGGCCGTTTCTGCATCTATTGAGATAATCATGTGGTTTTTGTCTTTGGTTCTGTTTATATGCTGGATTACATTTATTGATTTGCATATATTGAACCAGCCTTGCATCCCAGGGATGAAGCCCACTTGATCATGGTGGATAAGCTTTTTGATGTGCTGCTGGATTCGTTTTGCCAGTATTTTATTGAGGATTTTTGCATCAATGTTCATCAAGGATATTGGTCTAAAATTCTCTTTTTTGGTTGTGTCTCTGCCCAGCTTTGGTATCAGGATGATGCTGGCCCAAACTGAAAACACCACCACTTTTATTCTGTAAAAAAGGCATTCAGGGAATGAGGCCTCCTCTATTCCCAGGAGGTCACAGGAACTGGGAGTGGCAAGAAGGAAGCTGCTAAACGGGATCCAGATGCAGCTTTATCCAGGGGACGCCTCATGCCTGGTCATTTGGGTGGCTGGGCTTGTCCCACCTCCTCCCCTTCTTCACGCCCTCCTCCCGGTCTCATCCTAGGCCCTCCCACCCCTAGGCCAGCCACAGACCTCGCAGCAGACATCTGTGGGTCTGAGTTTCATATATCCAGCATGAAGCATGGTACTGGTACCAAAACAGAGATACAGACCAATGGAACAGAACAGAGCCCTCAGAAATAACGCCACATATCTACAACTATCTGATCTTTGACAAACCTGAGAAAAATAAGCAATGGGGAAAGGATTCCCTATTTAATAAATGGTGCTGGGAAAACTGGCTAGCCATATGTAGAAAGCTGAAACTGGATCCCTTCCTTACACCTTATGCAAAAATTAATTCAAGATGGATTAAAGACTTAAATGTTAGACCTAAAACCATAAAAACCCTAGAAGAAAACCTAGGCAATACCATTCAGGACATAGGCATGGGCAAGGACTTCATGACTAAAACACCAAAAGCAATGGCAACAAAAGCCAAAATTGACAAATGGGATCTAATTAAACTAAAGAGCTTCTGCACAGCAAAAGAAACTACCATCAGAGTGAACAGGCAACCTACAAAATGGGAGAAAATTTTTGCAACCTACTCGTCTGAAAAAGGGCTAATATCCAGAATCTACAATTAACTCAAACAAATTTACAAGAAAAAAACAAACAACCCCATCAAAAAGTGGGCGAAGGACACAAACAGACACTTCTCAAAAGAAGACATTTATGCAGCCAAAAAACACATGAAAAAATGCTCACCATCACTGGCCATCAGAGAAATGCAAATCAAAACCACAATGAGATACCATCTCACACCAGTTAGAATGGCAATCATTAAAAAGTCAGGAAACAACAGGTGCTAGAGAGGATGTGGAGAAATCCCACTCCTTGGTGGGACTGTAAACTAGTTCAACCCTTGTGGAAGTCAGTGTGGCGATTCCTCAGGGATCTAGAACTAGAAATACCATTTGACCCAGCCATCCCATTACTGGGTATATACCCAAAGGACTATAAATCATGCTGCTATAAAGACACATGCACACGTATGTTTATTGCGGCACTATTCACAATAGCAAAGACTTGGAACCAACCCAAATGTCCAACAATGATAGACTGGATTAAGAAAATGTGGCACATATACACCATGGAATACTATGCAGCCATAAAAAATAATGAGTTCATGTCCTTTGTAGGGACATGGATGAAATTGGAAATCATCATTCTCAGTAAACTATCGCAAGGACAAAAAACCAAACACCGCATATTCTCACTCATAGGTGGGAATTGAACAATGAGAACACATGGACACAGGAAGGGGAACATCACAATCTGGGGACTGTTGTGGGGTGGGGGGAGGCGGGAGGGATAGCTTTAGGAGATATACCTAATGCTAAATGACGAGTTAATGGGTGCAGCGCACCAGCATGGCACATGTATACATATGTAGCTAACCTGCACATTGTGCACATGTACCCTAAAACTTAAAGTATAATAATAATAAAAAATAAATAACAAATAATAATAATAATAATAATAATAATAATGTTTTCAAATGTCAGTATTCAAGGTCAGGGAGACTTTTCTGGCTGAAAAATTCATTTCTGATAGTCAATGCAGGATGTTAATTAGGCCAACATCTCATTCAGAATCTTCCTTCACATTACTTCAGTCAGACCAGAAATGAAGCACAAGGTTCTATATAGAGGGTACAGAAACTTTTTAATATTGCAGAGAGTTAATTTTTTTTTCTAATGCTAAAAATTCCAATGCTCTCATGGGCATGATCTAGGCTAGGACAATCAAGGTTTTTTTTAAAATGCCCTTAAATCGGGGGTGGGTGCAGTGGCTCACGCCTGTAATCCCAGCACTTTGGGAGGCTGACTTGGGCAGATGACGAGGTCAAGAGATCAAGACCATCCTGGCCAACTTGGTGAAACTCCGTCTCTACTAAAAATACAAAAATTAGCTGGGCGTGGTGGCGGGCGCCTGTAATCCCAGCTACTCAGGAGGCTGAGGCAGGAGAATCGCTGGAATCCGGGAGGCGGAGGTTGCAGTGAGCCAAGATCACACCACTGTACTCCAGCCTGGCAAAACAGCGAGACTCTGTCTCAAAAAAAAAAAAAAAAAAAAAAAGCCCTTAAATCTTTTCTGGTAACATCACTCGAAAACAGAGAAAAGTGCCGAGTTGTCAAACTGAATAAAATAGCTTAGATTTTAAAAATTAAATCCTTTATGTAAAAAAAAAAAAAAAACAGGCAAAAATGAATGCAATTCACTGACCAGAAAAACCTCTACATTCAGCAGTATTACTACAAATACACATTCAACAAATGAGAATTAAATAGCAATGATCTACCTGACTGCAGACACCTCGGCATCAGCACGTGGCAGTCTTTTAGGAACCTCTAGTGGAGTTGAACTTACACTTTTTTGGCAACTTTGCAGTCCTGGTAAATATGGCATTTTGATACATTCCTTGAGCTCTTCTAGACCAAATGCTGTGGTATATTCTGGTTAAAAATATATAAGAATCATCTTGATTAAATGCATACTACTTGTTTTACTGCATCCTAAAACACATAATAAAATACACAAAATCAGCTATTAAGTAAAGAAAATTAAGCAACTGTAATTTAGCATCTTTCCCAAGAGAATGGCTTTCCTTCTACATCCTGACTATAGGGACTGCAGGAAGGAGTAGATTAAGGGGATGATTAAGAGTGGAATAAGGAAAAAGAACAGCTTCATGGATCTTCCACAGTCGTCACTATCCTCTGCTTTCATTATTTTATACAGTTAGAATTCCCAGAATATTAGATACCTTCACACTGAAATAAAAGGCACTTTCAAGAGTCTGATATTATCTAGCACTTAGAGTATTTCCATTTTCCTGCTTTTATGTAAATAAGAGGTGTAAACAGATGATCATCTTAGCTAGCAATGAGAGTCAAAGAATTATACTTGAGGCACTGATTTTGATTTTCTGTCCACAAAATTCCATACCAAATCTGTAAACCATCACCTTGAAGCATCAAGATTGTTTCTTCTACTAACCTCACATATCCATTGCACAGAGAGACGGTCAAATTATTTTTAAAAATTTTCAAGGCATTAAATGAAAAGAAAAAGGAGATTAAGAGGTTAAAGGTTTGGGTGTTCTTTGAACTAAACATAGAGAATTTTTTTGAAAGTATTCTCTACAAAGCAAGTGTAGCACAGCAACAAAAATGGTATTTAATGGGACTAAAATTATTATATTGAATGTTCAAAATGTTATTTTGTAACTTTTGATTTTTTCCTCTTTTGGAAAAAATAGTTTCTGTTGGTCAAAAAGCATATAGACTCTTTTTTCATCAATTAGATTTGGGGGGTAGAAGGGTGGATAAACTGCTGTCTGAGTACCTTTAATGGAAACCTGGTAAGAAAGTTGAAGAAAAAGTATAGCAACACATTCAAAGCCAAAGAGGGATAAATCATTGAGTAGTTTGCATTTTACTATTTTCAAGAATTATTGGCTGGGCGTGGTGGCTTACGCCTGTAATCCCAGCACTTTGGGAGTCCGAGGTGGGCAGATCACAAGGTCAGGAGATCGAGACCATCCTGGCCAACATGGTGAAATCCCATCTCTACTAAAAATAACAAAAATCTGCTGCGCATGGCAGTGCATGCCTGTCATCCCAGCTACTCAGCAGGCTGAGGCAGGTGAATCACTTGAACTTGGGAGGCAGAGGCTGCAGTGAGCCAACATCACACCACTGCACTCCAGCCTGGTGACAAAGCTAGACTCCATCTCAAAAAAAAAAAAAAAAAAAAAAGAATTATTTCTCCATCAATAAAGATGGAAGCAGAATTCAGAATAAACAAGAAATATAATTAACTTGAAAGTAAGGGGGAATAACTATTAATATACTCATCTACATGTCAAAAGTTATCAAACTAGTCTTCATTGAGCAGCTATGGGATTTAAGATACTCTCCACATAACTCAGTCAAAAATAAAGTTTTGGTTAGAATTTTTTTTTTTTTTTTTTGAGACAAGGTATCACTTTGTTGCCCAGACTGAAGTACAGTGGCATGGTCATGGCTCACTGCAGCCTCACCCTCTCCAGGCTCAGGTGATCCTTCTACCCTCAGCCTCCTGAGTAGCCGGGACCACAGGCGCACACCAACACGCTCAGCTAATTTTTGTGTTTTTTGTAGAGATGGGGTATCACCATGTTGCCCAGGCTGATCTCTAACTACTGGGCTCAAGCGATCCACCTGCCTTGGCCTCTCAAAGTGCTCAAATTACAGGCTAAGCCACTGTGCCTGGCTTTGGTTAGAATTATTAATACATAACAGCACTGTTAAAGATTTGGATGTCTTAAAATATAAAAATCACCTTGAGTTATTTAAAAGAAAATGCCATTTATAAAACGGAGTGTGATTCAACAGAGACAGTACTGCAATGGATATTAAGAAATGCAGTTCTTTCAGACAAATTTGAGTTTAAAAAAAAAGAAATACAGCTCTTTAAAATTTGTTTCCATCATGAGTCACAGAATTACATTAACTAAATTAATTTTAGTTTGCTTCCATTTTTCTTTTTCATCAATTTAAGATATAATTCTTACATAAATGTCACAGAAAATGTCCCTTGCCTGATGAAAAAAATACATGGAAATTCAAGGCACTATTTCTATGTTTTCTTAAGGAAAATAATAACAATAAAGTTACCTTTCTTAATCTTTTGTGTTTCTAAAACTGCTTTCTTCCAACTACTCTCAAAAATCAAACAACTGCCAAAGGAACTTCTGGTGAATTTAGAAGTCTCACATTTGATTTCAGGAGATAGCACTGACATTTTTTCTTCTTTCAACAGTGCTGATGAGAGGGAGATGCTGCTGCAGAGACAGGACACAAAATACAAAAAAAACAAGGCACGTCCGAGACAAGGCAAACAGATGTGTCATAATGTTTCTCTTTCAAACTTTGAACATTTTAATGAATTCTTTCAAATTCCAGGTTACAGATATTGGGTAATATTTTTAAAAGTAAAGTCCAATAGCAAGTTATCACCTACAAGACAATGGAATACTTGGATTCTCTCAAAAACATTATCATTATAAAATGCATTTGTGCCTAAAAAAAAAAAGACAAATTTTATGCTCCATGGAAAATAAACATGTTTTCTAGATAATCATCACTTTTATTTTAAACGTGGACACAGAAGGAAAATCAATCACTTACCCTGCTTACTTAATATATTAAACACATATTCAATTCAGTCATATACATTATCTATTACATGCAAGGCAAGACTACATCCAAAGAGTACAACCATGAGAAACCCTGAGGAGTCCCATGGGAATGGTGAGGAGTGACACCACCATGACCGCTACCATTTATGAAATGCCTATTTTTCCAGGATCCTTGCTGGGCATTTTGCATCCATTTTTTCCAGTGATCACAACAAAGAATTAGAGATAGCCAGATTCAGCTATGCTTATTCATTCATGCAAAATAAATTATTTACTGAGTGTCAATTTTATGCCAAGAATTACATAAAGCCTTAGAGAAACATGCTAAGCAAAACAGTCCCTGCCCTTGAGAAGCTTAGAATCTAGTAAAAGAAATACGGATGAGAAAATGGATAATACATTTCTCTGATCTCGGCAAACTATCGCAAGGACAAAAAAACCAAACACCACATGTTCTCACTCATAGGTGGGAATTGAACAATGAGAACACTTGGACACAGGAAGGGGAACATCACACCCTGGGGCCTGTCGTGGGGTGGGGGAGGGGGCAGGGATAGCATTAGGAGATATACCTAATGTAAATGACAAGTTAATGGGTGCAGCACACCAGCATGGCACATGTATACATATGTAACAAACCTGCACGTTGTGCACATGTACCCTAGAACTTAAAGTATAATAAAAAAAAGAAAGAAAGAAAACGGATAATACAGTTTTAGTAAGTGCTATGATGGGGGGCAAAAAATAAGGGTGCCGTGGGAGCACACAGCAGGGATTCCCACTGCAGCCTTGGGCATTAGGGAAGCATTTCTGGAGGAAGCCAGCAAAGCAAGGATGTGGGAGAGCAGAAGGAGGAGGATATGGCTCCCAGCAGAGGAAGAGCATTGTGATGGTTAATATTGAGTGTCAACTTGATTGGATTGAAGGACGCAAAGTACTTTTCCTGAGTGTGTCTGTGAGGGTGTTGTCAAAAGAGAGAAACATTTAAGTCAGTGGACTGGGAGAGGCAGATCCACCCTTAATCTGGGTGGACACGATCTAATCAGCTGCCAGTGTAGCTAGAATAAAGCAGGCAAACGTGGAAGGACTTGACCTGTTGAGTCTTCTGGCCTTCATCTTTCTCCCATGCTGGATGCTTCCTGCCCTCAAACATTAGACTCCAAGTTCTTCAGATTTTGGACTCTTGGACTTACACCCAGTGATTTGTCAGGGGCTCTCGGTACTGTCAGTTTCCCTACTTTTGAGGTTTTGGGAATTAGACTGGCTTCCTTGCTCCTCAGCTGGCAGGCAGCTTTTTGCGAGACTTTACCTTGTGATCACGTGAGTCAATACTCCTTAACAAACTCCCCTTCATATATACATCTATCCTATTAGTTCTGTCCCTCTAGAGAACCCTGACTAATACAAGCACATAAAAAGCATGCCTTTCTCCGGTGAGAGACAACAGGGTTCCAGAATGTAGTTTAACACAGCCGCAGTGTATGTGCTGCACACCAGCAGGGAGGGAAGGGGAAAAACAAGAATGTGGCCCAGAACACGGGGAGAGAGGGCAAACGGTGAGGGCAAAGGGGAGAAGAGAAAGAGGGAAAAGGAGGAACAGGGAGAAGGGGAGGGAAGAGAGGAGGGGGAGACCCAAAGGTAGCCTCAGCAATGGGGGAGTAGGGAGAGGCGAGCCCTCCCCAAGAAGCTACTCCTGAGGGGCCACTGCCTCAGATCCTGGAAAGTTATTTATTACAAAGTGAGAAATTAGTTAAAAATAAAGGAGGGAAAGTTTTTAGATTTTGTGATGAGATCTTGGACATGCTTTTTACACTGCTTGAAATGGCAGTGTTGGCAGCTAAAAGTGAGGATGGAGACCAGACAGTAAGGAGCTACAGAGCACAGGTGAAGAGCATTAGGAAACGTAGTCAGGGACAGCAAAGGGAAGGGGAGAATCCAGCTCAGCACTGGTTCCAAAGGCCTGTTTTGGCAGCTCCAACCTGTCCTGCCAGGTCCTCTGGGCCCAGCCCACGCTTCCTTCCCTGCAGCAAGGCTCCAGGCTTGTTCTCTAATGCTGCCACCACCCTCTCTATTCTTGGGGTTGATCCTCTTTCCAAGCAACAAAGAAAGAAGAGTGGCTCCTTCTTTCTTTGATGTACTTGAAGACAAACTCTTTTGATTTCACAGGATTTGTTGCTAAAGACTTGAGAAAACAAATAAGACAATTATAAGCACAAAAATAATGAAAATGGCAACAAAACTAACTAAAATATGGAGTAAATTATAATTTCCAGTCTTAAAGAACTCAGAATCACGATCCAGACTCTAACAGCTTCTTTCTCATTTTATTTGTAAAGGTGAAGATGACCAGACAACTTTCTTTCAGCTTTAAGTCAGCCTCCTCTCCCTCTTCAAAGCCCCTCTTCTAGGACAGAAGAGGCCATCAGGGACTAACAATAAATGCCTCACACCCTCCAGCGGACATCTGCATTTCTGAACATTCCAGACCAAGGTTATACCAAAGAACAGCCCTCTTAGTGGCATTTTATTCTATCAGGCCAAGATAAAGTTTTCCTAAAACTGGCTTTTTAGTAAAAGTTCACATGATAAATACACATTCATTATACTATTGTTATCCTTATGCTTTTGTGTGTATTTGAAATTTTCCAAAATAAAAAAAAATTTTTTTAAGTAACAGCTGGCTGGGCATAATGGCTCACACATGTAATCCCAGCACTTTGAGAGGCTGAGGCAGGAGGATCACTTGAGGCCAGAAGTTTAAGACCAACCCAGGCAACATAGTGAGACCCCCTAATCTACAAAAAATTTTAAAACAGCCAAGCATAGTGGCATACATCTGTAGTCCCAGCTACTGAGGAGGATGAGGTGATAGGACTGCTTGAGCCCAGGAGTTCTAGGCTGCAGTGAGCCATGATCATGCCACTGCATTCTAGCTTGGGCAACAGAGTAAGATCCTGGCTCAAAAAAAAAAAAATTGAAAAAAATCAAAATAAAAGAGCCATATCTGCAAGAATATATAACTTAAGGAATATGCTGAAATCATGAAAAACCAAATATTTTTGATGTGATGTTTCCTGTAAACACGGTCTCTACCTAATTCTAGTGGAAAAAGAAAAATTAAGGATACTTTACAGAACTAATAAAAAGGCTATTTAAAACACACACACACACGTAGGAAGAGATAATAAAAAGAAGAAAGTACTTATGTTCTAGGGCAACCAATTAAAAAATCACTGAAAAAATGCTTTCTCAAATTACCAGTAAAGAGAACTAGTGTTGAGATAAACTTGTTTAAAACTAACAGCTGTGAAAAAATTACTGTATTTTTAAGGCACCCCCAAATATGGGTGTATTTAAACATTTTAAAAATATTTCAGCTGGGCATGGTGGCTCACACCTATAATCTCAAGAATTTGGGAGGCTGAGGTGGGTGGATCAGTTGAGGCCAGGAGTTCAAGACCAGTGTGGTCAACATGGCAAAACCTCATCTGTACTAAAAATACAAAAAAATTAGCCATGTGTGGTGGTGCACACCTGTAATCCCAGCTACTCAGAGGCTGAGGCATGAGAACTGCTTGAACCTGAGAAGTAGAGGTTGCAGTGAGCCGAGATCACACAACTGAACTCCAGCCTGGGTGACAGAGAGAGACTTCATCTCAAAAAATAATAATAAAATATTTCAAATATTTTTAAATTAAGATTTCCTTTTATCACCTAGCTTAGAACTCAAAGGAAATGTTAAATATTGGCTCACATATTTATTATTCATCCACCCATTCGTTCACTCACTTAGCAAAATGTATTGAACATCTGTCATGTCAAGCATGGAAGATGTAATACTGAACCCAAGGAGATAAGGTCCCTGCTCTCCTGAAGCTTAATTGGGGCAGTCAGACAATAGGTAAGTAAATGAATGAACCAAGTTTATTTCAGATAAAGTACAATAAAAGTAGAGTTCTATATTGGTGATGGTTAAGTTCTATAAAGTCACTGTGAACACTGAATTAGCAAATACTGAACCATTGTTCCTAGGGGGACTTATAAGGGTAGGTTCCTATGAGCCTCTGGTCCCAACATTTTCATCAACCAGTCCATACATCACTTTGTCATATTTGTGTTTCTGTTTAAAGACATCTTATTTAATATATACATTATTGATTCATTAACATGGAACTCACGGTCAAATAAGTTAATCTCACACCCGTATTTTTTCCACAAGATACATCACAGCCTTCTTGTGCTTAGGAACACTGAACAGCACTTCAGTGTAACTATACTTGGGGGTCCTCTAAAATAGGAAAATCACCAAAAAAAGGACAGAAATGCAAAAAACATGGTACTAAATAGTGAAAAAGACACTTGTTTACAGTATGGAAGCTAAAACGAGAAGGCAGAGCATTGACTTGTTCGACCTCAGCTGGGAAAGTATACTTCAGGTGAATTTTTTGCTGCTCTGCACATGTCCACAGGAGACTAGGAAAGCATCACAAGTATTGACTTTGGGGTTACAAATACATTTTAGTGAGCAGATGAATCTGTAAGGGCAGAATCTGTGAATAATGAGGGTTGACTTGGCAATGTCATGAGGGGCAAGAAGCGCTTCAGACTGGGTGGCTAAGGAAGGTCTCATTGACAAAGTGATCTCTTTTTTTGAGAAGGAGTTTCACTCTTGTCACCCAGGCTGGAGTGCAGTGGCGCGATCTCGGCTCACTACAACCTCCACCTCCCGGGTTCATGTGATTCTTCTGCCTCAGCCTCCTGAGTAGCTGGGATTACAGGTGCCCACCACCACACCCAGCTAATTTTTGTATTTTTGGTAGAGACAGTGTTTTGCCATGTTGACCAGGCTGGTCTCAAACTCCTGACCTCAAGTGATCCACCTGCCTCAACCTCCCAAAGTGCTGGGATTACAGGCGTGAGCCACCACATCTGGCAATAAGGTGATCCTGAGCTGAGATCTCAATGGACCAGAGTAGCCACAGATATCTGGAGGAATATCTAAAAGTGAAGAGCACTCTTCACAAAGAGAACAGTGAGTGCAAAGGCTATAAAACCAGAATGAGGTTGGCATGTTCTATAGGTAGACAAGCTCTGTGTATCACAGCTATGGTATCCAATATGGTAGACCCTAGTCATAGGTGGCTACTGAGCACTTAAAACATGCTAGTCAGAATTGTGATGTGCTATAAGTGTAAAATACACATCAGATTGCAAACACTTCTTGAGGAAAAAAAAAAGAATCTAAAATATCTCATTAACAATTTATATGCTGTATTGATTTTATGTTGAAATGATACTAGTTTGGATACTTTGGATTAAATAAGGTTATTTACATTAATTTCACCTGTCTCTTTTTGCATTTTTAATGTGGCTTTCAGAAATTTTTAAATTACATATGAAGCTAGCAAAGGGGAGAGGAGAATAAGACAAGGTTTGAAAGATAGCAGATATCAGGTATTTTAGGGCTTTATAAGTCATAACAGAGTTTGGATTTTATTCTACGTGCATCAAAAATCCATCAGAAGGCTTTGAATAGGAAGAAACATCTTAGAGTTGGGTTAAAAGCAAATCTCTGGTTTAAAGGCACATAAAGGACACTGTGGAACACAAAGAAGGGAGTTGTTAATTCTCAGGAAAGGCTTTAAGGAGATGACCCCCCTAAGCTAAGTCCAGGTTGGAGGAGTGGTCAGACCTCTTTATAGAGTCGTTGCTGGGCAATGACACAGAGGTATCAAAAGAACTTCTCTGTTCAAGGAATGTAAGCAGTTAAATATGGCTAGCATGGTGATCTCTCCCATGCCATTCTTCAAAGAATCCTAAATCTATATCTTCAGGCATCTCTTCTGAGCAATCAGCATACAAAAAGAACTGCTTATTAGGGAGCTTTACCTGGATGTCTCAAGGGCATCTCAAATTCAAAATGCCCCCAAACTAGCCACGTTTTCCAACTGAAGTATGTTTCCTTCCAGATTCCCTAACAGTACCTGACATCATCATGCTCCAGTAACAAAAGGTAGAAACCTGGATGCCAACATGGACACCCCTCTTTCCTCCTAAATCTTGTCATTCAATAAGAGCTGTTCGTTTTATCTCTTACATATCTCTTAATCTGTCTACTTCTCTCCATCTCCACCCTACTCCAAGCTACTGTCATTTCATGCCTGGGTTGTTGTATTAGGATTTAACTGATCTCCTCACATCCAGTCACATTCCCACAGTCTAAAATTTGAATTTCAAAACACTAATGAAGGTATCTTAACTTTTAAAAAATGATTCTTACCTTTTCTTGTATCTCCATTCATCTGGAGAACAGAAAAGAAATTGATAAAGAGGGAGACAGAAGAGTGAAAACCTTCGGCCACCTCTGGCTCATTTAGGATGACTGTGTAGCTGGCAGGCAGCCTTCTGGGCTTTTCAGTGAGTGAATGGACCTGCTTATGGTCCCTCACAGAACTCTGAGATGGAGCAATCTATGAAGCCCTTCTATCTTGGGATAGATTGCTCAAAGTTTCTATCCACTCATTTGAGGTGTCATCATGACATGGGAAAAGATGGCTGGAATATGAATGGCTTACACAAGAATATTTTCCACCATATAAAAGCCTGGCCAGACCTCTCAAGGCTGGTGCCAGGATGTCAGAGAGCCAGACTACTTCTATCTTACTGCTCTACCTCCCTGAACGTACAGGATCTACCTTATGGTTTGAGGTGGCTTTTCAGTAGGTGAATGTTTATATGGTGCTGATGGCAACCAAGGTTTCCAGTGTTGGAGAAAAACATAAAGATTTAAGATCAATAAGATTAAGTGAAAACTCCCAAAGTCCTAAACATGAATTGGAAGTATCATTATACAGGCTTTTATTTAAAATAACCATGAAAAAATGTTTCCTAGCACTGTCCACTGAACTGCAGGCGCCCAGAAACAATCATCAAACCAAGAGCATTAAAAACCCCTAACAACCAGGCTGTGATCTCATTCCTGAAAAAAGAAAAAAAAAACTAGGGCCCCTGGAAGAAGTAGCTGATTCCAGGTCTGTGGTAGGAAATATACAAAATGAACCTGTAATAATTTGTCATTTCAGAAGTCTAGGAATCTATCAAAGACAACTGCAATCATGGCAGTCACCGATTTAATGAGGTGCCAACTGACCAAAGATAGGACTATAAACCTTAATAAGAATATTAACTTTAATGGATTAAAATATGTTAAGCATGTAGAATACACAAATGTGTAAATATACGGTAATCCCCCCTTATCCCTGGGGAATACAGCTCAAGACTTCCAGTGTGTGCCTGAAACTGTGGATAGTACTGAACCCTATATATGCTATGTTTTTTCCTATATATACATACCTATGATAATTTATAAATTAGGCACAGTAAGAGATTAACCACAACAGCTAATAATAAAATAGAACAATTATAACAATGTACTATAATAAAAGTTATGTGAATGTGCCCTTTCTCTCAAAATATTTTATTGTATGTAATATTTTCTGACCTCAGTTGATGATGGATAACTGAAACCAGAAACTGAAAATGAGGGGGAACTGCTGTACAGCACTTAAAAACAAAACAACAGCAAAAACAAATGAAAACCTTACTCATCTTTGGAGGATACTAAAGGATCAACTTAATTTGAAACCCAATACATATCAGGAAATAACCAAGCATTTATTCAAATAAATGATGATAGGAAAGTTTCTCACAGTATCTCAACTAATAAATGAGGGAATTAGAGTATGATTATAAAATATTACCATTTTGCAAACCTTAATAAATGGAGCTTGGCAATTATGACGATTAATGTTTTGTTTCAGCTTGGTTAGGCTATATAGTATCTAGTTATCTAATTAAACACTAATCTAGGTGTTGCTGGGACAGTATTTTGTAGATGTAGTTACCACGTACAGTCAGTTGACTTTAAGTAAAGGAGATTTTCCTCAATAATCTGAGTGGGCTTTATCTAATTAGTTGAAAGTCCCTGGAGAAAAACTGATGTTTCCTTGAGGAAGGAAATTCTACCTCAACACTGCAGTACTAACTCCTGCCGAAGATGTGTCTCTGGCAGAACACCACCATCTATATAGCATTCTTGCCAGAAAAAAATCAAACCCAACTCTGATGAAGCCTTTAGATCTAACTCCTGATTTAGAGGAATAGAAGACAAAACAACATATTAAATGGCATCGCGGGGATACAATCAGCAAAATCAGACTGCAGTTTTGACCTGAGACAAATAAACTGTTTCTTTCCACAAATAAATTACAATTAATCAGTCAATCATCCGTATAGGGGGTAGGGATAATCTATAGATTAAAAGAGATTTAAGAAACATAGCAGGCTGGGCGCGGTGCCTCATGCCTGTAATCCCAGCACTTTGGGAGGCCGAGGCAGGCAGATCACGAGGTCAGGAGTTCGAGACCAGCCTGGCCAACATGGTGAGACCCTGTCTCTACTAAAGATAAAAAAAATTAGCCAGGTGTGGTGGCACGCACCTGTAATCCCAGCTACTCAGGAGGCTGGGGCAGGAGAACTGCTTGAACCTGGGAGGCAGAGGTTGCAGTGAGCCGAGATCGCGCCACTGCACTCCAGCCTGGGCGACAGGGTGAGACTCTGTCTCAAAAAACAAAAAAAAAAGAAAAGAAACATAGCAAACAATTGCAGTGTATGAACTTTGCATGAATTGCTTTTTAAAAGATACTCTATGAGACAATCAGGGTAGTCTGAGCACTGACAGGATATTTGATAGCATTAAAGAATTATGATTAATTTTTTAAGATGTCATAATGGTTTGTGTTTTCAAAAGAACTCTCATCTTTCCAGATATATATGGAAATATTTATGGATAAAATGATACAATGTTTGTGATTTGCTTCCATATAATGGGCGTGGGAGGGAGAGGGTAGTGGTGACAGTATGGGTAAAACCACATCAGCCATGAGTTGCTAATTGTTGCAATGAATGGCTGGTACATTGGGCCTTATTATATAACTCTTTCTACTTTGGGATGTTCTGAGCATACTCCACAATTGAAAAACAAGACAAAACAGCTTGAGCTCCTGCCTACAGGAAGAAGGAAGGGGAGAGACATTCTCCTTCCCTTTAAGGTCACTTTCCAGAAGTCATACAGAGTTTTGATTATATCCTATTGATTAGAACTTAGCCATGTGGTCACACCAAGCTGCAAAACAAGGTGGAAAATGTAGACTTCATTGTGGGGATCAAGTATCCAGCAAAAATGTCAGGAATCTTTTTAGTGAAAAAAAAGAAGGAACAGGTACAGTGAGAAAACTTTAGCAATCCCTGCTACACTGGCTAGGGCAAAATCTCTATTTAAAAATTAGTCTAAACATGTCATTCCCTCCCTTTATGTCTCATAATATAATACAGGGAATACTTAATAATTGTCCTGTAGAATTTGAGGAAAAGTGATTACGAGTATAAAATATATTTTGCTGTTATGCCACAATCTCCCTAAAAAACTGACAATAAGTTTTTGCTCTCCTAAAATGAAAAGATGAAAACCTCTCAGTTAACCACCACTGTCATAAATCACATTGAAACAATAGTCTCTGCTCTAATACAGAATTTTTCCAAACCTAATACAATAGAAAACTTTGAACATTCATTATAGTCTGATCTGCACTGGGTGAGAAGCAATGGCAGATGCACAGTGTTCTTTTCCATTAGCAGAACCACCAACCCTTACAGCGACTCTGGGCTGCCTCAGGATAAATTCATCCACCCAGCAAACCTTCAAAGCACTTAATATATGCAGGTAGATTTAAGCAATCATCTATTCAGCATTCCTGCAGGCTGTGCACTAAGATACTACTGTCTGCCTCCTCCAATAATACAACACAAACCCAGCTCCTTAGGGGCTCCCATGACATAATAACTCAATATAGTATGTAAACAGAGTAAGCTTCAAAAAGCTGTAGCTTTCACTGTTATTTTAAAAATCAGCACTACTCAGCACTTGACACATATTGTTTTAAAAGCAGAATTCTTAAACAAAAATTTTAAAATGTATTAAAAGGTGACCTCAACATAGAGATCTGGTTATATTTATCTATATTTTTGAAGATATTAAGAAGGTAAGGGGTTCCTGTTTACAGAGATTAAACTCACTGAAGCAACACTAGTATGTTAATGGGGAAAGTTGTTCCTGTTAATATAAGAACCTTCATTAAAAACTTATAGTAGCAAGAAAATCTTTAATTACTTAGTGGAAGAGAATAGAATCATTGAGTGAAATGAAAAACAACAAAGTTTTTTTTTCAAATCTTCATTTTTAAAACCTCAGTCATTATAATAAAAATTTATTCTGTGCAAGATTTCTGGAATTAGAATTGCCCATGCACCCCCATCCCAATACCAAACATCTAAAAATAAGCAAGGAGATAAGTGAAAGTCGTTGAAAATTTAATAGCGTAATAACCAGTTTTTCAAAGTCAGGTCTACGTATCTGTATAAAAAGAATATCTAACTCCTGTCTGAATTGAGATCCTTACTTGAAAATTAACAGAATGGTTCAACAGAAATCACTGATTAAGAGACCTAATCCCCTAATTTTTGAGTTAAACAAACAGATTTGGGGAGGTTAAATGGTTTGCATCAAATGTTATGCAACAGAAAACAAAACAAAACAAAACAAAAACTATTACTTTTATCAAATTATCTTTCAGGAAGGAGGGGAGATGGCCGAAGGAACACAACTAAAGAAGAAATATTAAAATGAAGCTCTAACAAAATTTAAAAAATAGTCCAGACGTGGTGGCTTACACCTGTAATCCCAGCACTTTGGGAGGCCAGGGCAGGTGGATCACTTGAGCCCAGGAGTTCGAGACCAGCCTGGGAAACACAGGGAGACCTGGTCTCTAATCTTATAAATAAACAAATAAATTAATAAATAAATATTAACAAAATAAGCAGCATTCAGAAAAATTAGGAAAAACACTTGCAAAGTGCTTATGTGAACAAAAGTATTTCCCACTTCCAAAATCTGAAAGCAATTAATTTGCTTATTTGTGTCTAAATATTCAACTTACAGGAAAAGTTACATTTAAGCTTTCCCTAAATAAAGTTCTGTGAAATAAAACTTCACAGCCTGTGAATCAAGAAATGAAGAGATGAATGTATATAGATGCAATGGTGAGTGATATATTTACATCCCCATCCATGCCACCTCAAAGCCCTTTGCCAATCCCCCATTCCTGCCACCCCTTCCTGGATAAGGCAGCCATTTATTTTCATGTCAACCTGTCTATGCCTCAGTCTCCCAATCTTGAGAACTAGCACACTCTGCCTTACAGAGTCATTGTGAAGTTTAAAGGTAACTTAAGGAAAACACCTGCTATAGCTTGAATATGGTTTGTTTCCTCCCCAAATCTCATGCTGACTTTTACCCCCAGTGTGGTGGTGTTGGGAGGTGAGGCCTAGTGGGAGGTGTTTGGGTCATGGGAGTGGATCTCTCATGAATGGCTAGGTGCCTCTTCTCCTGGCAGTGGGTGAGTTCTCACTCTCATGAGACTGGATTGGTTCTGGGGAAATGGATTACATCTCAGGAGAGGGAGTTGTGATAAAGCCAGGATGCCCCTTGGGTTAGGTCCCTCTTTGCACGTGCCCACTTCCCCTTAGACTTTCTCTGCCATTTTTTGATGCAACACAAAAGCCCTTGCCAGAAGCCAACCAGATGCCAGAGCCATACTTCTTGTACAGCTTGCAGAGACATGAGTGAAATAAACCACTTTCCTTTATAAATTACCCAGCCTCAGGTATTCTTTTATAGCAACACTAAACATACTAAGACAGCACCTAACTAAATGCCTAGTGTATTAGTCCATTTTCATGCTGCTGATAAAGACACCCGAGACTGTGCAATTTACACAAGAAAGAGGATTATTGGGCTTACAATTCCATGTGGCTGGAGAGGCCTCACAATCATGAGGGGGGAAACCACTCCCATGATTCAATTATCTCCCACCAGGTCCCTCCCACAACATGTGGGAATTATAGGAGAACAATTCAAGATGAGATTTGGACGGGGACACAGAGCCAAACCATATAACCTAGTACACTGCTTTAATTCTCAAGCAAGAATCTTCATTTCAGACCACAGTAAGGGATCCTTCTTAAGCACAGAAAGAAATGATAGCTGCAATTATTATCATAATCATCATGATTATTATTATAGGCCAAGAATCGACTAATGGCTGGGGTAGGGGATGTATAGCTTGACTCAATGCCTCTTCCTCTTTCCTTTCAGGGTGAAACTACAAACTTAGATCTCCACCTTTTCCCCCTTTACCACTGGCAATTCAATTAATTCCTAATGAGAGAAGTATATCTTTCTTGCAGATTCAGAAACATTTTCTAAGTTCCTTTTTCCTTTCTCCTCTCTCCCACCTTTGACCAGTTAACTCAGGAAAATTGTCCATTTCTATGCCCATTTGTGAAAGGACCTAATCAGGGCTTAATATACTTATTATTGTAATCATAATAAAATTAAAACATCTAACATTCCTTGAATACTCACTGTACCAAGCACTATGACATGCACATTATATCAGCCCACTTAATTCTTTTTTTTAATATATATATATTTTTATTATACTTTAAGTTCTAGGGTACATGTGCACAACGTGCAGGTTTATTATATATGTATACATGTGCCGTGTTGGTGTGCTGCACCCATTAACTCGTCATTTACATTAGGTATATCTCCTAATGCTATCCCTCCCCCCTCTCCCCACCCCATGATAGGCCCCGGTGTGTGATGTTCCCCTTCCTGTGTCCAAGTGTTCTCATTGTTCAATTCCCACCTATGAGTGAGAACATGCAGTGTTTGGTTTTTTGTCCTTGCGATAGTTTGCTGAGAATGATGGTTTCCAGCTTCATCCATGTCCCTACAAAAGACATGAACTCATCATTTTTTTATGGCTGCTTAATTTTTGTAAAGTGTAAATATTGAGCCTACCTTGGAGGATGGCACTATTATTATTATCATCTCTATTTTACATTGAGAAACCTGGGGTTTAGATAACAAAATCCAATAGCTACTAACTGTTTGAAATGGAAATCTAACTCAGGCCACCTTCCCAACTGCAAAGATGATGCCCTTAATCTCTCTCCTATAATGCCAAGGAAAAAGGTAAGTAAAATCAGAGAAATTAGGAGCCTCAAAAGTTTTCAGAATTTTGTTCAAAACTTCTGATGGCAGCGGCAACCGGCCTGGAGTGGTCATTGCCATGATGCCAGTTGCAGTGGGGGAGGTGCAGCCAGGGCTGCATGCTCCATGGAGCCAGTGGGAGCGAGGAACAGGCAGAAGCCGTGCCCGTTTCTGAGTGGCGGGGCAAAAGTCCCATGTTCCTGGGCACAGCTGCAGCCACCCAGCCATGGCTGCAGACCTGGGCATCCCTGCACTCTCAGGGCCCCGGAAACCACTTGCCTCTGTAGGCTTCAAAGTGCTTGCTTCCCCTGCCTGGCCTCTCCCAGCTCCCAGTGCCCACTCTGATTTTAGAGCAAAGTTATGGCCGAGCCCAGGCACTGTCACAACCTGGCTGGGCGTGTGCTCGCTCAGGGAGGCACTAACATGCCAGCCGCCTGCCACCTTGGCCCTCTCCAGACTGTGGTCACTGATGAGCACAGGAGGGAGGCCGAGGTGGGGCTGAGGGCAGCTCAGTTTGGCCCTGCAGGAACCCCTCTGCATGAATAGCCTGGGCGCCATGGGCACCATGGACGGCAGGTTGATGGCGGCAGGAGTCAGGCTCCTAGGTGGAAAGAGGCGGTCCCCAGTGAAGCCTGAAGCCTGGGGCCCAGGCTGTCAGTTCCACGTGAAGTCTGCGCCCAGAGTGAGAACTTGTGGTGCTTTTTTGTTGGTGATGCCAGTTTTTTTTTTTTTTTCTGAAAGATACTTCAAACTTCAAAATTTAAATGGGAGATTGATACATAAGATGGTCTTCTTAATATCCAACTGTTTATCTTGCTTAACCTTGGTAACTATATGGAATGTATTCTAATTATTTTATTTCTTAGTTAAGTATATTTTATGACTCTTAAAACTACTAAATAGAACTAAGAAATACCATTAAAAGGTCAAAATGTTATATTTTGTAATGATATATCATCCAAATTATGCTTTTCTGAAACGTTCATCTAATTTTTTTTACCACCTTGAGATTACTGTTAACTATTTTCTCTTTTATATTATATTGCTTGTCAAAAGGACTTTTTTTGGGTGAGGGGAGACAGGTGCTTACCTGACACTATATTATTTAGTATACAGCAGACCATATTTCATCTTTTTTTTTTGAGATGGAATCTTGCTCTGTCGCCCAGGCTGGAGTGCAGTGGCGCGATCTCAGCTCACTGTAAGCTCCGCCTCCCGGGTTCACGCCCTTCTCCTGACAGCCTCCCGAGTAGCTGGGACTACAGGCACCCGCCACCACGCCTGGCTAATTTTTTGTATTTTTAGTAGAGATGGGGTTTCACCGTGTTAGCCAGGATGGTCTCAACCTCCTGACCTTGTGATCCGCCCACCTCGGCCTCCCAAAGTGCTGGGATTACAAGTGTGAGCCACCGCACCTGGCCATTTCATCTTTTTTAGGTTATCTTTTGTTTGCTTTAAAAAATGCATTGGTACAGAGAGAAATGTAACATTTGTTTCCCTATCACCCTAACATTATGCTAAATATATGCTAATATTGCTTAAATATTAGCAAAATTTAAGAATTTGCATGTTTGCGTCCTATGTTTTTAAGGGAAAGACAGCAAATATTTTTCCATCCCCCATCATGCTCCTTTTCCGGAAGCAACCACTCTCATAAATTTGGTGTGAATCCTTGAAGTCTGCTTTTATATTTTAACTGCACGTAGGTATAGGAGAAAAGATACTGAGTTGTTTGATATCTTATTAGTTTTACATAAATAAGTTACACATATCTTCTGCAACTTTTTTTCACTCGAGATTGAGTCATTGAGATTGAGTCACATGAGACTGAGATTGAGTGTACATATAGATTTAGTTTATTGATTTTAGCTGCTGTCTATATCATATCGATTATATGAATATGTAATTATCCATCCTCCTACAAGTGGTAAGGTGAATTGTTTAGAATTTTCTAATATTACAAACAATATGACAGTTAATATCTTTGTAAATGACTCCTAATACACATGTGTGTTTCTGCAGGGCAATATACCTAAAATTGGATTCACTGGTTTGTAAGATGTGCAGATATTTAACTTTACTTACTACTAATAGATTATTCTCCATGTACTAATCTTAATTTATACTGAATAAGTGGTTATCTCTACCTGTATTCCCATAATTTTTGTTTACCCACATTCTTATGTACACTTGTAATAGTTCTTTTTTTTTTTTTTTTTTTTTTTTTGAGACATAGTCTTGCTGTCACCCAGGCTGGAATGCAGTGGCTTGATCTCAGCTCACTGCAACCCCTGGCTCCCAGGTTCAAGCAACTCTCCTGTCTCAGCCTCCGGAGTAGCTGGAATTACAGACATGCCCCACCACACCTGGCTAACATTTTGTATTTTTAGTACAGACAGGTTTTCACCATGTCGGCCAGGCGGGTCTCAAACTCCTGACCTCAAGTGATCAACCCACCTCAGCCTCCCAAAGTGCTGGAATTACAGGCATGAGCCACTGTACCCTGCCAATTAAGCTATTTTAATTTTTGCTAATCTTTGGATGTTAAATGGTACCTTGTTAATTTTTACTTCCCTAAAAGTGTTTATTTGCCACTTAGGTTTCCTCTTCTGTGAAATGCCTATTTCTATGCTTTCCCCATTTTTGTACAGGGTTTTGTTTTATTCTTATTTGTAGTGCTTTATATTTGGTGAGTACTAATTCTTTATATGTTATATATGTTGCAAATATCTCTCCCAATATTAGTTTATTTTTAACCTGTTTATGTCTTTTAGTTTATCAGAAACTTTAAATTTTGATATAGTCAAATTTGTCTATTTTTCTATAATATCATATTGAAGAAATCCTCTTTCCTACTCTAAGACAAAAAGATAAAGCCAAGATCCCCTAATATTTGAGTCTGATTTTGATACTGTTTCTCTGATCTTATTAACTACCCCTGAGCCATTATCACATTACCTTAATTTCTAAAAATTATATATGCATTTATGTGTGCATATAAGCTTATTTCTGTTTGGTTTTTGTTCGCTCCCTTGTTTTATGAAGCTTCCTGAGAAAGGGTTCATAGGAAGTAAAATTTTTTTATGGTAAATATATTTTTATTATTAGTTGTATCAGAAAAGCTTGTACATACAGGTGATTTCTGATGCTTTTTTTTTTTTTTTTGAGATGGAGTCTTGCTTTGTCACCCAGGCTGGGGTGCAGTGGTGCAATCTCGGCTCACTGCAACCTCCAACTCCCAGGTTCAAGCGATTCTTCTGCCTCAGCCTCCCAAGTAGCTGGGATCACAGGCGCATGCCACCACGCCCTGCTAATTTTTTGTATTTTTAGTAGAGACGGGGTTTCATCATGTTGGCCAGCCTATTCTTGAACGCCTGACCTCAGGTGATCCACCCGCCTCAGCCTCCCAAAGTGCTGAGATTACAGGAGTAAGCCACCACACCCAGCCTTCTGATGCATACTTTTATTAAAGTCAGAGGTGGTTATTTATTCTAGAGAAACAAATCTTTGAGGTTAGAATGGAAGACAATGAAACAAGACATTTCACTTTATAATTTACCTTTGTCAAACTATCCCAGAGCATGACCATTCTATTATGAAATTATTATTATATAACAAATTATTAGTAGAAAACACACAAGCCAAAAAACCTTAAATTCTGTAATCTTCAAGTCAACCATCAACTTTTCTTAGATTTTTGAAGACCTGGAAAGAAAAATAATTTCAAACAACAGCACCCAAATACCATATACATTTGTAATGAGGCACAGCAGTCATTTTTTTTTTTTTTTTTTTTTTTGAGAGGGAGTCTCAGTCATCCAGGCTGGAGTGCAGTGGCGTGATCTCGGCTCACTGCAACCTCCACCTCCCAGGTTCAAGTGATTCTCCTGCCTCAACCTCCTGAATAGCTGGGACTACAGGTGCACGCCACCATGCCCGGCTGATTTTTGTGTTTTTAGTAGAGACAGAGTTTTGTCATGTAACCCAGGCTTGTCTTGAACTCCTGACCTCAAGTGACCTGCCCACCTCAGCCTCCCAAAGTGCTGGGATTACAAGCATGAGCCACTGCGCCCATCCCGGCAGTCAATTTTAAGCCTCAAATCTTCCAGGGTTTAGCTTAGTAATCCTCATTGGTTTTTTAGATTTTTGTCAGTTGGGGCTATTTTGCCTTACTGGGCCTAAACAGAATATTAAAATACATTAATAATCCATACTGAGAATAGAGTATAAATGGGTTTCTCACTCCTTAGGGACACAAGTGGGAGCAACACATCCAATGAACGCAGATGAATGCCCCTGGTTATCCCTGAGCTGGGCAGTTTCACACGATCATTTTTTCTCTGAGGCCAAAGTCTGTGGTTTGATCATCTTAGCAGCCTCCAGAACCAGACAAAGTAGGTTTACTTTGTCTCCAAATTCTTTTTCTCGGTGCTCGAGAAGAATCCCCTGGTTTCCTGATGCCACCACGAAAACTTCCCTGAGGATGAAGCCTTCTCCTTCCAGGTTTCCAGAGAAGCCTCCATTCCAGGCTCAGAAGTACCACACTCCCAGACAGATAAATCCCATAAACATCATCTTCTGCCTTTGTGGACCATAGAACTTTTTCTTTTCATCCAGGAAGGTTTCTCTTTTAAAATAAGGCTGGAAATCCTTCACTTCATTCCTGATGTGCTCCTTTACCACTGCATAGAGGGGGACACCCAGCTCGTCCACATGGGTTTTAGGGAGGACAGATCCGCAGCTTCCCCTCAACAGAGGAAACAGCCTGGCCTCCGCACAGCCATAATCACAGGTCCATTTTCTTTTCCCATAGCTGCTTTGCTTTCAAAGTCCTTGGTTCCTTCTCCAGCATTTTCAGGTCTATATCCTCCAGGTACTCCAGTGCCGCTTTCTGGGGCTTAGAGAGAAACATGTCTGTGTTGGCCAGCAACAATGCCAAGGCAGCAGCCCCCAGGGCTCTTGCACCGAGGGACCACATGCCCATGGTGAGGAAACTTGGGTTCTGGAAGAAAGACATTTCTGCCTCAGTCTCCAACTCTCAGCTCTGCTCCTTGGGGTGTGTGTCTGCCTGGTTCTGGCCCAGCCCTACTCTCAAATGCCA
The DNA here is from genome assembly GCF_000001405.40 of Homo sapiens. Lineage (NCBI taxonomy): Eukaryota > Metazoa > Chordata > Mammalia > Primates > Hominidae > Homo > Homo sapiens. The sequence goes on from NC_000008.11 coordinate 73,278,131, forward strand.
GATTCAGAAACCTCTGAATAGATGCTTACAAAAAGTGCCATAATACGATGTATAATTCTTTCTCATTTCTAAAACAATGATTACCCCTAAAACGTTATTTGTACACAAAATGGAGAGTTTTCTGATGAATGAGTATGGTAAGGAGTCAGGGTTTGCAGTCAGAATCCCAATTCTCATTCTCCAAGGCTGGGCCTAAGCAGGAGCATTCAAGACTATTCAAGCTGACTCCTTCACAATGCTTTTCAAAATAAATCCTCATTATTTTCTTTTTAAAAACCACCACAAGTGCCTCCCTTCTGCTAGCCTTCTCCTACCCTGACGCCCGGGCGCTGAGGGGCCAAACCACCTGGCCCCAAGGGTCCCAGGGGCAGGCCCCTGGAAGTAAAATTTTTTAAGATACTGTGTGTCTGAAAATTTTCTACATTTCACCCCCATACTTATTGATAACTTGGGATGAGAGCAGAATCTCAGATTATAAATTATTTTTCCAAAAATGTTGAAAGGACTATTCCATAGTCTACATGTTTTGATTCTTATTGTTGAGAAGCCCAATACTGTTCTGATTCCAACTTCCAAATTTTGTTGATACTATATCTATTATTCTCTAAGTCCTTATAAATCCATGCTATTAAAAAAATTTTTAAACCCTTTCCTATCAATAGAATTTTAGAAGAAAGTGAGTTAATGAGTGTGTTCAGTGACTATCTTTAACTATAGTCATTTTAGTGATCCATAACTCCCCCTATTTTCTATACTGAGAGTCTCAACCCAAGCATCTTAGGTACGACAACTCTTTTTTTCTTTTTTTCCCCCTTTTTAATTCTCATTTTAGCTACCCTGTTAATTAAAAGGACAATTCTTTGTTGTACCAAACTGTCCTAAGTATTACAGGACATTTTCCCAGTCCTTCTGCTCTTCTTCATATGGTCTTGTTCTTGTCTTATGGTTTCCATTCCTTCACCTTCTTGAATATGAAAAATTTAAATTTTTTTCTATGCCATTCTATTTAGTTTTAGGGTACAAATCTCCCGTTTGCAGCATCTGCCAAGTCTGCTTCCTTGCAGTTAATTTCCTTACATATTCTGTAATCTTTGCAAACTCATCTATAGAGAGATCGATATCTATAGAAGTCAAGGATTCCTTGAATTACAGGAACTTTGCTATGCAGAGAGGTTTTTCATTGATCTTTGCCTGGCCCTGGGTGTCAGAGGTACCAGACCAGCTAAAATGTCAATTTCTTGGACTACGGTCCTGACCATGTAGTAATATGAATTCAGACCCCAGACTTGAGCTAGTATGGACCATTAATCTCTAATCTCTAGCAGCTGACTCTTTTCTTACCATAGCTCAAGTAGATGGCAAGCTTCCTTCTTGCCTCCTCAGGTCAATAAGGGGATGTTTTTCTAGTTATCTTCTTAGGGTCAAAGGGTTCTTGTGGTAGATTTTATTTTTCAAAGATAGGTGTACTAATGCATATGCAGTCCCACATGCTCTTCCTTCACTGTGATGTTCCTCCTCTCCTCCATCAAGAGGTGAGATGTTTCTTTCCCTGAAACCAACTTCCTCAGCCAAACAAAAAAACAGTAGAAACCACACTATGTGATTTCCAAAGCTAGGTCATAAAAGTGATATGACTTCCACTTGGCTCTCAGGACACTCACCTTTGAAATCCAGCCACCATTTTGTGAGGAAGCCAGGTGACATGGAGAGGCCACATACAAAGATTACAGCTGACATCTACAGCTAAGGTCTCAGTCAAGAGCCAGCATCAACCACCAGACATGTGAGTGAATAAACCTTCAGGAGATTCCCGTCCTGAGCCTTCAAATCTTCCAGCTGAGGCTCCAGACATCCTGAAGCAGAGCCAAGCTGTCTCTGCTGTGCACTGTCCGAATTCCTGACCCACAGAATCCATGAGCACAATAAATGGTTGTTTCATACCACTAAGTTTTGGAGAAATTTGTTATGAAGCCATAGTAACTGAACAGTACTTCTTTGTGACTCCCAGCTTTCAGCAGATGGCTCAACGGTGGCTTTCTCTGTGAACATTCCTTCATTTCAGGCACCTGGGGATTTCCTTTTCTTTGTTCCTAGCTTAGCCACATTTCCATAAATTATCTTTTACTCAGCATTTGAAATATATTGAAGCAAAATGGGGACCCTTCCATGCCAGCTCAGTCTGCCACATTGCCCAGAAGTTCCCAGAATAGCTTTTTAAATAATGACATAAAGAACTGAATAATTTATTTATTTATTTTTAAACGGAGTCTCACTCTGTTGCCCAGGCTGGAGTGCAGTGGCACGATCTCAGCTCACTGCAACCTCCACCTCCCAGGTTCAAGCAGTTGTCCTGCCTCAGCCTCCTGAGTAGCTGGGATTACAGGCACATGGCCCCAGGCCCAGCTAAATTTTTTTGCATTTTTAGTTGAGAAGGGGTTTCACCATGTTGGCCAGGCTGGTCTTGAACTCCTGACCTCAGGTAATCCACCCACCTCGTCCTCCTAAAGTTCTGGGGTTACAGGCATGTGCCACCACTCCTGGCCAGTAATTTATTTTATATATACACATACATATACATATATATATACACATATATATACACATATATATATACACACACACACATATACATACATACATACATATATACATATATGTATATATTAAAATCAAAAAAGAAAAGAAAAATAATCCTGAGAGTGCATTTATTAAAGACCAGGTAACTTGTTGCAGAGAAAATACAGTCAATAAAAAATTCATTCTCTCTAGTACTCAAATAAAAGGCAGATAATATAATGAGCTACTTTCGCCAATCAAAATGGCAGGGATTTTTTTCTTTACTATTAATAGAGTAAGATGGAGTGCAAGGAATAAGGTTTCAGTGGGAGTATATATTGGTGTAATATTTCCAGCGAATAATCTAGTAATATACATGTCCTTATAATTGTATATATTTTTGACCCAGCAATTCTACTTCTGGGAATTTATCCTAAAGAAATAATCACTGGCCAGGTGTGGTGGCTCACACCTGTCATCCTAGCATTTTAGAAGGCAGAGACAGAAGGATCTCTTGAGCCCAGGAGTTTGAGACCAGCCTAGGCAACATAATGAGACCCTGTCTCCACAAAAAGAAAAAGAAATAATCATTGATACATGAATATCAATTCCTGTATTTCTTATAATAGAAAAGAGAATGAAAATAACTCAAATGTCAAACAGCAGGTGGCAAAATAATCTTTAATTTTAGGGTTGTTTGAACCAAAATAATTACCAAGTGAACATAAAGAAAGATGAGTTATAGATTCATTGAGAAAGATATTTATTTATTCATGTCATGCATTGTGCTAGTAGTTGTAATACAACAATGATTAAAGATAAAGCACATGGTCTATGGGAGGTAGTGGGGAGGAGTAATTAGTTCATTACGATAAAGCTACGTTCAAATTCTATGGCACAACAGAACTTTTGCTGACCTTAACCAGACTGGAGAAGTAGGAAGGTTTTCTTTGTTTGTTTGTTTGTTTATTTGTTTGTTTTTGCTTTTTGAGCAAGTGATGTTCAAGCTAAGTCCCAAAGGTTTTCACAAGTAGAAATCAACTGTGGGAGAGAAGGTTGTTTGTCCACTAAAATCCTGGCTCCTCCTCCAGAGAATAGCGTTTGTTCTAGGAAGTGGCTGCCTCCCTGTGACTGGAATGTGAGCCAATGTAATGTGTAACACTGCAAGAAGCTTCTAAGAAGCTAAGCAAGTATGCTTTCTCCATAGTTTCTCCTTGCCTTTCTGCTGACTGGATTTAGACAAGAGTGAAGTGCTGACGAATGGCAGAGTCTGGGTCCTTCTACCAAGTGAAAGCAAGCCGTTTGCTGACCAGGGACGCCTACCTTGAAATTGTTATGTGAGCAAGAAATAACTTTTCTATGTTAAATCAAGAAAATGTTGGGATCTGTTTGTCACTACAGCTAGCAATAGGCTAATACATGTGACTTTTTATTCTCAAATAATGTAGTAACTCACTTAAATATATTCATTAAGCATGTACGATATACACATAAATGTGTCACGTGCACAAAAAACACACAAAAATAACTAAAGAGAGATTCTGCCTGCACAGAATTTCCAGTCCAGAAGAAAAAACAGTAGCCACTTATACAACTATAATACAAAGCGGTGTGTATAAATTAAATCCTTAGGAGATATATAAAGTAGTAGAAGAGTTAAAAGGAGGGAGATATTACTTTCGGGGGAGATTCAAAAAAGACTTTAAAGAAATTAGAAAATGGCATTTAAATAAGATTTAGACGGCAGAAATGTAGGTAGAGGCATTCCAGGAAAAGATATAGATGGGAAAGATGTCACAGAGAATGTAATGTAAGTACTCTGGATTGCCTGGAGGGAGGGGTTCAGATAAAGGCAGTGTGAGAAATAATGAAATGATAAATTGGATGAGATTACAGACAAATCTGAATGCTGGACAAAGTGGTCTATATTTTCTTGAGTAATGTGGAACCACAGAACAGACATATGGTATATATTCTGAACAGAGGTATGGTTTCTATTCACAGCTATGCTTTAGAAAAATTAATATGGCAGAGACTGGAGCCCAAAAGAGAAATTACAAGGCAATCATAATAGTCCAGAGTATTTAGAGTGGTCACAGTGAGAATGCAAGATTGATTATTTAATTTGGGAGATTCAGCAGAGAAAAAGGAGTCAAAGCTGAATGAGGCTGGGAATTGAGGTGACTGAGAATTATGGAACCATGAATTAAATTCAAAGAGGACATGCTAGTCTGGAGGTGGAGGGCAACAAGGAGTTCTGTTTTAGAAAAAAGTGAGTACAGGATATCCAATGGAGATATATAATCTGGATCTATGCAGTATGAATTGAGGTACACAGGTTTGAAGATGAAAATGTTAAGAGTTATCTACTTACACGTGAGAAATAAGGCCAGAGACTGTAATAAAGTTGGCAAAGGAGATTTGAGAGAAAGAAGAAAAGCCAGAGATTTCCTTAAAATATATGCAAGGCAGGAAGAAGAAAAGGCAGAGAAGGAATGGAGAGGCAGACAGTTCAGGGGAACCAGCATCATAGGAAGCATTGGACCATGTCCAATTGTGCAAGTTACTGGAGAAGGGAATTATTAATAACATTACTGTAACAGCAAATACACAATCCAATTTAATCCTTAAGTCACCCAATGAAACACAGATTCCAGTCAATGACTGAGCAGGGATTCAGACCCTGCAAAGAACCCAGGAACTGAAGCAAAATGAACTTGGATTCTAATCTTAAATGTGCCCCTCAAGAGCTACAGAACCACAGGGTCATGAAGAAAATAATTCTGCCTCTGACTCTCATAAGGTGAGGATTAAATTTTAAAATGCATGTGAAGTGTTCAGCACAGTACCTGACATGTTATAAACACTAAGTGGAAGCTATTCTCTTCTTTTAAAGAATAATAAATACAGATTTTGCTCAATACAGTCTGTTGACAAAAAGATAAATCATTCAAGATTCTTAAAGGCAAGATTCTATCAAAATTTTTTAATGTGCCTACATCTGACTTAGCACTTCTGCTTCAAGGAATTTATTCTGTAGAACTGTTCCCATGTGTAAGAATGTCTATTGTGGCTGGGCATGGTGGCTCATACCTGTAATCCCAGCAGTTTGGGAGCCCAAGGCAGGCACATCACCTGACATCAGGAGTTCAAGACCACCCTGGCCAACATGGTGAAACCCCATCTCTATTAAAAATACAAAAAAAATTACTCGAGCATGGTGGCACACACCTGTAATCCCAGCTACTTGGGAGGCTGAGGCAGGAGAACTGCTTGAACCTGGAGGCGGAGGTTGCAGTAAGCCAGGACCGCGCCATGGCACTCCAGCCTGGGCAACAAGAACGAAACTCTGTCTTAAAAAAAAAAAAGAAAAAAAAAAGAATGCCTATTGTTGCATTGTTTGTAACAGGGAAAAATTGAAACCAATCTCAATGAGGAATGGTCACATAAACTGATACATCTGTACTATGAAATACTCAGTGCAGACCTAAGTAAACTGATATGAATGGTATTCTCCATCTTTTTTTTTTTTTTTTTTTTTTTTGGTGATGGAGTCTCACTCTGTCACTCAGGCTGGTGTGCAGTGGCACCATCTTGGCTCACTGCAACCTCCGCCTCCCGGTTTCAAGCAATTCTCCTGCCTCAGCCTCCTGAGTAGCTGGGACTACAGGCACGCGCCACCATGCCCAGTTAATTTTTGTATTTTTAGTGGAGACGGGGTTTCACCATGTTGGTCAGGCTGGTCTCAAAACTCCTGACCTTGTGATCTGCCCGCCTCGGCCTCTCAAAGTGCTGGGATTACAGGCGTGTGCCACCATGCCTGGCCCGCTCCATCATAAGTGAAAAAAGACATTTCTCAAAATAATTCATGGTATGATTCCATTATGACCAAAAAACAAAGGAAAAAAGAAGGAAGAATGAACACCAAATGAATTCTAACAAGGATTAAAAAGTAAAGAAAGGCATAGACCTCTCCTTTCTAACTCCATATACTTCCGTACTGTTTCAATAAGTACTTATACATTATAATGTAATTTGAAAAATGTAAGGAAGAACTTAAAAAAGGAAATGTCAGAGTATTTCTGAAGAAATACCATTGTAACAAGAGATTTTAACTTGTTAACAATGTACATAACAAGTCAATAAAGAGGAGCAAGAATTCTTGTGCTTTAGGGATTATAATACCCTAAAAGTGCTCACAAAATTGTTTGCATTTGTCTGGAGACTCCAGTTTTTATGATGTCTATGAACCCAAAAAGGTTGTATGGGAAAATGACCAGTACAGTAGAAAAGACTACCTATGTTACACAAATAATTTCTAGAATGTTTAACTCCTGGTGAGAAAAGTAACACACACACAAATTATAGGTAAATCAGAAATGGTTCAAAGTAAAATTGGCAACAGAAAGAGGGTTTTAACAGTCTAACTGGGTTGGTCTTCCATGTCCCACTGCATGGCTGGGTGCAAGTGTGGGAGAAGGGAAGACACAGGGGTAGGCAAGGGAAGGAAAGTAAACACGTTCCCCCCACTCCAGTTTAAGCCTGGGAGGGTCAATCTGTAAGGGTGTGTCCACTTAACGGATAGATGTAAGTACTTACTTACCAGAAGTAAGGGGTGCAGAAAGAATATACAGATCCGGCAGGCGGACCCGCTTCCCTCAATCTCATCCCCCGACCCCACCTAGTAGCCTTCCTCAGGTCCCCATGCTCAGATGTTTCTGCCAGCTCCCATCATAAAGTGCATCTAGAGCATCCTCGGAGTGACCCACGTGCCTCTCTGAGCCTTAGTGTCCCCTTCGTGGGAGGGAGTGGGACTAGATGACCTCTGGACCCGACCTCCCATCCAGCCCTGACCTGGCAAGTCCCCTGAGCCTCCCGCTCCTTGGCCAGGGCTCGTCCTGAGACGGGCCAGCCACCAGCACTCACTGTGCCCGCAGCTGCACCGAGGGGAGGGATTTCTTTGCGATCCTGGCCGTTGCGGCCCAGGTAGGAGGCTCCGGCAGCAGGGGTGGCTGGGGCAGCGGGCACAGCGGGCAGTGTGGGAGCCAGCGGCAGCCCGGTGCCCACCTCAGCCCCCCGCCCAGTCCAGCCTTGTCGCAGGGCTGGCCACGGCGTCGGGGCGGGACAGGTGATGCAGGTGGCCGCGAGCTCCCACATTCACCACTCCTGGGGTGAGCATGCCCCGCAGCCAGCAGCCCTGCGACGCTGGGCCCGGCCCGGCCGGCGTCTCCCGAGGCTGCAGCGCTGCCTGCCGTACGCACACCAGTTGCTAGGCGCCCGGGGCCTCGCGCCTCAGTTCCATAGGGCAAGGGGCCCAGTGTTAGGGTTCAGGGCCATGACGGGTGCTTGGACAGCTTGGGCAGCGGAGGCCACCGGGACTCCTCGACCAGCACTAGTGCCTCTGCCTTCAGGTCACTGCTGCCGAGTATGGGGGTAATGTGGGGGAGTGAGCTGAATCAAAACTGGGTGAACACTGGTCAGTGGTGACACAAGGTGAGGGGCCCAATGGCAAACAGCACCAGGAAGCACATATAGGGCAAAGACAGGGCAGTTGGGCAAGCTTGGTGTAATTCAATTTTCTGGGTTGTTTGCACATCAGCTTGTATCAAAGACTTATTTTTCAGGTTCAAAATAACCAGGCTTTCCAGAGTACTGATGAGCTGTACCTTTCAAATATTAGCCACTTAATACCTGACTAGCCCAATTTTAGGTAAATGACAACAATGACGAGTTCCCTCACGAGTCCACCCAAATTCCATGTTCTGACTCCTTTGTTTTGGTTCCTTTATAAAAGGTTAGGTGTGTGTGCCCCCTCTGGCTTGGACACCTAGCACCCTGTCTTGCACAGTGGGATCTTAGCATCTGTACTCTTGCCAGATTAAGTTATCATATAAAGCCTCTGCCTTCATGACTTGACTCCCCACTAGAGCTGCAAGCTTATCCCTGGTAACAAGGTTTCAGAGCCCACAAAAACTCCTGAAACTGCTCTCAACACACTTTTCTCCATTCTTATTAAGCTCTACACAAACCTCTCCTAGGTCATTTGGTTATTTTTTTTAACACTCAAATTAGGCCTGGAATCGTAACACTGGCCCCACTACTTAGTTATGTGATCCTGGGTGAGGGAAAGTTAACCCACCTAACAAGAGGACTAGGCTGCATATTAAAAATCATGTGGAGTACTTAATTAGAAAAAAGTCTAGGGCTCATCCCAAAACCAATTAAGAATTTAGTTCTGGGGTTGCAATCAAAGTGGAGAAACACTAACCTAGGATTATGTGGATCAAGTGATACACTGGCACTCAGCAAGTGATCAAATGTTTATTAAATGGTCTCCTGTTTAGTTCTGCTATCACACCCCTACCTGACACTTCCCAAACTCCATGCCATTTCTCAAACTGTTCCTATCATCAGGTGACCAAATTCTACCTCTTCTGTGAAACTTGCCAAATCTTCACAGCATGAAGCATCTCCTGTACTCTCTCCTAACATGGTTTTCTACTATTACAAATCATTATTCCTACAAAATGCAATTTCTGAGTCCTCCAAAGTAAACTATATATACAGAAATATATATCCATAAATCCACACTCTACCCCATTCCTCCTGTCGCCATCCCCCATCACCAAATACTCAAGGACTACAATATGCCAGTAATTGAAGTCTCAAGATTTTAAATATCTATTTTCCTGATGAGGTTAGATTCCCTTAAAAAAGTGAAGTGCCTACAATGCACCAGGCATTGTTCTAAGTGCCAGAATAGAGAAAGCTAAGACTCAAACCTTACATTGGAGAATGGCTGGGAAAAGCAAGTCAGCAGTTTCAGATAGTAATTAATGCTATGAAAAAAGGTGATATATGAAGACGTGTGTCAGAAAAGACCTTTTTCCAGAATGAAAAGCCAAGTACCCAGACCTGGAGGCTGAAGACACTTTTGAGGAACAAAGAATATAGCTGGGGAGCCAGAAATAAAATATCAAATAATGGGCCTCCCAATTTCCATGCCCTAATTACAGGGACCTGTAAATTTGTTACCTTATATAGCAACAAAAGGGACTTTGTAGATGTGTGCTTGAATTAAGGATTTTGAGATGGGGAGATTATCCTCAATTATTCAAGTAGCCCAATGTAATCACAGAAGTTTTTATATTAAGAGGGAGGCAGGAGGAAGATCAAAGACGATGGAAGCAGAGATGCCACGAACCAAGAAAAGCAAGGGGCTCCCAGAACTGGAAAAGGCAAAGAAAAGGAGTCTTCAGAAGTAACACAGGCCTGCTGACCCCTTGATTTGGCTGTGAAACCTATTTTAGATTTCTGACCTCCAGAAAAGTTAAAACAATAAATTCACTTAAGTTTATGGTCATTTGTTACAGCAGCAAAAGAAAACTAATACATTCACTTAACACTGAGTGCCTACATGTCAGCAAATGGGCAGAAATTAAAAGGCCTGGCCTTAAAGTTTACTACCTAACAGAAGGGAGGCACATGAGAGGAATGTTTTGGCTCTTTGACACCACATTTCTAAGGAAAACCACTGGGAGCAGAAAGCTGTCAATCTTCCCATGGAGGTGGGCCCACAAAGACACCAGACACCCCTAAGAAGCTCTATCACATCCTATACATCCCCAGGGCACTCATTTCACTGTATCTGTTGCCTGTCTTCCCATCAGACTGATACCTGAAAGCAGAGGCTATTTTCCGTAATTCACTGTTGTGTGCCCACATTAAGTGCTGAAGCTATACTGCACAGCAGCATTGAGCACTTTCGAGCTAGGCGCTGCTCTAAGCATTTTACAGGACCTGTTAACATTTAATCTTCATTAAAATCCTATGAAATTAGGCAAAATTATCTCCATTTTGCTGACATGGAAACCGAGACAGAGATTATTTATTGGCCCACGCTAACAAATAAGTGGAGACTAGATATGAACCCAAGCACTCTGGCTCCGAAGCCAACACTCCTAATCCAGCGAACCACAAATGAACCTTCAAAGAAGTTACTAACTAGGTTAACACTGGTTAAAGGCCAGTGAGTCCAAGACAACTTTATAAAAACTGAGATAGCTAAGGGACCATCCACTAGAGAAAGCCGGACCTTAGAAGGATGAACAGGAAATAAACATATATGAGGTGTAATCTTGTAGGAGAACCTACTGGGTGCCCAGACCCCTAAGGTTGGTTAGGCCTTCCAGAGGAGGATCCCTTGAAAGCAATGACATTTATAAGAAGTGAGTTTCCTAATCAGGTGTTAATCTGCATTTGAATAGGTTCCACCAGCTCACAAACATTTTCGTACCTATTATTGTTCCTCACAATCCTCTTATAAAACCAGATTGGTTATCCCACTTTACTCTGTTCTCTATGGGAATCCTGGTTCTCTGCAACCCCTCCCACATTTCCCCATCCTCCCTGGCCCCAGGCCACACTTACAATATGTGTCTGCATGGGCTATATATTTATATATTTTTTTTTAAAAAAAGCTTTGCTAAGTATCTCTCTGTATATAAAGTGCTTATTCCTATCCCAATGAAGACTTCCCACATTTCATGCACCCACCCACCTGCACCTAGATTAAGCAAGCAATACACCATCTGTACAACTTCATTCCATAATTAGTCTTAATTCTGACCCTGCAGAGGCCACTGATGGCCCTCACTATTCCTCTAAAACCTGGAAGCCAAACAGGCTCTGACATCTTCTGAGGCACAACTACCCTTCATGACACTGGATGTGCTAACACTGGGAACTGTACTCTCTATCTACCAAAGCAGTAAGACAAAACTGAATTTATAACTTAAAAACCCTCTGGAGGCAGTGGGTCATGCCTGTAATCCCAACTATTCAGGGGACTGAGGCAGTAGGATTGCTTGAGGCCAGGAGTTCAGTAACATGCTGGGGAATACAGGCTGGTGTGGATCTCATCTCTACAAAGGAAAATTAAAAAATAAACTCTTTGGCTCTACCTAGATATCCATGTACTATTTCAAAATATTGACCCAACTGCTAAGACAAAAAACATCTAGCAAAACACTGATACAATCATAAATATGTAAAATGATTTTTATAAACGATCATCTTGATTTCTCTCCAAAATTCACTGACCCTAAACAAACTTACTAAGCCAGAGAAATAGGTCCCAAAACCAGGAACAAAGAACTCAAAGAAATTCTATTTGTCTAGCAACTTTCGAATATTAAAAAGCAATAAATGACTGTGGAGCAGTAGTACCAAAATAATTACTAAGGGAGCTGTTTCAGTGTGTCAGAACTTTGACAACTAAATGAGGACCACAAACATTTTTACTCTCATTCTATGTACTTCATGTTACACTCTACATTGTTCACTAGTCTAGGTGAAACAATACATGAAGTATAAAGGAATGTTATTTACAAAAAAACCTTTGAAGTTTTTGCCCATTAATTTCATCAGATGCTCTGAAATAATTTGCATCCCTGGGCACAAATTTCATGCCTTCCTTCATAATACCCACAGTATGTAACAATTATTAGTAACTCACGTAAGTATGGCAAAAGATGCAAAACAAGAACACAAAAATGGAATGCAAAAGGAAAACAACACATTTACATGGCAGTTTATAAACAAGCGAAGGCCCGAGAAATAAATTTTAGCAACTAAATTCAATTTTTTCCATAAACCAAAGTTGGATTACCTTACCGACAAATCATGTACAAATGCTTGTGAAACAGGCTTTCTTAGAATAAACCCATTTCGAATCACTCAGCACAGTTAAAAAACAAAAAATTAAAATCTTTTGTATAGAAAAGCCTTTTAAAAACCCAAGAGATGTCTTTCACACAGACTCGACCCTGATTTTGCACGAAATGGGCTGTTGATTTGGCTTAATTTTATCACACACCACACTTGCCACAGTAGTTAAGGGAAGACAGAGGCAGGCTAACAACAACAACAACAAATCACAAATACAACAATATATTTCAATTTGAGAGCAGGTACTGTTTATTAACCAACCAGCTTAGAAAAATAATCATGGTAGACACCTGAAAGGAAAAAAGAAAACCATTAGAAAACACTTTAGGCAGCTAACAATTAACATAAACTAGGCAGTTATAAAGTAATGATTGAGTTTACATTTTTAAGACCACCCAATTTCCATCTTTAAAGACTCCCCAAAACAGGCTTTTCCTTTCCTCCAGAAAGGTCCTCAAAAGCAGTAAACAAACCAACTGTAATCATTAAGATAGTTGACCCCCACTCCCCACAAAAGCACTGATTAAAATTCAAACCCCCATCAATATTTAATGGGAAAAGTATTCAAGATTACCACCACTTATACTCTAACATTAACTCAACCTTTCTCAGGATGAGGTCTCTCACCTTAGTTCATTCTTCTAATAAGCCTGTTGATCTGGTCCTCCCTGTTGCCAGCATCTCCACCTTCTACAAAATGGGTGGTCTTTTTCTTCATTCCACCTCGTGGAGAAGACAATTTGAAGGGCCACAGGAAGTTATTTGCCTCTTTGAAGCGTTTTCCAACAGTATAGATCTCATGAATCAAATCCTCCATGCAGATGATGCCGTATTTACCTAAATATTTTAAGGTTATTTAAGATTATTAAAGTTGCAAAAAGTTTTGAAATAATTATTCAAAATCTTTTTGAATAGGCTGTGAGATGAAAACATAACCAGGAATAAACAAGGTAAATGCATGGCTTTACAAAGATAAGGTTCAAGCTAATGAAACCATGTCTTACGTTTTCTTTTAAGCTAAATCAAGAATCATAGGGAACACATGAAGATTCACAATAGTGAGAAATGTACGGCCACAAGAGGGTAAGAAATTATCGCATGGTCTAATACCAAATTTTCCCCCAAATAGAACCTACCAAGAGATCGAGCAATCAAAGCGTTATCTGTCAAAGCAATTCGCTTCTTATTGATTTTGCCATAACCACGCTTGTAGATTAGTTCATTTACTGACTTCAGATTGGGGTACCTGAAGTGAAAAAGCAAACATAAATAAGGTGACCACTGTTAAAACATCTAAAATTCATGTTGCTACATAACCAATTTATCAAATAGAAATCAAAGGAGAAAAGAGACTTACCCCCATGCAATATATGGCTCTACAATCCTCAGCATGTTAATCGAAGCCTTGTTGAGCTTCACAAAGGTTCCATTGAAGATTTGACGAAGGCGAAGAAGCTGCAACACCTTTCGAACCTTTGGGCTCACTCCATTGATACTGTGGTGAAAACGGACCAGAAATGCATTTGCCTTTCATCGAAATTTTTATTAATACTAACCATTATAGTTTTGAATATCGAATCCTACCTAAACAGATAGGAATCCTCTCATGTTACACACTGAATTTCTGTATTCTATTAAGAGAAGGGATAGGAGCTTGGGGAACATGGCTTGCAACTAAACCATTAGTGATCAGCACCCTCCTTGTTCTAGCTTCCCCTAAAATATTGTTACTCCGGTGTTTCAGAATCAGGGCTCCCAGAAGTAATGTGAAGGTTTTTTTTTTTTTTCCCATTCAAACCCGAATGCAGTAAAACTGAACTTACCCTCTGATTCTGATGACAAACGCCAATTTGGGTTCTGCAGGTACATAGAAGTTGCCAGCTTTTCTTGCCATCCTCGCCATTCGAATTTCAGTTCTGTACATCTGCCTATATTCCTTGTGATAGTGCTTTGCTTTTTCATAGATAAGCTTCCTCCTTGCCTTTCGAAGCTGAAAACCAATAATCAGTTATTCATAATTTTTAGCTCAATCACAATTAGCAATGCCAATCATTAAAAAGAAAACTACAACATGTTTCCTTTAAATCTTTTCTTGCCACAGTATGCAATTACATCCCCCACCAAAAAACCCCACTACCTTCAGATTGTAACATTAGGTAGCTAAGCAATTACTCAGTACAGTTAGGAAGTAAATCTTGCCAAGAACATTCACCTCATCCTCAATCCCAATAAGGCGCCTCCTTATGTGCTAGTGCCTCAAAAAGTTTACTTACCATCTTTTGGGCAAACTTCTTTCTCAGGCGCTTGATCTTCAGCTCTGCGAAATTCCTTCGCTTTTTCTTAAGGGTTTCTGGCACAGCAGGAACCTCCTTCTTCTTCTCTCTAACGTTAATAAACAAAAATGTTATCAATAGCTCAAAAAGCTCACAGCGCTGTATTACTCCCGTACTGAGCAGTGTTGTTTACCAGAAATGCTGTCACTGACTTTAGTCACTAGTAACTTTACTTGCTCTGGCATGCTACAGTGTACGATGCATATTTTAGCTCCATGTCAATAACCTTTAACACCATGTTGCCTAAAACGCAATCACAAATATGACAATAGCAATACGTTTTTCCCTATTTCAACCAAGAGGCCCGGCCTCCGACGACTAATTAAAAAAAAAAACAAAAAAAACACACCAACACCCGAATAACAAAATGTACTAGCTGAAAGACTACTGCAAGGCACTGACCCCGAGACTTTAAGCGCAAAAATTAAAAAATAAAAATAAAAAAAAAACAAGCCACCACCACTCTGGTTCAATCAGGATCCACATGTTGAAAGCAAAGGCCTGGCGGCAGGGAGGCCTGTACCAAGCACCAGCCAAGGACGAACACAATTCAGAGGTTCTGCGCCTCCCCCGAAAGACCCTCTACCGAGGACTGGGCCGTCAGCCAACCGACGGGTTCCACACACATTCCAACCCGACATCTCGTTCCCGGGATCTCCAAAACCTCCGTCCTAAGACCGCCCGCATCCCAACCCTAGCCTCAGGTCCCCACTGGTGTCACACAGCGTTCACAATCAAGCAGGGAGGTGGGCAAAGGTGCAAGCTACGGCCAGAGAGAGAAAAAGTGACACAAAAAGTATCTGGCTCTGGAGATGGAGAAGGATTCTCAAGAGGACCAGAAGCAACTCACTCTACACCCTCCATGGTTCCAGCCGGAAAAAGAGGAAGTTGGCGCATGCGTACTGTCCACTTAAAGACTTCGCGAGAGAAGCCCCACGACTCATAGGTGTCTTAGAATAAGCCGGAAAAGAATCCAGAACTAAAAAGCCGCCTTGCAGACGCAAAGAACTCCCTGATTTAGCCTCTTTCAACAAACTTTCGGGTAAAACTTGTTTGAAGAAAATATATGCATTTGATTAGACTTTTTAATCAATTCAAGAGCAAAGAGTGCTGACACCTTGGCAACTCCGGGTCCTAATCCCCAGGCTGCGCTGACAGGATTAGGCTCCGTTCCTCCCCATAATGTTCCCAGGACGAGCCTCATGGGGACGAACTACAAATCCCAGCATGCACCAGTCTTCGCCCGCCCGGCGGGAGGGCAACGGCTGACCAGGACCGCAGGCAAGCACCGCGGCGACGGTTCCAGCCAGGAAAATGAGAGCCTCTTGGGCCACGTTCCAAACGGCTAGCTGCAATTCGAAGTCACTTTTGGCCGCCCTCCCGGCTCCCTGCCGCGGTAGTCGCAGACTACACCCCTTTCGCCGCTCCGCGAGGTCCTTGTCGTCGCTCCAGCCCACAGGGCTGTCTTCCGCAGCGCCTGATCGCAGGCGGGGCGGTCTGGAGTGCTCTAGCTTACGAAAAGTGGCTAGCCAGGGACCAGTGGGGACCGGACGGCCGGAGGAGGATGGCCGGGGCTCTGCTGACTGCCGAGCTCGGCAGGCGGAGGCCAGGACACCCCACGGGAGGGGGCGTGAGCTGCGAAGGGAGGTGCGAGGAGGGCTGAGGTTGCGGCCACGGCCGTGTGAGAGGGGCTACCCGGCTCGGCTCCGCGGACGGCTGGCGGGCTGGGGGCTGGGCCGGGGGCGGGGTGCGCCCGGGGGCGGGGAGGCCGGGCGGAGGGAGGGCCGATGCCGAGGCTGGCGCGGGCTCTTCCCGGTCGCGGGGTTATATAGCGCGGAGCGTGGAGCCCGCTCAGAGCCGGCCCGGAGCGCTCTGACTTGCAAGCGGGCTGCGCTGCGGAGCCCAGTGCCCGAGTGACACCCGCGGAGAGTGCAGGGCCGGGGAACGCGAGCCCTCGGGGGCAGCTGCAAGGCGTTGGGCAGCGCTTGCCTGCGCCGAGCGAGTCTCCCCTTCCCGGCGCTCCGCCGCCCCGCACCCCACTCTCCCACCCTCTCGCAACTTGGGTCGAGTTGACAACTCCCGCGGCAGCCCGCTGGCCCGTGCCGCCTCCGCTGCGCACCCCTCCCCCGGGGTGAGAGGGAGCCGGCGCGCCGGTTCCGGGGACGCTCGGGCGGCAGCAGCTTGGCCATGAGGGCAGTTCGAGTAGTCTAACTCGCGGCTGTCACCGCCACTGCAGCGGAGCCGGCCGGCCGGGCGCTGCGGGACGGGCGGGCGGCTGCCGGCAGGAGGCGCCGAGCCGGGTGACTGCCGCGGCGGGCACAGTCCGGGGCCACAGCGCCGAGCCCGGGCGGGAGTGGCCCCGCGCAGGCAGGGAGCGGCGCCGCGCACTCCAACCCGGCGGGCACCTCGGGGGCGGGCGCGGGGCGCAGCCTTCTCGTCCCGGCCTCTGTGACAAGCGCCCCGGAGCCGGGAGCCCGATTGCCGGGCTCGGGGTGGGCGCGGACGCAGGCACTGGGCTCGTGCGGGGCCCCGGGCGTCGCGATGAACATCGTGGTGGAGTTCTTCGTGGTCACTTTCAAAGTGCTCTGGGCGTTCGTGCTGGCCGCGGCGCGCTGGCTGGTGCGGCCCAAGGAGAAGAGCGTGGCGGGCCAGGTGTGCCTCATCACCGGCGCCGGCAGCGGCCTGGGCCGCCTCTTCGCGCTGGAGTTCGCCCGGCGTCGGGCGCTGCTGGTGCTGTGGGACATCAACACGCAAAGCAACGAGGAGACGGCTGGCATGGTGCGCCACATCTACCGCGACCTGGAGGCGGCCGACGCCGCTGCGCTGCAAGGTAACCTGGACCCGCGCGGGAGCATTGTTGGGTCAAGCCTCTTTCCACCCCGCGCCCTACCACGGCAGGCCCCAAACCCCGCTGCCTGGTCAGCCCCGCTGTGGAGGAAAGGAACACCCCACCGGTCTTTTGGGAGACGAGTGGAATTCGCTTCCTGATAAAGGAACGCGATCACTTCTGTATTACCAGGGAGAAGGTGCCCTGTCCTCGCGGAGGTTCGGTCTCTGGGGACCACGGCGGGGGGAGGGGGCGGGTTTCCTAAGCCCTCCGGGGTAGGGAAGGCGGAGGGAACTTGTTACCACAGGTTTGGATCCCAAAGAAATGTCTTGCTCCGACTTACAAGCGGCGCGATGGGAAACTGAAGCGTCTTTGGGAAGTTGTTCTGACTAGACTGAAGAAGTGTCTGTCTTACTGTGGTCTGAACCCCTTAGACGAGGGCAGTATTGACGGTTTCATTATAAGTTTAGCCTGAGGAACATAATTACATTGTTTCGCCAGCGATAAGTGCTTTAGTTACATTCCCTGAGCGTGATTGAAAGACGCCTTGCTTCCTAAGAGAAAGCTCTTGGAGGATTTAGGCTTCGTTGTAAATTTCTTCCATGTTTTTGGTCACCCCAGAAAATCTGCATTTCTGAATACTTATTAACTAACCTGAATCTGAGTTGTTTTTTTTTTTAAGCCAAAGCAAAGTCCATAACCAACCATAAATATTGGTTCAGGAAATTTGATAATGGCTGTTGGTTTTTAACAAAATTTTTCATTTTTAGGGAAAACATTTACCTGTACGGAGAAAATTGACTTGGGCACTTCTCCCCTGTATTGATAATTTATCATCAAACTTATTGATACCTGCGTTTTTAATTTAAGGGTGAAAATGTACCATTTTCATTGGTGGTATGGAGGTGTAGCAAATACAGATTTTTGTGCTCCCTGCCGAAACCTAAAAGATAAGGGTATTCATTTTCCAGGATACCGATTTTGGTTTTTAAATTGTCAAGTTCTTATGCGGTAAAATTGCATATTTACCTGTAACTTGATTTGTGAGAGTACTTCTTAGAGGAGTCAGCCCAGTTAGAACAAGCCAGTGATCCCTATTTCTTCATTAAAAATTGTGGATTCATTTCTTGGCTTTGGATGAGTTCAGATTATTAATTGCAGTTTTGATTTGTGAGCCTTGAAGTGAGTTTCCATTTTGAGGGTTCTCATACTAAAGACTAAGAGCTGTTTCTCTTGGGCCACTGTTTCCCCAAAAAAAGAGGAGTGTGTAGTGTGTGTGTGTTGTTCTCTGAGCTCTGGGCTGAGATCAGTTCTTTGCAGGTGTCTTTAGCTCCAGCAAGCTGATCCCATGTGGTCTACTTGTATTGGGCTTGTCACAATTACATGACTTTCCCCTAAGCAAAGTTATCCAGTAAATTGCTGTAATTCCCAAAGACTTCATGGGAGGAAGGCAGCTGTAAAGCTCAGTCGTTGGCAAGCCTTGCAGCGTTAGAAATTTGAAGCTCACTGTAGTATTTTTGTTTTGTGTGATCTTTGTCCTACTGATCGCCATGTGACTCACTTTCTGCACTTCCTTCTCTTTTGCATGTTTTCTCCTCATCTGGACTTCTGAGGACAGCTGGGAATGGTGAGGAAGAAATTCTGCCCCACTGTAACTTGCAGGTTTTTACCTACACCTGTGACGTGGGGAAGAGGGAGAACGTCTACCTGACGGCTGAAAGAGTCCGCAAGGAGGTTGGCGAAGTCTCAGTCCTGGTCAATAATGCTGGTGTGGTCTCTGGGCATCACCTTCTGGAATGTCCTGATGAGCTCATTGAGAGAACCATGATGGTCAATTGCCATGCACACTTCTGGGTAAATATAAACATCCTTGTTTTCTTTGCTGGGCCCTCCTTAATGAGAAGGTTGGGAAGGGGAGAGACTTCAGTGCCAGCCTGAAAGCAACCTGTACTCTTTCGCCACAAGGTCTCCTTAGCTCTTCCCTATGGTAAACTGCAGTGTATGCTGGTTACTGTTAGTCGTTTTGTCCCCGCCCACCCCCCCGCCACCCCTAACTCAGTATTTTTGAGAGGGCAGAGGATTGAACATTTTGAACTAGTTTGAAAGATTGCCATAAAAATAACACGAAGGAGCGTAAAACCCTGGGTTTGTTTATTTTACTTTCTGTTGAGTTTATAAAACATTGGTTGTTCTTATGAATTTCTAAAGTCAGGATTTAGGCTTCCAAATTACTGCTCAGCCACATTTTGGAAAGTGCCAAAGATTCTGAAATCAACATTTGTGGTCTGTTGGGAGTGCCCAGGCCACCCTGGCAGTTACTTCGCATCTCCTGACCATCCATTGGGTCCAGGGCATCTTCCTGTTGCAGGACGCTTCGGGACTCTCTCGGGTTAGACAGTGCCTCGCAAATATCACCCTAATAGGACCCTAGAGAGGGAGGCGAGGTGGTGAAACCTGGTAAGCTGGGGATTTAAACAATGTCCGCTTCTAACCATTAAACAATGTCATGATCTACGGAGGGGAGCAGGGCCTTCTGCTGCTCTAGGGGCAAAAGTAACCCCAGTTTTTCATCTCAAGTTGTCTTCAGTAAAGGTAGGTGTGACTCTGTCCCCTATAACTGCACACTGCTGACCCACTTTATGCTCTTTTTCCTCACAGTATTTTCCCTTTCCTTTTGTAGACAGATACGATTCAATAAAGAAGGAGTAAAGAAATAGGATTCTACTTTTTTTTTCCATAGGCGGATTAGCCTTCTAATAGAACACAACAAAGAACTGTTTCTCCTAAATAGGTCACATTAAACCTCATTAATTTTTTAGCAACTGCTTAAAAACTTAATCTGGCATTAAAAGTACTTATTCAAATGTTGCACCTCAAGCATCAAACCTTTTCTCTGCTCTTGGAGGAAGCTTATTTTAATGTTTTATTTTTAAATATGAACTTTATTTATTTATTTATTTATTTATTTTTCGAGATGGAGTCTCACTCTGTCACCCAGGCTGAATGCAGTGGCGCGATCTTGGCTCACTGCAACCTCTGCCTCCCAAGTTCAAGCAATTTTCCTGCCTCAGCCTCTTGAGTAGCTGGGACTACAGGCACATGCTGCCACACCTGGCTAATTTTTTGTATTTTAGTAGAGATGGGGTTTCATGGTGTTGCCCAGGCTGGTTGCGAACTCCTGAGCTCAGGCAGTCCACCCACCTCAGCCCCCAAAGTGCTGGCGTGAGCCACCGCACCTGGCCTGTTTATTTATTTTGAGATGGAATTTTGGTCTTGTTGCCCAGGCTGGAGTACAATGGCGTGATCTCAGCTCACTGCAACCTCCACCTCCCAGGTTCAAGCAATTCTCCTGTCTCAGTCTCCCAAGTAGCTGGGATTGCAGGCATGCACCACCACGCCCGGCTAATTTTGTATTTTTAGTAGAGGCGGGGTTGCACCATGTTGATCAGGCTGGTCTCGAACTCCTGACCTCAGGTGATCCGCCCGCCTCAGTGTCCCAAAGTGCTAGGGTTACAGGTGTAAACCACTGCACCCGGCCAACATGAACTTTATTTAATTCATTTACAAACCTCTAGAAATGAATATATAAATGACCTGAGCTTATATATGTTTTAAACAAGTAAGGAAATCACCAAATACAGTTTGGGCAACTTCAGCTTGCCTGTAGGTGTGTGTTGTGTTCAGTGGGGGTGGGGAACTGAATTAAAGTCCTTGCTGTGGCTGGGTCCCCAGGAACAGGCAGCAGGTGTCAAAGGGGTGGTTAGATGAATAAAAGGCAGTCCAACCAAATAAACTTGACATAGAATTTATCAAGAATCTTGTGTGTTTATGACTAATCCTGAGTAAAACAACTACCATTTGAAATAAAAGACATACATAAGTGGGAGGCGAAGTGTCATTTTCATATTTGAAGAATGGTAAAGATGAAGCTGCCGTAAAAACTGCAGTTGATTTAAGTCAGCCCTAAACAGTTACAGCACTATCAGTAGGTTCATTATGAACCGCAGATACTGACTGGGATTGTTTTCTCCCGTAACCTTTGACTAAGATGATGCAAGACTACATAACTAAACTTTTACCTACACCAGGTATTCTAAAGTTTAGCCATCTTGCCTACTTTGTCTGCATGATTATTTTGCTTAATTGTAAAATTTTAAGTGTAATCAGGTTTTTAAGAAACCCCATACAATCTGCAGTTAAATACTTAAAACAAGAAACCAGCTCCAGGAAGACATCTGATAAAATGAATGCTAATTTAGTGTGTGTAAAGCACAGAAAATTCATAGCCTTAGCTTTGAAAATGCACATAAATTGATATACCGTCTTTCTAATATTAGGCTACTTTTTAACATAAGGAGGAAGTCAAATCAAATCTCTAAATAGAAAAATTATTCTGGACCTGAATCTGTATACCAGGGAGGAGCATAGCACCTTCCTAGAGTCATCACTGTGCTTTGAGATGTTGCTTAACCACACAATTTAAGGAGTTCTTGGAAGCCTTGATGGTAATGACGTCACTTTGTATTAAAATATGGGAGGCTCCTGAATTCTCCAGCTGTTTTTCCCCTAAGCATCTAAACTTAAGAATTTATTTTCAATATTGAGTCAGAAAATTCATTTTAGAGTTGGAATTTCTGACTTCTTGCTGAAATTTACAAATCTTTTGAGAAGTTTTGATTCAGCAACCAAAATTTAAAGGAAAATTCAGTATAGATTTTACAGTGAATTTTTTAACAGGGGTTAAGGAGTGTCACAAGAGCCACCTGAATTCAGCTTCCCTTCCAGTAGTCCTCTTATGCGAAGCGTTGGTGGCAACTTTTCAAAGATGTGTTGACGTTGGCATGTGCTGTTTTCCTTCTAGAAAAAATAATGAGTGTGTCTTTTTACTGTATCTGGGTATGGAAAAGAAGTTACCCCATACATTTTTAAAAGTCCATCAGCTGAGCAAAGAACTGTTCAGTCATTTGAACAGATCATCCTGAACCAGACATTTAAGTAACCGTTAATATCTGTTTTCAGCAGTTAATACCTGTATTTCAACAAGTAGTATGTTGATCCTGACTCAGAGCAAAAGTGAGTGAAATAGAAAACCATGTGGACTTCCACTGAAAAGCTGTGGGCACTCCCAAACCAGTCCACATGCTATTCCCTCTACCTGAAACACCCTCTTCCTCCATTCCACGTGTCTTTTAAGGTGTAGCTCAAGTTTCAATATAACCTTTCCTTCCCACTGCAGCACTTCTGGCATTTTTGGATATTAGAGTTGCAAGAATCCAGAGACCTTCTTGTTCAACCCTTTGTTTTCCAGTGAAGTTGGGGTTAAATGACTCATCTAAGGTTTTTCTTTTCTTTCCATTAATCTCTCACAGCATTTGTTATCATTCTCCCAAAGTAGATGGCAAGCTGTCTGAAGGCAGTTTATTATATACATCTTTCATTTTCCTTTGCCTGGAACAAAACTCTATTCTTTTTTTTTTTTTTTTTTTTTTTTTTGAGACGGAGTCTCGCTCTGTCGCCCAGGCTGGAGTGCAGTGGCGCGATCTCGGCTCACTGCAAGCTCCGCCTCCCAGGTTCACGCCATTCTCCTGCCTCAGCCTCCCGAGTAGCTGGGACTACAGGCGCCCGCTACCACGCCTGGCTAATTTTTTGTATTTTTAGTAGAGACGGGGTTTCACCGTGTTAGCCAGGATGGTCTCGATCTCCTGACCTCGTGATCCGCCCGCCTCGGCCTCCCAAAGTGCTGGGATTACAGGCGTGAGCCACCGCGCCCGGCCAAAACTCTATTCTTAAGTCACTCAATAAATATTTGATAATAATAGGCTTAAATATTTAGAAGATAACCTATTCAGAGAATACTCACATGGGTCTATGTTCTGAAGTTTTAAAAGGTAAGCATTATGGGCTGGGCACGGTGGCTCACACCTGTAATCCCAGCACTTTGGAAGGCCAAGGCAGGCGGATCACTTGATGTCAGGAGTTCGAGACCAGCCTGGTCAACATGGAGAAACCCTGTCTCTACTAAAAATACAAAAAAAGTAGCCGTGGTGGTGCTAGCCTGTAATCCCAGCTACTCAGGAGGCTGAGGCAGGAGAATTGTTTGAACCCGGGAGGCCGAAGTTGCAGTGAGCAGACATGGCGCCACTGCACTCCAGCCTGGGTGACAGAACAATACTCCATCTCAAGAAAGAAAAAGGTGAGCATTATGTTGGACTAAAGCTGTGTAAGACCATTATTGCAAACCAGGGCTGTCTCACCCTTGTTGTCACTCATATTTTCTTTTGCTTTCCTACATAACTTTCCATTCTCCCTGTCCCACATGTGTTCTGATTTTTACTATTTTGTGTTAGAACTCTGCTCATTGGTGTGAGGCTAGTGACTTGATAAGGCTGGTGTTGGTATGCCAGTTTGAATGAAGCTCACAATGAATGTGTAACAGCCATTCATATTTACCAATGATCAGTCCTCAAAAAGAGGACCCCCTTGGCAATTCTTTCCTTCCCTCTTAACCATGTACCATTTCTGTACCCTTTGGAAGCCTTTCCTCAGCCTGGCATAATTCTGTACAGCCTTCCAGTCTGCTGTGACGCTTCATCTTCCAATGTTGTTCCATCACCAGTAGCTCTCCTAGGAACCTTCTCCTGGTCACCAGTCAAGACTTAGTGATAGATTTGGGGTAGGTTCTAGTCAGCATAATCTACTGTGAAACACCCAGTACAAGACCATGGAAAATGAATGCACTATCATGCACTTTAACACTAGCATAGAAATTATTCATGTGGGCTGTTTGTATCTGGGTGAGATGTAAAAACTTGAAAGATACCTCTCTTGGGCGGGGTGCAGTGACTCAAGCCTGTAATCCCAACACTTTGGGAGGCCGAGGAGGGTGGATTGCTTGAACCCAGGAGTTCAAGACCAGCGTTGGCAACATGGCGAAACCCTGTCTCTACCAAAATACAAAAATTAGCTGGGCGTGGTGGCACGTGCCTGTAGTCCCAGCTCCTCAGGAGGCTGAGGCAGGAGGCTGGCTTGAGCCCAGGGGTTGTAGACTGCAATGAGCTGAGATCGCAACACTGCACTCCAGCTTGGGTGACGAGAGCCAGACTCTGTCTCAAAAAAAGGAAAAGAAAAATATCTCTCTGTATTCTACTTTGAAATATGGAAAGTTGGTCTCCATGCAAACCCATGTTTTCCTCAAAGTACTAACATTGCTTTACTTGTTATTTTTTAAGAGAAGTAGAATCTTAGCTTGCTATTTCTAAAAGCCAAAGTTTATCTGTAGATCCTTTTTAACCGAAGAGCTGCATTTGGCCTTTATACGTGAGCAGCAAATTGATCCCTGATTAACCAAAAGGGGGAAGCAAAAGCATTTAACTCCAGGCCTTTTATATTCTGAAGAATTTTTGCATGGTAAAGGACTAAATCTGTCAAATAGCTAGTAGGTAATTTACTTCTATTGATATGGTAGTCAGACAAGATAATTGGTAGTTAATTAATAGACCACTTAACTTAAAAGGTTTCACAGTTTTAAAATACTAATTACTGAATTAAGCATTTATCTATATCCAAATGTCTAAAGTCTATTTAGTTAAAATCTATCCAGGAAAAGTAAAAGCCCACCAGCTAGATCTGAGTAATGTAGCACTTAAAGACATTAGTGCTGCAGTTGTACCTAATATCTCATAAATGGTCCCTAATCATTAATGTTTAGGTTCTTATGTGATTTACTGGTTTTTAATCTCACATACTGCATTCCTGTGTTCTCTGGTTACAGAAACTAGTTTTGTTCAAGGTTTCTTACATTTAGAATTTCAAAAATCATTTCTAAAGTATTCATAAAAATATTTGGCCAGTATTTCTCCTTACCATAATAACTGTAAGACTAATTAGTTTATAGAGAATATTGATTTCCTATCTTAAGATAGCTACTAAACACTTGGAATTCATGGCCTATTTTTAGAAGTCTCCAGTAGAACTGGTTTCTGTTATTAAATATATGTCATATGTATAAAAATGTTTGAACTTTAGAAGTACTTTCAATGTCTTAAACAGAGTTGTAAATTGACCTGGGGTCAATTTTATCTTATTCTTGTAGTCACAGTTGAAAACTGAGTAAAACATCTCTTTTGATAGGAACTGCTTGGTACCTGGGACTGAATACCTATATACACCAAATAGGATCACATGCTCATTGAACTTTGAGTTTCTGTATTTGATACATTACATGCTGGGCCCAAATCTGTTGCTACTAGAAATCAAAATCTATGACATGATAAAATATCACTTTACATAGCTGGTGTGAATAGGGAACCAGACGCTGCATCAGATAAAAAGTTCTCCAACATCTTCAATATGTTCTAATCTGTGTCTGTTTTTCTCAGTTGTTTAAAAAATAACTGCTAAATAACCAATGTCATAATTTCTAACCTAAATGAAAAAAACAGCAATGCTCCCCTCATTGCCAAATCCAGTGTGCAGCTTCATCTTTCTACAGAATGTGACCCTCTTGACCGTCTCCTTGAAACTCAAGTGCTTTAGCTTCCATGATAAGCCCACTTTGTCGTGCTTCTCTGTCTGCCTTCAACTACCTTGACTGCGCCACACATTCTCTTAAAGCAGCATGTCACAAAACTGAACAAACTCCTCTTTGCTCCTTCTTGCATTCCCTGGTCACCAGGCTTAGAAACATCAGCATTATCTTCACCTCTCCAGCCTGCGTACATTCATGGGTCCCCAAATCCTGACTATTTGCTTGTGCCCCTGTGCTTTGATTGATCGCCCCTTTCCTTTCCTACTTCATCCTGTGTGCCTCCATCACCTCTTGCCTGGACTCTTGAAAGTGCCTCTGATCTTCTTTTCCTGTATTCGCTTTTGGCTTTCCAACCTAGGGTCATCTAAGCAGCCTTGAGTTTGTTATCTGCCTGCTTAAAACACTTGTATGACCATATTGCTCACAGCGTGAAGTCCAGGCTCATTAGCATGGCATCCTGGGCCTTCCAAAGCTGATTTCCACCTGCTTTTCCAGGTCAGCACCTATTTATCCCCTCATCTACTGTAAACTTCAGATGGGCTGGACTCCTCACTGTGCCTGGAGAGAGCCTTGCACACACTTATGCTTCACACAAGAGCCTCTGCTTGGCTGTTCTGCCATTTGAGTCCTGTTTTACTTGAAGACAACAGAAGTTGAATAGTTCAGAAAAAAATCCGTCACTATTCCTGAGAAAGAAAAACAAGTTCAAAACATTTTCATGTTCACTTAATAATATCTTTATATGTTAAGATGGCAGTCCCTGTAAAATAGTCATGAAATTCTTGGCTCAAGGAATGGCCCTTTCTTGTTTGATCATGGAGTGAGTTGTGTTATTTATCTCAATTCCTGGAAGGAAGCAAAGTTGGTATTTGTTCTTTTCTGCCTCATTATTTCTACATCCCAGGCTTTATCCATTTTCTGCCCAAATAAAATCAATCTATAGGATATGTCAAAGTGGAAGCATTGTGTAGCCTGTGCTAATGCTAACACTGACTGAATAGCTTTCTCAAAAAGACTGAATGCAGAGTGCCCCGGCAGAGCCCTTAGCCATTCATTGCAGGATTGGGTCACTACAAACCCTGTAGTTTAATACTTAACTGCTCACACTCCACTTATTCTCTTCTCCTACATTTGTTTTTACTCTGATCATGCTTCAGATTTTTGAGATCTTTGGGAAATTCTAATGAATCGGTTTTAGTAACTTGAATATATCTAACCCATGACAATCTGAGAAAATTTAATAGCCTCACCTGAGAGTTAGATGAATTTTAAGTAGGAAACCCCTTTACATTTAAGTTTTGTCTTGAGTTGAGAAATATTAATAGCAAATTCATCTAAAATTTCTGCTTTAGTTCTTTCAGAAACTAAAATTAAGCCTCTTTCAATTATGGTAAGTAGTCTATTTGCATGTGTCTAATCCAGATGTCTGCCTATATGGATAAATGTGCAGATGACATGCTATGTTTGTTTGCTTGCTTGTTTTTCTATGCTCAGTAATAAGTAGAAGACATGATTATGGTGCAGTTACAGCCACTGGACCTGGGAAAGAAAGTCCTAAATACCCAGGATGTTTTTGGACCCCCAAACTGTACTATGCTGAAGTTCCACTAGGGGGTGTACTGGCAGGGTGGATTTGTATCTTATTTCCTGCACATAGAACCAGTATTTTCCTGAGAGAAAGGGTCTTTTGTAACTAATCTTTGGAGTATGACAAAATCTAATAGTCCTTAAGAAATAGAGAACTATTTCCTGCCTCAGCTGAATGGGTTAAGTTCAATATTTTGAGCCTGTAACTCCAGAGATCAGATTAAAATATGTTAATCTTTCTTATCAGAAGTTGGTATAGTAGTTAGCTATTCAAAGAACTAACACTTCTAGATTCTATCAACTGACCTAGAAGCTCCTTTAGGCTGAGACCCCATATAGACATAATTGGAAAATAACTCAGAAGATGGGGGTTTCTGATTTTTTCTAAAGCATACAGCTGGTCCCCATAATAGGTAGCCTTCAGAAGGTTCCCTGTATTGTGAATTATCATTCTGTTAAGATACCATTGTTCAGAGCCTAGGCTGACAGAGCATGGCCTTGGGATTCATTTGCCTTGACATACCTGGCTGGCCAGTTCCAGTCACCTGCATCCCTGGGTTTATACAGGCCTATGCCATCCCCACACTGGAGTGGATGCGAGGGGACGCAAACCTTTTCATGTGGTCTGAAGGAATGCTAACATTTTTTACTTGAAGAGCTTCCCCAGTGTATTTCATTCTTGAATTTTTTTTCTTCTTTTTTACTTTATTTGTCAATTCTCTTAAAACTCAGGTTCACACCTGTCAGGGACCATTTTCCTAAATGCTCTGAAACTGAAATGAAGTGAGCCACAGGGGGAAAAAATGAATATCCTCTTATAATCTTCATAAAACTTTCAACACTGCAGCAAATGCTGCTAGAATATTTAACAAGTAAGGGCAATTACTGCCGCAACCTTGAGTGCTGTCAAATTAGCCCCTTACAATGACAAGCCACTTACAATGAATTCACATTTGGAAACAAAACATTACTTGGTCTGTGAAACTTTCAAAGATCACACAAAGATGTGTGAAAGTGGCAGTGGTGTTAGCATTGTATTTTTTGGTTTGGAAAAAACCACAAGTGTTTCTTACATGCTGCTTGCATAAAATGTGAATTTCTTGCCTTTCCTTCAAATAGTTTAGTACTGGAATTTTTGAATATTAACATGGTGCAGCTTCTTAGTGTTAGCCTAAACAATAGGGCTCAAAATAACATAAGTGGTACTTATGTAAACACATGGGTATTTTGAGGACAAGTGAAACTTAAAATTCAAAGCCTGAATTTTCCCACCTTAAGTTGTAATTAACATACTGCCCCCTACTGATTTCTTAAGGGTTTTTTACATGGGCTAGTCCTGCAGTCTCTTGGGAAAGAGAAGCATAAGGTGTAATGAATTACTTCTAAATGATTTCATATTGTATTTTTATTATGTTTGCTGGACTCTTTAAGTGTTGCGATTTTTACTTATAACAGTCGTTTTTTGCCTATAGTAAAATGGGACTGATA
The DNA here is from genome assembly GCF_000001405.40 of Homo sapiens. Lineage (NCBI taxonomy): Eukaryota > Metazoa > Chordata > Mammalia > Primates > Hominidae > Homo > Homo sapiens. The sequence continues at coordinate 73,307,178 of NC_000008.11, forward strand.
AAAGAAGGATTAGAAAGGTGGTGGTGTTGGAAAGTTTCGTTGTTTTCCAGCGTCATCTAGGACTTGGGATGAAAGGGACTAGGCAGCTGAAGCAACTGCTTAGCAGTGTTTTTGCGACTTCTTTTCTTAGGTCAGATACTGTGTTTTAACCAGAATATGGTCTGCGTGGAGGGCAGGGAGGACTAGGAGCCATACATAGTAAGAACCAGGACTTGCAGGAACTTAAGGAAACAACCTAACCAAAAATAGATAGCACTTATAACAAAAATAGTCTATAAATACATGCTTAATGAGCCTTGTGTACTAAATTTTTATATAGCACTTAAATTTACAAAGCCTTTTCATAAACACTTTTCTCATTTGAGCCTCACAGCAACTCTGAATTAAATAGAGCCACTATCCTCATGTTTATGGATGAGGAAACAAACCCAGAGAGGTGAAGGGACTTCCCTAAGGTCACTGCCAGGGAAGGAAGAAACTAGGACCCAAACCCTCAGCCTAGGCTTCCAGGTTAGAGCCTGTACAAATACTTAGCTGTGGGCTACAAGTTCAAAGCTCCTGGTACAGTAGGTAGATTTTCCTATGAGTCACTTAGGAGTTTTGCCCTGTGGTGTAGTGTAAGAATTAATCTTCAAATGTTGATTTTTTATTAGCATGGTTAGTTTAGCAGTAACTGATTAACCCTAGCTTAATATCCCCAGGAAGCTTGCTCTGTAGATTAGACAAGCATGTAAAATTCAAGCCTGAAGAACCAATACTATACTAGAATTTTATTACGAAAGCCCAACTTGCGTGTTTCTGGGCCTTTTCTGTACTTTTCCATAGCTTGTATTGGAGAGAGTTATTATTTCCTTGAGAATAGTGTAGTGCATCCTTCGTCACCCAGCTTCCTTCTTTCTCTTCCTAGTTTGCATATCAGCATTGACAAATTAGACACAAAAAAAGTCACGAATGGATAGGGCTCTTCTACAAGGACTGGCTGAACAAAGTTCTATGAATAATTGGTACCAAAATATCAGTTAAGTGTGGTTTTAGTTTAGTTCATTTTGTTAGCTTATCTCCTAACAAAATGTAAAACCTTTATTCTGTTATATAATATTCTTATGGGATCAGAATTCCAGATAGCTTCATAAGCTTTGCCTTTGAAATGTTAATCATGGATTTTCAAAATTGTGCACTTTGGGCCACTGGTAGTGTCCAAACTTATAGTCCAAGCATGTGATCTATAAAGGGGTAATTATTCCCTAAATGAGGTTTTCTCACAGGCTTACCATAGTATAAAAGCCTCTATGGTTCACTTGTCCAAGGTAAAGTTGGAAAGCCAGTGAGGTAAGTGCCAAGGCTGACGGAGTCTACAGTCCCTGTCTTGAAAGCTAAGCCTTCAAAGCCTCTGTGGATGCAGAGGGAAGGATTTGAAGTCTTTTAGGTTTCTTCTTTACAAACTTTGTTCTAATGGGATTGGGTGGCTTGCTAGTGCTAAAAATGGATCCAAGGTAAATAGACATAGAGTCAGTCCACAAAGTCCCATGGTCATTCATACTAGGGGCTCTTGCACTAGGGGCTCTTGGCATTGATTTGAACCAGGCTTTACCTGATAAATGCTAGGGGTAGGAGGCACTGGGAACAGAAAGAGGATCAATTATATTGCCTGTTTCACTGAACTCTTAGGAGAGTTGATCTGAAGCCACGTGAGGTTGGGAGTAGACAGATTGCTCAGGCTCACTCTAGAACCTTCTTCTCGGCTTGTAGTCCCGAGCAGCCACAGCAGCACCACCTAACTACTGAATCTGAGTCTGCATTTGATTCAGAGCCCAGGTGATTCCTACACGCATGTGCGCCAAAGTTTGAAGAGGAACTACTCTTCCCACTTTTTCAATATTCCATCTCCCCCTTACCCACATACACACACTTTTTTTTTCCTGAGCTAACCAGCCCTTTAGGAATCTTGTACCTAGGAAGATGTCAGACCACGCACTCTGGGGCCCACTCTGATCTAGGTTTATTTTTTAAATTTTGATTCAGGTCCAGTGTCTGAATGGTTGCTCTGCCCAGGGTGGAGTTTTCACAGCCCTAAGCACCACAGCAGAAAGTCAGGGCCGGCCAGTGAAGAACTGTGTGGCATTGCTGGATAATGGAAGGAATGGTGTCTCATGTATATTTGTTGTCCTTAAAAGGAAGTTTTCTTTTTTCAGTTCTCATAATTTAGTAATGATATTTTCGGTGGTTTAACCAGAGTTGTGATTGGTAAGTGATTGGTGTCATCTTCTATGACATTTCAATATTGTTCCTCTGTGAGGTAGCTAGAATATATCAGACTTGTTGGATCAGTATTATTGTCCTTCAAAGGTACTTCTTAATTTCATGGTGGAGTGGTGGTTTGAAGTATAGAAACTAAAAGTGATGAAGTTTTGAGTCCATATTTAAGTTGTTGCCTTTTTTTTTTTTTTTTTCAATTTCCAGCCCCAAATATATTCCAAACCTGGAAAATGTCATTACAATATGAGAATGAAAACTTAAGGGACAATCATCACTGGAGTATACGGGACTTCCTTTCCTAATGTACATGTTCTTTCTAGTGAGTAGTTCTCATGTGGGTGATTTTGCCCCCAGGAAACATTGGTAACATCTGGAGACATTTTTCTTGTCAGACTGGTGGAGCTGCTGCTGGCATCTAGTGGAGAGAGGTCAGGGATGCTGCTTCAACATCCTTCCATGCATAGGGCAATCCTATGGCTTAAAATTACCCAGCCCCAAATGTAATGGTGCTGAGATTGAGAAACGCTGTTCTAGAGCACTGGTTCCCAAACTCAGCTACAAATGGGAACCACCTGAGGGACGTTGCCTCCTGATGCCTGATTCTCCCATTGGAGATTCTGGTATAATTGGTCTGAGAGGTGACCTGAACACCAGGAGGAAAAGCTTCCCAGGTGATTCTAATGTACCAAACCACTGATTTATAGGAAAGTTGCCATCTGCAATCTTTAAAATCCTTTAAGAGGTTCACAAATACTTATTTTTGTTTTTTAACAATGCCTATCCCAATGTAGGTACCTCATAGACCCTCATATGTGTTGAGTGAATTCTAAGTTCTAACAGTGCATGTTTAAAAACAGAATAAGTTTTCAGGTGTAATCTCTTGAATATATTTACCCTTCATTTATGTAAAGATTTTAACTTTTTAAAGATTTCACAGTAAGCAAACTAGAAAGCAGGGAAGAATTTGAACTATTTACACTTAGGAATTACAGGGGTTGATGATGGGGACATTGAGAGCTGTGCTGTTGGAACAGGGGCTAAGAAGTCTGCCACTGCAGATGGCCGGAGCAGTGGCTAAGCTCGCATGCATGTGTTTATGCGTCATGGAAGTAGTTACTGGTCACTAGAGCAGAACCGAAGCCTCTGCCCTTTGGAAGATCTGTCTTTATTACAATTTCTGAGAAGCAGTTTGAGTTTGGGGCAAAGCAAAGAGATCAATGACAGCCTGTTGTTTGGCAAGCTATTTGGCTGCAATTTTGTGGGTTATTTTCATTATTCCATAAAGAGTTATTAAATAGGGGGAGGGGCCTGAGGCTGAAGGAGATCATCAAACACTCGTTTGATCATCTAGGGCCCGGCAGGGGAAAGATGAGGGAAAACAGCATTTCAGAAACACTGTTCAGCATTCATTGTTTAACACATTGAGCCTCCATGGACTCAAGTAAAACGGAAGAAGGATGATTGTTTCAAATAATTTGTAATTTTTTTAATAGATAAGAGGCATACATTCAAGTTACATTATGTTAAAAGGCACAGCCGTGACATCATAGAAATACTCAATGAGATATTTTTGCTGATCACTCAATGCTGGCCACTGCACTAATGGAGTTGATCCCTTATTGAGTCATTTACGAGAGTCTTAGGCAAATAATACCTCAGCGTGACCTCAGTATTCGGGGTGTGTGGTAGGAATTGGAAAAATAATTGTTGAATCTAAATCGTAACATATTTGAGATGAAAAAACTTTGGACATCTCCTCTTGTCTCACAAATGAGTTTAGTCAAGATCCAGAGAGGTCAAGTAACAAAAGGAAGGTCAAGTAATTGGCAGTCAGGACCAAGTGGGTTTCTGGATTCCAAAGGCCAGTGTATTTTACAGACAAATTGAGTTTTAAGTCACCTTATTTCTGGTATTTCTGCATAGTGAGCTCTAAAATGTAAGGGAACGTTAATATCTGAGTTGCTGCCTTGAGGTAAATTCATCCTATCCTTTAACAGTGGGAAGACAAGTTAATGAAGCATTTATTTTTGCTGAATAACTAATGGTGTCATCATCGAGGTGTTCATTTGAAAAGCCTGGCTCTTTTATTAGCTTCTTGGTTGCAGGGCAACTGTAGGAGTATTCTTGTGCATGTGTGTTAAGTACTAACTGCTGATTCTGTTCAAATGTTGCACTAATCCCTGCGGCCTCACAATAATACATGTTTTTAAAGGGATAGATTTAACATTGGCACAAATTTGACTATTATGACATGTTCTTTAGTCTCTCCTCTATTATCTAAAGAGTGAATGTTTTGTCCCAATCTGATAGAAATTAAGATGAACATTTTGTTAAGTCTGAGAGAGTAGTTCCAGGCTTAAGTATCTTGGGGCTCTATTGCACAATTGGTCAGGGGACCTTTCTGTCTCTACAAACATACCCAACTAGGAAAAAGAGGCTATTATGCAACAACATATGCATGTTAGAATTTCTGTTGTCAGCTGCAACTAGAATATTTAAAGTTGGCATTGCTAGTAAATACAGATTTAGGTTTTACTTCCTAATTAAATATGTAATTTTGTAATGAAGATTTTTTTTTCAAATAATACTTTCTGTGGTCGAAGTAAAATGTCTAAAGTTTGGTCAGTATACTTAATAAGTAGATACCTTTAGAGGTACTTTAGCCATATTTTCCTTACCCAGGTGAGCTGATAGTATGTCACCATTTTACATTTTTTAACACACTAATGATGTATCCTATTAACTTTAACACAGTTCACTATATTTTAAGCACCTTCAGGCATTATAGGAGGTATGGTCCCCTGTGGAAGTCAATGTCTACTCTTTCTTGGATGTTCAAATAAAAGATAAACACTTCAAAACCATTCTTATAAAAGATGGCTTTTTTGAATTGATCACAGGACAATGAATAAAACATTGTGAGGCTACAGGGACTAGCGGAACATTTGAGCAACATCAGCAGTTAGTACTTAACACACACGCACAAGAATACTCCTACAGTTGCCCTGCAAAAGTTTGTGCTTTTGCATCATTTTCCAGGAACAGTGACTGAGTTCTCAGAGAAGAGCGCCACCAGATGTCATTTTAGCCTTGTAAATAAGCAGGAGAGTGTTCCTTTGTGATTCTGATAAAGATAAGTTAACTCTGGCAGCTGCACAGGCAGAAGGGGTGGAACAGTAGAGGAAAGTTGCCCAACCATGTGAAGGGTGCCGTAAGCATTTCCAGTCAGACGTTCTTTGTTCAGTGGAGTCTTGATGGTGTTCTTTTTTATTCAAAGTTTACATCATGCTATTATTTGGAGATTCTGAAAATCCTTAAGCATATGTGAGAAAACTGTGCTGTGCTGGTGGTGTTGACCTTTCTCCCAGCGTTATATGATTTATGGTCCTGTTTGGAAATGAATGTCTACTCTTTCTTGGATTTCAAATAAGAGATAAACATTTCAAAACGATTCTTTTAAAAGATGCCTTTTCTTGATCACAGGACAGTCGTGTATGTGCACAAAAATAATAAGGCCTTCTCCTACGGTGAGAAATTAACTTTGCTTTTCTCTCAGTGCTCAGGAACCTAGAATTGCTTACAAATATGGAAAACACATTCTGTTGTACCTACACCTTTAAAATGTCATCAATCTCAGAATTTCAAAAGTCAGACCTTGCCGGATACCACATTTCTTCACATTGACTTTTGTTCCACTTTAGGCTAATTTGTCCTGACACTGCAGCTGCAGGCTTTGGGCTGCACAGTCTGTCATTAAGAGTACCAAGAATGGTCTGGAGAGTCGGAGCTGTTGGAAGTTAATTTGGCGTAAACTTTACTTTAAAAGATTTCTCGAGCTATGACATGTCACGTCTATGTGCAGTTACTTACATGTCTGTTTAAGAAGTTCTTGCTTATATTACAAATGTGACCTTTACAGTTATCTTTCAAAGTGCCCAGTGCTTTGAAGAGGAACCCTGAGGAGCTAAGGAGATATTAGACTTGTTAAGCATGTTTCATAGGAATGTCAGTGTCCATTTGAATGTCCTTCCCTTTTTTTTTTTAATCACACAGCAACCCTGTCAGCTGGTAGCAGAATATGGTATTGGAATCTTGTGATCAAATTAATCATGGTAGTCAAAGTTCTAGCTCTACATTTAATAGCCAAAGTCAGTTATTAAAAGTTTTCTCTTTTGCAAATAAGAAAATCCCTAGGCCCCTTCCAACTCTAAATTCTGTAAACTTCCTGTTTCATATATTGGTTACTGACTTTGAGACCCCCTAGATCAAGAGTCAACCATATTTTCCTGCTGAAGAACTTGATGTCCTCTTCTGTTTTTTAGACAGTAAAGAGGACACTGCAATAGAGTGCAATTCTCTGACTTACATTTAGCATCTAGCAAACCTTGCCAACCAGCATGGGCACCAGCTCACTCTGGAGACTGAGCACATGTACTGCATTTAGAGACCCCTTTACTAGATGATAACTCCTGATCTATCCATCCTTATACTTGATGTAACACAGCAGTCCTATTGGTCAGCAAATTATCTGTGCTGCCCTCTCAGATCCACCCATGCGTCACAGGCATTAATCTATACCAAAGCCGTTTGGCTGTGTGTTTCAGATTTGCCCTTTATGTTCTTCTGACGACTCTTTGAGACAAAGTTAAAGATTATGAACCTTAGCTTGAACTGACTGGTGTCATGGCAACTAGCACTTCACCTTTTGCTGGTCTCTATCTCATACATGCTACAATATTTGTGCACATTAATAATTCATTGCAAAGTGCCAGATTTCTTTGTGCTGTCAAGCAGTGTCAAGGACAGAATATGCTGTGCTATCTCAAATGTCATCTACCAGACTGTTGAGGGCAAGAGTAATTAGAAAAGAAAACTAGTCAGGTTACTTGGGAAAATTCCTGAAAATGTGATGCTTTCTAGTCACCCAACTATAGCATTTTTCTTGCAAAGTATGGAATAGAATTCATGTTGATCAAAGTTTATTTAATAATGCGCCCCAGACATAAGGCAGGAGTTTGGAGTAATTGCTCGCCTCTATTCAGGCAGCAAAGGAAATGATTAACAGCCTTCGTGCTCAGTCACGTGTACTGGGCTCCAGCGGGAACCTGAGCACAGGCTTAAAAGAAACCCGAGTGGTCCTGATGTGGGTGCTCCTACCCCAAGCCTGCCTTTGCCCGACACAGAGCAGAGCTGAGTAAATGTTTGACACCAGCTTTAGAAACAAGCCGTCTGGGATCTCAGGCTGATTAGCGGCCCTGGATAGCTTTCTTCACCTCTCAGTTCCCTCCGCGCAGCTCTTTGGTGGTTGTTGACGCTGTGAGTGATTGTTATAGTAATTGCAGTGTTGCCTGTAATTAATGAGCCTTTCAAATAAAAAATATGGATCTTTGTCTTAAAAATGTGGAAAATGCAAAGATACATTGGATTTAATTTATACAGAAGGCCAGATTTGTCCTTGATTAGGCAAAGAAATCACATGTTTTAAACTGAACATTGACTCACCTGTGCTTTACAGAACAAAACAAATAATCTCCCTCTCAAAAGAAAGCTTCATATTACAACCAGCCAGCATGTGTCGTACTTTACTCTTTAAAATTGGAATATATTTCTCCAAATGTTTATAGCCCACAGTTGGAAAAGATTTTTTTCACATAGCCATATCTGGATTGTTTGGTTTCTCTTTCTCTCTCCCTTCCTCTCCCCACCGGCCTCCTCTCTCTCTCTCTCCCCCCACCGGCCTCCTCTCTCTCTCTCTCCCCCCACCGGCCTCCTCTCTCTCTCTCTCCCCCCACCGGCCTCCTCTCTCTCTCTCTCCCCCCACCGGCCTCCTCTCTCTCTCCCCCTCGCCCTTTTTTGCTTCCTTTTCCTTTAAACCACTAGCTTAACTCCTCTTCAGACAATTTGGGGGTGGGGGGAGGGTCCCACAGGTGGAAGTGTGTCCCCACGTCACATTTTTTAGAATATGCAGCCATACTACCCTCCTTATGGACAAACTGGAACTATTTTATTTAATTTAATACCACCAGATTCATTTCAGGGCAAGAAGGGGAGGGGATATTAATCAGTTTCAGAACGTTGCAACAAATTACACTTAAAGAACAGTTAGGAACTTGTTAATCTTCTGTCACCTACCTTGATGTGGTGCTGGGGATCTGGATTAGTCATTTAATACCTGCAGGCAAGACCAGAGCACGTGAATACAGGGAAGTCATTACAGCCAACCTGCTATGGTGTCTGAGTTTCTAGTCAGAGCCAGCCGCTGGCTGGAGTTAGAGTGGACACGTGAGTGAGTGATTCAGATTTGTCAGGTAACCAAGTAGCAGGTTCTGATAGGAATTTGATATTGGATGTAATTTCTTAGGATTTAATATTGAGTCCTTATACTTTAACTTTTATACAGAAAGATAACTAAGACCCTTTATGTTAAGTTTATTGCTGTCTTCCAAGACTAGGCAAATTTTCAAAACTTAAAAATGATCTCTGGTTAACGTCAATAATATGTTTTATACTTTTTGGCTAATCTGGGAACAATTAATCATAACTAGATACTTTTAAAAGACATATAGGCTTGATTACTTAGGGATATGTTTTCTAGTTGTTTGAGGCAGGGTCTCGCTCTGTCGCCTAGGCTGGGGTGCCATAACACAATCACGGCTCACTGTAGCCTCGACCTCCTGGGCTCAAGCGATCTGTCTACCCCAGCCTCCCAAGTAGTTGAGACTACAGGCACACACCACTATGCCCGGCTAATTTTTTGTATTTTTTGTAGAGGCAGCGTTTCACAGTGTTTCCTAGGGTGGTCTTGAACTCCTGGGCTCAAGTGATCCTCCCGCCTTAACCTCCCCCAAAGCTTGGGGATTACAAGTGTGAGCCACTGTGCCCAGCTGTTTTCTAGTTTAGATTGGAATATATAAATTCCATTGTGATGTTACTTTATTTCAATTCTGTGATATAATACCCATGTATAAATTATAGAGCCTAAAGTTGAACCCATAATAACCTGAAGTACCAGTTTTTGACTTTTTCTGGTAACAGATCAAAATAATAATTACTGTCATAATTACTCTTTCTGTTTTTACTACTACAAAGAAATACAATCAAGCTGAAACATGTGTCTCTCTTCCTCAGCAGTGTACTTGGGCAATGCAGTAATGAGAAGTGTGTTCACTTGCTGTATTAGTCTGTTCTCATACTGCCATACAGAAATACGTGAGACTGGGTAATTTACAAAGAAAAGAAGTCTAATTGGCTCACGGTTCTGCAGGCTGTACAGGAAGCATAGAGGCTTCTACTCCATTTCTGGGGAAGACTCAGGGAGCTTTCAGTCATGGTAGAAGGCAAAGAGGGTGCAGCAATAAACACGGCAGAAGCAGGAGGAAGCGAGGGGGTGGGGGCTGCACACGTTTAAACAACCCGATCTCGCAAGAACTCACTCATCACTAGAGCAGCACCAGGAGATGGTGCTGAACCATACATGAAAAATCACTCCCATGATCCAGTCACCTCCCACCAGGCCATACCTCTGACATTGAGGATTATAGTTGACCTGAGATTTGGGTGGGGGCACAGATCCAAACCGTATCACTAGCTCTCCTCCACAGTGCCTGTCTCAGTGTAGCAAGGTAATTCTCCCTTAATATTTGGAAGATTGATCTGGGTCTTCCAGCTTAGTCTGGGACAGTCAGACAAATAAGTATAAGACAATCAAAATCAAAGCACTATAAAACACATAATCGCATTAAGGTAAATGGTACTGACTATAGGTCTTAGAGAAATGTAGACAAAGTCAGGCTGGCCTAGAATAATATTAGATAAAGGTTTAACACCCTAACTACCTTCAGTAAAGAATTATTAGGGGGCTCCAGTGACATAAAGCGCTTTGAAAAGCATGAGAGACTATATAAATATGTGATGAATATTACACTTTGATTTACACACGAAGGGTCTGGGATAGATTATCAGAAGAGTTCATGGGTCAAATGCCACAGGTGAGAATAAGCATTTCATGGGTACTGATGAGGAAACTCAAACAGGGTGTGAGTTGGGAGTGGGGTACTACATGATGACTGGGGAAGACCTTGGGATACTTCACAAAAATTCATGTGGCACCTGTATGAATAATTGGTGGGAGCACAGAAAAACATCAGAATTAAGGGAATTGCTGTTTTCAATCTTTACACACAAAAATTATAACAAATTAGATAAGGCCAAGGGCAGTGGCTCACGCCTGTAATCCCAGCACTTTAGGAGGCCGAGATGGGAGGATCACTTGAGCCCAGGAGTTCAAGACTGGCCTGGGCAACATAATGAGACCCCTTCTCTACAAAAAATTAAAAATTAGCTGGGCATGGTGACGTGCGCCTGTAGTCCCAGCTACTCGGCAGGCTGAGGCAGAAGGATCACTTGAGCCCAGGAGTTCGAGGCTGCAGTGAGCTATGATTATGCCATTGCACTCCAACCTGGGCAACACCGCAAAACCCTGTCCCCCACCCCCGCCCAAAAAAAAAAAACCACAAACCCATATTAGGTATTCATGCAAAAACTCAGTGATACCGTAGCCAGCAAATCCTCTGAGAAGGGAATGCAGCTCTTCCTTAAGTCTGCTTTGTAGTGTTTGGTTGTGTGGGTTTTTTTAACTTCATAAATCATGGGAAGCTGTGCTGGCAGTAGGAGATAACTCAGCAGTAGACAGATTGCTCTTCGCTGCTTTCTTTTAAGAAGCAGGTTATAAAACTGTTGGGAGCCTGGTGGAGTAGTTAATAGATCATCGTAAGCAATTTGAAGTAATTTTTTTTTTTTTGATACAGCCTTGCATTTTGAAGGCAAGCGAGCTAGAGAGAAAAGAGTTTAGTGAGTAAGAAATCGGCGCCACCTCTGATTTTGTGCCACCTCTGGCACAAGTTTCAGGGCCTCTGGGTCCCCCAGCCTGGAACTTGTGCCACACTCTCTGCCTCACTGTGTGGCCAGTCACTTGCATCTGTGGCAGAGTCCCTGCGGTGAAACCCATGTTGGAATGTGACTGTTCAGAATGATACACGTTCTTGTCAGTGCATAGTTGGCATTATGATATGTTTTTCACAAAAATAGTTCTATAATTTAGCCTGTTTTTTACATCCTAAAATACTTTGTCTCCTGCTAGTACATTTTGGTAATAAGCCTTGGGATCCCAGAGCATGCTGCTGGAGTATCTCTTCATTGATAGGTCTATTACTACGTAGACATCGCCGTAAGGCACACATTAATACAAGGCAATGTTTGTAGTAGGCTGTGGTCCCTCCTAAACCATGAGATAGCTGCATTGAAGTGTCACGAGCAGAAACAAATACCTGGCTTGGGAGTACTTTAAATTAGCAGATAACTGTCACTTGAAAGGTAATTAAGAAGCTTCTGCCAATGGCTCTCTTTTTATCTCTAGACACTGTCCCCAAAAGCTTTTAAGTTACAGTCTTGTTGGTCACGACTTATAATAGGCCTGCCATGCCGATGATACAGTGCTAAGTTAGCCAGACACTTAAAAGATCTTTTTGATAAATATAAAATATTTTTAAAGGAATTGGGAAACAAAACATCATGTGAATAAAAGTTTGTTTTGTGATCCTGGACTGGGTTTTAGATGAAATTCATGAAATCAGTTCTAAAACTTGAATCTTACTTTGTTTCAGACCACTAAGGCTTTTCTTCCTACGATGCTGGAGATTAATCATGGTCATATTGTGACAGTTGCAAGTTCCTTGGGATTGTTCAGTACTGCCGGAGTTGAGGTTTGTCAGATATATAGCATTTCTTTCGTTCAATCTGTTTATCCTGTGATAAGTACACCAGAACCTCCAGGAGAGCACCTGCTGCCCCTCCATTCATGAAAGCTGCACGAAGGCACTCTGCATGTGTGCTGCATGTAGAATGTTCCACAGGAACCCAGGGCCAGCCACTGGAATGGAATTCTATGTCAGGTGTGGTGGCGCACACCTGTAGTCCTAGCTACTTGAGAGGCTGAGGTGGGAGAATCGTGCGAGCCCAGGTGTTCAAGACTGCAGTGAGCTATGGTGGCACCACTGCACTTCAGCCTGGGAGATAGAGCAAGACCCTGTCTCTAAAACAAAACAAAGAAAGGGAATGGACTTCTGCCTCTTCTGCCATAAAATCTCTTACACTAGTTTGACAAAGCAGCAGCGACAAGAAAAGTAGATGGGCCAGCCCTCAGTGTGCCCATTTTCATTAGCAGCTTCACTTGACGATGGCAGGAGGCACAGGGCCAAGAATGGAACCATGGAAAGCTGTGGGGAACAGAAGAATGAGGCCAGAGGTTCACATTCGGTTGTGGTCACCTTGCCAAAACTGAGCTATCTTGTATTAATTAGCCCATCAGATGAGGCGGTCAGGTATCCTGCATTGTAAGTTTGTAGAATTGTAGAACTGGATTTCATCAAACCCTGTTCTTCACGATATTCAGATTATAAAGTATGAGTATATATGTTGTTCTATCCTGTTTGTCCTCTGCATGCCTGTAAAACTGAAAACATCACTCCATGCAAATATGCAAAAGGACACATTATTTAAATAGCACCTATATCAAGGGATTCCATTTCTGAAGTTGGGCCATGGACAATAACTTTTTTTCTATATTCTGTGCCTTTAGGTTAAGTTCTAGTTTAAGATTACAAGGCATGATTATCATTTTCATTTTAACTTCGCCTTACAAAGAAAGTCAAATCATAACAATTTATAGCCTAAGCTAGATTTGCCTTTATTCTTCTTGCATTAATTTAAACAAACTGGTTTTTCTTTCTCCTTTACTGAACAAGAGACCATTTGTAAATTTTCCAGACACTTCAAAGTGAACCTCTCTCCATTTTAACTTCAGCTTGTGAGCTTTCATAGAATCCTTTATGGTAACTTCCCCAAAGTAATATGATACTTAGTTGATGTGACAAAAAGTATTCATCTGTTTCTGCTGTTGCTTTGAAAATATTATTTCTGCACTGAACCACATCAGGTATCTGGTTTGTGTTTTTTTTTTGTTTTTGTTTTTGTTTTTGTTTTTGTTTTTTTTTTTTTGAGACAGAGTCTCACTCTGTCACCCAGGCTGGAGTGCAGTGGTGTGATCTTGGCTCACTGCAACCTCCACCTCCCAGGTTCAAGCAATTCTCCTGCCTCAGCCTCCTGAGTAGCTGGGACTACAGGCACAGGCCCACCATGCCCAGCTAATTTTTGTATTTTTAGTAGAGGCGGGGTTTCACCATTTTGGCCAGGCTGGTCTCGAGCTCCTGACCTTAAGTGATCCAGCCACCTCGGCCTCCCAAAGTGCTAGGATTACAGGCATGAGCCACTATGCCCAGCCAGGTATCTGTCTTTTAAAATGATTTCCTTTTCTTTGTGTAGTCACCTGTAACCTTATGTATTAGACATCTAAACATGGTAATAGGACCAGGGAAGCTTTAGTTTGGTTGGAGATAGGGGCATATGCTTAGTATTTCTGCTTTCTCCCCTCTTTAACTCAGGATTACTGTGCCAGTAAATTTGGAGTTGTGGGTTTTCATGAATCCCTGAGCCATGAACTAAAGGCTGCTGAAAAGGATGGAATTAAAACAACCTTGGTTTGCCCTTATCTTGTAGACACTGGCATGTTCAGAGGCTGCCGAATCAGGTCAGTGAGAACCTATATTATTACTGATAAAAAGAATATGTTGGGAGAATATGTGGAACTGGACTTTCAAACATAACCTTGTATTTTAACTATCATTTGACAATCTGTGGCTTTTATTGGTCAAGATTTGTAAAGTTTGTAAAATTGGTGTATAAGATTTGCAAAGGAGAGACTGGTGCTACACACTGATACTAATTTGCAGAAATTAATCCAGAATCATTAGATAGGAAATGGCTTCTCTGTAAAGAGAAAACATAAGTATCCAGTCTTTTCCTTAGAAGCTCATCTTTTGGAGTTATTTTGTTTCTTTAAAATTGGTATTGGTAAATAAGGATTCTAGAAGAAAATTCCTTCATGTGACTTGGGTCTGGATATGAAGCAATGTTACTGTCACAGAGAGTAACGTGCCTTTCTTCTGAAAAGACCATTGAATATTACACTCCAGATTTGGAAACTTCCTTTTTGCAGCAAGCGTATGTAACTAGATTCACTCTGGCAGAATGAGAAGAACCATTTAGATATACTGAAAAATGAAATAAAATACCCACACACATAGAAAGGAGGTATATGGGAATATAAATGTCAAGTTACATCTGACTTGAGCTCAGCAGAATAAACAAAACTGTGAATCATTAAGAGGATGCTTGTGAAGACATGCTTACTTTTATCTTTGCTTGGGTGAGTTTGAAAGGCAAAGGAAGATAACCAAACCAGTTCCCTGTTGGTTGGGGGCCATTCTTAACGTGTACTGAACTGAACAAGCAGCAAAATAGGTGGAAGGTGATTTGAATCACTCCAAAGTCAGGCTTGGAGTCCCAAGTCTGACCTGGAAAATGGACTCTAGCTCTGCCTCTTATCCCACACATGTGTGTGTCTGTGTGAACATGTGTGTGTGTTGGTGGTTTGTTTTGTTTTGTTTTCCTCTTATGTACTTGGGAAGCAGTTGCTGAGGGTCTTGCGGAGCTCTGTTTCCTCCAGTGTAGCATAGCAGCAGGTGCAGGGGTCCAAAGCTATGGTGGCAAAATGAAGAATGAAAGGAATAAATTGCACACTATCATTTCAACATGTAACCCAGTGAATCAAACTGAAGGTAGGATGTCTATATACCCTTCATTTCAGGGGCCCCTAGAGAATATACCTTAGCTTTCCCTCTTCCGGCATCCTGGAAAGTGGATACCTGTGGCCTTCCTTTCACTTTGAAAGCTTACACCCTCATTTTGACTACAACTAATACTAAAAGCTTGGCATCTTGCTTGAGATTAGTGTTTGCTATGCCAAACACCTTCTCCTCTTTCTATTGAAAGCAAAACATAGGAAAATAATTTGAAATACTTTTAAGGCATCTTAAAAACATGACTTTTTCATCTTATGGAAAAGCAGACCAATTTTGCTTTTTTTTCCCAACTTGTTCTCCAGACTGTGCCAATAAAATGTGTTCATAGCAGGAAAATTTGGAAAATACAGAAAAGCACTATGAAGAAAACAAAATGTACCCAAAATCCCATCACTCAGATAACATCACTGTTAATGTTTTGATATGTATTTCCAGTCTTTTCTATTGTGTTAATTTTTCATTTTGTTTTTGAATAAATAACTTTCAGGAAAGAAATTGAGCCTTTTCTGCCACCTCTGAAGCCTGATTACTGTGTGAAGCAGGCCATGAAGGCCATCCTCACTGACCAGCCCATGATCTGCACTCCCCGCCTCATGTACATCGTGACCTTCATGAAGAGGTAACTGGGAGGGGTTCCCTCACTGACTGGGTCTCTCCATGCCTGCCCGATGTCTTAATTGAAACTTCAAGTTTGCTAACAGCTGTGACTTCCCTTTTTCAGCATCCTACCATTTGAAGCAGTTGTGTGCATGTATCGGTTCCTAGGAGCGGACAAGTGTATGTACCCCTTTATTGCTCAAAGAAAGCAAGCCACAAACAATAATGAAGCAAAAAATGGAATCTAAGAATCTTTTTGTATGGAATATTACTTCTATCAGAAGATGATCAAGATGTTTCAGTCCAGTGCACATCAGCATTGCTGACATTTTATGGATTCTAAACTTGTGTTGTTTCTTTTTTAAATCAACTTTTTAAAAAAATAAAGTGTAAATTAACCGACTAGAGTACTTGGAAAATGTGATCAGTACAAGTGAACTTAGGTTGTTGCCAACAGGGTCCTTTTAGGCAGAACCCAGAAACCAGTCAAATCTGTAGAGAAGCAGTGTGACATCTTCAGGTTACCATTATTTTTTAATGAGCAGGAAGTCTAGAAATGATAACTAGACTGTATGTTTCATGTGTGTGATTTTTCAGAATTCCCAGAGTTTACTCATTCTTGTTATTAAACTCTAGCCAGTTGACATCTTCGCAATTTCAAGGACTGATAGTGCTGTATTTTCTCACGTTTTCTAAGTTTCCGTTTTGCAAGGCCTAGGTGACTTTTTCATGGTGTTTGTATGTTTAGCTCTTTTGAAAAGGAATTTTGAAATCTCCATCAACTGAAGTAAATGATGTCTGAGTGTTACAGTAAAGGTGACCAAGTCTCTTTCTTAAAGTCACAATGACTAAAGTATTAGTTGAATTTTTTTTTTTTTTTTTTTGATGGAGTCTCGCTCTGTCACCAGGCTGGAGTGCAGTAGCACAATCACGGCTCACTGCAATCTCTGCCTCCCAGTTTCAAGTGATTCTGCTGTCTCAGCCTCCCAAGTAGCTGGGACTACAGGCATGCGCCACCACGCCCAGCTAATTTTTGTATTTTTAGTAGAGACGGGGTTTCACCATGTTGGTCAGGATGGTCTCCATCTCTTGACATTGTGATCCACCTGCCTCGGCCTCCCAAAGTGCTGGGATTACAGGCATGAGCCACTGCACCCAGCCTTGAATTTTTAATTTTATCTCTGATATACTTCATTAAGTGTCTGGAGACCTAATTATCCTAAAAGATCATACATTTTCTACCTATGAATTTTGCTGCATACAGAAAGTGCCCTTTCCTCAGGAAGTTGCTGTGTTTCATTTCTTTGGATGGACTCTTATCTAGAATACATAGCAGCTCTGCAAAGGAACAGTTTTTAAAAATGGGAACTTCTACATTGAAAAGTCCCCATTTTTGTGCCAACTATGATTAGTGAGAGGAAGAAATCTTATTCTATGGCATATGTATGGAAGGGTGTAAAGATTCTTTTGAAAGGTTTATTCACATTGTAGAACAGCAAATGACATTTTTACAGTATTTTTTTGTAAAGCAAACTATTTTGTGCCTTGAATTTGGTATATGTGTATTAGTGAAACATTGTAAAGGTGAACTTCTACCTCTGTATCTAAATGTATACCATCCACTTGTAAATGACTATAAACTATTATGTGATTGCTTTTTTTTTTAGAATGTCTTGTTTAAATAGTGGCCAATGTTTAAGGCTGTTAAAATAAGCCAACTTTTACTAATTGGGGAGTTTTATAAATGACTGATTAAATTTAAAGAATTAACTTACATGCAATTGTGTGATTATTAGTTATCAGCAGTGTTGTAAGGAAAATTATTGTGTTTTTTTTTATGATCATTATCCCACTTTAGGTAAAGAAAAATATTGGAATGGAATAGTGTTGGGAAACAGACATTAACAACCTAGGGTGCCTGCACTCAAATAGCCGATGTTACTGTCCCTAGATTAGAGACTTGATTAAGGGCTTGTTTGTACCAAAAGTGGGGAAACAATGCCATGACCTGTGTTTTAGTTTGGCTGCACCACAGATCAAATCTGCACTGTGTCTACATATAGGAAAGGTCCTGGTGTGTGCTAATGTTCCCAATGCAGGACTTGAGGAAGAGCTCTGTTATATGTTTCCATTTCTCTTTATCAAAGATAACCAAACCTTATGGCCCTTATAACAATGGAGGCACTGGCTGCCTCTTAATTTTCAATCATGGACCTAAAGAAGTACTCTGAAGGGTCTCAACAATGCCAGGTGGGGACAGATATACTCAGAGATTATCCAGGTCTGCCTCCCAGCGAGCCTGGAGTACACCAGACCCTCCTAGAGAAATCTGTTATAATTTAACAACCCACTTATCCACCTTAAAACTGAGGAAAGTCGTCTTTACATCTAATTTTATTCTTGTGTGTTATAACTTAAACCTATTTCTATTTTTGTTTGTTATTGCCCTTATAAGGGTGTCCATCTCCAAGTTCAATAAACTAATTCATTTAACTTTTTTGTAGAAGTCTTTCATTCCCATGTCCCAGCCCAGTTCAATCACTTCTGTGGCTCTTCCTTGAATGTTGTCCATATTCTCCCTCCCATCTTTAGCTGTGGAGTTTGGAAAGGGATACAGTTAATGCAGGTTTAGAACTATGGAATTCCTACAAGTTGCATTTCTTCATCCCAATGTCACGTTCTTATTAATGCTACATTGCTGATTGTGTGCATTATTGTTTCTAAACATGAAATCTCTTCTAGACAAGTCTGCCTGTTTGTGTTGATCACTTATGTAATTGCCAAGGTTGCTTTTCTGGCTGGTTATTTATCTACACCTGCCCCCACCCCTTAACATGAATGCTGACTTTGAATATGTTCTCTTTTTTGTCATCTGGCCCATTCATGTGAATGTTCAGGGCCACTGCACTCAAGGCTGATCCCCTAAGGAGCACCACCTCTGTCTGTGAGCACCACCCCCAGCTCATACTGGCACTCTCCCTTTCTCTAACCTTTCAACCAATTTAATGATAATTATATTGAGTGGGACCCAGGAATCAAAAGTTTTGAAGCCAACAAACATAAATTCCAACTATTGTTTTCCCCCTTGATCTACCAGGTCTGCTGCTCTGTCACAAAAGATTAGATTAGCCTGACAGGATTGAGCTACGTAAAGCCAGGCTGGGGTGTGTGTGTGTGTGTGTGTGTGTGTGTGTGTGTGTGTGTGTGTGTGTGTGTGTGTGTGTGTTAGGTATCCTGTTTCCTTAGAAGGCTGTAGCTTTCAAATTTTCTCAAGTTAAAAGAAAATGTTTTCTTTTCCAACTGGCAGAAATAATTCTAAATTGACATTGACCTGAATCTTGGAAATTTGCTTTTGCCTCCAGCAAAATATAAGATCAGTAGGGGTTGGGGGAACAGGGTCATTCTTTCTATGCCAAATGTATTGCCTGTGCCTGAGTCAGAAGAGTAGGGAAAGCAAGGATGTAATGGTTCGGAAGTGGTGAGATGTGGGCCCTGGGCACATGTAGTCAGCATTTGCACACCAGGCATCTGCCGAAGCGCCCATCCCAGGGACTCGAGCGTGCAGGTAACTCACAAGTACACATGTAAGTACCTATGTGCACATGCCACAAATGAAGCCTCAGAGTATGATGACATCTCAGTAAGGGAAGGAAAGGTGGCCTGGAAGGTTGGTGATGCAATGGATGGATTTGGGAATGGGAGTTTGCAGATTCCGGGGAACAGATTCTCAGGAAAGGCCCAGAGATCAAAAAAAGTAGATTATACTCATTATGACTGAAGCATAGAACATGGGAAGAGAATGACATGCGTTCCCTAAGGAGATCCCATCTTGAGAATGGCCTTCATTCCAGGCTGAGGAATGGGCCCTTCATTTGATACAGAAGAGAGAAGCCCTAGAAAGTTTTTTTTAGCAGGAAAGTAACAGAAGCAGAGTTGTAAGTTAATAGGATCAATGAAGCCGCTGTGAAGAATTTCAAGGCACAAGAAGTAGGGAGCAGTGAGGAAGGAAGTTATTGCAGTAGTCCACGGGGAGGTGCTAAGAATGGGCCAGCAAGAGAGGGGGATAGGGAATGGAGGGAGAAACCCAGGCTGAGCAACCGATACCGCAGGAGGTTGAACTTGCAAGCCTAGGTGACTGAAGATAGCTTATCCCTCGAGCCAAGTGGTTTTAAGTGGGAAGAACAGAATTCACCAACAGTGAATCTGATTTAGAAATGTTGCATTTGAGATGCCGGGTGACAATAGCTGGCAGACAGGCGAATAATCCTGGCCCTCGGGAAACAGGTTGGTGCTGGGATCCTGAAGTCATCCACATAGAGGCTGTGAAGTGAACAAACCTGGGAGGGGGAAAGCACAGAATGAGTGGAGATCCAAGGACCCAGCTTGGGGAATGTGGGGGAGCAGCAGCAGAAGGTGTAAAAGGTGACAGAGTAAAGTTAAGAAGGGAACTTTCTCCTCCCAAGGAGAAACCAGACTAGAAATAATTATCTCCTCTGCTTGGACCTAGTCCCCAGGCTGAGTCACACTTAAGAAACCTCAGTCTGGCCCAAGAAAAAGAGTCTGTGTGGCCAGCCCTGGGGCAGAGGCCCAAAAGGTGAAGGGCAGTGTTAACAGACAGCACATGGAGGCTTCGACCATGCACTCGGGTTTCTAGTAACTGAATCCATTGTTAAAAGGACCAAAGGAAAATTTCTTCCTGAGTGAATCCTGGAAACTGTTGTTCTTTGGCAATTTTCTTTGCTTGGCCTCAGAAGCATGACTTGCTTAGATGTGCAAGCAATGTTTCATCAGAACCCTGGGGAAAAACAAAATGCACTTTGAGTATCACCAAATGGATACATGTTAGTGCAAATGAACTATTTTTATGTGCCAAAAAGATGAGACAGGACCTGCTTCTATCAGGGTGCTCAAAAAGACGGGTTCCTATCTGGTCCTTGAAGCACTAAACTCACAGCGGGCCAAGAACCTCTCAGGCAGGTCCTGGGTCAAGGTGGACATGCAGTGACTCCCAGCTTTCCCAGGAAATGTCACGGCAGAGCAGTGTGGAACCACAGTCTTGCTACTGTTTATTATGACGCTTTCTGGGGATTGCAGTTCCTACATTACAATAGCTATACCAAAGCACCTACACATTTCACAACTCATCTATTATTTGGGGGAAAGCATTGACAACACACAGCCACACAGTCCAGAGAATCCTGCTCATTGAGTAATTATTTCTCATTTAACGTGCTCCGTTGCTGTAGAGAACTTAATGTCTTCCAGGAGCTCCTCACAGGCTTTTGAGCTGTGACTGTTGAAACATTTCTACCACTAGCAAAACGCAAGAGAATTGATTAGCAAGAAAAACAAAGCATCTTCAGCCCAGATTCTAAGTTTGAGGTTTTCCTGTCAAGGTGATTGAAACCATGCTGCAGGGAGAAACGTGTGTGCATAGCAGCCATGAAGAATGCCCCTCTCCTTGTCCATACCTCATGGGTGGTCCACCTGAATGCCACTCAGCAGGCATCCCCTCCCCCTAGGGAGGAACCTGAGCCCAGCTCCTCCAGCCCTCTGCTAGCAGGTGGCCATCTCCCGGCCAGCCCAGCTTATCCAGGGCCTGAGTGGTCCAGGAGGCTAATGAGCAGATGGGAGTCCTGCCTGGACACAGGCATACTTACGTATGTTGACAGCACAGTATCCGGCAGCCACAGAGTTCCTGCTTAAGAGCTCAGTGTTGTGGATTGGATCATGTCCCCTCAAGAGATGTGTTGAAATCCTGACCCCTAGTCCCTGCAAATGTGTCCTTACTTGGAAATAGGGTCTTTGCAGATGTAATCAAGATGAGATCATTTTGGTCAGGCTCAGTGGCTCATGCCTGTAATCCCAGCACTTTGGGAGGCTGAGGTGGGAGGATCACTTGAGTCCAGGAGTTCAAGACCAGCCTGGATGACATAGTGAGACCCCATGTCTACAACAAATGAGAAAATCAGCTGGGTGTGGTGGTGCACACCTGTAGTCCGAAGAATCGCTTAAGCCCAGGAGTTTGAGGTTGCAGTGAGTCGTGATCGTGCCACTGCACTCCAGCATGGGCGACAGAGGGAGGCCCTGTCTCAACAACGAAGAAAGATGAGGTAATTTTGGATTAGAATAAGCCATAAATCCCATCACTGGTGTTCTTATACAAAGAGACACAGACACACACAGAGAGAAGATGCCATGTAACAATAGGCAGAGATCGGACTGACGTAGCTGCAAGCCGTGGAATGCCAAGGAATTGTATCAAGGACCAACAGCTAGAAAAGAGGCATGGAGCAGGCCCTCCCTCAGTGCCTCCAAAAAGGAACCAAGCCTGCTGACACCTGGATTTCAGATGCATAGCCTCTAGAACTGTGAAAGCATAGATTTCTGTTATTTTAAGTATCACCCAGTTGGTGATGCTTTGGTACAGCAGCCCTAGCAAATGAATACACTCAGGGTCTGTTGTCAGACAGCCTGAGTGCAAGTCCAGCTCTGCATCTCCCTAGCCATGGATCCCAGGTCTTTTTCTTAACCTTCGTAAGTCTCAATCTCCTCATGGGTACACTGGGAATAACTGCAGTACCTATATCAAGAGCATCGTGAGGAATGTGGGAGGACACAGATAAGCACTTAGGACTGTGCCTACCACACCTTGGAGGTGTGCAATAGATTGCATTAGGTTGAATCATATGAAATTGCTGTGACTGAATTCTTTTGACCTACAAAAAAGGCACTTTTATCTCGTTCAACATAACAGTGATGATGGGGGATGGATAGTGACAGTACCTAGATCAGAATCTCTATTTATGGTACTGTTTTGTGTTTCCAACAATTCTTACTTCCTGACACCCACTGGATGTCCTACAGTTCGGTCCAATTCTGACACTTCCCAGAGTTAGTGCAGGCCCCACAGGTTAAGGTTTTGATCCCACAAGACTGCCTCCACTTCAGATACCGGCCAGAGAATCGCAAATGGGGTCCCCAGGCTACCCATGCTTCTGCCCAGCTGACTACAAATTCAGGGTTCACAAGACCCCTGCTCAGGTTTGATAATTCACTAGAATGATCCAGAACTCAGGAAAACACTATGCAGTCCTTGATTACCGTTTATTAGAAGGGCTGCACAGGCACAGCCAGATGGAAGGGATGCACAGAGCAAGCCCTGTGGGAAGGGCGCGGGCTTCCCATGCCCTCCCCAGGAGCCACCCTCCCAGCACCTCCATATGTTCACCAACCCAGAAGTTCTCCAAATCTCCTCATTAAAGAGTTTTTACTTAAGTTTTATTATGTGGACATGATTGACCAAACCATCGGCCACAGGTGAATCAATTCAGTCTCCACCCCTTTTTCTCTCCCCAGAAGTGACGGGGTTTGAAACTTCAACTCCTCCCTTGAAACTCTCTAAGGGCCCACCCTGTCCACATCATTAGCATAGACTCAAGTAGGATGTAAAGAGGCCGGTTATGAATAACAAGAGACACTCGTGTCACTGTGGAAATTCCAAGGGTTTTAGGAGCTCTGTGCCAGAAGCTAGGGACAAAGACCAAATATAGTCTTCACTCTACTGCAAGTACCTAGTGTGTTGCAATTAGTTATTGGTACATCTGAAGACAAGTGTCCTGTTCTAGTGATCTCGGTAGTCTTAGTTCCAACATCTCACGTAGACCCAAGCACACAGTAGATGCTCAATAAATGTTGATCTTCATGGCCCTTTGTGCTCTTCAAATACTTGGTGGTCTGTGAAATAGGAATACCCAAGCATGGGGCTTTCCCAAGTCTGTGCACCAGAGAATTTTTTTTCCCTGCCCTGTTGCTCCTAAACGAACTGTGAGGACATAGGAGTTTACTACTTATGTGCTCTTTGAGCCTTTGCTCTGATCAACGTCACCTGTATGCAAGAGGTTACCGAAGGCCAGAAAAGTTTGTAAGGCAACCGCACAGATGTTGCTTCTACCAAAATTAAACAAGGAGAGTCCTCCCAAGCCCTCAGAATATCTGGCCAGTCTTGGATAGTTCAGAGAGTAAAACAAGTTAGCCAGGTTCTGAATAGGACAAACATTGAGACAGATGCAAACAGAGAGAACTTCCATCTGACCCCTATAAACACCATTTTCTTCTGGCTTGCAGTGACAATGGAAAGCTTATCCTTTCAGGGAAAAAAAAAAAAAAAAAAGAATAAACAGTGTTCTCTGTTCTCCAGAAGCCACCTTTATTTTCTACCCTTTTCTCTGACTTTGGCGATGGTTTGGCATTGTCAGATTTCCTGGGACTCACTGCAGTATGCTGAGGGGGTCTTTGAAACACCCCCAGAAGTGGACCTGAGATGCTTTTCTCATGACCACTCTGGGAGCCCAATCCACTGCCCTGAGTGCTCCTGAAGCGGAGGCCCTTGAGGACTGAGAGCCGGGAAATGCAGAACCTGGCCAGGGAGTGAAGAAATGAATACTGCTGTCAGGGAAGGAAGTAGATGGAGCAAAACTGCAGCCCCGGGGGAGATTCCCTAACCACAGTTCCTCCAGCTGCTCCAACTTCCTGCTCCACCACCGCCTGGAGTCTGTCCCTGAAGACCTTCCCACAGCCAGCTGAAAGCCCAGGAACCATTTCTCCTTACCTGCTACAGAGGCCATAGGGAACTGAGAACATTCTGGTGAAGAGGGATCCGCCAGATTTCCCTCTCCGGGACTGGGCTTTTGGGAATGAGTTTCACTTGCACCTCAAGATTTTAGCTCAGTGAGCCACGAATAAGAAATTTGTGCAATGTGGGTGCTTCTGGCTTATTCTTCATGAGGAAATGTCAGTTTGAAATGATTTATCTTAGAAGGGAAGAAGTATTTTATGTATGAGAATAAGAATTTAAGTAACTTCAGAGATCAGTTAAATGTCAGCTTAAAAGGAAAAGGAGAGGTTCTGGTGGACTAGAGAGAAAAATGCACAAAATTGCAGGGTTCACCAGACCAGTTTGCTTTGCTCTCCCTGGCAGTGGAGGCTTGCAGGCTGAAGTTGATTTCTTTATCAGCCTTGGGGTTTCTAGTGTTTTCTCATCGTATCAGGCCCCTAAAATTAGATCCATTTGCCATCAAAATTATTGACATACTGGGAATTTTGGGAAGCAGAAAGTTGTAAGAGACTCAGAGAAGAAAATGGTCTATATTTCCAACTTCAAGTGAAACCTATTTAGAGAACACACTCTGCTCTTAGAAGAGCTATTTAAAAGACTAGAACCCCTCTGTACTTTTGGAGGGAATGTAAGATGGTGCCGCCACTATAAAAAATAGTATGGCAGTTCCTCAAAAAATTAAACCTTGGAAGTGCCATATGATTTAGCAATTCTATGTCTGTGTATATATCCAAGGGATTACAAGCAGAGTCTTGAAGAGATCATTCAAACACCCATATTTATAGCAACACTATTCACAGTAACAAAAAGATGGAACCACCACATAGATCCATTGGTGCATGAATGGCTTAAAGAAGATGTGTCATATACTTACTGTGAAATATTATTCACCCTTAAAAAAGAAGGACATTCCTACACATACCACAACAAGGATGCACCTTGAGGAGATTATACTGAGTGAAATAAACCAGTCATAAAAGGGTGAGTATCATGAGATTCCACTTATATGAAGTACTTGGAGTAGTCAAAATCATAGACACAGAAAGTAGAATGGTTGTTGCCAAGAACTGGTGGGAAAGCGGGAATGGGGAGTTATCGTTTAATGGGTACAAAGTTTCAGCTTTGCAAGATGAAAAAAAATTCTGGAGATTGGTTGCACAACAGTGTGAATATACTTAACTCTGCTGAACTCTACACTTTAAAATGATCCAGATGGTATGTTTTATGTTATGTGTATTTTACTGCAGTTTTTCTTTTTTTAAGAAAAGACTAGAATGACCTGGCCTTTGGAGCCACTATTGAGAAGACAGCTTTCCATCTGTAAGTAGCTGCAGCAGATGGTCTCTCAACCCTATGTCATGCTTCTCTATGACAAGACAGGACAGATCACAGAACAAACACTATTAGCTGATGCCACATGCTGGGGACTGAAAACCCAAAGGGGGCCAGGATACAGAAGTCCCCTGTTCTCAGGGCACCAAAGGCCAAAATATTTAGATGAAATAATTTCTCTATGAACAGTACAAAGACTTTTGCGATGTGTATATTCTAAGCCATGTAGCAATGTCTTTCCTGGCTTCCATGGTTTCTCCAGCTCCCCTGACCACTCCTAGGTTGCACCTGTTACAGGTAGTTAGACAGGCATGAGCAGAACAGGAGAGGACCTTCCCCCACCCACTAGGAATGGCGAGTGACGGTTTTGGAATTATTGTTTTGCCTCTCTAAAAGTGATAAACTGGCAGCCAGGGCTAGGGAGAGGTCATTCCCTGATGGTCCACACCTATTGCACTAAAGTCTTAACTGAATGCAGCTGCCAGGGAGAAGCAACTTCCTGGGCATGTGCATTAAGGGACAAAATGGCAGAGCATGACCTTCTAGGGCACTCCACTGGAAACGGGAAGAAAGTCTCAGATGGGCATGCGTGCAACTTCCTAAACACACTGTGCATGCTCACTTTCCAAGGGTAAGGAGGGCACTGCACATGTGGGCAGCCCACACAAAGGGAAGAAGCATGGGAAAGGAGCCAGCCTATAAAGTCCTAGGATCAAGGTTAAATATCGCACTTGACCTCTGTGTCCCACTTGGGTCTCTTCCGAGTGTATTTTCCTTTGTTTCTTGTTCTAAATCCATTTTAAATAAACTTTCACTCCTGCTCTGAAACTTGCCTCAGTCTCCTTTTCTGCCTTATCCCCTCAGTCGAATTCTTTCTTCTGAGGAGCTAAGAATTGAGGTTGCCACAGACCTGTACAGATTCACTGCTGGTAACTCAGATACCTTCCACTGGTAACACACCCAGAAATAAGGTCAAGCATGTACAAGATGCCATAAGATACAATTTCCCAAGTGTGTCACTTGGAGCATTGGTCTCACGAGATGCTGCTAGAAAAGCACTCCATGGGCCAGGCGCAGTGGCTCACGCCTGTAATCCCAGCACTTTGGGAAGCCCAGGTGGGTGGGTCACCTGAGGTCAGGAGTTCGAGACCAACCTGGCCAACATGGTGAAACCCTATCTCTACTAAAAATACAAAAATTAGCCAGGCCTGGTGGTGCACACCTGTAATCCCAGCTTCTTGGAAGCTGAGGTAGGAGAATCATTTGAACCTGGGAGGCGGAGTTCGCAAAGAGCCAAGATCGCACCATTGCATTCCAGCCTGGGCGACAGAGTGAGACTCTGTCTCAAAAAAAGAGAAGACAAGCACTCCATGGCCAAAGACTGTTCCCAGTCGCACTGTGAACACCCCTCAGTGCTGAGGGGCACTCGTGTAGAGGCTAAAGTAACTGCATCTTGGATGCTGATCCGCCATGTTGACTTCTAATTAACCCCAGTTCCAGGAATGCCTCTAAGGTTTCTATTGTGTCTAGGGTTCCTTGTGTAAGAGCACGTACTTACTGTAAATCCTGCCCTTAGGTCAAAACAACCTCAACCATAAATCCTGCCCTTGGGCAGATTCCCATAGCATTCTTGCTTTTCCCTGAGGTGTCAGCTTCAGCTTCTTTTTCTATGGTATATAGGTTTTGAGTTTGAGAGGTAATGCTCAGCAGATCCACCATCTTGTCACAGTCATGGTTTCTGTTTCTAAGTCCTTATTAAAGGTTTCCTTCTGAGAAATGGATATGTCAGCCTCTTTCTTGAGCCTCTCAGTTTCCTCAGAGTTTGAGGTAGGTTTGCATAGACCTGCCCACTGAAACAACTCCGCGCTGAGCAACCCTGGGAATGCAGCTTTTATGCTTCCTGGTGTGTTTGATCCTGGCTGGACTGGGTTGCCTCTTGGAGTTAGGGTGGAATCTTGCTTTCCTTCCTCCCCTTGGAGTGGTTGGTACCCAGTAGGTATTCAGGGCACATGAGCTACTGTCCTTCACACCTGTCTTCCTGCCAAGATAAGGAAGGAGTTTACCCAGTTGGAAATTAGCTCTCTGACTGGCCTAGGGTGGAAAGTAATGAAGCCAGGCTGACTTTTCTCACAAGTCTTCTGGTTCTTCACCTCTGTAGGTGAAGATGTGTAGATGACCTGAGATTTGACAAGGAGCGGTGAGGCTGAGGCACTGCTGGGGAACCAACAGTGCAAAGGCAGCCAGCAGAGCCAGCTGTGGCTCCAGAGAAGCTGAGCAGAGATCCTGGGGACAGGGAGTGAGGCCACACCAACAATTCTAGGCCTTCCAAACCAGCCCAGCTGTTAATGCAGACACTCCCTAGTAAGAAACAGAACACCTCTGGGCTCCAAGGTATTTGGGCCACGTTTTCTTGGGCATACTCGTATCCTTGACTATAACAGCCCAACCACACGTCAGTACAACCCACCTGTTGCTACATCTACAGGCAATTCTTGGCACTTTGTTATTCATGATCCAGGCACTTACAGTCATCAGGCAAAACTTTCCGTTCATTTTCTTTCTTTTTGGTAGCTTTACCTTGTCTTTTATTTATTTATTTATTTACAAACAGGGTCTCCCTTTTTTGCCCAGGCTGGAGTGCAGTGGTCATTCATAGGCCCCACCACAGTGCACACTGCAGCCTCAAACTCCTGTTCTCAAGCAATCTGCTCACCTCAGCCTCCTGAGTAGCTGGAGCTACAGGCTACAGCTGCACCCAGCTCCCTGTCCATTTTTTTTTTTTTTTTTAGACAGAGTCTCGCTCTGTCACCCAGGATGGAGTGCAGCGACACGACCTCAGCTCACTGCAACCTCCACCTCCCAGGTTCAAGTGATCCTCCTGCTTCAGCCTCCAGAGTAGCTGGGATTACAGGAGTGTATCACCATGCCCAGCTATTTTTTAGTAGAGTCACAGTTTCACCATGTTGGCCAGGCTGGTCTCGAACTCCTGACCTCAGGTGATCCGCCCACCTCGCCCTCCCAAAGTGCTGGGATTACAGGCGTGAGCCACCGCACCTGGCCTCCCTGTCAATTTTTAACTGTGTATCATCTCATTTATGCATTTTCCTCTACCCATGTGCCTTCCTCCACCTCTACACTTGACATCCTCTTGGATTCACTGTCTCCCTGGGGATCCCTGGGCTCTGGCCATGCATTCCTACTGCTTTCCCAACTCCAACATTGGCTCCCAAGTTCACTCAGCTCCCATTTCCCTGGGCCTAGCTCAGGCCTTACTCCTTCCACAGAGTCCCAGAATTGGCCAGGTGGAAGTGTCATCTCTTTCCCTCCACTGAACTCTCGGCATGCAGGGTCCCTTGCTAGACTCACTCACTGTGCACATGACAGCTGAAGGCAGCTGCGAGACAGGGGCTGTACCTTATTCATCTTTGCATTCCTCCTCCCAAGTGCCACAGCCCCATGCCTGGCACACAATTTGTGCTCAGAAAATGTTAACTGAAGAATGCATGCCACTCAACAACAAAAATTCAAACGCCCAATTAGAAGGTTGGCAGAAGACTTGAATATATATTTCTCCAAAGGAGATATATAAATGGCTAAAAAGCACTTGAAAAGACACTCAACATCATTAGTCATTAGAAAAATACAAATCAAAACCACAATGAGATACCACTTCACACCCACTAAGGTGGTTATAATAATATTTTTTGAAAAACAGAAAATAGGTGTTGGCAAGGATGTGGAGAAATTTGAACACTTGTTCATTGGTGATGGGAATGTAAAATGGTGTATCTGCTGTGGAAATCTGTTTGGTGGTGCCTCAAAAAGTTAAACACAGAATTATCAAATGATCCAGCAATTCCACTCCTAGCTATATACCCAAAAGAATTAAAAATACATATTCAAATAAAAGTTTGTAAACAAATGTTTGTAGCAGCACTATTCACAATAGTTAAAAGGTGGAAACAATCCAAATGTCTGTCAGTGTATGAAGAGATAAAGAAAATGTGGTACATCCATATAATGGGATATTATTCGGCCATAAAAAGGAATGAAGTACTATACCTGTTATAGCATGAATGAGCCTTGAAAACATTATGCTTAATAAAAGAAGCCAGACAAAAAAGACCTTATATTATATACAATTCCATTTATATGAAATGTTCAGAATAGGCAAAACCTATAGAGACAGAAAGATCAGTGGTTATGCAGGACCAGATGTGGGAAGATGGGAGTGTGACAGCTAAAGGGTATGGGGTTCCTCTTTGGGGTGATAAAATTGTTCTGAAATTGACTGTGGTGATGGTTGCATGTATATGTGACTATACTAAAAATCATTGAATCACACTTCTTAAATGGGTAAATTGTATAGTATGTAAATTATATTCCAATAGAGCATTTTCTTAAAGGCAGAATGAATGAACATATTTAATAAACTTTCAACATTCAAGTTTTAGCATTCGTGTCTAAGAATATGCATGTAATACCCCAGAGTTCTATGATATGCCATCATTTAAAATTGCTGAGGTCCAATTTGAATTCCGTAAGCCAAGAGGCTGCCATACTCTAGGGAGTCCCTGGGCCAAGTGGGGAGACTGGATGCCAGCCATATTCCTTCACCCATGCAACATCAGTGTGCTTTATAAATTAAGGTAAAAGAGCAGAGATACAAACTCTAATACTACCTTTTTTTTCCTTTTTTTTTTTTTTTTTTTTTTGAGATGGAGTCTCACTATGTCGTCCAAGCTGGAGGGCAGTGGTGCCGTCTTGGCTCACTGCAACCTCTGCCTCCCAGGTTTAAGCGATCCTCCAGCCTCAGCCTTCCAAGTAGCTAGGATTACAAGCATGCGCCACCATGCTCGGCTGATTTTTGTATTTTTAGTAGAGATGGGATTTCACCATGTTGGCCAGGATGATCTCAAACTCCTGACCTCAGGTGATCCACCCATCTCGGCCTCCCAGAGTGCTGGGATTACAGGCGTGAGCCACCAGGCCCAGCCTCTAATACCACTTTCTTTTTGGGGAAAAAATGGCCCTGATTGGGGTGGGAAGAAGATAGCCATAAAGTCAGTAAGTATAAACAGATGATGCTGTTCACTATTTTAGAGTTTCATGAAAGTCTTTGAGTTTTCATGTGAAATATAGAGATTCTAACATTTAGAACCCTGGCTTTTAGAGAAGGGAGGAAGTCATCATGAATCTAGAGGCAGAATGTCTAGATTTGCTGTGCTCATCCCAGGAAAGTAACTCCAAGTTAGTATTAGAACACCAACAAAGCACACTAGCTGGAGATAAAGACTTTTCCAGGCAGGTAGCAAGCCTTTGGGGCCAAGGATAGCCAATCCTAGGCAACTGAACCTCACCTTTGGCACTGGAGTTGGTTAGGAACAAATTGGGGAATGAGACTTTGCTGGTGAAGGCCGTGCTGAATTGATAAAGTAAGATTGGTAGACAAGGAAATATGACAGCAATGGCACATTGATTCTCTTGCACTTATAGCCAACCACTGCATATTTATGGAATAACAAAACTAATTATTCTTTCTTGGTATGGTTGCTGAAACTATTAGTTCTTTCCCAAACCTGTTTCACATCCCCCATCTCTTTAAAACAGCTGGGTGAGAGGCCACAGACTAGAAAACTGCAGTAAAGGATCAATAAACAAATGTTCACCCTCATTAGAAATTGGAGTAATCAGGGGAATGCAGTTTAAAACCACAAAAGAGGCTGGGTGCAGGGGCTCATGCCTGTAATCACAAAAGTATGGGAAGCCGAGGCAAGAGGATCACTTGAGGCCAGGAGTTCAAGACCAGCCTAGACAATATAGTGAGACCTTGTCACTACAAAGAAAAAAAAATTGTTTGAAGAAAAAATAAATTTAAAAAATTAAAAACAAACACAAAGAGATACCGTTTCATGGCTATCAGATTGCAAAAGTGAACCCCAGCAATACAAATAGTCGTCCGGGGTGCAGAGCAACAGGAACTCTCATAATTGCTGGAGAGAGCATATAACCTCTGACACCCAACAAAACTGAAGACAGCACATGCTGAATTATCCAACAGCACACCCCTAGAGGGAAAGCCTAGAGAAATCCTCACACGTGGGCACAGGAGATGTCAGCAAGAATGTCATTGTAGCATCTTTGCATAAATAAATTGAAACAACCTAAATGTCTATTAACAGGAGAATGAATACATTGTGATATGTTCATTCAATTAATTGTTACGAAACAATGAAAAAAGGATTGAATTATTGTTATATGCACCAACATGGATACACCTCAAAAGGTACTGTTGTGCCGGGCGCAGTGTCTCACGCCTGTAATCCCAGCACTTTGGGAGGCCGAAACGGGCAGATCACGAGGTCAGGAGATTGAGACCATCCTGGCTAACATGGTGAAACCCCTTCTCTACTAAAAATACAAAAAATCAGCTGGGCGCGGTGGCGGGCGCCTGTAGTCCCAGCTACTCGGGAGGCTGAAGCAGGAGAATGGCGTGAACCCAGGAGGTGGAGCTTGCAGCTAGCCGAGATGGCGCCACTGCAATCCGGCCTGGGAGAAAGAGCGAGACTCTGTCTCAAAAAAAAAAAAAAAAAAAAAAAGGTACTGTTGTTGTTTTACAAAACCTATTATTGGATACAAAAAGTAAACTGCAGAAGGACACATTATACAATGCCATGTATTTACAGTTTAAAAGATGCAAAACTGGCCAGGTACAGTGGCTCATGCCTGTAATCCCAGCACTTTGGGAGACCAAGGCAGGCGGATCACCTGAGGTCGGGAATTTGAGACCAGCCTGACCAACATGGAGAAACCCTGTCTCTACTAAAAATACAAAATTAGCTGGGCATGGTGGCACATGCCTGTAATCCCAGCTACTCTGGAGGCTGAGGCAGGAGAATCGCTTGAACCCGGGAGGCAGAGGTTGCAATGAGCCAAGATTGCGCCATTGCACGCCAGCCTGGGCAACAAGAGCGAAACTCCGTCTCAAAAAAATAAAATAAAAATAAATAAATAAAAATTAATAGGGCGTGGTGGCACCTGCCTGTAATTCCAGCTACTTGGGAGACTGAGGCACGAGAATTGCTTGAAGCCAGGAGGCAGAGGTTGCAGTGAGCCAAGATGGCACCACTGCACTCCAGCCCGGGCGACACAGCAAGACTGTCTCAAAAAAAAAAAAAAGATGCAAAACTATTTTATGTTGATTTATGGATGCACATATTAAATAAGAGTAGAAAAGCATACCCAAAATGCTAAGCACCAAGTTTCAGGTAGTGCTTATCTCCTTAGAGGAAAAAGAATAAGATCAGATGAGAGACAAGTATACAGGGCTTCCGCCGTATAATGCTTTGTGTTTCCTTTTTAAAGTATATATAGCAAAAGCAAATATGGCAAAATGCTAAGCTCAAACAGACTGGGTGATGGATAATTGGGTTTTCTTTATATTATCCTTTATTCTTTCTTGCATGCTTGAAATACTTCATAGTTTTCTAGAAGTAAAAAGATAAAAAGAAGGGAAAAGGAAGGGAGAGGAAGAAGAGAGAGAAAGAGGAAGAAGAGAGAGAGAGAGGAAGTAAGAGAAGACAAGGAAGGAAGGAAGGAGAGGAAGAAAGAGAGAGAAAGAAAATAAAGGAAGAGATGAAGAAAGGAAGGAGAGGAAGAAAGAGAGAGAAAATAAAGGAAGAGATGAAGAAAGGAAGGAAAGAAAGAGAAACGAATCTCTTCCTGGTGTTTGCTTTCTAAATCCTGAGAACTTGACTCCTTAGAGAAAGGGGACACACAGACAAATTTCTTGGGTTCAGGGGGTTTAAGGAAGATGAAGTGATCCCACTCACCCCTGACACTGTGAAAATATTCAAATACACACAGGGCTAGCAGATGAAGAGAAGAAACTCAGAGAGGAGTAGTCAAAAAAAACTATGGATTTTGTGGTCTCTAAATAAAGAACCCCTGCCCCTGCCCTTGCCCTGTGCAGAGCCCTGGGGAAGTGGCAATAACCAAGGCAATTATTTGGAATTTGAGCATAGAAGAGACCCATACCCCTCTCCCAGGGACACTGTTTGGGCTACCTGCTGCCTTAGAGGACACAGAGGCGGTAAACAGCTCCTGGGCCCCCAGTCAGTTCTCCAGCATGATTTGTGTTCTGAGTGTGGAGCTAGACAAAGCCACTAGAGAAGTGCAGAATCCAACTGGGTGTCATTAAATAGCTGAGAGTTGTCGTCCCATTAGACAGGAAGGATATATGGGGATGGGATACACTTGCAGGGAATTCTGAACAGAATCAGGCAATAAATAATGCAAAGCAACCTAGATATAAGGAGTTAGAAACTCAAACCGGGTGGGAGACTTAGGCAATAGAATCACGTGAACTCTAGAGACTCCAGCCCCTCTCTGCAGGCA
The DNA here is from genome assembly GCF_000001405.40 of Homo sapiens. Classification (NCBI taxonomy): domain Eukaryota; kingdom Metazoa; phylum Chordata; class Mammalia; order Primates; family Hominidae; genus Homo; species Homo sapiens. Next base: position 73,341,135 of record NC_000008.11, read on the forward strand.
AGGAGTTCCGTTATGATTGTTCAACTTGCCTGTGAGTGTTATGAGGAAAACTGGATCTTGGTCCACAGCAAAATCTGCTGTATCACCTCAGTCCACTGAGACGGAAACTGCAACTTGCTTACTGTTCAAGTTGTTGAATGTTTCCTCTATGAGTCTCTGTTGACCTTGGGAAGGGTTCAGATTGAGTATTAATGCTTTTCTGTTAGGTTTAGCAACAATCTGTTTATATTAGGCATTTTGAGGGTTTGTAATGTTTAAGAGGAGTGGCATTAAATAATCTAATATATTAGCCTCATGATTCCAATTTTAAAAGTGTTATTGAGTAATTGTTTAGATTTGTGATTTTACTAGGTTTGTAAACAATATTGGAATGTTCATGAGAACTTGAGATGCACTGTATTTTAAAGTTTAATTTATTATACTTACTAGAATTGTTTAAGTGTTTGGGAATGTTCTGATCGTTAGGGATTTTGAGTGTTTGTAAATGAATTCAAATATACTAAATTTATAAGTCCAGTTTAAAATATATAAGGGGATTTAATTAACTAAGATGTAAAAAGCCCCCTTAAAAGTGATTGTTAAAATTTATTAGATTTATAAATAAAATAATGAGAGTTGTCCGTTGACATGAAAAGCTTATAGAAAATGAGAGTTCTTTTCAATGTATTAAATAAATTGAATATAATTTTTGAAAAATAACTACAAATAGAATCTCTCCTTTCACACACAAAGCTCCCCTCAAGGAGATTTAAACAATCAACTTGTGGTGCCCACAGCACCTTACAGAAGTGGCACAGGAGCTGCTGAGGGGGCATGCATGTGAGAAAGAGGGACACCTGGGGACAAGCTGACATCAAGGGCAGGTGTTCCTGTCCATAATCCCTGCAGTGCACAGGCACAGAAACTCCCTGGATTTTTTTCCCCACCTTCTTATGAATATTTCCAAATATGCAAAATCTTGAAAACATAGTACAATGAACATCCATTTATCCACCACCCAGATTCAACAGTGGCAAACTTTTTGTCACAGTGGTTTATTTACTTCTAACTAGATCTATCGGTCTGTCTATCTATCTATCTATCTATCTATCTATCTATCTATCTATCTATCTATCATCTATCTATCTACATATAGAACTATTTCAATCATTGGCAGATATTATGACTTTTTTTTTTTTTTTTTTTAGATGGAGTCTCATTCCGTCATCCAGGCTGGAGTGCAATGGTGCGATCTCGGCTCACGGCAACCTCGGCCTCTTAGGTTCAAGCAATTCTCCTGCCTCAGCCCCCCCGAGTAGCTGGGACTGTAGGCGTGCGCCACCATACCCAGATAATTTTTGTATTTTTAGTAGAGACGGGGTTTCACCATGTTGACCAGGCTGGTCTCGAACTCCTTACCTCAGGTTATCTCATGACATTTTATCTCAAAGTGCTTTAGTATAAATCTCCTGGATGTTTTATTTTATAATCATAATGTTACATCACACCTGACAATGCTAACAATTTCCTATTGTCATCTAAATCCCAGTTCCAATTCAGACATGTCCAAATGATGGGTTTCTTCTTCTTTTGAGTCTGGTTTATTTAATTCATGTTATGTTTTTGAGATACATTTATGTCATATAGTACATTCTGCTTTATAGCTGTATAATATTTCATTATATTATATACATGTTTATAGATCCATTCAGCTGGTTATCTATATTATTATTGTTTCTAGTTTCTGCCTACTCAGATGATTTTTTCTAACAACATTCCAAGCAAATCATTATGCATCACATGTATCTTTATATCGTTTTAATCTAAAACAAGCTTTCACCTTTATAATTATTTTTCTGAAACTAATGTGTGTTCAGTGGCTAGGACAGTTGTCATGAAAAATGTCCTAAATTCTGAATTTGTCAGCTTTTCCTTCATAGCATTGTTTTAACATGTTTCTCTGTTTCTGGTTTTCTTGTAAACTAACAAAAGGCTTGTTTAGGTTCAGGTTAAATATTTTTGGCAAGAATACTTCCTAAGTAATGGTGTGTACTGAATATTGAATCACATCAGGAGACACCTAATAACAGGTTGCCTCACTACAACTGAGTTAAGCTCAGGCGATGCGCTTGGTAAGTGCCTGGAACACAGCAAACGCAAAATAAATATGATCTATTATTAACCCCACTCCACAGATGGGAAAACTGAGACTCCCACACTTTCAGCTAACTTTCTTCAGGTAACCTGGTTTTCAAGTGACAAAGCTGGAACTCAGACCTGAGCCCTCAGATTCATGACCCAAAATTACAGCTTCTTAAAGCTAATGGATACCTTACAAGTCATTCATTCACTTATTAGTTCATCTAGCAAATATTTAATGAAAGTCTACTATGAGATAAATGGTTAGGCACCATCTCAGGCACTGGGGGTACAGTGGTGACAAATCAAGTCCCCAGGGAACTATGCTGTAGTAGATGGAGAAGGGCAGCAAACACAAGAAATAAGACAATTATAGAAGATGTTACATGACTTGGAGGGAAATACAGCAGGGTCAGGGGATGGAATGGGTGTCACTGAAAAGGTAATTTCAAAGCAAAGGCTTGCGTGAGGTGACAGTGTGAGCCACAGAGAAGTCTGGGGGAGAGTGTTCTAAGCAAAGGAAACCGCCAGTGCAAAGGCCCTGAGGCAGGAGCATAGCAGCCATATTTGAGGAACTTTGAGGAGTAGTCCCTCCAGCCCCCAGCCCTGAGTTTATCCAACAGAAGAGTCCCCTCACAGCTGATCACAGATATGAAGACACAGGGACATATTCCTTTGCTTCTTTAGAGTCCATGGATGGGTCCCTACTCACACATGCACAGGCGCATTTGTGCTTCCCTCTTGCCAACCTGTCCAAAGGATCCTCCCAAGGCCCAATCACATGGGGTGGGATTCTTTGTACCTCTACAAAGAGAAGATGAGGGAAGAGCAGCATGTCACAGGAGTACAAAGGAGATGTGCACAGATTTGGAGGCTGCAAGCATTTGTGTCGGAGTTTGAGGCCAATGCCATGTATAGGAGCTGGAGCATCACCTCCTCCCTTTCCCTCCCTGAGGCTTTCAGGCTTCCCCGAAGTCCCCACCCCAGGTGATGGCATCAATTTGCCCCAGCTCAGCCTGCAACCTCTTATTGGTAATTCTTTTTTTTTTTTTTTTGAGTTGGAGTCTCATTCTGTCACCCAGGCTGGAGTGCAGTGGCGTGATGTTGGCTCACTGCGGCCTCCACTTCCTGGGTTCAAGTGATTCTCATGCCTCAGCCTCCCAAACAGCTGAGGCTACAGGTGAATGCCACCACGCTTGGCTAATTTTTGTATTTTTAGTAGAGATGGGGTTTCACCATGATGGTCAGGCTGGTCTCAAACTCCTGGCCTAAAGTGATCCACCCACCTTGGCCTCCCAAAATGCTGGGATTACAGGCGTGAGCCACTGTAATTCTTGAGAGATAACACGAGGAGTGCAGTGACTAGCAGGCTGAATGATCCACTAGTTTAAATCGATAAGTAGGTAGATTAGAGGTGAATCCTCGTAGAGGAACTTGGATTTGAAGCTGTGGGAAAATTGAGTTTCCAGTCACTGCAGACCTGCACCCCTAATTTGCCACACTGGAACCTGGTAGATTCCGTAGCACATACTGGGAGGCAGCTCTGGAACTCCTCAGAGGAGAGTAGGGAGCCTATGTGTGTCTTCAGCCTGCCCTGGAAGTGCCCAGGAATCTTCCTGTGTTGGGTCTGGGTTTTCAGGATGGATTTCTACACGTATCTGTGGAACTGAGAGTGTGGACTAGACTCTCTCGGGTCAATCATTGGAAAAGTCAGATTAAAGGCCAGTGAGTTCATTAGACCCCACTATTACAAACAAGGACAAAGCTACAAGTAGGTAGCCGGGATTTGGACCAGAGCCCTTGCTTTCACGGCCTGCCTAGCTCCAGGAGCTGGCTGAAAGGGATCCCTAGGTGGTTAACCTACTCTGCTGTGAGCATGAAGGGCACCCAGACACTTTTTTAGACCAGACCTGGTGACACAGCCATGGGCAACTCCCCCCGCCCTCCATCTCCCACTCCATTCAGTACCTTGCTTCCTTTCACCAGCAAGAATGTGCTCCACCATCTCAAACAGCTGTTGCTCGCTGTAGTCAGGAAAAAAAGGCTACAAAAGGGATAAAGTAGTTCAAAGTGATTTTCTTCTCTTCCTACAAAGTAAGAATTTTCCTGCCTAAGTTTTTTTTTGCAGCTTTTAAGTTCGGGGGTACGTATGCAGGAGGTGCAGATTTGTTACATAGATAAATGTGTGCCTTGGCGATTAGCTGCACAGATCATCCCACCACCCAGGTATTAAGCCCAGCGTCCACTATTCTTCCTGATCCTCTCCCTCCTCCCACCCCTAACACATGCCTAAGAATTTTGAGGCCTGAAATGAGGGTGTGAGGAATCAAGGGAGCTGAAGGAATCACGGATGCGGCAGAGGAAGCCATCCTTAGGAGAGGCTCATGGCACATTTCTCTAGAAGAGGTTCCTGGGATGTTTGGATTAGGTTGGCTAAGCCGCATGCTGAAGGGACTGGGGTGGGATTCAGAGATAAGGCAGGGAGGCCTGTGCTGGAGGAAGAAACAGATTTTCCCCTCTGTCCTGCAGTGCCCAGGCAGCTGTGGTCTGGGGGGTTACACTGGCCTTTCATATTTGACTTCTCCCATTCTGCGTTCCAGGCCTATGTCTGATGATCAGAGGTGCACAGTTTTTAAAAGGTTTTATCAAAGTCTTGCTTGGACACAAGATGAGCTATTAAATGAGACCATGCTCTTTTTGCTTTGAAGATTGGTACAGACAAATAGCAGATAAGAGAGTTCCTATGTAGTTCAAATGGAAGACGGTCCATAAAGAACTCCGAGGAGGCTTTTGGGCAGAAGAACAAACATGAACTTGATAGCCCATGTCCATCCGAAGCTGAAATACGAAATGCTGGGGATAATGATAGCCGACCCTGACTGAGTGTTGGCTTTTAGATATTAACTCATCTAATCTTCATGACAACCCTGCGAGGCAGTTACTATTATTAAACTCAGTTACAGACATGAAACTGAGGCAGAGACATTGACTCATGTAGCCCAAGGTCATAGTTAGATAAGGTAGAGCCAGGACTGGGATGCCAGTAGTCTGGTTTCAGTCTGTTCCCTTAGTTACTCCCATATCTCATGTGCTATCCCTCTGAGCCAGGTACCACTGTCCCTGTATAACAGACCGGGGCGGTCTCCAATTCCTGGGCCCACTTGGAGGTAAAATAGGACCCAGGAAGCCAATCCCACGCCCTGGTATGAAGGGAAAACCAGGGAGGAAACATGGAACTCTCCAAATACATTTCCCTGTACTGTACAACCTCAGACAAGGCCATCAAACTAAGTCCTGCCCCTGGTTCAACAACACACAGTATATGAAAAGATGCTTAACATCATTAGTCATCAGAGAAATAAACATCAAAACCACAATGAGCTACGTCTTCACACCCACGAGGATGGTTAGAATCATAAAACCAGAAAATAACAAATGTTGGTCAGGATGTGGAGAAATTGGAACCCTCATACGTTGCTGGTGGGAATGTAAAATGGTGCAGCCACACGGAAAAACAGTCTGCCAGTGCCTCAAAAAGTTAAATATAGAGTTACCATATGACTCAGCAATTCCACTCCTAGAGATATACCCAAAAGAACTGAAAACAGGTATTCCAGCAAAACTTTGTATGCAAATGTTCACAGCAGCATTTCTGTGACCGTCCCAAAGTGGAAACAACCCAAATGTTCCATCAAAGGATAAATGAATAAACAAGATACGGTGTCCACCTACCATGGAAAATGACTTAGCCCTAAAAAGAAAAAGTATTGACGCATGCTACAATGCAGACGAACCTTGAAAGCATTATGCTAAGTGAAAAATGCCAGACACAAATGGTCACGTATTTGTATAATCCCATTTATATGAAATAGCCAGAATAGGTAACTCTATAGAGACAGAAAATAGATGACTGGATTTCCAGGGGCTGGGGGAAGGGAGACTGGGGATTGGCTACTTAACAGGTAGTTAATAGGCGTGGGGTTTCCTTTTGGAGTGAGGAAAGGTTTTCGAACTAGATACAAGTGGAGTTGCACAATATTGTGAATGTACTCAATGCCACTGAACTGTACACTTGAAAAAGGTTTATTTTATGTTATGTAAATTTTGCCCTGATTTTAAAAACTTATTTATTTGTTTGTTTATTTGAGTCAGAGTCTTGCTTTGTGACTCAAGCTGGGGGTGCAGTGGCACAATCACAGATCATGGCAAGCTTGACCTCCCCGGCTCAAGTGATCCTCTTGCCTCAGCCCCCCAAGTAGCTATAATAGAACCACAAGCAAGCACCACCACACCTGGCTAATTTTTAAAACATTTTTTTGTAGAGACAGGTCTCGCTATGTTGCTTAGGCTGGTCTCAAACTCCTGGGCTCAAGCAGTTCTCCTGCCTCGGCATCCCAAAGTGCTGGGATAATAGCTGTGAGCCACCATGCCCAGCCTGGTTTTTAATTTTTATTTTAAAAAATTTTTTGTGATAAAATTAAAAAAATAGAGACAGGGTCTCACTATGTTGACCAGGTTGGTCTTGAACTCTTGGCCTCAAGCAGTCTCCCACCTCGGCCTCCCAAAGTGCTAGGATTATAGGCATGAGCCACTGTGCCTGGCCTCTTTGTTTTGTTTTGTTTTGTTTTTTAAGCTAAAAACAAGACAGAAGTGGCAGAAGAGAGTAGAAATGTTATTTTGTTATCTGCTCTTTTGAAAACTCGAGCACTTTTACTGAGTGTGCCTTGGTATAGTCCACAAGTGCCATCAGCCAACTCTGACACGTGCAGGGTTTCCTCTGCCTGGGCCCTGATGCATGGACTTCACGAGGATTCACCCACTGACTCTTGCAACACCACAAAGGCCAGGCCTAGAGGCTGTGCCATGGACTGTGCAGGTAGAAAAGGGCAGAACTGGGACTCGAACATAGGCACCGTGCTCTGGAGCTCATGCTCCAACCCAAATGACTCTGCTTTGCCGTGGTGATATGATAATGTTAAGAGTCTCAACCGCCACCGTTTAGTGGGTACCGACTGTGTGTCAGGTGTGTGCTAAGCAGTTCGTTTATTCACACACTCATTTCATAAATATTATTGAGACCTCATATGTGCCAGTTGCTTTTTCAGACACTGGGTCACACCAGTGAAGGAGACAGACCAGGTGCCTGTGCTCGGGAAGCTTACATTCCAGAAGGGAGAAACGATACACAAATAGTTGTGAATAGCACATCATGTGCATGGAAGGGCTCATCCAGAATGCAAGGTAAGCGGGTAGGGAGGGGATAGGAGGGCAGGAGGAAGCTAGTTTACAAGGGAGATCCTGGAGGCCACTCTGAGGAGGTAACATTGAACAAAGACCTGAATGATGTGAGGGAGAAAGATTTGCAACGACCTGGGCAAGAACAGCTCCAAGGCGCGAGCTCTGAGATGACAATAAGTTTGCAGGAATAGCAGAGTCCTAGGGGCCTGAGAGGAGGACAGGGGGTAGCCGGGGGCAGGTGGGCGGCCATCTAAGGTCAGAGTACATGGAGACTCACCAGGCTACCATGAGAAATTTGAAGTTATTCTAAGAAGAAGCCATCTACTATCTTAATTAACACTCACCAACAACCTGACGAGGCATGTGCTATTATTATCCCTGTTTTGTTATCCTCTGAATCTGAAGGTCAGAGTGGTTAGGTAACAAATTCAGGATTCCACGGCTAGTAAGTTTGGAGCTGGGACTTGTCCCTGGTCCTGTGACCTCAGAGCCCACTGCCTTAAACAAAAAACAAAACTGCTACAGATCCCTTACCAAAGACATCTCAGCCTTGGGCTGCACCAGTTCAAGCTCCCCGCAGTAGCACCCCAACGCTGCCTACACCCTGCATGGGAAGCAGAGCCTTGGGAAACCGGGAGATGCCCAGAGAAAAAGCAGGAAAGTGATGCTAGCTCTGGGCACACATGAGCTCAGCTTAATCCTCATGACAACCTGTGAGCTGGTATGATTAATAGGCCCGTTTTACCAATGAGGAAAACTGAGACACAGTCTTAAAGTTCCCAGAAGTCCTAAGGGAGTCAGGTGGCAGAACTGGAAATGAACCCAGACAGCCTGCAACCAGACCCAAGGTGTTTATCCTCAGGACCCCATGACCTTTATTATGGATCCCTGACCCTCCCACCACCCTGCTTCTCTCCCTGCATCCCTCTTCTCAGGGCAGGCTGAACCCTCAGAGCTTTCTTTCCACCCTGCCCCTGCCGTTGCCTGTTGCCAGATCCTGCCAGGCTGCCTGGAACCTATCCATTCCCTCTTCTCCACACCCAGTGCCCCATTCACTCCTTCATTCTTTCACTCACAAAGTAGGAATGCAAAGATGATCAGATGTGGCTCCACCCTCAAAGAGCTTACTGTCCAGTGGGCAGAAAGAGATGAGTAGACAATTAATAGACAGTGAATAACTCCACGGGAAAGGAAGGCACAGGGTTACACCTGAATGGTGGTGGCGGAGGATAGTCATCCAGAAAAACTGAGGAAGTCGGGGAAGGCTTCCTGGAGGAGGTGATACCTGAACTGAGACTTGCAGGACAGAAGGGACAATAGACACTAGTAAGAGACAACAGGTGCTTCCACCTCATTCACAGCCCTCTGCAGTCCTGATCTCCAAAGAATCCTGTACCCTGCACACTCTCTGCCCTCCAACTTTCGTTCAAGCAGTAATTGGATGAGCACGAAACACACGCTTTTATTTTGCCAGACCTGGGTTCAAACCTCCATTGTGGCACTAGTTAGCAGTCTTGGGCTAGTTGTTCAGCCTCTCTAAGCCTTCCTTTCCTCAGCTGTAGAAGAATGAGAATAGAAATTACCATGTGTAGCTCTGTTGGCAGAATTAGCAACAACACCAATTAACCTGGCACATGACAATTATTTAATCAGCAGTTGCTCTTAATGTTACACTGTTTGTGCTGCCTGAAATACCTTTTCCCCTCAAATCTCTAATTTTTTTTTTTTTTTTTTTTTTTTTTTTTTGAGACAGAGTCTCACTCTGTCGCCCAGGCTAGAGTGCAGTGGCACGAACTTGGCTTACTGCAACCTCCGCCTCCCAGGTTCAAGCAATTCCCCTGCCTCAGCCTCCCAAGTAACTGGGACTACAGGCATGTGTCACCACACCCGGCTAAATTTTTTTTTTTTTTTTTTTTTTTTTTTTTTTTTTTTTTTTTTTTTGAGACGGAGTCTCGCTGTCGCCCAGGCTGGAGTGCAGTGGCGCGATCTCGGCTCACTGCAGGCTCCGCCCCCCGGGGTTCACGCCATTCTCCTGCCTCAGCCTCCTGAGTAGCTGGGACTACAGGCGCCCGCCACCTCTCCCGGCTAATTTTTTGAATTTTTAGTAGAGACAGGGTTTCACCGTGTTAGCCAGGATGGTCTCGATCTCCTGACCTCGTGATCCGCCCGCCTCGGCCTCCCAAAGTGCTGGGATTACAGGCGTGAGCCACCACGCCAGGCCTACCCAGCTACTTTTTGTATTTTAGTAGAGACGGGGTTTCACCATGTTGGTCAGGATGGTCTTGATCTCCTGACCTCGTGATCTGCCCGCCTCAACCTCTCAAAAGTGCTGGGATTACAGGCGTGAGCGACCATGCCCAGCCATCTCTACTTTTTTTTAAAGAAATCATCTGAGATCCAAGAGTTGAAATTCCTATCTCCTCCTCCATTCCCATCTCACTTCTATTAGAGGACATCTGAGAGCATTGGTGACGAGGGGCGTGTCTGAATCTCCTACTAGATGCTCAGCTCCTGAGAACGATTGTGTTTTATTCTTTTTTTTTTTTTTTTTTTTTTTTTTTAGACGAGGTGTCACTCTGTTGCCCAGGCTGGAGTGCAGTGGCACAATCTCGGCTCACTCTAACGTCTGCTTCATGGGCTTAAGTGATTCTCCCACCTCAGCCTCCTGAGTAACTAGGACTACAGCACGCGCCGCCACCACGCACAGCTAATTTTTTTGTTTATTTGGAAAGACAAGGTTTTGCCATGTCACCTAGGCTGGTCTTCAACTCCTAGGCTCAAATTATCTGCCTGCCTCAGCCTCCCAAAGTGCTGGAATTAAAGGCATGAGCCACCACACCCAGCTGTTTTATTCATTTTTAACCACTTCAGTATTCAGCCTAGTCCCTAGCTCACTGAGGTTCTCGGCCACTGTTTATAAGGTTGAAATATGAATCAAATCCTATCCTGAGGAGTGTCTGAGGCAATCGGGGGTGTGGAGGGGAGGATCATCCTGGCCTTGGGCTATGGCAGGGACAGGCCAGGGGCCCAGACCAGGCTAAATAGGTGCAACGGAGGGAAAATGACACAGGTCATGTTCAGAAAGTGAGAAAAAACAGAAAAGAGAAAATGGAAATGAATAAAACTGACATGCTTCAAACAGTCTGACCTCGTAAATTCGAGTCATTTTGTTTTACATTAAAAAATATCATCCACAAATAGGCAATACCCAAAAAAGAAATCTAGGGACCTTAAACATATGAAAAAACTTAATAGAAGTCAAAAATGACACTTAGAAAAAGATACAAGAGCTCAGAGTACTAAAGACAAAAAAGAATGTGTGTACCCCATTGGTGGTTCTCCTGTCCATCGTTGGCAAGATGTAGATTATAGCTGGGCCCAGTGGCATGCACCTGTAGTTCCAGCTACTTAGGAGGCTGAGATGGGAGAATTGCTTGAGCCCAGGAGTTCGAGACCAGCCTGGGCAAAATAGAGAGACCCCCATCTCTTTTTTTTTTTTTAAGTGAATAAAAAAATGTAAATTGATGCAATATTAAAATGTGCATACCCTTCAATTCGATAATCTTCCAGGAAATTCTCTTAAGGAAGTTATCAAGTCCTGGCACTGTAATCATAACACTTTGGGAGGATCACTTGAAGCCAGGACTTTAAGACCAGCCTGGGCAACATAGGATGACCCCTGTCTCTACAAAAAATAAAAATAATTAGCCATATGTGGTGGCATGCACTTGTACTTACAGCTACTCTGGAAGCTGAGGCAGAAGAATCACTTGAGCCCAAAAGTTCAAGGCTGCAGTGAGCACTCCAGACTAGGCAACAGAGTGAGACCCTGTCTTAAAAAAAAAAAGAAAATTGTCAAACAAATGTATGCTAGTATGTACAAGATTTTATTGCAGCATTGCCTATAATAATAATAATAAATGGTAAACAACTAACTGGTTAATGATAGGCTGCTATTAAATAAATTATGGTACACCCACGCAATAGAATATTATGTAGACATAAAAAAAAGTGACAATTCTGTATTTTTGACATTGAAAGATGTTTATGATATAGTAAAAGTGAAAAAAATCAGGTGACAAAATTATCATATAATCCCATTCTTGTATTTGTGTGTTGTTATAGGCTGAATGTTTGCATACCTTCAAAATTCATATGTTGAAATCCTAACCTCCAATGTGATGATATGAGGATGTGGGGCCTTGGAAGGTGATTAGGTCATATGGGTAGAACCCTCATGAATAGGATTAGTGTCCTTATAAAAGTGACGCCAGAGAGATTTTTTGCCTTTTCTGCCATGTGAGGTTACAACAGTCTGTGTGGAAACAGGGCTCTCGCCAGACAGTGAATTTGTCGGCACCTTGATCTTGGGCTTTCCAGCTTCCAGAACTGTGAGAAATAAATTTCAGTTGTTTATAAGCCATAGTAGTTTTGTTATAGCAACCAAAATGGACTAAGATGCATGTATATTGATAAATACATAGAGAATTTTCAAAAGTCTGGAGGAATGTCTGCTACGTATGGTGGTTATGTATGCATGCTTTAACTTTTCCTCAGTAAAACAAAATAAATTTTATATTCCATGTGAACTATCCATGACCTGGCAGTCAGGTGAATGAGTTAGCTGCCTCCCTTCATGCACTGACTACCTGTCCACATTGGCCATGACCGGAGATTCCAGTTACATGATCCCCATCAGGACATGAGTCTAAAGCCACTAGCAGAGAAACTCTTCCCAGACCAGAGCAGGTCAGACAGGGTGGGTGGCCTTTTTTTCTCTTGCCTGCAAGAGCAGAAGAGGAAGAAACTGCTCCTCAGATGGGCAGGTTCATGAGGACAAAGGTGGTGACCGTCCTCAGTAGCTCTGCTGTGGAATTAGGACACTCAGGTGAGAGCTGGGACAGCCTGACTGAAGTCCTACTCCACAAAGCAGTGGTAAACGGGCAGTGGGGAGGAGGAATGTAAGACCCTTTCCCCCAAGGGGTCACCAAGTCCAGACCTAATTGTCATGCCTCCTTACTGAGGCACATCCCTGAGCAAATGGGTCACAAAGCAGCTAGCTCCAGGCACCAGCACATATTTGAAGTAAACACTTGGGCTTGAGCGTGGCCCAGGCTACAGAAAAGCAAAAACGTCTCTGGATGAATGGAGAAGCAAACAGGAGGGAGTTCAAGCAAAAGTCAGGATGGTCCCTAGAAGTAGGTCCTACTTTATCTGACAGTCCACCAGAACTTTTTCTTCTGTTATTTACTGACACTTCCAGCTGGGTGCTATTGTCATTGCATGTCTCTTCAGGCATTTCATATTTTACCTCCCTTATTATTAGGCTGGCCATGCCCCGAGGAAAGGCTAGTTTCACAAATCTCATCCCACCTCTTCAGTACCAAGTATGGTGCCTTGTGCAGTAGATCATTCCTTTGATATGTGGTTATTGAGAGCCTGCTATGCCAGGCACCATGATAGGCATTGGAGAGTCTGTAGTGACCAGGACAGATGGGCCTCCTAACTCAATGTATGCACATTCTAGAAGATGAGCACCATACACTGTACAAATAAGTAAACAAGAGAATATGAAACTGAACGCAAGGAAGTCCACCTGCCATTCGACTCAATGAGCCCAGTCCAGAGAGAGCCTGAGATGGGAGAAGTGAATCTGCTGTTTCCTCCTGAGCATCTCCCCATGCTAAATGAGATTCAGCTGTTAATGTATTTTCTTATAAAACATCATGCTTAAATAAAAGCCAACGGCTTCCTCTGGTGTTTGACCACAGGAAACATCAATGTGTTCCAATTTGGAGGAAAAAATGGTTCTATCAAACTTACTGAGTGATGGTATGTGTTTTTCAACATGGTCACCTCTCTAGGGAATTTTCAAGGGTTATGTTGATTACATGTGATTTCCACATCTTATTTATTTATTATTTTGAGACAGGGTCTTGCTCTGTTGCCCAGGCTGGAGTGCAGTGGCACTATCATGGCTCACTGCAGCCTTGACCTCCTAGGCTCAAGCAATCCTCCTGCCTCAGCCTCTCTAGCAGCTGGAACTTTTCAGGTGTGCACCACCATACTCGGCTAATTTTAAAATAATTTTCACATTTTTTTTTAATAGATACAGAGTCTTGCTATGTTCCTCAGGCTGATCTTGAACTCCTCGGCTCAAGCAATCCTCCTGCCTCAGCCTCCCAAAGTGTTGGGATTACAGACGTGAGCCACTGTGCCCAGCCTGTGTGGACTTTAGAACCTAATCTCTAATAAAGTTGGACTCCTCTGCCTGTTATGCTGTCCACTGACTATCCACTAATTCAATCTGTGGCATTCACTAACTCAGTACCGTGTGTTACAAAGTCCCTACTATGTGTCAGTAACTATTCTACACACCGAAACTAGAGAGATGGATCCAAAGAAGTACCACTCTCAAAGAGGGAACAATATCTTCAATATCTAATATTTGTATAATGTTTTACATCTACAAAGTGTTTTGTAATGCTGATCCAGTTTTATCTACCCAGCATCTCTCATTTTCTGGGATTGCACCTCTGTCTTAGCTTGAGCTACTATAAAAATACCATAGACTGGGTGGCTTAAACAACGGATGTTCATTTCCCAATTCTGGAGCTGGGAGGTCCAAGATCAAGGTACTGGCAGATTTGGTTCTTGGAAGATCCTCTTTCTGGTTTATAGATGACTTTTCACTGTGTTCTCTTATGACCTTTCATTGGTGTATGTGAGGAAATCTCTGTCTTCCTCTTCTTAAAAAGGTGCAAATCCCATTTTGAGGATACCAGCCAAGATCTCATCGAATCCTAATCACCACCAAAGGCACCAACTCCTAACACCAGCACTTTGGGATTTAGGGCTTCAATGTATCAAACTTAGGGGCCTACAAACATTCAGCCCGTAGCAACCCCGTAGCACCCATACCTTTAGGAAATACTCTTTCCCACACTGCAATCCTGTGTTCTCAGTGGGAGCCATCACAGTTTCTAAACTGTGGCTCCCCTGGTCATATTTAATTGACTGAAGTGGGGCCACAAGGCTTGAGTTGGGTCAGTCATGATAATTTTTGCCCACTGTCCAAACTGACCGGTCAATGGAAGAGTACCCAGCCCCAACCTGGCCAATCAAAGTTCTTTCCAGGATTTGTCCACCAGAAACTACAGAAAGAGACTACAGAAAGTGCTGAAGCTCTGTGATCTGTGGCGTGTGAACAGTAGCTGGCCATGTTTCCAGGGAGGAATATGGCACCAGTGCTCAGAGGGCAGCAGGAGTGTGAAGGATGGAGAGAGAGCCTCCTGCAGCAGCTGTTTCTGCCACCCTGAGGGCCTCCATACCGCTGCCTCTTCCAGGGCAATAGGAGATTACCCATAAATTCTTCCTTTTGACTGAGCTGGTTCAAAATGGTTTTCTGGGCCAGACGCAGTGGCTCACACCTGTAATCCCAGCACTTTGGGAGGCTGACGTGGGCAGATCACTTGAGTTCAGGAGTTTGAGACCAGCCTCGCCAACATGGAGAAACCCCATCTCTACTAAAAATACAAAAATTAGCCAAGGGTGAAGGTGGTGCACCTGTGGTCCCAGCTACTCAGGAGGCTGAGGCAGGAGAATCACTTGAACCAGGGAGGTGGAGGTTGCAGTGAGCCAAGATGGCACCACTGCAATCCAACCTGGGGGATAGAGTGAGACTCTGTCTCAAAAAATAAATAAATAAATAAATAAAAATAAAAGATGGTTTTCTCTGTGTCACTTACAACCAAAGTGCCTGAGATATTCTTTTTCAGACATCTTTTCATTTTCTCCTCACCTTGAGGAAGGAGCTCAGAGAGGTTAAGTGAACTGCCCAATATCCCACTGCTCCAGAAGAGAGCAGCAAGAATTCAAATGCTGCTTCACATCCTGGTTCACGCCCTCAAAAGAGGTTTCCCGCCCTGGATGCCAGCCTCTCTCACAGGTGTTTTCTGTACTCTCAGTGGTGTCTTTTTTACAGCCCAGAGCCGCACATGTCCTGTCCGTGTTCCGGTCCTGCGGTGACTCACAGTCACATCACAGTGCAGGCAGACGCTCCCCTGACAGCCCATTGGCTCTTCGTTATCTGACTCCTGCCTACCTCGCCCAGCCCCCTCCTCCTCCCTCCAGCTCATGTGTGCTCCCCATCCAACCCCCTGCGTGAGTCACATGCTGCTCCCTCGGCCAGAGCCTTTGTTTGCCTGCCTTGGAGGCCTGGCATATGCCCCAGTCCCCACCCACCCAGGAAGCCTCCACTGCCACCTACCACCCAGGCGGAGCCCCGGCCTCCTCCTTCCTCTGTGTCTTCCTGGGATCGACCTCCAACCCAGCAGCTGTCTCATTGTTTTCAAATTCCCAACCTCTGCCTTCCAGAATAAAGGCATGTGGGGACAGGGACAGGAACTTCATCTATCTCTAGCCCCCTGCACAATCCCTGCCACATAGTGGTATTCAGTTTGTTGCTCAGGGGATAAACAAGAGCACCAGAAATATGAAGGTCGATGCAAATATCGAGTATTCATATTTCTTTAATAATCCACATTGTTTGGGAGTCAACTGATGTGATGCTTTGAAGCCAGTGAAAGCTGAACGGGCAAATCTGAAATACCTTTTCAGAGATTCATCTGCACTCTATGTACCCAATTAATGCTGAGCCATTAGTCCTTTCCGAAGCTGCCAGGATCTATTAAGCCATTTAACTTATCCTTCCGCACTTCAGGATCAGTCCCAAGGGCATTTTTTCAGGCCTGGGCAGCCAAAGTATAAATGACTTAAGTGGTGAGCTTTCTCTCACTCCCCCTGGGACCCCAGTCCTCCAAAGCAGAGCTTTAATGGCGCTAAAGCACTGTGAAGCGAGGAAGCGCCTAAAGCTGCCACTAGAGTCGGCCTCAACCCTGAAGGAAATCCTGGTTTGGAGCCCTTGCTCAGGGCGGGCCTTCTGAATAACTGCAACAGGAAAGCACCCTCTGTGGGGTGATTGGAATGGTCCCAGGAAAGTCCCCAGGCCTAAGGATGCCCCTCAGGAATTCACAACAGTGCTTGAAATCCCCTCCATTTATCACTTAATAAGTATTTCTTGAGCACCTACTAGGTGCCAGGCACTTAGGGATTCTGACAGGAATCCTTATAGGTTTGTTATTTTGAGCTAACTGAGGCTTTATCCTGAGCTCAAAAGCAAATATCTCTTGGAGGATAACCCACTGAGCATTATCAAGTCATCAAATACCATCCTTCCCAGGACACCACTAAGGAAGGTGGCAGCTGTATGGGGAGGGTCTTAGGACTCATATGGATACAAGTTGCTGGGGAAAAGAAGAGGAGTGAATCCTGTGGAACACAGGCTAACTCCCTGTGTCATGAGTGGCTGCCATGGGTCAGGTCAAAGGCAACTTCCATTTCCCCACCCCTGCAGCCTCATGAAATTGCAGAGAAACAAGCAGGGTGGGCATGTCAAATACACCTCGTTTATCAGATTCGCCTATATTCCTCAACCTGGTATCCCCCCCCCGCTTTTTTTTTTAAGATGGAGTCTCGCTCTATCACCCAGGCTGGAGTGCAGTAGCGTGATCTCAACTCACTGCAACCTCTGCCTCCTGAGTTCAAGTGATTCTCCTACCTCAGCCTCCTGAGTAGCTGGGACTACAGGCGTGCACCACCACGCTCGACTAATTTTTGTATTTTTAGTACAGATGGGGTTTCACCTATTGGCCAGGCTGGTCTTGAACTCCTGACCTCAAGTGATCCACCTGCCTTGGCCTCCCAAAGTGCTGGGATTACAGGTATGAGCCACCGTGCCTGGCCCTGGTCCCATTTTTAATTCTCTTAAGAAATGCTTTAGATCTGCAAGTGGGGTGTGCAGATCTAAGCTTCCTAGGTTTGGCATATAGTTTAGCCTCTGTGAGCAAAACCTATTTAGCCAGGACCAACTCTAAGTTGCACCCATAATAATAACACAACAGCTAGTGCTCTCATTTACCAAGTACCCACTAGATGCCAGGTGCAGTAGTGGATGCTCTGTGTGATTGGTGTTTTGCAATCATGTCAAGGGCATATACTTTTAAGAACCCAACGCTTCGAGGGGATATTTGCTCAAGATCACACAATTAGTCAACAGATGAGGTAAGAGTAAACACAGTCCCCACTTGTGCAACTCCAGGACCCATATTCATGACTATTATGCTGCGGAAATCATGAACCAGATAAAGTTCACCTTTAGTCCCTTGTCTACACCCTGAAGGTGTAACATGAGGGATCCCATCTGCTATGGTTTGAATGTGCGTGCCCGCTCCAAAATTCATGCTGAAACTTAATCCCCAGCGCAACTGTATCGGAAGGTAGGGCCTTCTGGTGGTGGGGTTGAGTGCTCTGCCCTCATGAATGGCATTAATGCCTTATAAAGAGGCTTCACACTGCGTCTGCTCCTTTTTGGCCTTTAACCTTCCTCCACGTAAGGACACAGTGAACAAGGTGCCATCTTGGAAACAAACAGCAGCCTTCACCAGACACCAGACCTTCTGGCACCTTGACCTTGCGCTTTCCAGCCTCCAGAACCGTGAGAAATCAATGTTTATTGTTTATAAATTACCCAATCTGTGGTATTTTTTTAAAACAGCATAATGGGACTAAGACACCATCAGAACTTGGGACCAAAAGAATACTTTTGCCCTCTGAGAGCTGATTCTTAACACAGAATAAAAATGAAGAATTACTTTAAAGAGATGGACTACCTCAAGGGTAACTTGATTAAAGGTCTGGAGGGAGGAGGAGGGTTCAGTGGTCGGTCACAGTCTCCCACAACAGATAAAATTAGGGACACACTACTATCATTTCAAAATGTGATTAATGTAAAAAATTTAAATAAGATATTTTATATTCTTTAAAATCAGGACTACATTTTTAACCACATCCTCTTACTACCAAAAAGAAAGTCCTGCGCCATCACTAGGGCAGTTTTCTCTCTGGTGGGGAGAGATGTACTGGGAATTATCACAGCCCGGTGATTCCAGCCGCTGCTACTTTCTAAGTTCTTCTCCCACCCAGTGTTGGTTCTCCACAACATGCTGTTCATGGATATCTGATCCTTGGCAGTTACAGCTCACAGTAAATTAGCAAACAGAAATTGGGATTATTCATCCACTCTCGTGAATTTCAGGCCTAGTCACCTCCAGGTACACCATGAATATGCCAGGCCCTGGGACCCAGTGCCCACCCGTGAGGCCCATCCAGGCACTGAGCTGGCCTGCCCAGGCAGACCTGTAAGTGCGTCTCAGGCCTTTAGATGGTCATGGGCCCTGCCAACCCTCTCCCTCCTCGGGAATCCTGTGTTTTTGAACTGGCCCTGGTTGGCCTGCACATCTCATGGGAAACAGGTATGACCTGCTACTGCAGGGCCAGAGTGGGGCACTGGTCTTTTCAGCCTGCCTCCCCAGTCCCTTTGGACTCTGCCTTCTAAGGGCTCATGACTCTTTGCCGGACAAACCAATCATGCTTTTACCTTTGCCAGGTGTTAAAAATAAAAAATAGCTTTGGCGGCATCGAAATTCATTATAACTTATTATATAAAATACATACTTTTATTATTAAATATAGCATTATATAGTATAAATATAGATATGTATTAAATATTTATAATTAAATTTTAGAATTTTTCAATGTGTAAAAAGTAGAAAGAAAAATATAATGAACTCCCATAGCCTCATCACCTTGTTTCAATATTAATCAACATCTAGTCAGCCTGGTTTTACCCAACCACCACACCTTCCTACTCTGAACATTTTAAAGCAAATCCCAGAGGACACATGATTCCACCCACAAATACTTGGCTATGCACTCCTAACAGATAAGCACATCTTTAAAAACATAGCCGTAATACTGTTATTACCTCTAACAAAATAAACAATAAGCCTTTAAGATGATCTAATACCCAGTCTCAATGTTCAAATTTCCCAGATTGTTTCAAAAGTATCTTTTTATAAATAGTCGTTCTGGAAGCAAACAAGATTCAAATACTGCATTTGGTTGTTATATCTATTTTATTCTGAGACCACCCCTCTTCCCAATTTGTTCTAATACCATTTATTTGTTGTAGGAAGTAAATTGCCCCACATTCTGGATTTATTTCCTTTTGGTGTTAACTAGTTCCATTACCACCAGTATTTTCTATAAACTGTGAAGTTATATTTAGAGCAGTGCTGTCCAGTGGAAATATAATTTGAACCACATATTTAATTTTAAACTTTCTCTTTTAAAACTTAAAAAAATAGGTGAAATTATTTTAATAACTTATTTAATGTAAAATAGCCAAAATATTATCATTTCAAAGTGTGATTAACATAAAAAATTATAGATGAGATATTTTATATTCTTTTTCTTTTATATTCTTCAAAATCAGGTATGTATTGTGCACTTAAAGCACATCTCAGTTCAGAATAGCCACATCTCAAGTGTTCAAAGGCCACCTGTGGCTACCGGATAGGATAGGGCAGATCTAGGAGTTTCAATAGATTCCATTTTAAAGTTTTAATGTGCAACGAATACTTCATGGGTGTTGCTGTGTAGTTCCTGCTTTAAAGTTCTCTGTCAGCCGGGTGTGGAGGCTCACACCTGTAATCCCAGCACTTTGGGAGGCAAATCACCTGAGATCAGGAGTTCAAGAACAGCCTGGCCAACATGGCGAAACACAGTCTTTACTAAAAATACAAAAATTAGCTGAGCGTGATGGTGGGCGCCTGTAGTTCCAGCTATTTGGAAGGCTGAGGCAGGAAAATCACTTGAACCTGGGAGGTGGAGGTGGCAGTGAGCCGAGATTGCACTGCCACTGCACTACAGCCTGGGCAACAGAGTGAGACTCTGTCTCTAAATAAATAAATAATAAATAATAAAAAATATAAATGCATGGGTAGGTAGGCACCAAAAGCAGGATTTGAACCTTGGCCAAGTATGTTAAATACTATGTAAGAGTGGTTTTTTTTTTTTGAAACAGTCTCACTCTGTTGCCCAGGCTGGAGTGCAGTGGCATGATCTCAGCTAACTGCAGCTTCTGCATCCTGGGTTCAGGCGATTCTCCTGCCTCAGCCTCCCAAGTAGCTGGGATTACAGGCACCTGCCACCATGCCATCAGTATCAACTGATGATCATTTCTGAATTCATTATTTCATTAGGGACTGCAAACTCATAATTTTCTAATTCTGTTATTCCTTCTGCATTTATTAGGGGTAAATTCTTACATAAAAATGACCTTTACCTTGTTGGCTCTTTAGTTACTCTGAAATATAGTTCACACAGGAAAGATGGGATCGATGCTTGTTCTCTGTCAATTTTTAGAGAAATGAGTTGATACCCAAACAACCTCTAGTGGTGATCAATGAGGGGTCTCTTTTTATCATCGCGAGCTCATGGATTTCTATATTTATTACCTTTCCATATATTGCAGTCATTATTCTTTTGCAATGTTAAAAATGAACCCATCTTTGGCCAGTAGGACTCTCCAGCTGGCTTCTGGACCAGTTTTTAAGAGCTTTTCTGCTTTCTGGTAAAATCACATGTATAAAGCTCATCTTGGACATTTCCTATCCCAGCAGGAATCAGCTATTTCTCCAAAGGAGTCATTGCTCATTTTACTGCTCTGGGCATCTCTGAACGATACAAAAAGATCTAAAGAAAGGGAATTAGAAACACCAAGATGATCAATAGGACAAAGATGTTACCTTTTTGGAAGAAGATGGGTAGGGTGAAGGAAGACAGCAAGTTTGAAGAGGGTCTTGCATGGCCTTACCTGCTCTGCTCATCTCTTTCTCTAAATCTCTGCTCTCCTCTCCCTTTACTCTTAGGAC
This sequence comes from Homo sapiens, assembly GCF_000001405.40. NCBI lineage: Eukaryota > Metazoa > Chordata > Mammalia > Primates > Hominidae > Homo > Homo sapiens. The sequence continues at coordinate 73,362,326 of NC_000008.11, forward strand.
TAGAACTATTGCCACTGAGGGCAGGTGAAAGTTCAGCCAACTCGGAACCCGGAGGCCCCACCTTACCTCCCTTTGTGAAGAGCCCAGAGCCTTTGTCCAAAGCTGCATCACTTCCCACCCAGCCCTTCCTGAGCCAACTCCCCGATGTCTCCAGAAGAACACAGTCGGCATCATCGTGATAACATCAGGGAAACTCCTATTTCCAGCAGTTTCTCCTTCAGCTGCAAAAATGTGCAGCAGTAGACAGGGCGTGGGTTTTTGAAGTCTCTGCAGGAAGTAGAGTTATTTTCTCAGCACCACATCTGAGCGCATCTTCTAAGGGTGGCCGACTGTGTGGGAGCTGCAGGAGCTCAGCCGGGATGCAGCCCTCCCATTCCCCACCCTGTCCACTACCACCACGCCTGGATCCGACAGGCAGGGCAGGACCCCATGCCACGTGGTAACTGTTAAGGAAAATGGAGCCAGGTAGGGGGGATGTCTGATACCCTTCCTGGTTTTCCTGAGTGTTCTTTGTCTCCCCAACTCCTACTCACAATAAATCTGACTACACTTAAACTTAGATCATCATAAGAGACCCCGCAAATGCCCACCATCCTCCACTGCTGTGATCATGAATCTAGAATGGACATTTCATATCAATGCCACAGTCCCCTGAGACCATCAGCCAGAAATGTTATCACAACTCCCTCGCTTTGCCCTCCATTCCCAGAAGGCAAGGAAAGAAGGAACCCAGTTTCCCAGCACCCAGATGCCTACTGATCCTGGCACGCAGCTCAAAGTTCAGTTACATTAATGATGGGCCTACTGCATGCTTGGGGCGCTTCCCTGTGTGTTTTGTGTGGTCCTTTCAGAAGTCCTATGGATAGACATTGTTAGCCCTATGGTATAGCTGAAGTTGAGAATCCCTGGTGGTTAAGTCATTCCCCCAGATCACATGGATGGCAAGTGACAGAGGCAAGACCCATCCTTGGGTCAGGTATGAACGTCTCGAAGGCTTGGATCTGTCTGCACGTGGGTGATTATCACATCCAGACTTGCACTGAAGGTCATGCTGGCTGCCATGGGCTGTGAATACCTTTCCTCAATCAGGCACTTTGTGTCTATTATCTCATTTAATCTTTGTTCTGCTTTATAAAGTGGCTCTTAATATGCCCCCTCTACAAATGAGCCACCTTATCTAATGTCACTAAGATGTGTACCGGACCTGATTCCAAAGCCTATGCAGTTTCCATTAAGCACCTCTGCCTTTTGAAAAGTAGGTAATTTCTCCATCTCTCCTAGCCCCCATTTTCTGAATCTGTGGCACATTAAATGCATATAAATGCAAAGACAGATGACAGTATCTCCATGTCTGAAAGGTAGCCTACGTGTGTTAGCCTCTGGAGGCACCCTGCTAGGAGGCTGGAATCTGGGATCCAATGCGGTCCAGCATTTAGCAGAGTGTGCCGCTGCTCCAGGCTCCAGAGCATTCTAGGTGCTATGTAACATTTGACATTTTGACATGGGCATTAGAAAAAAAAAATACAACTAGCACACTAAACTCATTATTTCAAATATTGATCAGGATAAAAATATGTTAACAAAAAAGTCATTAAAAATAATGAGCTTCTTGTGAGTGATTTACAGATTTGACTAAAATGCAAACTGTCAATGACAAATATGAGAATTAATATACTCCAAAGGGTAATGAAGGAACAGTCCTCCTGACATCTTTACATGCCAGGTAGCACCCTGGCCTTTTAGAGAGGTAGGGATAGCAATTGTAAAGCAGCACTGGGTCCCCTAGCTAGAATCGTCCATTACTGGCTTTTGTCACTAACTGAAAAATGCGGTCATGGTTTCCTTTTCTCTGGCACATTAAAAATAAAGGACATCTTTTTCCTTTCATGTGGACATCTGATGAGATTTACTGAAACTCTACCTTTAACGCTGCAAGAGTTTATGGGAAATAGTAATCCACCCCAAGAATAAACAGTAAATGGAATGACGATTTTCTAGGAAGTGCTGTGTCTGGCTGCGGCAGAAGCAGCAATGAGCTAAGAGAGGTTTTTTGGCAGCCCTGAAGGGCCATTGAGAACTGTGAACTGTGATGAAGAAAGCATTCATCCGTTTATATCTCTGTGGGAGTGCCTTCTGTGAGGCATCAGGGTGTCTGCCTTATCTGGGGATTTCCTCTGGCATTACAGAAAATGATGCAGGTTTTGCCTCTGTTCCCCGGAACAAGAGGTGAGAGGCTGGCCTGGCTGGCGTGAGATTCTCACTCGTGGTCATTCTCACTGAGGTTGGCTCAGAAATCTGGGTGAAATGATTCACCTGCTGCGTTGGCATGGCTTGGAGGGCAGCTTGAAGCTGAGTTTCCAAAGCTGAGCCCTTTGCCTAGGAAAACTCATTTCTGTTCTCTCCTTTCCTAAGGACAGGCTGTGGTCAGCAAGCTCAGTGGTTCATGGAATGTCTTTAGAAAACAAGTTGCTCCATGTATGCAAGAAACTGGTACCCAAATGCCGGTTGTGGCAGTATTTGCAGCAGCAAAAGGTTGGAAACGAGTCTATAATTCATGAGTGGGCAACTGGCTTATGTGATGCGATGTGACGTGATGAAATATAATGCGGCTATTTTCAAACGATGACAGCACACTGCTGTCATTGACAGTGTCAGGTCTGATAGATTTAAATGGGCATGGTGGGGCAGAAAATGATCTGTAGAGTGATTCCATTGCCGTGTACAGTGCATCTGTATGTATGGCCTAGGAAAGGGTCTAAGAGGCACTCCTTGCCTCCAGATGGGGTGCAGGGCTGCTTGATGAACTTGGGGTGGGTGGGGTGAGAGATGGATCCTTTCCTGACTTACTGTCCTATAAGGGGCAGGGGGATACTTGCCTGAGTAGGAGAGGAGCAGTGGGTAGCTAAGCTTGCTCCCAGGGCCCTCTCGGGGAAACCTGCTCCTTTTGCATTTTTCCAGGACTGGGGAGAATCCAGCCTTGGACTCCACCAGTGGGCTTCACTCATTGTCTATGAGGTGGCCAGGCTCACTGTGTCCTGAGGGCCAGACACCCCAGGGTGCTGCTGAAGAGGATAGTGCCCATTCTATCTCTGTCTCTCCCTGAGAGCGGGACCGCTTCCTCTTCCCTCTTCCATGGTGGTTGGGGTCCTCCATCCCACACTTGAACTCCCCAGGGCCCGTTGTCCTCCCTGCAGTTCCCCCGACTGTGTTCTTCAGTCCTATCAAGTCTCAACCCTCAGAATCCTGCTCTCTGAGAAGGAACCAATGCACGAACTCCAGGCGTCTCTGCCAGGCAACACATTTGCATTTTAACTGGGATTTTCTGGGGGAAAACTCCTTACGAGGAACAAGGTAAGGAGCGCCCACTTCATCCAGGTCAGGTTTGGGAATAAACAGTGAGCCCACCCAGTGGGGGCACCTCCCGTGGCGGAGGCCAACAGAGGTGGGGCTTTGGGGGACTTCAGACAAAAGGGCAGGCAGGTGCAAAAGAGGTCTTGGGGGAAGTGAGTTTCCTCCACGTGATCAAAGCAGACCCAGCAGGCACTGCCTCCGCACTTGTGGGAAGGCGTGCTCCTGGGAACCAGAAAGCCTGGACTTAGGGATGGAAGAACTAGGCTGGGTTCCAATCTTGTCTCCTCCCTCTACCCACAAACAAACCTAGGCAAATCCAGTCAAGGAACTGTCAATTCCTCATGTGTAAAATAGTGATAAAAACAGTGCCTTTGTGTGACCTTAACCTGAAAATGGAAAGAAAGGAAAAATTAAAAGTTAAAAAAAAATAGTGCTGGGCGTGGTGGCTCACATCTGTAATCCCAGCACTTTGGGAGGCCAAGGTGGGTGGATCACCTGAGGTCAGGAGTTTGAGACCAACCTGGCCAACAGGGTGAAACACTGTCTCCACTAAAAATACAAAAGTTAGCTGGGTGTGGTGGTGGGCACCTGTAATCCCAGCTACTTGGGAGGCTCAAGCAGGAAAATTGCTTCAACCTGGGAGGTGGAGGTTGCAGTGAGCCGAGATCGCGCCACTGCACTCCAGCCTGGGTAACAGAGAGAGACTCTATCTCAAAACATAACTAACTAACTAACTAAATAAATAAATAGTGCCTTCATCCTAACCTATGGGATTCTTATCATACTAACTGAGATATGCTGGAGTTTACTTTCCACGTCGCACTGTACCTAATGAACATGATTCAAATGTCTACTCTCTCCTCCCTGAGGCGGCAGTGTGGCCTGGTGGCTGGTGCGCCTTCTGCCTTAGGGGGCCTGTGACACAGCAAGGGCCACAGTGGTCAAATGCACAGACTCTGAGGCCAGGCAGCTGGGGTCCACCTCTGAGACTTTAACCTCTCAGGACCCCGTTTTTCTATTTTAAACTGGAGATAACAATAAGACTGTCTACACAGGCCCACTGGGAGGATTAAACACTTGTAAAAGCAAGTGAGCAGTGCTTGACTCGGTTGGCCCTGTGTGGGTTCCTGGCAGGGACCTCTGAAGAGGGGTGAAGAAGCCACTCTCTACCCCTGACTGTACAGCCATGCACTCAACGATGACGAACCTGTGGGGGGCTGCCCAAGCACCCCGGTGTCGGAGAATCCTGCTTCATTTCCTAGCAGGATCGAGCCATGCAGAAGCAATGCATGACTAGTGGTTCCTATCACGCTGACTCTCTAAGGCTAAAATGAATTAGTCACAGATAAAAGTGGTCAGATCTCAGGATTCGATGCTTCCCTTTCTTTCTTAAAGCAAGGATGAGGTCTGAATAATAAAATGAGCAATAGGCCATTTAAAAAGAAGCAAAGCTAGGAACTTTCACAACAATTTTTCAGGATAAATAAAAATCAGTAAAATAAAGCTATTTTAAAATGAATTAAATTTATGAAGCTATTGAATTCTGAGAAACTGCTGCCTATCTGGCGGGGATCATGGGGTAACCCGTGTAACAGGAATACTGGGGGCTTCCAGTGTCACTCAAATAGCTCTGACTATGTCACATACAATTATGTTGGTCCTGGACATAGAAGGGGAATACAGGGAGGCAGGAAATTGGCCTCCATGGTGAGGGGGATGCCACATGCTGGGGAGGGGGGCAGCAATGTATCCTTTGGGACTTTAGAGGAGGGCCTGAGTTGTGAGGCCAGGAGTGAGGAGGAAAAGATTCAAGGAGAGCATGGACTCTGAGTCAGACAGAATGACAAGAAATGAGGCATCCTCCTAGGGAAAGATATTTGGTACCAAAAAAAGGTCCATTGTAAGCTTCTTTAAATTCAGTATGAGATGGGCTAGAAAAGCAAGATGAAAGGAGAATTGTAGCTTAGAAAGCAATTCATATGGCAAAGAGTTAGTGGGCAAGGTCTCTTGGCCAGAGTGGAACCAGAATCTATCAATGCAACATCTTCCTGGGAAGCTGGGAACCTCAGGCTTTACATCATTATGCTCTTGTGGCACAAAATCAGACAAAGGGTATGTTCCGGACCAGGACCCAGTTTATTTTCCAAAAAGAAATTGTTGGATGTTCCAACCCCATAATATGTCCTCTACACTGAGGGACAGTTCAAAGCATTCAACAAAACTCCTTTGTGGGGGTGTTTCCTTGAGCAACAGGAGAACATTATACACAGATTTGTGACACAGCCTGGTGGGGTTTGAGCTTTGCTTTGCTGTTTTGCTTCTCTCTCTTTTTTCTAGTAAAAACCTAAGCAAGAAGGTATATTTATAATCCCCAAAGGGAAATTCTATGCAATAGCAAAATGTAGGAACATTTGCAGTGGTGGGTCTGGCTGGGATGCCGGGTGATGGAGCTGGTTCCTACACAGGTATCAGTGGCTCCCTGTTCGAGACAGATCTGAAGTTCAATCAGTGGCCAACTTTTCTGTCCACTGTCATTGATGGGTTCAGAAGGACCAACTTGGAGGGCACTGCTTCTAGTCAGTCATTCACCACGAAGCCTGGGGGTGAATGGCCCCCAAAAGACACGTCCTGCCCAGAACCTGTGAATGTGACTGTCTTAGTCGTTTTCTGTCATTTATAACAGAATAGCTGAAACTCGGTAATTTATGAAGAAAAGGAGTTTATTTCTTACAGTTATGGAGGCTAAGTCCAATGTTGAGGGGCTAAGTCTGGTGAGAGCCTTCTTGCTGGTGGGGACTCTGCAGTGTCCCCAGGTGGCACAGGTCGCCACATGGTAAGGGGGCTGAGAATCTTAATGTACTAGCCCAGGTCTCTCTTCCTCCTCTTATAAAGCCACCAGTTCCCCTCCCATGGTAACCCACTAATCCATGAGCCTATTAATTTATTAATTCATGAATGGAACTAATCCATTCATGAGGACAGAACCTTCACAATCCAACCAGCTCTAAAAGGCCCCACCTCTCAGTACTGCCACGTTGGGGATTAAGTTTCAACATTAAGTTTTGGAGGGGGCATTCAAACCACGGAAGTGACCTTACTGAAAAGCATATTTTATAGATGTAATTAAACTACATGTGAGATCATCTTCGATTAGGGTGGGTCCTAAATCCAATGACAACTGTTCTCATAAGAGAAGAGAAGGTGATATGAAGGCATAAGTAGAGATTGGAGGGATATGTCTACAAGTCAAGGTATTGCCATGAGCCACCAGAAGCTGGAAGAAGCAAGGAGGGATTCTCCCCTGGATCCTTCAAGCAAATGCCATTCTGATTTTGGACGTCTGGCCTTCAGAACTGTGAGAACACATTTCTGTTGTTGTAAACCACCTAGTTTGTGGCAATTTGTTACTGGCAGCCTCAGGAAACCAGTACAAACCCCTAGATTTTTCTTCATATGGCATTCAATAGAATATGTTCATTCGGAAGGGGTTCATTGGTTTTTAAAGGCAGTCCCTCCCATTTAAATTTGCCAAGTACCTGCATCACTGTCAGAGAGTTGGGCCAAGGAGAGAGGAGAGGCCTTGGAGCGGGGAGAACAGGAAAACAATGGCCCTGGAGTTGGAGCTTCAAGAAAGACGCTGAGCTGTGGGGTTGGAGGGGTCACTTCATCTCTTGCTCATCTGTCAGATAGGAATATTATGAAGAAGAGCAAATTAGATAAATTGCAGGAATGCACAATGTCAACATAAAGGGTTGGCTGAGTCCCCACCATTACTCTCACCCTGGGGGAGCCCTGCTAGAAAGACCCCCTTACTGAAGCTTTGGATCAGTGGCTGTAGAGTCAGTGTGAGCTCTACAGGCAGACACCCCAGGTTCTGTGTCTTACAGCTTCGTGACCTTGGCAAATTCCTTCCCTGAGCCTCAGCTCTTCATCTGTATGGTTGATACCTAGAATAGGTAAATTCATAGAGACAGAAAGTAAAATAGAGGTTATCAGGGGAGGGGGGGTGAGGGATGGGGAGTTATTGTTTAACAGGTATGGGGTTTCTGTTTGGGATGATGAAAAAGTTCTGGAAACTGATAGTGGTGATGGTTGCACAAGACAGCAAATGTACGTAATGAGACTAAATTGTACATTTGAAATGGTTAAAATGGTCATTTTTATGTTATGTATAGTTTACTAGAATTTTAAAAAGCATGTTAGCTGTGTTTCCCATCCCAGGGCATTGTGGCAGTAGATGACCAGGTAGCCAGTATGGTGGGCAAGGCTGGCCAATAGGCTGGCTGCACCAGCTCAGTATTTGTATAAATGGAACCTTAATGATTTAACCCCAAGAAGAGACTAACGTGGGATTTCAGGATCTTAGGCAGGGCCCAGGAAAGAAAAACGTGCTAAATAACTTTGAGTGGAGGAGCGGGGTAAGGGTTGAAGAGAAATCCTTCCTGTGCTCTTGAAAGTCCAGCAGGGGCCAGGCAGAGTGCCTCACACCTGTAATCCCAGCATTTTGGGAGGCCAAGCTTCACTTGAAGCTAGGAGTTTGAGACCAGCCTGGGCAACAATGGAGACCCTGTCTCTATAAAAAATAAATAAATAAATAAATATTTTTTTTAAAAAAGAAGAAGAAAGTCCAGCAGGTAGGTGGAGACTTTTTCTTTTCCTTTGCAAAAGCAGCCAAGAACCTTCTGAACCTTGGGGCTGCTCTTGGATCCCTTTGCTCTGTATCCTCCCATTCAACTAAATGTCCCATATTTGGCCCAATTTCAAGTTTACATTCGTTTGTCTGGCCTGGAGCCTGCCGTCTTCCAAGGAAGCGCAGTCTGCATTATCCGCCCTCTCTCTCTGAGGAAGACAGATGGATCGGCAAATCGTGGGCTGGAGACAGGAACTCGGGCCCCACCTCCGGCCTGTCAATTCCAAGCCCCTCAGAGTCTTTGTTGTACATCGCTGCCATGGCGACTGCTGGGGACAACACCTGGCCAGCGGAAGCCTGCCAAAGCCCACTGCAGCAAGAGCAAGGGACGAAGAGGGTATTTCCGGGACAGTTAGTGAGCAATTAGAGACCGGGGGCTAGAGCGAGCGAGCCAGCCCGAGCAGTCGGGAAGTGTTTGACCCAGAATTTAAACCACAGAGGCTGAAAATATAATTTTTAAAAATCAATATAATTGCTTTTGTAAGTGCTAAATACTGCAGAACTCTTTATAAGTTACTTTCTGATTCTTTATTCTGGGGCATAGTGACCAATAAGCATGCTGGCCTCCATTCCTGGCCCTTCTTGGGGTTTATAATTACAGCAGATCCACGGAGAGCTCGCAAACACCCTGGCCCGGCCAGGCAGAGACCAGCTGTTTGCACACAGACCTCGAAGCGAGCAGGGCTTGCAGACAGTGAAACATGTTCTCGTATTAACATCTTTCTCACGAGCACTGCCCCCTACACTGCTAACACAGTCAGAGGAGTCAAAAGTGGCTTCCCCGTGTGTTTCTCCATTGCACTCCCCGTTATTTAAAAAAACATGGAGTTTTAAATTTCACGTTCTGTGATCTAACTTCCCATTTCCCACTCACAAACAAATGACATCTGGCCACTCTCAACAATAAACTTGGAAAGATGAGACATTTCCTGTTAGTGCTCCATGTAACCCCTGCTTAAACTTTCAAATTCCTGAAATAATTGCCCGAAAAATAAATGGATCATTAAAAAGTGAAGAAAAGGGAGAAGAGGGGGGTTGGGAACCTGCCAGGAGCGCCTCTGACAGTCAATGTTGATAAGTTTTTAGCAATATTCCGGCATTTATTTAAAAAACCATGTTTTAACACTGATAGATGAAAACAGATTTGTTATTCTGCACAACCACCTTGTGGAAATCGCAATTGGATAAACCTTCCAGGCTGCTAGATCCAACATCACAGCTAATTGCCCAATTTCTTGAAGTGGTGGTAGAAAATATTATTTTAAAGTCCTCATCTGTTTTTTAGCACTCTGCTTATCTATCCACCTAATTCCTAAGAAATGGCATATGGTCTCACAACTTCAACAGTTACACAACCCCATTATTTTTCAAAGCTGCGTTTCGAAGCCTGGATTTTCTTCCTCATCTTCAGCTGCCAGCTGGACATTTCTTCTTGGAGGCCCTACCCTTATCTCCCATTCAGCATGACTAAGGCTGGTTACTCTGCACCAGCCTCCCAAAGCCGGCTCCCCTCTCCACACTTCCTCTTTCTCTCAATGATAACAGCTTTCTCCAAGATCCAGGCTCAACCTATGGTGATATCATGGAGGCCTGGGCTCTTCCCCTCCCAGCCCATATACACAGGGATCCATCCTATCACATCACATGTGACCTTTCTTTCCATTCCTACAACAGCCACCAACCTTGACAAGTCCAGTGATTTCCTAACACGTGTCCCTCTTCCACTTTCTGTCCCCATCCATCCAGGCAGCACCTGACAGCTAACCCATCTAATAGACCACTCTAATCCAGCATTTTCCTGCTCAAAATCTTTCAATGCATTCTTAGCATAAGGCTTGCACACAAGGTGGGCTTCATGGGTGTAGGACCTGGCCAGTCGCACAGGGCCCCATGCTTGGGAGGGCTCTGCATTTGGTTTGATCTCTGTTGCACTGTCTTGAAATTCTTAATCATTTTTGAACAAGGGGCCTTATGTTTTCATTTTTCACTGGACCCTGTGAATGAGGTAATGGGTCCTGCTTACATGCTGAGTCCAGAACCCTTAGCTTGGCATTCAGAACTGTTGCAATTTGGCTGGCTCTGCTTTATAGTCTAATGAGTACATCTTGACTCAGACCTCCAGTCCAGCCATTCATATTGATAATTTACTGTAACTGAGATATTTCATGCTTATTTCTGCTTCCAGCTCTTTATTCATCCAATTCCTCTCTCCCACCATACCATCCCTGCTTTATCTCTCTTTCTCTCTCATTTCTATCCTACCTGCCGAAGGCTGTAGGAGCCCACCTCTTGCATCAGCATGATCTGGATGTGAGACATGGAGTCAAAGGGGATCACTTTGGAACTTTAAGGTTTAATGACTACACCATTTGGATTTCAGACTTGTGTCGGGCTTGTAGCCCCTTTGTTTTGGCCAATTACTCCCATTTGGAATACGCGTATTTACCCAATGCCTGTACCCCCATTGTATCCAGGAATAACTAACTTGCTTTTGATTTTACAGGCTCATAGGCGGAAGGGACTTGCCTTGTCTCAGATGAGACTGTGGACTTGGACTTTTGGGTTAATGCTGGAATGAGTTAAGACTTTGGAGGACTGTTGGAAGGGCATGATTATGTTTTAAAATGTGAGGACATGAGATTTTTGGAGTGGCCAGGGGAAGAATGATATGGTTTGGCTGTGTCCTCACCCAAATCTCATCTTGAATTGTAGTTCCCATAATCCCCATGTGTCGTGGAAGGGACCCAGTGAGAGGTAATTGAATCATGAAGGCAGTTAACTCCTTGCCATTCTCGTGATAGTGAGTGAGTTCTCATAAGACCTGACGGTTTTATAAAGGGCTTTTCCCCCACTTTGCTCTGCATTTCTCCTCACTGCCGCCATGTGAAGAAGGACGTGTTTGCTTCCCCTTCTGCCATTATTGTAGGTTTCCTGAGGCCTCCCTAGCCATGCTGAACTGTAAGTCAATTAAACCTCTTTTCTTTATAAATTACTCAGTCTCAGGTATGTCTTTATTAGCAGCATGAGAGCAGACTAACACACTACTCATATTTGAAGATCCTTCTCTCCCATCATCTCTCCCTGCAATGATGGTCTTTTCCTCCTGCAATGATGGTCAGCCTCATTTGGCTTTTATGCTAATTTTTCTATCAGTTTCTTCCTTTATTTCATGAGTCTTATTCTCCCAACCAGTAAATATTTGGGTTCAAAGAGCATGTTTTATTTGTCAGTGCCATGCCTGACAAATAATGCCTTACAGTGTGCATGGTTGATAGTCGATTGATGAGCTATTTCTCCTCTGTCGGCAGTGAGGGTTTTAGGTAGTTTCCACTTTACATACAAGTAACAGGCATAACACAGGTTAAAATTTGCTCAGGCAAAGCGTAGAAAACTGGAAATAGTCATGGAGCAGCTCTCTATATTATTTCCATAAGTATGTATTGAATGCCTGCTTTGTGTCAGGTGCTGTCCCATGCTCAGCAACAGGAAGGCAGTTGCAGAGTGGCCACTCTCATTAGATCTACAGCAAAGTGCTGGGGTCACAACTCCAGCCCCATTGCCCAAGAGCAGTATGGTCTTGTACGAGAAACTTAACTTCTGTGTGCCAAATTTTTCCATCTGAAAAATGGGGATAATAATACCAAAAGCACAGGCAAGAAAAGAAAAAATTGATAAATAGGATTTCATCCAAATTAAAAACTGTACATCAAAAGACACTGTTGAGTGAAAGGACAACCCACAAAATGGGAGAAAACATTTGCAAATCATGTATCTGATAAGGGATTAATATTCAGAATATATAACAAACTCCTATAACTCAACAACAAAACCACAAATAACCCAACTCAAGATGGACAAAGAGGCCAGGTGCAGTGACTCACGCCTATAATCCCAACATTTTGGGAGGCAGAGACAGGAGAACTGCTTGAGACCAGGAGTTTAAGACCAGGCTAGGCAACATAGCAGGATGCTGTTTCTAAAAATAAAAATAAACAGCCAGGTGTGGTGGCACACGCCTGTAGTCCTAGCTACTTGGGAGGCCGTGTGAAGCAGGAAGAATCTCTTGAATCTAGGAGTTTGAGGCTTTAGTGAGCTATGATTTAGTGCAGGCTAGAGCTGCACTCTAGCCTGGGTGAATAAACACAGGAAAATATGCTCAACACTACTAGTCATTAAGGAAATGAAAATCAAACCACAATCAGATAACACATCTCACCCATTAGGATGGCTATCATCAAAATGGTGGAAAACAATAGCAAAGACATGGAATCAACCTAGATGCCCATCAATGGTGGACTGGGTAAAGAAACTGTGGTACATAAACACCATGAAATACTACACAGCCATAAGAAAGAAATGATGTCCTTTGCAGCAACATAGATGCAGCTGGAGGCCATTATCCTAAGCAAATTAACACAGGAACAGAAAACCAAATACTCCATGTCCTCACTTACAAGTGGGAGCTAAACATTGAGTACACATGGATATAAAGATGGGAACAATAGACACTGGGGACTAGTAGAGGGAGGAGGAAGGGAGAGAAGTGAGGGTTGAAAAACTACCTTTTGGACACTATGGTCACTACCTGGGTGACAGGATCATTAGTATCCCAAACCTCAGCATCATGCAGTATACTCATGTAACAAACCTGCATATGTACTCCCAAAACTAAAATCAAAGTTGAAAAAAATGGTGGAAAATAACAGGTATTGGTGAGGAAGTGGAGAAAGCAGAGCCCTTGTGCTTTGCTGATGGGAATGTAAAATATTGTTCCCACTGTAGAAAACAGCATCATAAGTCCTTAAAAAGTTAAACGTAGAATTACCATATGATCCAGCAATCCCACTTCTGGGTATATACCCAAAAGAACCCAAAGCAAGGACTCAGACTACCTGCTCATGCTAGTAGCAGTATTCATTCACAATAGCCAAAAGGTAGAAGCAATCCAAATGCCCATCAATGAATGAATTGGATAAATAAAATGTGTATACATACATATATCATATATTTACACACATACATACATATACGAATATTACTCAGTCTAAAAAAGGAATCAAATTATTTTTCCCTCCTCTACTCTGAAGGAAGAAAAAAGAATGAAGTTCTGATACATGCTACAACATGGATGAACCTTCATGCTAAGTGAAATAAACCAGTCACAAAAGGACAAATATGATTCCACTTATGTGAGGTACCCAGAATAGGCAAATTCATAGAGACAGAAAGTACAATTGTGGTTGCCAGAGTCTAGGGGGAGGACAGATGGGCAGTTATTGTTTAATAAATATGAAGTTTCTGTTTGAGATAGTAAAAAAGACTGGAAATGGGTAGTGATGATGGTCACACAACACTGAATGTGTTTAATGCCACTGAATAATAAACCTAAAAATGGTTACAATGGTAAATTGTATGTGATGTATATTTTACCACAATTTAAAAAGCATGGATAATAATAGTCTACTACACAGGTTGTTTTAAGGATTGAATAAAATATTATTTGTAAAGCACTTAGAAGAATGCCTGGCACGTACAAAGTTTGGTTAAATAAGTAGGTGCAAGGGTAAGACCAATTGATTTAATTCTAGGTATTATTTCCCCAAACTGAGCCATGCTGCTGCCTAAACCCTGCAATCACAAGATAATTTCCTTTTTTTTTTCCCCCTCCAGTCCATGTAGGTCCCACTTTTCTCTGCACCTCTGATATGGTTTGGCTGTATCCCCACCCAAATCTCCTCTTGAATTGTAGCTCCCATAATTCCCACGTGTTGTGGGAGGGACCCAGTGGGAGGTAATTGAATCATGGGGGTGGGTCTTTCCCTAGCTGTTCTCTTGAGAGTGAATAAGTCTCATGAGATCTGATGGCTTTATAAAGGAGAGTTCCCCTGCACACACTCTCTTGCCTGCCATCCTGTAAGACATGACTTTGTTCCTCATTCGCCTTCCGCCATGATTGTGAGGTCTCCCCAGCCATGTAGAACTGTGAGTCCATTAAACCTCTTTCCTTTATAAATTTCCCAGTCTCAAGTATGTCTTTATTAGCAGTGTGAGAACAGACTAATACAACTGCTGACCTATGCAGTGCAGTAGTCAAGTCTGTAGCATCTCTGTCATCCTCTACTTGTTTCAGCATGTTAGTCCTGTCCACTCAGGTTGGCTGCAGGTTTTTGAGGACAGAGACCAATCCACGCATCTCTGTACAGAGTTTGGCAGTGCTGGGTCCATTGTCACCAATAACGAAACAAGTGTCATCCAGTAGATCCTCTGAATTCAGTTCTGCATTTGTGGCTTATCAGAATAAGGTGAAAAGGGATGAAAGGAAAGGTGAGCATCTGTCATACACAGTCTTCCCGCAGCTCATTTGTTCATTCATTAGTAGTGAGCATGATTCTTTTCCCATATACCCTGTTATGAAAGAAAATAAATGTATTTTCTTATAGCTGTTCTGAGTTTCCAGCAAGGCTCCCTGGGTGTAGGAGAAACTTACTTGCAGTCAATCTAGAGTTTTCCTTCCATCTCCCCAGGTTGGATCTAAGAGCTGGAGAGGCTTCCATTGCTCTATAGCTGGGGAGGGGAGCTGGAGATGGAGGCCTGGTCCTAGGTGTGATCTAACCTCTGTGAAGGACTTGCTGAAACATTCCCGGCTTCTATGGCTGGTCACAGCTGTATCCACCCACTTTCTCAACCTCAAGGCCTCCAAGTGACTGTCAGTTCCCTGTGCTCTTAGGGTGCCACAGCCAGCCCGAGGGATGTTCTGCAGCTGGGCCCACAGAGCAGGCTGTCCACCATTTATGCCACCCTCGGGCTCACAGAGAACATCCTATGGCTCCCAGGTGAGGCCTGCACAGCCATGTCTGCTCTGGGGCCTTGATTCCACCTCCTCCTGGGCTTAAGCAGAGGCTGGGGCTCAGCTCTCATCTCTGTCAGGTTCCTCAGACACACCTGGGGTTTCTCTTGTCATGTGTTCACCTGGGATGTGGCTTGTAGGAATGATGCGGGAGAGAGGGCAGGGGATTCATCCACGCTCTCCTGGCTTCTCACTTCTCTGCAGGACATCTAGTTCTGATTAGAACAATACTTGTCCTAATCAATGGTTTCTGCCCTGAGTTTCCTCAAAAGTCCTTCCTTCCCAGTCACTTGTTTGCCAAGACAATCAGCTCTATTCTGTGGCTGCCTAAATGGGGTATAGCAAGGGTTATGGGGTAGAAGGAAGTGTTGGGGAGAGAAGATGTTAATATTTTTAAATTATGAAATGTCTCACACTCATCCATCTGACAAATATTAATCGAGCATGCTTTCCACATGACGGGCACGGTGCTAGTGCTGGACAGACCACAGAAAGAAAAATGGGGACATCACTGCTCTATGGAGCCGACAGCACAGTGCAGAGCTTCCAGTCTGGAGGCAAAGAGCTATGGATCCCTCCTATGCAGAGGAAACTCTTAGCAGAAAACTGCAATCTCAAAGGATTTAAAAATGACTTCTTAGACAGAGGGCAAGAGAATCCATTCAATTTTTTATTTTATGTTTTTTTTGGACAGAGTTTTACTCTGTCACCCAGGCTGAAGTGCAGTACATTCTGGGCTCACTGCAGCCTCTGCTTCCCTGGTTCAAGGGATATTTTTTTTTTTTTTTTTTTTGAGACGGAGTCACCCAGGCTGGAGTACAGTGGCACGATCTTGGCTCACTGCAAACTCCGCCTCCTGGGTTCATGCCATTCTCCTGCCTCAGCCTCCCGAGTAGCTGGGACTACAGGTGCCTGCCACCATGCCCAGCTAATTTTTTTGTATTTTTAGTAGAGACGGGGTTTCACCATGTTAGCCAGGATGGTCTCGATCTCCTGACCTCGTGATTTGTCCGCCTAGGCCTCCCAAAGTGCTGGGATTACAGGTGTGAGCCACTGCGCCCAGCCTCAAGGGATCTTTAGGCCTCAGCCTCCCAAGTAGCTGAAATTACAGGCATGCGCCACCATAGCTGGCTAATATTTTTTTTTTTTTTTTTTTTTTTTTTTTTTTTTTTTTTTTAGTAGAGATGGGGTTTTGCCATGTTGGCCAGGCTGGTCTCAACCTCCTGACCTTGAGTGATCCACCCGCCTCAGCCTCCCAAAGTGCTGGGATTACAGGCATGAGCCACCATGACCACCCTGCCATTCAACTTTTATTATAAATAAGAATTAAAAGAAAAGACAGCCCCTGAGAAGAACTAAAGCATTGTATGGGCCACACTTGTGTGCTTACAAAATGCACACACACAAATACGTGGTGAATAAAATACCCATCTCTCTGAGCAACGGCATCCCACTTCCTTAAACTCTCCTCCATTAGGATTAAGATGCTTGGAGGTGGGGAAATGTGTGTGGGTGCTGCTGCTTCCCTGATCCCTTTTTTGAAAATAAAGGAATGGAGGATCGGGGTCCTCTCACGGGCAGGTGTGTTTCAGCTCCCAAGGCCTCCGGCAATGGGGGTAGCCAGGGAGACCAAGGGTGTCAACTAGGGGAAGAGAAAGTTGAACTAGAATGAAGAGAGGAAACCAAGTCCTGCAGTGCCCGGGCTCCGGCCTCAGGGTGTCGGGCCAGCATGGCCCTGAGGATAACACTGCCCAGAAGGATCCTCACGGAGGGGCAGGGGACAAAGCAACACAGGACACCAGCTACATTCTGAGAAGAGCGGAAAAGAGATTATGAAACTCCCTGATGGCCCAATACGGAAAACGGGGATTTGCTTCTCTAATGCCACAGAAATGCATCCAGAAAATACTAATTTTTTACTCTGATTTATTTATGATTGCGAAGGAAAGGCATGTTGATTTCCGGCTCTCTGTGATGTGCTTTTGTTGATGGAACTTTTTTTTGAGACAATACAATTGACCCTTGAGCAACATGGGTTTGAACTGCGTAAGTCTACTTAAATATTCAGGTTTTCTTCCGCCTCTGCCATCCCTGAGACAGCAGAGCCAACCCCTCCTCCTCCTCAGCTCGCTCAGTGTAAAGAAGATGAGGATGAAGACATTTATGATGATCTACTTCCACTTAAGGAATACTAAATATATATATTTTTCTTCCTCATGACTTTCTTAATAACATTTTTCTCCAGCTTATTTTATTGTAAGAATACAGTATATAATACATGTAACATACAAAATTCGTGTTAATCAGCTGTTTACATATGGGGAAGGCTTCTAGTCAACAGTAGGCCGTGAGTAGTTAAGTTTTGGGGGAGTACAAAGTTATACACATATTTTTGACTGTGCAGGAAGTGGAGACTAGTGCCCTTAACCCCTGCATTGTTCAAGGGTCAACTGTATATCACACATTAAATTATTAACAGAAAAATAAATTTGTAGGCCAGGCACGGTGGCTGGAGCCTGTAATCCCAGCACTTTGGGATGCTGAGGTGGGCACCTGAGGTCAGGAGTTCGAGACCAGCCTGGCCAACATGGCGAACCCCTGTCTCTGCTAAAAATACCAAAATTAGCTGGGTGCAGTGGTGTGCACCAGTAATCCCAGCTACTCGGGAGGCTGAGGCAGAAGAATCACTTGAACCTGGGAGGCGGAGTTTGTGGTGGGTGGAGATCGCGCCACTGCACTCCAGCCTGGGTGACAGAGTGAGACACCGTCTAAAAAAAAGAAAAAGAAATGTGTAAAATATTTATTTGAGGAAGTCTGCATTTTTCTCAAGCAGTTCTTACCAGCTCCAATGAGAATCATGCCAGAGGAACACAGCGGCATTCTTGTATTTGTCAGTGTTGGTTGTGTGGCCCTGGGCATTGCTAGATACTGGGATAAAGATGGGTAAGACAGAGCCTGGGTCCTCAAGGAACTTAACAGCCAACAGGAAGGGGAAGATAAATACTCAATGAGGAAGGAAAGAAGTGTGTGAAGAAGGAGGAAGAGGTGGTTACATTCTTGGAATAGCTTGCATACTCAAAACTCTCCAGTGGCTCCCATCTTGTTCTGAGTAAAAGCCAATGGCCTTTTACTGAGATGGCCTCCAAGGCCCTGCTTCAATGGCCTCCAAGGCCCTGCTCCACCTGCCTGGCTCTTTTCCTCTCAGGCCTCATCTCCTCCTCTCTCACTGCTCTCTTTTTCCCCTTCTTCCCTCCAGCAAGCCAGCCACAGTGGCCTTCTGCCAGACACAGCAGCCTCAGAGGCTTTAAACTTGCTGTTCCTGCTGGAACACTCTCCCAGGGACGGCTCAGGATGGCTTCCTAACCCCCTTCAGGCCTTTGTTCGGCCATCACCTCCCTGTGAGGCTCTCCTCCCACCCCAACATACTGCATTATTCCTTCCTGCATCACAAACCCCCCAAAAGCATTTGGGGGACCCTCAGGGGCCCATGGACCCCACTTTTTGAGAACCACTGAACTGCAATTCTCTCGAGGAGACTTGTTTAAATCCAACTCCACTGCCTGCCCCTTAGAGATGCTGTTTTAGTGGCTCTGAAGAGGAGCCTGGAACTCTGCATTTTAACAAGCAGCTCAGAGCCAGGCACGGTGGTTCCACTTATAATCCTGGCACTTTCGGAGGCTGAGGCAGAAAAATCACTTGAAGCCAGGAGCTCAAGGCCAGCCTGGGCAACACAGTGAGATCCTGTCTCTACAAAAAAATTAGCGGGGCGTGGTAGTGTGTGCCTGTAGTCCTCGCAACTTGGGAGGCTGAGGCGGGAGGATCAGTTTCAGGCCAGGAGTTCAAGACTGCAGTGAGCCATGATCACACCTCTGTACTCCAGCCTCAGAGACAGAGTGAGACCCTGTCTCAAAATAAAAAATAAATACATATATAAAGCAGCTCAAGTGATTCTAATGGCTAACGATATGATCCAAGGCCACATTTTGCAACAATAATGGGAAGCCATTGAAAGGCTTTTAAAGTGGGAGTGACAAAATTAAATCAGGCCTACAGGGAGCCCTAAGGGTCTTAATCCCAGAGAAAGATCCGAGGAATCTAAATCAGGTGCCAGAAAACTACACCCTGGAAGGTGAAACCCTGCCTGCTACCTGCTTTTGTAATAAAGTTTTATTGGAACACACAACCACACCCGTTCTTTTATATACTGTAATTGTCTATGGCTGCTTTTGTACTAGAATCGCAGGGTTGCATCGAGTAGTCTCCCCCCTTATCCAAGGGAGATATGTTCCAAGACCCCCAGTGGATGCCTGAAATTGAGGCTAGATATATACTATGTTTTTTCCTATACGTATGTACCTATGATAAAGTTTAACTTATAAATTAGGCACAAAAACAATAGTACGAGATGAACAACAACAATAATAAAATAGAAGAATTATAGCAATATACTGTGATAAAATATTTTATCGTACTATACTCACCTATTTTTGGATTGAGGCCAGTTAATCGCAGAAAGCAAAACCATGGAGAAGAGGGGAACTACTGTAGTTACAACAGAGAGTGTGAGGTTGGCAAAGCAAGAAATAATTACCTGACACTTTCCAGAAAGAGTTTGCTGACCTCCAGTCTAAAGCAAGAGCTGGAAGGCAGGGAGAAAAAGTGACCAGTATTTAGAGACAGGATTAGAGGAGTGGGTGGGATGCAGTGGGGGTGGGAAGGGAGCTGAGCCCCTGAGGATGGGTCCTGACTTTCCAGCTCAGCCCACGGGGGAAGGTGACAGCAGCAGATGAGATACATGTTTTTGCAGGAAGAAGCCCAGAGTTGAGTGAGGATGGTAAGTATGTTTGGGAACACATGTTCCATATATTCTCCTGGCTTAATGTACAGCTTCATTGAGATTTTCTCTACTTTGTCCCTATTGGCTTGGTATTTACTTTCAGAAATAAGACTAATAGCTATAGCAGAGGAACCCTAGGCACTAAGAGAAAATGTGTTATCTCATTCATCCTCATCACCCTAATGAAAAGGTACAGTCATTTCCATTTTACAGACCAGAAACATGAGGTTTATTGGTTAAATGACTTGCCCAAGGACAGATCTGTCAGACTCTAGAGTTCTTAACACCGCCTTTTGTAAACCCGAAGATCCGCATACTTTGTATGGTTTACAAAAGCAATTTTTAAAAGGCCACTGCTGAGTACAGGTAATGGAGGATTCTGTTGTTGGTGTGTTTCTGTCCAGAGTTTGCCTGTACCCTTTGCTTCCTGTTTCTAAGTCAGTTTCTGATCCATACCAAAACATTACACTTAATCCCATCTACAGTAACGGAATATTTTTATTACTAGTTGTTGTGGAGCCTCGCCAAGGCTT
Source organism: Homo sapiens (assembly GCF_000001405.40). Lineage (NCBI taxonomy): Eukaryota > Metazoa > Chordata > Mammalia > Primates > Hominidae > Homo > Homo sapiens. The sequence continues at coordinate 73,382,584 of NC_000008.11, forward strand.
TTGATAAGCTAAATAAAATAGACTACATCCATTGGTGATTTATTCCCTCTCATTGATTCCTTCAAAGCTGGAGTAGGGGATGAGCCTCAGAGCAAGGGAAAGTTCTGCCATCAAGGTCTAATCCTCGGTGCCCCCCACAGCAGCATCGGGGCAAGCACTTTATAAAGGAGATGAAATGCCCCCCAAGCTGGTGATGGTCCCACTGAGTTTCAGCACAAACTCCACTTTCATCACATTAAAGCCTGAGTTTATTTCCCAGCCAAGAGGAAGAAAAAAGAAATATTACTCAGATACTCCATTTCTTTTCCACCTTAGCTAAACAGCACTGCAAAGCTGCTACCAAGCAGTAAAATAATGAAAAGAACTGGATTTATTTGCCAGGTTACTTCAAGAAAGGCCATAGAAAAATCTCTCGATAACCTGGGATTACTTTCCTACAAAAGATCAAGACTGAAAATAAAGGAGAAGGTCGTAACAGGAAAAACAGTAAATAATATTTGTTTAAATAACACAGTAAATGATAGTTCTAGAAGATATCCACTTCCAAATTTGTTACTGTTAAGAGCCTGCCCCAATCGCTGACTCCTCCCCTAATCTCATCCCTTCCTGGCTTCTCACTGCAAATAAAATGAAATTTGAATTCCATACTGTGGCCTTCGATCCCCTAACGATCTGGCCCTGGTCTCCACATTGGCTTCTGTGGGATCCTCAAGGCTGTGTCTTCTCCACCTCAAGCCTCTGACCCTCGGACCTCTGTCTGAAACACTCTCTCTTGCTCTTCATTCTCTGGGTCTTGGCTCCAGCTGGACTCCTGGAGAGGCTGTCCGGAAGTGCTCAGTCTCTCAGCACTCTCGGTTTTCTTCCCTTGTAGCATTTATGACAATCGAAATATCTTGTTTCCGTGTTGGTTTAATTGTCTCTCTTTTGTCCGCCCCACTAGAATGCAAATTCCCTAAAGTTAGAAACTGTGTTTGCTTTTCTTCTGATAGGTTTTGACTAGAATAATGTTGGGCACATATTAGGCATTCAAAAACTCTTAGCTGAAATTCCACACCTTTGCCCTTACGTTTTATTTTGTCTCATTTTTGTAAGTCTTTGAAAATATCTGTGTGATGTTTCCCAAATTAGTCTGTAAGTTTAAAACAGTTTTAATCAAAATCCCAACATAGTTTTTCATAGCCCTTGACAAACCAATTGTAAAATTCACAAAGAAGAGTAAATGTTTAAGAATAACCAAGATAATTGTCCCAAAGGGAAGTGGAGTAAAGATTTACTGCATGAGAGATCAAGACACATTACAAAGCTAAGGTAATTAAAACAGCATGGGATTGGCACAGGAACAAATAAAAAACATAGATCAGGAGTATGGACATGGGACGTTGGTGCATGGTAGAGTTGATGTTTCAAATCAGTAGGGAAAGAGCAGATTATTCAATAAGTGGAGCTGGGACAGTTGACTAGCTGTGTGAAAGAAACAAAAATCATCTTGCATCTCACACACACACACACACACACACACACACACACACACAAACTTCAGATGGCTTAAGAGCTGAGTGTAAAAAATAAAACATTAAAATTATTACTAAGAGAAAAAATTATTAGAAAATATAGAAATTATCATTATGATCTTAGCAATACTCTGGAAGTAATATTAGGGAAGCCTTACTAATCTAAGGCCCCAAAAATGCAAACTATAGAGAAAAAAATGATTTTGACTACATCAAAATTAAGTCTTCTCTCCAACAAAAGGCATCATAAAAAATGTCAAAATTTTAGCAACATGACCTGGCACGGTGGCTCACGCCTGTAATCCTACCACTTTAAGAGGCTGAGGCGGGCAATCACTTGAGCCCAGGAGTTCAAGATCAGCTTGGGCCACATGAGAAACCCCATCTCTACAAAAAATAAAAAAATTAGCTGGGCATGGTGACATGTGCCTGTAGTCCCAGCGACTTGGGTGGCTGAGTTGGGAGGCTCAGTTGAGCCTGGAAGGCAGAGGTTGCCATGAACCAAGATCGCGCCACTGCACTTCAGCCTGGGTGACAGAGCAAGCCTGTCTCAAAAAAAAAAAAATTGCAACTTGGTGAGAATTTTTTTTTTTTTACATTTTATGAAACAAAGGACTAGGAAAAAAGTAGGAATGTAAATTAATAAGAAAGAGACCATCAAATTTAAAAATGATCATATAATATATATAGTTTTAAGATGGAAATGTAAATGACCAATAGAGACATAAGTTACTCAGTCTCCTTAGCAAACAGGGAAATGCAAATAAAACAATGAGATGCTAGTTCACACCTATGGGACTGGCAACATTTAAGTCTGATATTATGTAGTGCTGGTGAAGATGTGGGCAAAGAGAGATCTTCAATTGAAATGTTTCAATTGTAGGTTAGCACACTCTGCTCTTTGGGGACAGCAATTTAACTGTATCTGTTATAATTAGAGTTCCTACTCCACCACCCAGCAATTACACTTCTAGGCATCTTCTTTAAAGAGACCTGAGCACAAAGAGGTACATGGAAGACTGTCAATGCAGCATTGCTTGTTAATGTGAAAATTGTAAATGTATATCATGAAGGCAAATGTCTAAATAAGAAAATACACAGTACATTAAGAGAAATGAATCAGGTCTATAGGGATTAATATAGATAACCCTCAAAACCTATTACTAGGTGATAAAAACAACTTTCAAATTATGTATACAGTGTGGTAATCATTTATACAAAGACGCCCACATGAAACAATACTATGCATTTTCTGGGGTGCATATAAATGCATGCAAAGTGGTGAAAGTGGTCTGGCTGTATACCCACCAGTTCATGACCATGGTTTCTCCTGGAGAGAGGAGGAGTGTGGTAAGATTGTGGCAAGGTGCTTGAAGAGCACCTTAAGAGCTAAGTGTAAAAAATAAAACATTAAAATTATTATTAAGAGAAAAAATTATTAGAAAATGTAGAAATTATCATTATGATCTTAGTAATGTGCAGTGCTATGTGTAGAAGAATGTATTCATCTATCTCTTGTGTAATTGAAATGTTTAGTAAAAAATACTTTGTATTTAAGAAAATAAACTAGTCCTCCATGAGCTGGGTACATAAATTGAGAGTAACCCATTAGAAAATTGTATTGTGATTTGACATTGCCTCAACATTCAATCTCATGATCAGTGGGCTCATCTGGAGAGCTTAGACCAGCCGTTAAGCTCAGCAAGAGTTTTCCCCAGCTGGGGACACAAGAGAAAGGTCAAGAGATTCCAAGTGAGAGCAGGATTCAACGCATTGTTCATGTGAAGATGGAGTGGGCACGTGAGAAAGAATGTGAATGGCCTTTAGTGGCTGAGAGAAGGTCCTGGATGATGGCCAGCAACAAAACAGAAACTTCAGTCCTGCAACCACAAGGAGCAGAACTCTGCCAACGGCCTGAATGAGCCTGAAAGCAATTCTCTCCCTGAGCCTTGAGATAAGCCCAGCTGGCATCTTGATTTCAGCCTTGTGATACCCAGTGGAGCCCACCTGGCCTTCTGACCTATGGAACAGTGTGCTAGTAAATGAGTGTTATTTGGAAAAAAAGCAAAACAAAGCAAAAAAACTAGAGTAAAACACCATGATCAAGAATATGTTTTCCTGGGATGGATCTTTCCCAAATATTAGGAAGTTGGTACCCACATAGGCCCTCCTTCAGCTCTGTTTTCTTTTGTTTAAGCCTGTGGTTCTTAACTGGTATGGAGAAGAGGTGGGGAGTGCTCCCTTCCCAGGGGATGGTTAAACATGCTTTTAGGAAAAAAAAAATTGTAGGCATTTGAGATTGTCACAATGACTGGGGGAGGTCGCTTCTGCCACTTACTGTGAGCATTGAAGAAGCTAAACCCTAAACATCTCGTAATGCAGGCACTATGCTGCCCCATGAACGGTCTTGCCATTTATGAAAAACGTTGGCTTTAGGTGAACCAAACTGAAACTCACATATGTAAAAAGGTCTGGGATTTTCTTTTTTTCTTTTTTCAAATCCACAAATGTAAAATTGGTTGGAGAGGGCCTATGAAACATTTCCACACAGGCTGCTCCTCTGTGCAGTTGGGGCCTTATCATCATCTAATAAGACTTAATAGTGGCTGAGCCAAGCTTACACATCGCTCAAAATCAACGGGAAGGAGGAAGGGTTAGTGCCATTGGCAGCCGATAGCACACCCAAATTACAGTCCTGTTTACTTGTGGGTCGGTGTGAATTTATGAGGAAGGCCACAGGCAGGGCGTGAAACAATGAGCTGCTGCTTGTGGTGTAATAGATTTGCTGCTGAATATGCGTTACTGGGAATGGAAACTGGAGTCTGGAGAAGGCACCACAATGTCCTGGGGTGCAGGGCAGTGTGTTGGCAGCCTGAACTCAGCCCCACAATAACTCAGCCCCCATGGGCAGTTGGGCCAGAGAGATTTATAGACCCCAAGGAACTCGTGCGACCAAGGTTGCTCAGAGGAGGCAATACATTGTGAGATTCTGACTGTCAAATAACATGTTGGGGTTTCTTCAGTGGTCCCAAGACTTAGAGATTACATCTTTAACACATCAATAACTTAGCCTCTGGTTAGCAAGGCTCACTGGGGCATGACTAATCAGTAGATGAAAGTGTCTTTGTGGGGATTAACTTTAATGAAAAGAAAAAGGATAGTTATTTGGGGAGTTTGAAATCTTCCATAAATCAAAGGGAACACTGACAAAGCAGGTTCATAAGGTAAGAATGAAGCCATTGTGGGGAAGATTAAGGAACAGCTACTTTTTATATAAATCACAGATCAGGGCTACATTGGTTGAGGATTCCATGGGAACAGGATTGTTTGACTTCTTCAGGTGTAAAGGGGTGATACTTGGGGAAGCTCTGCTCTCCTTAAGGAAAAGCAGATGTCCTGTGTCATTAACACCTTCCTATTGGCTTCCAGAATATCTGGCAACTGGCTAATTAAATATTTGAGGGAGTGATCTCCACTTATTCCAAATGCAGCTTTCAAAATACATCCTGAACCCATCCCTTACTAAAGGGCCCTGTAATTCAAAGTCTATCCAGGAAACCATGGGAATGACTCCACGCAGCCCATGGACTAGATAAGAAAGATGATTCTCTGTCTCCCTGAGAGCCATAAGAATGAACCAGAGATGGTCTCCCCCGTAATCAAGTGATCAAGTTTACTCCACCAGTAATGGCTGACATCATGACCCTCTGTGGGGTGCACTGAGAGGGACACATCACCAATGTCCTCTTCCTGCCAAAACTGTGTAACCTAAATCTCATCATGAGGAAACTACCAGATAAACCAGGTTCAGGTAAATTCTACTAAACAACAGGTCTGTTCTCTTTTTTAAAATGCCAATTTCATAAAAGACAAAGAAAGTCTGAGGAACCATTCCAGGTGAAAGAGATAGGATGACTAAAATGCAAGGTGTCAACCTGGGTTGGATTCTTGTCAAGACAAAAAAGTATTCCCGTAAAACAGCATTGAGACCATTACTGAAATGTGCATATGACCCATGCTTTAGATGATACTGCTATATCAATGTTAAATTCCTGACTTTCATAATTGTATAGTGGTTATGTAACAGACTATCCTTGTTTCTAAGGGATACACATGGAAATATTTTGGGGTTAAAGTTCATGGTATCTGCAACTGACTTTCAAAAGGTTCAGAAAATTGTTTTCATATATGTAGAGAAGATGAGAGAGAGATACAGCAAAACATTAACTGACAATTGGTGAATCTAGATGAAAGGTATCCAGGAGTTTATTGTACTATTTTCCAACTTTTGTGTAGGTTTAAAATGTGTTCAAAATAAAAAGCAAAAAATGGAGCCAGGTATATTTAAGAACAGTAAATGCAGTGTAAATGCACAGAATATTCAAACAGCAAAAATGCAGTAAATGCATAGAATCTTAAAACAGCAAAATGTCTAGCTGAGTTCTGGTTGTTGCAGTCACAGTCCACCAGGGAAAGAGTGTAGCATGAAAGAAATGCTTCAAAAAGTATCCATTAAGAATGCTTTTGGGCTGGACATGGTGGCTTATGCCTGTAATCCCAGCGCTTTGAGAGGCCGAGGTGGGCGAATCACCTGAGGCCAGGAGTTCGAGATCAGCCTGGCCAGCTTGGCAAAACCTTGCCTGTACTAAAAATACAAAAATTAGGCGGGCATGGTTGTGTGCACCTGTAATCCCAGCTACTCTGGAGGCTGAAGCAGGAGAATTGCTTGAACGTGGGAGGCAGAGGTTGCAGTGAGACGAGATTGCACCACTGCACTCCAGCCTGGGTGACAGAGTGAGAGTCCATCTCAAAAATAAAAATGCTTTTGACTTCAAGTTTTATACAACCCAGCTTGAGCAAATAGGAATCTATCTTTCCCACACTAGCTATTCTGGAGCTGGGGAGGAGACTTCTAGGCTCCTGTCTTTTCACTGTGCCATTTTTAGTGAACTGGCTTTTTGCCCGCAGATGCAAAGTGGCTACAGCACTCCCAGACATCAGATCTTATTTCTAGGAGGGAGGAAGATAGAAGAAGAAAGATGGGGCAACACCTGTTTAGAAAAGCAAAAGCGGTCCCATAAACCTCTGTGACGCAGTTTTAGGTAAATGTGTTCAAAACACATCTATTCTCTGCTTACCCCTTCCTTTGACCATGAAATTACGGATGGTCACGTTTCAGAGAAAGAGTGATAACTAGAAGCCCAGAGGCTGGCATCAGTTCTGGTTCTGTTTTTCACTCTATAGATGTCACTCAACTTTTTCTGGGCCCCAATTTCCTCATTGCAAAATGAAAGAGCTTTAAACTGAATTATCTCAAGTTCCTTTCCAGCAATAACAATCTATGATTGGATAATCTTTCCTATTGTTTAAGGGTGCTTTTGTCTGAGGTTCACCAAACGCTGACTTAAACTGGCTTCAACAATTAGAAAATTTACTATCTCACGAAAGAGGAAGGCTGGGTAGGGCTGGATTCAGGGTGTTTGATTTAACTGCTTAAAAGCAGCAAACAGCTTGCACAGTTCTTTTTTTTTTTTTTTTTTTTTTTGAGACAGAGTTTCGCTCTTGTTGCCCAGGCTGGAGTGCAATGGTGCAATCTCAGCTCACCACAACCTCCGCCTCCCGGGTTCAAGTGATTCTCCTGCCTCAGCCTCCCGAATAGCTGGGATTACAGGCATGCATCCCCACACCTGGCTAATTTTGTATTTTTAGTAGAGATGGGATTTCTCCATGTTGGTCAGGCTGGTCTCCAACTCCCGACCTCAGGTGATCCGCCTGCCTCGGCCTCCCAAAGTGCTGGGATTACAGGCTTGAGGTTCTTTCTGTTTCTTAGCTTCATCCCCATGCTGCTGATGTGGCTGTTCCCGGTAGTGGATCCAGATAAGACGATGTGCATAGGAAGGAACACAGTGTCGTGTCCTTAGTTTTCTTAGAGGAGATGGGTGATTTCCTCAGAAGCCTCCTAGCAGATTCTCTTATGTCTTATGAGACAGAATTGGTTTCTGTGTGGGTCCTGAACCATCATTGGCAAAGAGGACAGAATTTCATACAGCAAAAGGGATGGAAATGACAAATAGGTACAAACTCTGTGTCCTCCCATGACAGAAGAGCAGAAGAGAGTAAACCCACTCACTCAAGCCCTTTGACAAGGGCTCGAATCCTAACCCTATTCATGAGGGCTTTGCCCTCATCCCATCATTACCTCCTAAAGGCCCCACTTAATGCTCTCACATTGGCCATTAAGTTTCAACATACAAATTTTGGGAAGCACATTCAGACCATATTACCCCCCAAAAATTCACATGTTGAAATTCTAATCCCTCAAGGAGAGGGTATTAGGAGGTGGGGCCTTGGGGGGTGATTAAGTCATGGGGGTGGAGCCCTCATGACTGGGACTAGTGCCCTTATAAAGGAGACCCCGGCCGGGCGCGGTGGCTCTCACCTGTAATCCCAGCACTTTGGGAGGCTGAGGCAGGCGGATCACGAGATCAGGAGATCGAGACCATCCTGGCTAACACGGTGAAATCTCGTCTCTACTAAAAATACAAAAAAAAAAAAAATTAGCCGGGCGTGGTGGCGGGGACCTGTAGTCCCAGCTACTCTGGAGGCCGAGGCAGGAGAATGGCGTGAACCTGGGAGGTGGAGCTTGCAGTGAGCCGAGATCGCGCCACTGCACTCCAGCCTGGGCAACAGAGCAAGACTCCGTCTCAAAAAAAAAAAAAGAGAGACCCCACGGGCTGGGCGCAGCAGCTCGTGCCGGTAATCCCAGCATTTTGGGAGGCCGAAGTGGGTGGATTGCTTGAGGTCAGGAGTTTGAGACCAGCTTGACCAACATGGTGAAACCCTATCTCTACTAAAAATACAAAAATTAGCTGGGCGTGGTGGTGCACATCTGTAATTCTAGCTACTTGGGAGGCTGAGGCAGGAGAATCGCTTGAATCTGGGAGGTGGAGGCTGCAGTGAGCCGAGATTGCATCACTGCACTCCAGGCTGGGTGACAGAGCAAGACTCTGTCTCAAAAAAAAAAAAAGAGAGCCCAGCGAGATCCCTTGCCCCTTTCACCATGTGAGAACATAGCTAGGAGTGTGCAAGCCAGGAGACGGCCCTCACCAGAACCCAAAGGTGCTGGCACCCTGATCTCGGACTTCCAGCCTCCAAAACTCTGAGAAATACATTTCCGTTGTTTACAAGCCACCCAATTTGTGGTGTTTTGTTATAGCAGTCCAAACAGCATAAGACAAGGTCTATGTAGCCACAGGGGTAATTACGATGGTTGTTTTCATTTCTGTAATCTTTAGCTATATGATCTTATTCCTACACATTCGTTCTTCTTACTTGTATGATAAGAGCTACAAATTTTCCTTGAACATTAATGTTGAGTCCCTAGGGTGTCCCATCTCTAAGAGTCTCCCTTTTACATCTACGGGTTTTCTTACTCTAATCATTCTCTGCCTACCTCAAGAAACAAGTATCCTCTAGGAAAATCTGGGGCTCTTCTCCCTTAAAAATGACTTTCCTCATAGCCTAATCAATATCCTTTCTATATTTGGTTTTGATACCTCTCAAGAGTACTTCGTGACTTGGGGTAAGTCTCAGTTTTCCATTTGTTAAATGGGGCTCAGAATGTCAACTTTATAGACTTGTAAGAATCAAATGTGATAATGTTTGTGGCAGTGCTTTGTAAACTCTTAAATTATATATTGATAAAAGTTATTACTAAAAGGAGGTTATATTATCAATTGTAGTGGTAGAAACCTTCAAAGAAGGGGCTTATCTTTGAGAAGATCAAAGTCTAATAGATGAAGGCCTGCCTTGATGTTATGCATAAGTGAAGTAGGTACTTCCTATGTGGATTTATACTCTAGGGACTGGGAAAAACAATGAGGTAATGAAGGCCGGGCATGGTGGCTCATGCCTGTAATCCCAGCACTTTGGGAGGCAGAGGCAGGCGGATCACCTGAGGTCGGGAGTTCGAGATCAGCCTGACCAACATGGAGAAACCCTGTCTCTACTAAAACTACAAAATTAGCCGGGTGTGGTGACTCATGCCTGTAATCCCAGCTACTTGGGAGGCTGAGGCAGGAGAATCACTCGAACCCGGGAGGCAGAGGTTGCAGTGAGCTGAGATCGCTCCATTGCACTCCAGCCTGGGCAACAAGAGTGAAACTCTGTCACAAAAAAAAAAAAAAAAAAAAGAAGTAGCTTCCATCAGCCTCCTGAGGGCCAATATTCTACCATTTACTTTCATTCTTTAGCCTAAGTCTTTGGTTACTCTTCAAATACAAAAATTCAAGTTTCAGGGTTTTTTTGGGACAATAGTTTTTGGTATGTATGTGCAGGCTATTTTGGAAGCACAGATGGCCTGCCACACTTGGAAATGGAGAGTTGGGAAGAAGTTAGAGAGAGGTCCCAAGGACCCTAATAGCCTGAGTGGATCCATGAAGAGAACAGCCACAGAATGGGGAGGCTGAGGGAGTGGCAACAATGCTGCCGTCATCATTTTGTCCTAAGTCGGCCCTGGCGCTAGCACTGCCAGTAAAGCCTGAACTTCCGGAGTTCAGGTTCTAGTCCCAGCTCTGCTGCCAACTGGCTACATGACCTTGAGTATGGCACATACTTTGTCTCATTCCCCATTTAAGATCCTATTATATACCTTCCTTTTATAATTCTATGGCTAACTAGGAGTCCTTTGAGGCCCTCCTACTACAGGGCAACTATATTCTGCATTAAACACACCCTTTGATTATTGTTGCTCCCAAGAAGTAAGTGAAGCTTCCCAGGCCCCATCTACCCTAGCTCAAGCTATGGATGCTAGGAGCTGGGACCAGAAGAGTAGGCAGATCTTAATGGTAGATTGCCATGAGTGTAGATTCCTGAGTTTTGGGCCCGAAGATATGTAGGGAAGCTGAACCTTGGATTTCAGTGCTGAGCTGAGACTCTTTATGTACCATAGTGCCTGGTAGAAGCAGGACTCGAACCTGAGCACCAGAAACCCAGGTTTTGCTGGTGGTGCTGGTGCCAGAAGCAACTTGGGTCAAAATGGCAATGTCAGCACTGTTTCAGTCCCCTCAGCCTCCCCATTACGATCTTTCTCTTCATGAAGCAAAATCCTTTCTTGAAGAAATATTGCTCAGTTTAGACCTGCCAGATTCCCAGAGAATAAGAACAATGAGCTCACAATCAAAAACCAGTAAGTACGTGAGAAGATAAACCACTCTCAGTGGAGTAAACAGAAACTATAAACAACAGATTTTTGGACCACAAGGACTAAAAATATTGGAATTGTGAAATATGTATAAAATGTTTTTTAAAATAAAGACTGCAGTCACAAAGATAAGTAATAATCGATATCAGGACAAGACAGATTTTGAAATAAATATATAACTTCTAAAAATTAAAAATATAAAATTTTAAATATAAAGCCTAATGGAAGAGTTAAATATCAGACTAGACACACCTGAAGAGAGAATTTGTTAAATGAATGCTATGTTGGAAGAAATTATGCAGAATGCAAGGCAAAGAAAGATTGTCAGACTGGATTAAAAATGCAAGAATAGGCTGGGCACAGTGGTTTGTGCCTGTGATCCCAGCACTTGGGGAGGCTGAGGCAGGAGGATCACTTGAGCCCAGGAGTTCAAGAACAGTTTGCACAACATAGTAGGACCCCATTTCTACAAAAAAAAATTAAAAATTAGCCAGGCTAATGTTGCCCAGGCTGGTCTTGAACACCTGGGCTCAAGTGATCCTCCTGCCTCAGCTTCCCCAAGGGCTGGAATCACAGGCATGAGCTACTGTGCCTGGCCAATTGTGACTTTTATATTATAAACATTTTACCAACATTTTCAAAAAGTGAAAAAAAAAAACTTCAGTAGTAAGAGAACAACCTGATTTTCAAATAGTCAAAGCAGTTAAGTAGACATTGACCAGAGAGGTATATAAGTGACCAGTAAGCACAGGAAAAGATGCTGACTTTGATTAGCCATTATGGATATGCAAATCAAAACCACAATGAGATACTAGTACACAGACACTGTGATGTCTGTAATTTTAAAAATTAATGCTACCAAGTGTCGGTGAGTACGTGGAGAAACTGAAATTTTCATATATTGCTGATGGGAATATAGAATTATACAGCCACTTTAGAAAACAGTTTGACAATTTTTAAAACTAACAATTTTTAAAAATTTGACAATTTTTAAAAATAACATATACTTAACTATATAACACAGCAATTTTACTATGAAAAAGTTGTCCACACAGACTTGCATAACTAGCATCATTAATCATAACCAAAAACTAGAAACAACCCAAATGTTCATCAACAGGTGAATAAATGACATCTGATATAGCCATACAATGGAATAATAGCAATAAAAACAAATGCACTATTGATGCATGAAACAACATGGATGGACCTTAAAACCACTAGAATAGATTTTTTAAAAAACCAAACACAAAAGACTGTGTATTGCATTTGTATGAAATTTCTAGAAAAGGCAAATTCATGGAGATCAGTGGTTGCCTGGGGCTGGGAGTGAGAGTACGTATTGGCTAAAGCAGGTCATGAGGGGACTTTTAGGGGTAGTGAAAATGTGTGGTTGCACAACTGCAAATATTTACATGCACCAAACTGTACACTTGCAATGGATGAACTTTATGGTATGTAAATTACATAAGAAAACTGTTAAAAAAGTAAATAGATTGGCCGGGCACGGTGGCTCACGCCTGTAATCCCAGCACTTTGGGAGGCTGAGGCAGGATCACGAGGTCAAGAGTTCAAGACCAGCCTGGCCAAGACGGTGAAACCCCTCTCTACTAAAAATACAAAAATTGTCCGGGCGCAGTGGCAGGCGCCTGAAATCCCAGCTACTTGGGAGGCTGAGGCAGGAGAATCGCTTGAACCCAGGGGGCAGAGGTTGCAGTAAGCTGAGATTGCGCCACTGCACTCCAGCCTGGGAGACAGACTGAGACTCCGTCTAAAAAAATAAAATTAAATAAATAAATAGATTAAAGAGATGTAACAACCAAATACAAATGATCTTTGATTAAATCCTGGATCCAAAACCAAAACTTATTCAAGGAAATTCAGGGACATTTTTGGAAATATGAATGTGGGCTCTAAATTAGATGGAATGGTAATTTTTGTAGTAGTAGGTTATGTAAGAGAAAGTCTGGCTTAAAAGATGTCTGCTGAAGTCCTTAGGGATGCAGTCTCAGGGTTCTACAACTTGTTTTCAAATGACAAAAAAAAAAAGAGAAGCGATAAAACAAATGCAGCAAAATTTGATGTGAATATAAATGAAGGGAAAATAGATGTTTATTGTATTAATATTCAAGCTTTCTTTAGATTTAATTTTTTTCCAAATAATATTTGAGAAAAGAACAAGAAACACATGCTTATTCACAATAATGAAACTAGAATACCAAAGAAAAGTAGGAGATATTAAGAGCAGACAGAGGAAAAAAAAAGACAGATTATCTACAAAGGAATGACATTTAGAATAACAGCAGATAAGAGCAACAATTTTTTTAATGATTTAATTAATGTTTTTAAGATACAGGGCCTTACTCTGTTGCCCAGGCTGGAGTGCAGTGGTGTGATCCCTGCAGTCTTCACCTCCTGGGCTCAAGGCATCCTCCCACCTCAGCCTCCTGAGTAGCTGGGGCCACAGGTGCATGCCACCACACCTGGCTAATATACATACATACATACACACACACACACACACACACACACACGTGTGTGTGAGCCGCACCTGGCCTTGATATTTTTTAAGATTTGAGAGAAAATAACTTAAAATCTACATTTGAGTACCCAGCAAAACGGTCTTTCCCAAGAGAGTGGACTGCACAGGACATTTAATAAGAAACATCTGAATCTAAAGGACTATGCTTCCGCAAGAAGGAAGGTTTACCCATAAGGAGTTTGAGATGGAATGCTGGGAAAGAAAAGCAGAAAACATATGTGTAAAAATAATAGTAAAAATGGTCATGTGATATCACATTTGTATGGTTGATAAAAGGACAGATTAAGACCCTGGACCACAAATAAATTGGGAAGGGATGATCAGAGGGAAAACATTCTAAGATGGTTGCATTCATTTGGGAGGGTAAAATATAGTTTAACTTTAGACTTTGTTAAGATAGATGGGCATTGTGATATTCCAAGAGAAACCACTAAAATACTAAAGGAAAATATAAATTCCAAACTAGTAGAAAGAATAAAAGTAGGGGGAAAAAAGAGAAAGAACCAAAATACCTAATTAAACCAAAAAATATATCAAGTTCAATAAAACAGAACAAGGAAGTATAGAAACCCCAGGAATTATAGACATTTAAAAAGCAAGATGGAGAAACAAATCCAAATGTACTGCCAACCAAAGTAACTGGAAATGTATTACATTCATCAGTTACAAAAACAGAGATTGTCAGATTGAATTAAAAATAATTCAGCTGTATGTTGTTCACAAGAGATGCACCTAAAATAAAAGAACATGGAAAATGTCAAAGGAAATGAATGGAAAAACATATGCGAGGTAGATGCTAACCAAAGGAAAGCTGGCATAGCCATATTAATTTCAGAAAAAAATAGTATCAGGACAAAAATCATTTTAAAGTATATATGAGGACGGGTACGATGACTCACACCTGTATTCCCAGCACTTGGGAAGGGTGAGCCGGGCGGATCACCTGAGGTCAGGAGTTCGAGACCAGCCTGGCCAACACAGTGAAACCCCGTCTGTACTAAAAATACAAAAATTAGCTGGGTATGGTGGCGGGCGCCTGTAATCCCAGCTACTCAGGAGGTTGAGGCAGAAGAATCGCTGGTTGGGAGGTGGAGGTTGCAGTGAACCAAGATGGCGCCACTGCACTCCAGCCTGGAAGACAGAGTGAGACTGTTGCAAAACAAACAAAAAAAAGTGTATATGGTAATAATGACTCAGTTCAACAAGATGACATAGCAATTTTAAACATAAAAATTAGAGTCTCAAAATATATAAAGCAAAAAACCTATAGAGCTATAAGAAATTTATGAGTTCATCTTGAGAGTGGCAGATTTCAACATATTTCTCAATTATTGATAGATCAAGCAGACTATATATATGTAAAAAATAGGAACAACTGAAATAACGATGCTCTAACTGACATATATAGGACACTATGCCAATTAGGGAACACAGATTCCTCTGAAGAATACGAAACATTTGCACAAATGGATCATGTAATGGAAGTCTCAATGAATGTCAAAGAATTTCTGCTTATTTTTCCTCATTGCAATTAGTTAGAAATCAATAAGAAAAATATAAATAATAAAGAGAAAAATACTTTTAGATCTAAACAAATTAGTAAAAATAGTAGTACATGGCAGATCTTGTGGGATGCGGTCGAAGCTTTACTTAGAGAGATATTTAGGCCTTAAATATTTGTATTAGCAAAGCAGAATCAGCCAGACATGGTGGCTTGTGCCTGTAATCTCAGCACTTTGGGAGGTCGAGGCGGAAGGATTGCTTCAGCCCAGGGGTTAGAGACCAGCCTGGGCAACATAGCATGATCCCCATATCAAAAAAAAGAAAAACCTTAGCCAAAAATAACAACAACAAAAATCAGTGCTGCATGTGGAAACTTGAAAAGAAAACCAGAAAAGCTGGAAGTTAAGTGTCTAACTTAAGAGGTGGGAAAAAGAACAAAATAAATCCAAATAAAATAGAAGGATGATAAAAGTAAAAACAAATACAAAGCAAACCTACAGTAGAGAAGATCAAGAAGCTAAAGTGACTGCTGTGTTCTGAATGTTTATCCACCCCTCCCCAGCCTGCACTCGATGTTGAAATCCCAGCCCCCATGGTAATGGTATTAGGAGCAATGAATTTCTGTTGTTTATGAGCTTATGGTATTTTGTTACAGCAGCCTGAACAGACTAAGACAGGGACAAACTTCTTGTCACTTGTCTAGAGGTGTCATTTGTCAAGAAGAAAAAGCAAACAGAAAAGATGTCAGAAATGAAAAGGGGACATAAAAATGGAACAAAAAATTAAAAACATAATCAGAAAATATTGTGAACATATGGAAACTAATTGAAGCCAGGATAAATGGCCAAATTAATAGGAAACCAAAAATAATGACCCAAGAAAAATTAGAAACTGTGAAGAGCCCTAAAGCCAATCTAGGAACTGAATCAACAGCTAAAATTTTCCCACATTTGATTTCTTCAATAAATAAATAATTATTATTATTATCATTATTTTGAGACAGGGTCTTGCTTTGTGGCCCAGGGTGGAGTGCAGTAGAGAAATATCGGCTCACTGCAACCTCTGCTTCCCAGGTTCAAGCGATTCTCCTGCCTCTGCCTCCCGAGTAGCTGGGACTACAGGCTCGTGCCACCACACTTGGCTAATTTTTGTATTTTTCATAGAGGTGGAGTTTCACCATGTTGTCCAGGCTGGTCTCAAACTCCTAACTTCAAGTGATCCGGCTGCCTCGGCCTCCCAAAGTGCTGCAATTACAGGCATGAGCCACCGCCCCCAGTCGTTCAGCACATAAATTATAAGGGAGAGACAGAATGAGAGAACATAGAAATTTTAACTAACACAGCAACCAAACCCCAAATGGAATGTATAGACCTTATTTGAATCTTGATTCAAACAATAAAATTGTAAAATATGTATGAATAATTGAGGAAATTTGAACACTGACTAGATATTTAACAATATAAGGAATTATTGTTACTTTTGGTATGATAATTATATTTTGGTTATATTCTAGATGTCCTTATATTTAAGAAATACATCCTGAAATATTTGTAAATGAAATGATATGACATCAACATACTTCAGTGGGGAGGGAATTGGGATTATTGGTGACAAAAGATTGGTCATGATTGGATCATTACTGAAGATGGGTGACAGGTATATATGGGGTTCAATATTTCATTTGCTCTACTTTTTTACATGATTGAAATATTTTATAATAATACTTACATATAGAAACATTCCTACATCCATACCTGTAACTTTCATATATATACATATACATGCACGCACACACACACACCTGGTGTCAGAGAGGAAGTGGGGTAATGGGGAATTCTTTTTTTTTTCTTTTTTTTTTTTGAGACAGCATCTTGCTCTGCCACTCAGGCTGGAGTGATGTCGTGCTATCACAGCTCACTGCACTCTCAACCTCCAAGGCTCAAACAATCCTCTCTCTTCAGCCTCCTGAGTAGCTGGGGCTACAGGCGCGTGCCACCACGCCTGGCTAATTTTTGTATTTTTTTGTAGAAATAGGGTTTTGCCATGTTGGCCAGGCTGGTCTCAAACTCCTGGGCTCAAGTGACCCACCCCCTTCAGCCTCCTCAAGCGCTGGGATTATATGCGTGAGCCACTGTGCCCAGCTGAGTGGGGGAGCTCTTTATACATTACTGATAGGTGTGTAAAAGTAAGTCCAAACATTTTTGAAAACTATCTCCAATTGTTTGAGAATTTGCACATCTGCAGGTCCTACTAATCAGCAATTCTATTCTTTGCACATATGCACACTGACAAAAAAGTGGATACATTGATGGAATGGTATACCCGTAAGTGAACATAAATGTACTACAGCTACATTCAATGTGGAAGTATCTTAAAAATGTTAAGAGAAAAAAAAGAATCAGAAGACTACATAAAATAGTGTGATATCATTTTTATAAAACTCAAGAATAAGCAAAAGTAAGCCATATGCTTCCATTTGTGTGTGTGTGTGTGTGTGTGTGTGTGTGTGTGTGTGTATATATATATATATATCACAGTTTCTTTATCCACTCATTGATTGATGGGCATTTGGGTTGGTTCCATATTTTTGCAATTGCAAATTGTGCTGCTATAAACATGCGTGTACAAGTATCTTTTTGTATAATGACTTATTTTTCTCTGGTTAGATACCCAGTAATAAGATTGCTGGATCAAATGATTTTATACATGCAAAGCAGTGATACAGTGATACAGAGATACACTCCCAAATTTAGGATAACAATGACCTCTGTGGAGGAGACCTGGGGCTCCTGGATGGGGAAAGAGCATCAGGCTTATGCCTTATTGGCAATGCCCTAGTTCTTTGGGTGATGGGGCCACAGATTTTCATTATATAAGTAATCTGTATACAGTAAACACATGTGATATATATGTATATCTATATATAAACAAATATTTTTAAGATAATTTTTTTCAAATAAAAAAAAAATCCCACGACGTTTTGATTGGCCGCTCCCGTGGGACTGCCCTCTCTTGGTGAAGCTGTGCTGCATTTCTTAGAAATCACAGGGTTAAGTGCACAGGATCCTGACTCCTGCAATTATTCTGTGGGTTTGAAACAGAGCGTGTTTTACCAGGCCAAGAGCCCACCCTCTGGCACCCCTCCTGGTTCCTTCTCACTATTCATCTCAATCAGTCTGCATTCAGTGGCTTTATAATGTTCCAGAATTTTCCATGAAGATAATTTCCAGATGAATGAGCCATGGGGTTTGGACAGCAAACTCATTGGCTCACTCATTGCCTCTGCAGGACTACCAGGGAATGGTCTGGCTATTCTCACCACCTACATGACCTGCCCAGGCCTTGGAGCTCACTAGCCTCATCTCCCAATGTCTTGGTAAAGAGGGGAAGCCACAAAGCCATCTCTGCCTCCTGTAGCTGAACTTCAGCCATCACCACTTTCTAGCCTTGGGCAACTACACAGCAGGGCCTCCTGGGCTCTCCACACAACCACTGCACACGGAGAAGGGGTGGCACTTAATGGAGGCCTGACTCAGATGTGTGACCTAGGCCGACCTTACTCCAGAGCAGAATCCTAGTCCCATGCCTAAATCTGGTCCTCCACTACTTTTGTAAATAAAGTTTAATTGGCACACAGCTGCACTCATGCATGCATTGCCCATGGCTGCATTCTTGCTGTAATGGCATAGTTGAGGAATTCTGAGAGGCCCTGAGGCCCACAGAGCTATTTACTATCTGGCCCTTTTACCAAGCCACTTTGCTAACCTCTCCACCATTCTGCAATGCCCAGGACTCTGTTTACCCCTTGACAGGGAGCCCCCTGTATCAGACCTATTAGCTGACAAAAGCGAGAAGTAGCATGTGGGGTGAGGGTAGTTGTGAGTGACTGTCCTCACCTCAGCCTTCAGAAGACCTGGGTTTGGGTCCCTAATCTGCCACTGACTGGCGAATCACTGAATTTCTCTCTGCTTCATCTACCCATCTGATAGATGGAAAAGACAATCCCTGTGACAATACCAGTCACTCTGCCTTTCCCTGTGAGGATCAGATGAAATACTATCTGTCTGAGCTTCTCAAGCTGAGAAGCACAGAGTCAAGAGCAGCAGCTCTCCAACCTCAGCAGGCATCAGAATCACCTGGAGGGCTTGTTAAACTGTAGCTTGGGGGCTCTGCCCCCTGAATTTTGGATTCAGTAAGTCTAGGGTAGGGCCAGAGAAAGTTGTGCTTCTTTGAGAATCTCTGCCCTAGTGAGTGGTTCTTCACCATGGCTGCACATTAGAGTTACAAGAGAGCTTTAAAAATCCACAAAGAAATAAAATACCTAGGAATACAGCTAACCAGAGAAGTGAAAGATCTCTACAAGGAGAACTAACAAAACACTGCTCAGAGAAATCAGAGATAACACAAACAAATGGAAAAATACTCCATGCTCATAAATAGGGAGAATCAATATCGTGAAAATGGGCATACCACCCAAAGCAATTTATAGATTCAATGCTATTCCCATTAACCTACCAATGACATTCTTCACAGAACTAGAAAAAACTACTTTAAAATTTATATGGAACCAAAAAAGAGCCTGAATAGCCAAGGCAATCCTAAGTAAAATGAACAAGCCTGGAGGCATTGTGTTACCCGACTTCAAACTATACTGTAGGGCTACAGTAATCAAAACAGCATGATACCAGTACAGAAACAAACATATAGACCAATGGAACAAAATAGAGAACCCAGGAATAAGGCTGCACATCTACAACTATAAAATCTTTGACAAATCTGACAAAAACAAACAATGTGGAATAGACTCCCTATTTAATAAATGGTGCTGGGATAACTGGCTAGCCATCTGCAGAAGATTGAAACTGGACCCCTTCTTTACACCACATACAAAAATCAACTCAAGATGGATTAAAGACTTAAATGTAAAACCCAAAACTATAAAACTCCTGGAAGACAAGCTAGGCAATACCATTCAGGACAAGCAATGATTTCATGACAAAGATGCCAAAAGCAATTGACACAAAAGCAAAAATTGACAAATGAGATCTAATTAAACTAAAGAGCTTCTGCACAGTAAAAGAAACTATCAACAGAGTAAACAGACAACTTGCAGAATGGGAGAAAATATTTGCAAACTATGCATCTGACAAAGGTCTAATATCCACCATCTATAAGGAACTTAAATTTACAAGAAAAGAAAACCAAACAACCTATTAAAAAGTGGGCAAAGGGGTCAGGCACGGTGGCTCATGCCTGTAATCCCAGCACTTTGGGAGGCCAAGGCAGGCAGATCACTTGAGCTCAGGAGTTCAAGATCAGCCTGGTCAACATGGTGAAACCCCGTCTCTACTAAAAAATACAAAAAAAAAAAAAAAAATTAGCCAGGCATGGTGGTGGGTATCTTTAGTCCCAGCTGCTCAGGGGGCTGAGGCATGAGAATTGCTTGAACCCTGGAGGCAGAGGTTGCAGTGAGCCAAGATCATGCCACTGCACTTCAGCCTAACCAAAAAAAAAAAAAAAAAAAGTGGGCAAAGGACATACATATATATTCTGATATTTTCCAAAAGAAGACATATGTGCAGCCAACAATCATATGAAAAAAAGCTCAGCATCACTGATCATTAGAGAAACGCAAATCAAAACCACAATGAGATACCATCTCATACCAGTCAGAATGGTTACTATTAAAAAGTCAAAAAATAACAGATGCCAATAGTGGAGAAAAAGGAATGCTTATGCACTGTTGGTGGAAGGTAAATTATTTCAACTATTGTGGAAGACATTGTGACGATTCCTCAAAGACCTAAAAACAGAAATAACATTTGACCCAGCAATCCCACTACTGGGTATATACCCAAAGGAATGTAAATCATTTTATCATAAAGACACATGCATTGTGTATGTTCATTGCAGCAAATTATCCACAATAGCAAAGACATGGAATCAACCTAAATGCCTATCAGTGGTAGACTGGATAAAGAATATTTGTTATGTATACATCATGGAATACTATGCAGCCATAAAAAAGAACAAGATCATGTCCTTTGCAGGAACATGAATGGAGGTGGAAGCCATTATCCTTAGCAAACTAACGCAGGAATAGAAAACCAAATACATGTTCTCACTTATAAGTGGGAGCTAAATAATGAGAACACATGGATACATAGAGGGAAACAACTCACACTGTGGCCTATTGGGGGTGGGAGGAGGAAGAAGATCAAGGAAAATAACTAATGGGTACTAGGCTTAATACCTGGGTGACAAAATAATCTGCACAACAAACCCATATGAAGCAAGTTTACCCATGTAACAAACCTGCACTTGGACCCTTTAAGTTAAAACAAAAGCTTAAAAAATCCAGATGCCCAGGTCACAGCTCAGGACAATTAAATCAGAACCTCTGGGAGAGGGGCCCAGGCATTAGCATTTTCTGAAGCTCTTCCAGTGATTTCAGTGCACAGCCAAGGTTAAAAACAACTGACAGTGTATTAGCTAGTGACACTGGGAGGAATATCTGGGTCTTTTTCTTGTTTATTTATTGATGCTATAAGATTTATACTTTTAAAAAATCAGATTGAATACAGATACATTATGGAATAAAATGCAAAATATGCATGAATTTTCAGGCATTTTCTGTTTGCAATGAACTGCTTAGGTTACATCCTGCTACCAAAAAGTATCTTGCATTTTGAAAGAAGCTGAGGTTGCGCTGCCTTATCCTGAGCAATCTTTGTCTAAATTCCTACACAAATGTGTATCCAATGCAGCCACTGATAGCATCCTAGGGCTACCTTCTCTTGCATCCAGCTAAATCAACTTCCTCCGAAGTGCACTTGCATCTATTTCTCTCCTCCACCATCCAAGCCACCATCACTTCTCACCTGTATCCTGCAATGGCCTATTAATGAGACTTCTGGCCGCTCTTCCCTACATTGCCTACTGACAACAAGAGCAGTTTTATGAAACGTAGAGCTAGTATGTCTCTCCCTTGCCCCAAAACTGACAGCTCTTTCCCATTTACACAGAATAAAATCTAAACTCCTCACCTGGTTTATAGCTTCCACCCACAGCCCACCTCCACACCCGTGTCTTGATTCACTCTCACTGAAATGCCCTTGACACAGGGCTTCGCCCAGCTCCTCAAACAACCCAAGTGCAGCCCCACCCAAGACCTTTCCTCACCCCAGCACTTTTCCCCACATCTCTGCATCCTTCAGGACTCAGCTGAAAAATACTGGCCCGCGAGCACTTCCCACCACCTTAGCAAAGGCAGTCAGGCTCTCCCCACCTACATTACACTCCATCGCAGCTCCTCTTTCACCCTGTCCCTTTCCTTTATAACAATGATCACAGTTTGTAATCATTTTTTTTTCCTTTTCTTTTTCTTTCTTTCCTTTTTGGACTGTCTGCCACTCCAGAATCAAAATTCCTTCAGAAAAGGAACCGAGAAACTTTGTTCTCCATCCTGCCCCTAAAACAAAACACTGCTCAGTCAATATTTATTGCATTAAGGTTAATTTAGTGTTTTTATCAACCACCCTTGACTTCTCCATCTTGTCACCAAGGGACATGATATGCAAGGGTGCAGCGTCCATGCCCGTGGTGGGGAGGCAGGAGTGAGTGAGGCTCAGGCTCCGAGGGGGCTGCTGCCCTCATTCCTGCCAACTGTGGTCAGGTAGGCCCATGGTTGCCAGATCCAGATTTTTATGTGATCTTAAAATCTTGGCAACTAAACTAAACTTAAAAAAAAAAAAAACACCATTGGGAGGCCAAACAAAACACACAACACATCTGTGGGCTGCATTCAGCCCAAGGGCGGCCAGTTTGCAACTTCTGCTGAAATCCAGATGGACCGAATTTCTCTTGTGATCTACCAGCTCAGTTACCCTATCAAAGGAGGAATGAGGTTAGATGTGGTTCAGATTATCAGTGTTTCCTAAGAAAGGACAGTTCTTTGAACCATGAATTTGACTATGAACTTCAAGGGCTGTAGACTCTGTGATGGGGCGAGCTCGGCCAGCCTGTCATTCGATCAACATTCCTTCATCCCTGGTATGTGCCGGGACCAGGCAGCCCTTTGGGTAATGGCTGATCAAAGCCTTAAGCCATGCTGCCTCCAGCCAGGCCCCCAGTGCACCCCTTCCCCACTGTGGCCCCCACTGAAGCCCAAACTTTACTCCTGACCTGATCCTTCTCACCAACAGCAAAACTCATGGCTCCCACCTCACCTATCCCCTTCCTGGCCCCTTAGAAACCTGCTTGCCCTCAAGGACACCACCTCCTCCCCCACATCCTTGTCAGAGGAGACGTTCATCCTTCCAGCTTCCCCTTCCCCAACAGTGGCAACCCTTAAGGTAAATGCAGTAGTTTGGGGTAGGGGGTGGCCAGCACAGTGACTTTGTTTTGTTTGCTTCATTTTACTATGATTCCTCCATCACTTATCTATCCATCCATCCCTCTCTCCATCCATCAGTAAGCTTTCCTTTCTGAGGCATTTCAAAGCAAATTGCAGACATCAGTACCCTTCGCCATGCATGTTACTAATATTCAATATTTGTTAGTGATTTCTTTTTATTTGAGATAAAATTTGCCTCCAATGAAATGCACAAACCTTAAGCAGATAGTTGCTAAGGTTTGACAAATGCATACAACTGGGAAACCCAAACTCTTGTTGATATACAGAACATTACCATCATCTCAGGGAGTTCCTGAATGCCCCTTTCCCACTCACTGTCCCCACCCCGTCCCCCAAGAAGCAAGCACTGTTCTATTTTTCACCATAATGAGTTTTGATGACTCCAAGACTTCATATAAATGAAATCATGCAACATACACTATCTCGTGCAAGGCTTCACGCAGTGTTATGCACTTGAAACTCATCTGTGGTATCTTGTGTATCTGTAAGTTGCTCCTGTTTATTGACAAGTGTGCCATTGTATGTTTCTCCGTTTTCCTATCTATGGGCATGTGGACTGTTTCCCGTTGTTGGCTATTGTGAATAAAGCTATTATGAGCATTCTTGTGCAGGCATTTTGGTGTTCATTTCTCTTGGGTAAATACTTAGGTGTGGAATTGCTGGGTCACAGAGTCAGTAGATGCATGTGTCACCTGGCTGTGATGGGAGTTTCTGTTTGATCAAATGATATCAGCAATCACAACTCAGTTTCTTCTATGGGCCAGACCTGGTTGGATATTTCCAGCAAACGAAAGACAAAGCACTTGGCCTCAAGGAGCTTGCAGTCTAGTGAGGGGGACTGATGAGCACATGTGACTACTTAAATGACAACACCTGGGACATGGGGCTCTTCATCTGTTAAAGAGAGAATGAATGAGGATGCCCTGCTGAGCCTCATGTTCTGAGCAGGGAGAGGTCCCAGCCTCCAGGAGGGCTTCTTGCAGGAAGCAGTACTTAAGCTGCACCTGGAAAGGAGGGCAAGAACTGGGCAGGGGGAGGAGAGTCATGCTAGGCTGGGGAGGCGAGGAAAACTTGGGGGCAGGACAGGGCCAGGCATGTCCCAAAGACAACTGGCCTGGCCTAGAAGGGCCTGGGGAGTGGAGTACCGTAAAATCAGGCTGCAGGATGTTCAGGGCACAGATCTTTGAATTTCAGAGTAAGGAGTTTCGGGTTTTGAAAGACTCTTCTTCCCTTGTAGAGCACAGTAAACTGGGTTATCAGTCATTTTAGCCCCCAAAACAATACTCAAAACATCTGGACACAGCCGTGAAATGTTTAAGTTTCTTAGAATTTCCAGTTGCAGAAAAATGAATCTGTCATTCCAACACTGCTCCAGTGACATCTTGGTTTTACTTTTTAGTTTTTCAGTTAAGTGGTTAAGCTTCACAAGAATTGCATAGAGCTGGGAGTCTCTTGTCCTAGGATCAAGTGGTTACTACAATTGCTTCTCAATCACCCCCACTTTGGGACTTCATGCCCTGCTCTCTGCTCTGTGCTGCCTACAGTTCTGAAGGCTGGAAAAGCAGGATTTTGGCCACAGTAGTTAAGTGAGAACATCTCTAGTGCTCATGTTCCATCCTCAGCAGCCTGGGCCACAGAACAACATGCTCCAAACTGGCTGGCATTGTCTTGAGGCTTCTACATGACAAGAAAGAGATTGTGCTCGAGGATTTTTGCATTCTTTCCCGGTAGGACAAATCATCTCTGGGCAAAAACAAATGGCTCCACTCCTTAAAGTCTGTGTATCTTTTCCAGACTTAGCAAAGAAACTACCAGCAACTAAGCCTAGCTGGGTCTCTGACTCAGAATCCTATAAAGACACTTAGATGGCCTTGGGCAGGAGAAAAATCTGTTGACCAGCTCTTGCGATCTTACAACACACTTGGGTTGGCAAGGCTCCAAAGTGGCCTTCTGATGTGATTGGCCAGGTTGTAGAAAGTGGGCCGCCTTGGGAGGTGCACCCTCAAAGAAGAAATGGAGGACCGCCATGTGAATAACCGACTTTCCTGCAGGCCTTCACACACCATTTATTCTATTTAGAAGACAAAGCTCACCAAAATAACTCAGATAGGTTCCCTGGGTCCAAATCTCAGATTTCATCACGCTGGAGAGTACAGGGAATAATTGCCTAAATTTCCTGGGGTGGCCAGACAGCCCACGGCTAGAGGGCAGCTTGTACGGAATAGTAGCGCCTTTGCGATTTCCTCTCCCCTGCTCCTATCGAGTAGACTGTCCCAGTTTGCTTGGTGTTTGTGGTTTCGGCACTAAAAGTCCCATATCCCAGGAAACCCTTCAGTCTTGGGCAAACTGGAATGGTTTGGTCATCCTGTAAACAGCAGTAATCCTAAAAAGCACTTTTCTCTAAATAAAACTTGGGCTTTCTAAAGCATCGGTTAAAAGAAGTCTTCTCAGGGGGATGTGCTGACAGCTACCACCCCAAATCCAGAGCCACCTCACCACCCAGCGGGGGTGGCTGAGTGAGGCACAGCCATGGCCCTCCTGCAGCCAGGCTGTCAGTAACTTGGGCCCTGGGCCCTGGAGGATGCGCTGGTGGTCACGGGAGAAGAGTCAGGGCCATGGTTTCGGCTGCAAAGACGGTTTCTGGATCAGTTTCCACAGTCTTTGATGAGGCAATAGATCTTACATGGCTGTTTTATTTGCAGATTTCAGAGGAAGCAAATGATCTACAACCAGTGAGCCTGACTCTGACCTGCGGGTAGGAGGTCAGGTCATTGCAGCCCTTTGGAGGCCTTCACTCTGTGCTGGGTTAGGAGAATGTGTCCCCTCTTCCACCTAGAATAAAGATGACACAGCTTTGGAGGGTGATTTGTTGCATCCTGCAGGGTGAAAAGGAGACAATTCATCTATGTAGCTTTTATTTCTGGAAGGTCATTCTCTTGTATGCCTGTTCCTCTCCACTAGACTTAAAGGGTCTGAGATTCTTGCTGCCAAGGAAGCCACTTTTGTCCTCCAGATATGTCAGTGTTGCTCCTCAGGCAGCAACCTCAGAAGCCAGTGCAGATCAGAGCTCTGAGTGATCCCTCTCCTAAACCGCATTTGAGGTATGGTAGAAGTTTAGGGAATCCCATCGTTCCACGGGTATTGGGCCAACTAGTCTGAAGCAGATGTCATAGTCTAAACACAGATAAAGTATAAAGTGTTCCAGGAGCTTCCTCCCATCCTCTATCCTGCCCTCTACCACACACACACACCTGATATTGTGACAATGCACCATTAACAACATCACCAATTGTCCCTCGAGGATGCAAAGCTGAGCTCAGTGCCTACAGCTCTCGGACAATTGTGGGCACATGTCCTCTCCCACTCATGCCAGCCAAGACACACAATGTGTTCTGCGTTACAGACTAGACAGGGGGTCTGAAGAACAAGGAAATAATTCAGTCTTGCAGGCTGGGGTGAGATTGCGAATCAAAAGAACAATTTATGAGATCATTCAAACCTGGATGTGAAATTAATACCACACGGGATAACTCACCACAGACCACCTTGTTTGATTTTATTTTTTTCCTAGGAATAGGGTCTTCCTCCTGCTATCATTTATGTTTCAGACATTATAAAAACAACACAACCCTCTTGCTAGAAATTCCTGTAAGTCTGAAGTGCGAAGAGTTATGGCAGTAGCCTGAGCTTGAAGCAAATTTTGTCTGTTGTAAATGAATTCACTTTAGTTGAAGAGACTAAGTGTGTGTGTTAACCATTATCAAAACCCAGGAAGAAAAGTGCAACTTTGGTCAGGGTAGTTGAACCAGAACTTTCCAAGTCACTTGTTTAAAGCTCGAAGCCCTGGTCCTCAGGACCCCACTCTACTGGTCTCTACTGGTGAACTGGCATGTTCTCTGGGCTCCCATGAGACAAAAAGGAAAGCGCGTCAGCCTTTTGTCATTCCTTCCTAACCTGCCACACGGTCCAGGAGCCAAAACGAGTCCTGGTCCCACCCTGGAAGAGCTCAGGGCTGAGATTTTGAGGGGTTTGGAGCAGGCCACAGGGCTGAACAGGGTTCACAGGGCTCCAGAGGCTGCAGAGACTCAAATCCATGGTGCTGAATTAAGCCACAACCCCATAGTTACTGGGATCAGGTGTCACATCATGTCACTAAAATAACCCTCAGTGCAAGAAAGAAAGGGAACGTAGTCATCTGGGCCCACCTAGTCTGGGCATTGGGCCCTCTCCTATGGAGACTGAGACAAAAAAAAGGCTGCTGCTTTCAGCCTTCTGTGTAAAAGCGGCCCCGCCCCCAGCGGCTCCGCTAACCCATTTGTAGAAGGTCCTCTCTTCTCCAGGTGGCTTTTCCCAGTCCCTCTGGGCCTCCACCCCACACCTGTGACATTCACTGCACTGGATGCTCCTACAACAAGGAGACAGAGAGGCCAAAGGAACGCCAGCCCTCTTGAGCTACTTGAAAGACATTGTGGGCAGGATTGTGTGCCACACAGATGGATGCTAATGGGTAATTTAAAGTTTGCTTTTGTCAGTTTACTCCTGCAATTGGGAAACAGCTGTATGGAAAATACGAATTAAAACAGTTCTGGTTATCTACAAACTATCCCCCCACTTAGTGACCCAAACCAGCAACTCTTCTGTTGTTTCTCAAAAGGCTGGGTGCTGACTGGGCTCTGATGGAGGGCATTTCTGCCCCATGTGATGTCGGCTGGGGCTGAGGTCATGTGAGGCTTCATTGGGTTGGCACATCCCAGGTGACCACTCACTTGACTGGCAGTGGGTCCCGGCGGTGAGTTTGGAGCTGAGCTGAGGCTGCTGACCACAGTGCCTACGTGTGGCCTCTTCGTGTGCCTTAGGCTTCTCATGGTCACTGGGTTCCAAGAGTGAGAGTCAGAAGAGGGAGTGGCCCAAAGAAGGAGGAGGCAGGAGGCTGGACTCAGAAGGCAGGTCCTGAGACGGGCACAGTGCCACTTCCCCTGGGTCCTACTGATTTAGCAAGTCCAGGGCCAGCCCAGCTTCAAGAGGAGGGAAATAAACTCCACTTCTTAGTGAAGGGATTGACAATTTACAGCCACCTTTAACCCAGCACCATAACCTAAAGTGTAGCCTTTCCAGAGAAGACAATGTATGCTAGTCTGTGCCCATACAAACCCATCCTCTCAACCTACACAGCCCTTGCGAAGGGTCCCGAAGCCAGGCTGACTTCCCATGGAGTTTAAAACCAGTATTCCCAGCCTGGGCAACATGGCGAAACCCAGTCTCTACAAAAGATCAAAAACTAGCTGGGCATGGTGGTGCACACCTGTAGTCCCAGCTACTTGGGAGGCTAGAGAGGAAGGATCACTTGAGCCTGGGAAATTAAGGCTGCAGTGATGCAGTGAGCTGTGATCACCCCACTGCACTCCAGCCTGGGCAATAGGATGAGACCCTGTCTCAAAATAAAATAAAACCAATACTCCGCTCATGGCTCTTCCCTTGAAGTAGAAGCACTGTCCTTAGAAGGTGAATCAAAACTGGTGGAGTTAAGACCACAGCCACCAGAGCAAAGGACAGCTCATTGTCAAGGTGGGAAGAAGACTCCCCCTCAGGACACCTGCGTGGGGCAGCACCTGAGGGCTGGGCAGCAGCAGTTGCCATCTCCGAGGGCAGTCACCACACTCCCCAGTCACAGGCCACTCTCTGAAGGAGTCACTTGTTTTCAAGTTCCTGTGGGCACTGACTCCTGCTACAGCACTGACAGCCCAAACAGGTGTCAGCGCTGGGTGGCGAGTGGGCAGAGATCGCTGACAGCAGCATCGTTTCTTCACTCAATATTTGGATGCACACTGCCAAGTTGTCCTCTAGAAAAGCTGTGCCAATTGCTAGTCCTTATATCTGGTGTACTGGTATAGCTAGGACCTGGACAACAGTGGGCTTAGGACTTAGCTAGAGGAGCTGTCTAGCACCCCAAAGGAGTGTCAGGCTCCCTTCCTTGCATCCTCCTCCTCCTGTCAAAGTCACCCGTGACCTGCTGGTGCCAGTCCTGACGGGCTCCCTTCCATCTTTGCTCGTTCACTTACCTCCTCATTGTGGCGATTGATGCTCCTGTCCACCCCATCCCCATGGCTGGCCTTTTCTCTTTACTCCAGTTCCTTCATGAGCTCCTCTCTTTTGCCTACCCCTTGAACATAACATAGATGCTTCCCAAGGCTTTGCCCTTGGCCTTTTGCTCTTTTCTTATTCCAAGGGGGGAATGCTGTTAATTCTCATGTCACTCATTACCACCCGGGGGCTTACTGCTCAGACACCTTCTCTTCAACTTAGATGTCTCTTTCCATATTGTTTTGTGTTTTTTTTGGAGGGTTTGTTTGTTTGCCTGTTTGTTTTTGGAGGCAGGGTCTCGCTCTGTCACCCAGGCTGGAGTGCAGTGGTGCCACCACAACTCACTGCAGTCTCAACCTCCAAGGCTCAAGCAATTCTCCTGCCTCCCAGCTGGAACTACAGGTGCCCGCCATTACCCCCGGCTAATTTTTGTATTTTTTTGGAGAGATGAGGTTTCATCATGTTGCCCAGGCTGGTCTTGAACTCCTAGCCTCAAGCCATCCACTTGCCTTGGCTTCCCAAAGTGCTGGGATTATAGGCATGAGCCACAGTGCCTCTCTCAATGTTTGATTCTACATCCTCAGTTACCAGTGAAGATCTTTCTTGGGATGTCTCACAGGCATGTCAGACTCAACAAGTCCAGACCTGAACTCCTTGCCAACGTGCTCTTCCCTGGATTTCCTGTCTCCATGACTGGCATTGCCACTCGGCCAGGTCCCCACACCAGGGCACTGGAGCCAGCCTGGGGGACCTTCCCATCTACACCCCCACAGCCATTTGGTGATCAGAGCCTGTTGAGTCTGCCTTCTTTGTGCTTCCAACTCTCTCTGTTCTCCCTCTCTGCTACTAATGCCCTCATTCAGACCCTTATTACCTCAAACCCTTTGGAAATGATATTTTATCACCCACTATGCAGTGCTTCATGGGTCTCTAATCTTCTTTTATCAATGCACCAAGAAACAATGTAGAAGGACAGTGCAATGGCACTGTTTGTAACCAGATAGAGTTACAAAGAGTGCGTTTCCCATACTGGCCAGGAGGGATGGGCTATTTACAGTTCCTTCTCTTTACCTCTAAGAAACATACCAACAGACACTAAGCCCTGCTTGGGCCTGATATTTCAGAACCACCTCAACAGCCTTGGTTTCTCTGACTCTGGGGCTGTGTGTGCCTTCCTAGGTCATTGATAGCCTTCTTCTCCCAGCTTCCCCTGGCTCCCCAGGGAGCCTAGGTCAGGAAGTGCAGCAGGAGGTGTGTGGGGAATGTGTAATCCCTTTTTCAGAAATATTGTCTGACTCATGCATCTTTCTCACCAAACCAGGCCCAAGAGGCATTTGGGGCCACAGGTATGGAGAAGGCATCTCAAAGATGATCCTAGGGTCTGGGTGGCTCACAGGACTCTCCTGCAGTTGCTCCCTATTCTGGGTCTGAAATCATTCAGTTTGGGGTAATACTTGCTTGTATGCATGGTTTATTATTATTATTATTATTATTATTATTATTATTATTATTCTTGAGATGGAGTTTTGCTCTTGTCACCCAGGCTGGAGTGCAATGATGCGATCACGGCTCACTGCAACCTCTACTTCCCGGGTTCAAGTGATTCTGCCTCAGCCACCCGAGCAGCTGGGATTATAGGCGCCCGCCACCATGCCCAGCTAATTTTTTGTATTTTTAGTAGAGACAGGGTTTCACCATGTTGGCCAGGCTGGTCTTGAACTCCTGACCTCAGGTAATCCACCCACCCCGGCCTCCCAAAGTTCTGGGATTACAGGCGTGAGCCACCGTGCCTGGCCATTACTTGTATGCATGTTTTATGATGTCTTTAAGAAACCAAAATTTCATGATGCAAAGCAGCTGTGCCTTATTCCTCTCTGCCCCTTTCTCTTCTTAGCACCTGGTTCTAGTTTCTGGCACACAGTCATTGATCAATAATTATTGACATTCATTGATTGGCTTTTGGTCAATCATAACTTATGTTTATTGAGTACTTACCTGTGCCACATACAGTTCAAAATACTTTAGATATATTAACTCATAAAATTAACTGATTGAGTCCATGTAACAACACTGCTATCCTCATTTTAAAGCTGAGGGGAGTGAGGCTTGGAGAAGTGAAGGTAACTTACTAAACACGTAGAGTGAATTAGAGGGAAAGCCAGGAGCTGAATCTAGGCAGTCTGATCCTGGAATCCAACTCTTAACCATACCCAACACTGCTTTTGTGGTACAAGGTGAATAAGGATTATGCATCAGTAGTTGGAAAGGTTGTTGGTGGTGAAAGTGGTGTGGTAGGGGGGATGTTGGCTCATAAAACCTCAACTGTCACAGGGATTTACCCCAGAAAAAGGAAACCTGCGAACTGGATTCCTATAGCACTTTGGTTGTATTAGGTTGGTCAGGTCACAGATTTGAAAAAGCAGGAGTCTGGGTAAACATTCTATTATTATATTTTAGACAGGGTCTCACTCTGTCATGGAAGCTGGAGTGCAGAGGTGCGATCTCAGCTCACTGCAACCTCCGTCTCCTGGGCTCAAGCAGGCCTCCCACCTTAGCCTCTCGAGTAGCTGGGCCTACAGGTGTGCACCACCATGCCTGGATAATTTTTGTATTTTTTGTAGAGACGGGGTTTCTCCATGTGGCCCAGGCTGGTCTTGAACTCCTGGGCTCAAGCAATCATCCCCACCTTGGTCTCCCAAAGTGTTGGGATTACAGGCATGTGTCACTATGCCCGGCCTGGACACTCTTTTCTATATTAAAGCCCGGGTGATTGGCCCAAGTGTCCCCATGAGGCTTATGAGAAGCAGGAGATGCTGAAATCAATTCCTATTGAAGTGCATCTATTTCTACCTTCTTGCATTTTCTCTCCATATCTGGTTCCTCTTTCATCTCCCAGTTGAACCGGAAGCCTTTGAGGGTAGAGACCTTATTTCAGGTTTCATTTGGTTCCTCACAGTGACTAACTCAAGGATGAAGACTCAATCCATATTTGCTGGCTCACTGATAGATTAGAATTTGGTTAAGTTTGGAACCTAGAAGGTAAGATATGCTTAGCCAGACTAGCCAGGCTAGTCGTCTCTTCTCTTCCTATGACAGAGGGAGTAGCTGCAGTGGAGCTGAAGGCACACAGCTGTTGCACATTATGTTGTGATGACTGTGAAAGCAACTCCAGTTCCAGACCAAAAAAAAAAAAAAATTTAAAGGTGCTGACTTTCCCTGATGTCAGAGATGACCCATTGGCTAGATTCTCTCCTCAGACTTCATATCCAGGCCTGGTCTTTGCCAAAGATGGAAGTTTATTAATTACCTTGAGTTGGTGAAGTGGGATCTAGTTCCCTCCCCTGTACTCAGAAAATATGGAAGGACTAGTGGCCAAACACCACTCTGGAAAATTACTACCCATGAAGGAGATTTTGTGGCAGGCTCAAGAGGAAATGGAAGATTTTGACTGCTCATTCCTGAGCTAAGGAGAAGGCATTTAATGACTTACCTGTAGGGAACACTTAGTCTGCTCCCATCACAGATGCCTTCTCCAGAGCTTCCTTTTTCCTCATTCTTCTCCAGTGCTTTTTTTTTTTTTTTTTTTTTTTTTTTTTGAGACGGAGTTTCACTCTTGTTGCCCAGGCTAGAGTGCAATGGTGTGATCTCGGTTCACTGCAACCTCTACCTCCCAGGTTCAAGCAATTCTCCTGCCCCAGCCTCTAGAGTAGCTGGGATTACAGGCATGAGCCACCATGCTGGGCTAATTTTTGTATTTTTAGTAGAGACGAGGTTTCACCATGTCAGGGTGGACTTGACTCCTGACCTCAGGTGATCTGTCTGTCTCAGCCTCCCAAATTGCTGGGATTACAGGCTTGAGCCACCGCGCCTGGCTCCAGTGCATCTTGGCTTCCTCATCCATTTCAGTTTTCCATCCAAATTTCTGATTCTTTCTATCATCTGCCTCCTTCCATCACCTCAAATAACCAAGTCTCCCTTCTTCTTTGGGCTCTTCTGAAAACTTATGAGCAAAATTTGAAAGAGAATTAGATCAAGTTTGCCTCTGTCTCTCCCAACCTCAGTTGTAAGAATCACAAAGTCCCTTATAGTTAAAATCCACTCAGGCTAACAAAGCAGGGAAGTGGCCTTTGGTCTTTGGGTCTGTAGACATCGCTGAGGATGAACAACCACTCCACTGCCTATGCTTCTCATTATCCCTGTGTGCCTGAGGAAATGAGGCTTTTTAAAAATATACTAATTTGAGATCTCTGGAAAAATCTCGGTTTTTATTCCAGGTAATTTTATGACTCATTCAGGATAGTTATGTGGTTCATCAGACCTTTGAAACTAAAGACTGAAAGAATTAAACAAAACCAAACAAAATACTACAGACTTCGCAAACCTGAGAGCAATCTATGACATTTGAGAGAAGTAACTCAGTTATTTAAGCTTCACTGTTAATGTTGAAAATAAGAAGTAGCACGTGGTTATAATAAGCTTTGCCCTCTGAAAACTGTGGGAAGTGGCTGAGGCAGATATTTATTGGGTTGTCTCCCAAAACAGTGATTATCTCTTCTCCGATGATTACTCCACCGTGCCCCATAAGGGTAAGCTTGGGGCAGCCATATTTATGCAATGTGGGCTGGAGTGAATGCCTGGTTCAAGATGGGTCAGTCAGTGGCTCCTTCCTAAGACAATGGGAATGAAATCAAGAGGGACATTCAGTGTTTCTTCAGGTGGCTGCAAACTTGGGTTCTATTGGTAACCCTGTTCTCTGATGTGTGTACTTGAGAAGCAGGGCTAGTTTACAGAGAGATAGAGAGGGAGAGGGAGAGAGCATGTGGAACTGAGAGAGAACTTCCAGGTTTCCCCACAGCCTTCCACTTCCTGGCCCCAGTTCCTTTCTACATTTTTGCCAGGAGGTTCTGTGAAGCATCCCTCTGGCTTTATAATAAACTTCCCCTTGCTGGTTTGAATCGGTTTTTATCACTTGCAATCAAAAGAATCCTAATTGGTATAAGAGTGATATTTTCCTTCCAGGTATTTGATTAAAAATCACATGTATTAGAGACAAAATTTAAATATAAGCCTATCACTATAGAGGTACTAACAGAATCACTAACAGGAAGATTGGTCTAGAGATGCAGTGCTTTTAGGGGCCATCATTTAACACACGTGGAAACTGAGGCCCAGGAAGGCCACATCCCTTGCCAAGGTCAAGTCTGTGTCCGAACCAGGCCCCTAGACTTGACTCCAAGACCATTACTCTTCCCCTAATACTCATTCACTTTGATTGAAGTATTGTATTTACATTCACAACTTGTGCACTTTTAAAAATAGTCGATATAGTCCTGCATATTCTTATCTCCAATTTTTGCTTGAAAAGCTGAAACTTGAAGATGCTAAATGACATCAACAAGGCTACACACTAACAGAACTAGAACTAGAAGCTTTCCCCCAGGCAGAAGGTTTGCCCCAGGAGGCCAGATTTCTCCGTCCATGCATGCAGGTCGACATTGATGCGGTTAGATGAGCAGATCTATCAGGTAGAGTTTTTGGGGTGATTCATCTATTCAACAAACATTTATTGAGTACTTACTGAATTAAGGTGGGCATTGTTCCTGGGTCAGGAGATATGGTGAGGAATAAATTAGGTTGATTGGTCTTCTGAGTGTTTGTGAGCTTAAAGAGCTTTAAACCTAATATATGTATATGTGGGAGGGGGGGTCCACAGATGTTTGGGTTCTGGGTGGCAGTGAGAGATCCCCACTCAAGTGTAAGTTCCACGAAAGCAGAACTGGCTTATTTGACAGTGTCACCAGAATAAATAGCATGGTGCCCAAAGCATGGTAGAGTGAGTGAGGGAATGAATGTGACCGACCCAGAGAGCCAAGGAGGTGAACAACTACTACAGCACAGTGACTCTGAGTACAGAAGGCTCAATTATCCAGGCTCATCTCCTTATCTGTCTGTTTTTCCCAGTTGCTAGAGTGTGACTTCTTTGGAGTGAAGTTGTTTTGTTTGTTTATTTATTTTCTGAATTTCCAGCACACATCAGAGTGCGCTGGGGATACAGTCAAGGAAGCTCTTAATTGGGACATAAGAAGCAAGCTTCCTCAACATGGTAACTTTTAAACAAGTCTTGGCAAGGTGAGATGGAACTTGGGTAGTGTCTGCCAGAAATGGACAGTTGGGTTTGATCAGGTCTAAGGCAGTCTCTGTTTTGACCCAGATATTACAAAGTCCCTCCTCACGAAGATATGCACATGTGATTGTGGAAACAGTGGAATGTATCTGGGATTAGAATGAAATCTGCCAGCTGATGGAAGGAATATAAATACAGAAATGGGAACATGGGGGAAGGATGGTTCCATGGGTCCGAAGTCCTTTGAAGTGAGGGCTTTTTGGACTTGCCATGTTCTTGATTTAAAAATGTCACGGTTCCCCTTGGATTGCAAATATAATATCTGACCAACAGCAAAACCATTGTCATGGGTGCCTGCCTCTGTGTCATGTAAAAAAACAGTGAGATTTAACATGTATTTCTTCAATGGGTGTTGAGTGATAAATCATCCATTCGTCCATTTATTCAATGTATGATTTCTACATTTATCTGGTGCCTATATTATGGTGGGTCAGGCTATGGGCAGCTCAAAGATAAATTTACAGAGGACTATGCAATTAACAGCTTGTCAGCTCTGTGTACAAAACTGTTAGATTCTCTATCATTCTTGGCCATAGTGGTAAGAGGTAGCCTTTGGAAATTAAAAGGTACGAAACAAACTTTAGGCAATTGCAGTGATAACCCACCTGCAGCAGGATTTAAGTACCAGTCAGTTGGTCTGGGCCACGTTTCCAAAGTCACTAGGAGCCCTGAAAACCTCTGTATAATAAGGTAAGTTTTTCATTAAGCTATTTTTATTTTATGGTACAGGAAATTGGTTGAAGCTGTCAAAAAGAATCACTATTAAGCATGTTTTCTGGGGAGAAGAATTCTAGGACAGCTTATCAGAGGGGTCACCCCAGGAAAGGGGAGAGATGTCTGTCACAGCCTGATGGGTGGTGTCTCACCATTGATCTCTGGCAAGTTGTCCTGGAAAGGATGGTCAGAGTTCCAAAGTACAATATTATATTTCCAATTAAAATGTAAAAATAAACCTTTTTCATAAAACACATTGGCCTCGGCTCTGGAAAGCGACTACAAAGCCCAGTGCTTTGATTGAGACAAGCTGAAAGCAGACACTGTAATTGATAACGGAGATAAGTCAATCTGTGTCCTTTAGAGAATAATGAGTTCCATTTTTCATCAAAAAGATCTCCTTGTGCCGAAGAAACATACTTTCAATAAATCTACTTAATGGTTTCCCTCTAATGATATATAACATTGCTCTTTGGAACCGAGCGTTGCAGCGGGTCCCTGCCAACAACTGCAGGCCACCCATCATCTGCATTGGTAATTCAACCCAAAGAAAACCCAGGCGGTTCCCAGGAAGTGCTGCTGTGCAGGAGAAAATACCCGAAGGCCTTCCTGGACTCTGTGAGCAGGTAGAGAGGATGGGATTTGAATAAATAAGCTATCACTAAGCTTGAGCTCCTATGCAAATTTCCATTCCCTCGCCCCCACCACCATTGCTGTATTCATGGATATATCGGGTCTAAGGGTGACTTATCTAAGGATAAGCTGTGTCAGACAGCTCAAGAGTTAAATCCTTCAGATACGTGCGTCGTGAGAACTGATTAGCTGGGTTTGTTCCCGGAGCTCATTGCTCTCCTATAGACCTGACAGCCTTGGTGTAGTTTGATGTGGGCTGCCGGAGGGAGCCTGTGTTTATTGCATTGGGTAAACTGAAGATCCACTTCAATGATCCTGCCTGAAGCAGTCCCTCGCCCCATTTGAGGGTCTAAACCTCAGGTGGCGAAGGCCTAGCAGAAGGAAGGGCCTGCGCCCTTCAAAGGGAATGATTTAGGGCCATCTGCGCCCTGGTGTCAGGCAGCAGGACTGGGTTTCCATCCAGTTTACCTTTGTGAGCCCCAACTTTACAAATGTGCTGCTTTTTTTCGCAAGGACTCAGCTTTATGTAACATAACCTATTTCCTCCAAGGGCACCCAGCCCTCCCAATACTGACGGACTTCCCCACATGGGAATCATTAAAAACAACCCTAGAGTTATTTCCTTATGTTGCTGTTTGTTTATTCTCCAGTCGCGTGTGAGTCAGCCAGATCATGATTTGTGGTGGTTTTGCTTGTGAAATCTTACATAATTATATTCCTATTGTCATGTTGGGTCGAGCAGTTAGACCATGTAGTGTTTTCTCATTGCACAATGTTTGCAAATCAATAAGGAGAAAGCCTGAACAATGCGATGACGTTGGCCAGGAACCCGGCCCGAGTCACCCAGGAGGCGGCTCTGCAGTTTCTCAGGTACAGCCTATCCATTCTCTAATCCCACTGCTGGGCAGTGACTAGGCCGGGTGGTGGCCTTTCGGATGGGTTTCACGGAGGTGATATTTAAAAGATGAGAGTGAGAGAACAAAAGAACAACAACAGCGCTTCACACAGAAACCAACCACATTTTTACTGCATCTGCTCCACGCTGGATTCCAACATGCTGGCCCGGAGCGTGGCTGGCTGGAAGCAACTCCAACAGGTTTTTCCCTTCCCCGTCATGTACATTATTTATTTTTGATCCTACTCACTGTCCCAAGTCCAGAGGCAGTTACAAA
Organism: Homo sapiens; assembly: GCF_000001405.40. Taxonomy (NCBI): domain Eukaryota; kingdom Metazoa; phylum Chordata; class Mammalia; order Primates; family Hominidae; genus Homo; species Homo sapiens. The sequence goes on from NC_000008.11 coordinate 73,420,542, forward strand.
AAACACTCTTGATGCAAACCGTGAGTGGCTACAACACACGGATGGGGGTGGGCGCGATTCCCACAACAGGGAGTGGAATCCGGGAAGATGATATATAGGGGCAAGACGCCCCCTTACTTGCTAAGAGTATATGGAGCTCAAAACCCACAATTGCTTTGTTTTGTTTCTCAGTTCCTGGAGTATGTTGAAACTACTTGCTCTTAACATTAGTTCGTATTTTTCATCAGATATCTGACCTGATTTAAAACATGTTTGTTTGCATACATCTTTTTGTAGTGCACCTTATAGTTATTCCTACTGATATAGGATGAAGATTATAAATATCTGCATAAAAAGAGAAACCATGTGACTCTATATGAAGACAACCATCACATTCCACAGCACATCATTGGTTCATTTTCGAATTGTCAAGCAGTATTTGAAATGAGAGAGAGAGAGAATATAACTGAACACAAGCACCACGACAAAACAATCATAACAACAGAACCAAACCCAACTTCTCTATTATTAATCATGTTAAAATTTTAGCTTTGTTTCTAACACTTTTCTTTACTTGTTATTTTAAGCTCCAGTAGCAGGATCAGATTTCTGCTGCCTCTAGGCAAATGAGTTATGATCTGATCTCGAGTTCCAAGGGAAATGCTCAAAGTTTTATTTTTCCCCAGTTGAATAAACAGTACCATGTATATTATCTCTCGTGTTAGAATAGTGTTGTCTTCACATAAGACTCAAATAATGGTATTAGTCATTCATTTCCCTGAACACAGACACCCTCATGCGTGCTGACAGGTTTATAAGGATGCGGTGGCAGCCGCGGGTTCTGGGAGCTGCTAGACGGCCGAGTTTGATTTCTTGCAGTCCTGAGCGATGGAGCCCGGGGGTGCCTGGTTATTGTCCGCTTTCTCTCTCAGATGCTTGGCTTGTCTGAAAGATTAATACATTAACAAGAGCTGAAGGCCTGGGGTTGCACATCTTCAGACATGTTTATTAGCAGATGGCACAGAGGATTCAAAGGTCACCACAAAAGTGACATTTTAAAGTGAAACAACAATATTTATGTTCAGATAGTCTACTGATGAGATCATGTGGAAATGTTTTTGATTAAATTAGCTTATAAATGGTTGACAATCTATAGACAACTTAAAATGCCATGTCTGTTTACCAAATGTTTTCTTCTCACGCTCTCACCTTCTAAATATTAACAACCAAATGCTGTTTTTTCTTATTAAAAATTTTTTGGAATGCTCATTTAACTGTAAGATCAGTGTATCTGGTTTTTACTTCCTGGGTTGACTATTTTTATTTTCTTTTAAACCTAAAAATGTTATCTCCTGCATGTGTTCTGAGATCCTACCTGCTATTATTACTGCTTGGAAAGAGGTTGAATTCTACTATATAAATATAACCCCTTTCCATTTTTTTTTTTTTTTTAGTATAAATTGAGTCTCTGGAGAGACCCCAAATTCAGTCTCTTTGGTGAGACCTTCTGTTCACATCTCATTAAAGCAAAGCTATGAGCTGGATTTCAGAAATAATTACGACAGCTGCATCTTTTGCCCGTGTAGCCCTTGGGAGCCACACTTTGTGGCAATGTGTGCTGGTGTTTCATAGAAAACAACACGGAAAACCGAATGCAGCCGAGGGGAGGGGCGCCTCCTCTCAACTTCTTTTTCTTTTCTCTCCGCTTTGCCCACAACTTAGCAGGAATGTGAGTGAAAACTTTCACCGCTGAAAATGGCTTAGCCAGACAATGCTCTACAGTATGAAGTGAAAAACAATGTTTTGTAAGTTTTACAAGTCTCTACAGTCAGGACAATGCACAAATATTTCCAACAAAGCAATGAAATGCAAAATCAGTGACCAATTAGTAGGTTAAAACTTTCACAGAAATATTACAGGAGATGTATATGGCCATATATACTGGTTTTCATTTCTTTACATTTAATTGTATTATTAATAATTGTGTAAGATGTAGATACTATTGTCGACTTTTTAAAACATTATTATCTATGTCTTATCTTTTGTACAGTTACAATTAAAAGTGTAAGAATACTGACAGGGGATTTACTCACTTTTCAAGAGAACCTTTTTCGATATTCATTGCTCCATCGATTGGATCCAGTCCTTGTTCAGAAAATTGTTTCAAGGCACTTAAGGCTGCCTAAAAATGAAAACAAACAGAGAGAGCCATTCACTGACTCTAGTGTAATGAACAAGTAACTGAAAGAAAGCTGAGATAGAAAGACTCATTTTCATTAGTCTACATAATTTTTTTTTGCATTGTTTAACAAAAGTACACTAGAAAGTCTGCATGATCAGGCAGCAGTGTATATACATAACCGGAACTAGAAGGGCTTTAAGTCTCCTGCCTTATCCCTTCTCCACAGTTTTGCAAAATTGTGATGTTTTATCTGCAAACATGGCAACACCTCATATAAGCTTAAAATACTTCCATGGTGACATTGCATAATTTCTCACGTTACTGAAACTACACATTCTCTTCTCTCAGGTGTGACATCCAAATTTTCCACCTTGAGTATTCTTTCCAAAGTAAGCATAAAGGTATTGTTCAAATTGATAGACACTTAGCCCCAGTCAAGGTACAGAATGTCAGCAGAGGAATGGACAGTAGGTCCTCATGCAGACTGAGGGGATGGATGGTAAGATGGGATCCTGAGAGGATGAGGAAAGAGAGAAAGTTTGGGCTGGTCATGTTCTGGGGAGGCAGGCCTGCCGGGCAGAGCCTCCCGAGGTGTTGATAGGCTCGGGGTGCGTGGGAAGCCGCAGGGTGTGAACAGGCTGGTGGAGCCTTGCTGTATAGCTGGGAGGCACCAAAAATGCCATGCTGATAAGATCTACATAACTTGTTGACACTCTTGTGCATGTTCCAAACTGTTATTTCTTTGAGTAAGAATTTGGGTCTTCCTCCCCTCCCCCAAGCCCGACACTGCTGAGTGAGATTGGAAGGGCTCTGCTGAGTCTGAGATGGGCATGAGCAGGCAGGGCTGTTTTCATCCTGGGGCATCCCGCTGGGTCACACTTGGGGCATCTGTGTCTTCTCAGCTGCCTTTGAAAACGAGCTAGCTCTTGGCGGTTTCCCAAACTTTTATCTGCCAAGAGCTCCTTTAGGGTAGCTGACTAAGTGCATGATTTCCTTTAAGTTTCTTTATTCAGAATATATTTTGGAGGTGTGATTCTTTTTTAGTTAATAGTCTTGTGAGGTTTACAGAAAACTTGGGCAGGTAGTACACAGAGTTCCCATATTCTTCCCTCCCCTAAATACGGTTTCCCCAATCATTAACATCTTGCATTGGTATGGTACATTTGTTATAGCTGATGAACAAATATTGATAGCTTATCATTAACTGAAGTCCATGGTTTACATAAGGGTTCACTCTGTGTGGTACATTCTGTGGGTTTCAACAAATGCCTAATGGCATTTATCCACCATTAGAGTATCATATAAAATAGTTCCACAGCCCTACAAATCCTCTGTGCCCCACCTATTCACCTCCCCCCACCCCCACCAGCCCCCTGGCAACCACCAATCTTTTTACCATCGCTACAGTTTTGCCATATAGCAGTTGGGATCATACAATATGTCACCTTTTCAGATTGGCTTTTTCACTTAGCAATGTATATTTGAAGCTCCTCTATGTCTTTTTTTTTTTTTTTTTTTGACTGAGTCTTACTCTGTCGCCCAGGCTGGAGTGCAGTGGCACGATCTGGGCTCACTGCAACCTCTGCCTCCTGGGTTCAAGTGATTCTACTGCCTCAGCCTCCCAAGTAGCTGGGACTGCAGGCCTGCACCACCACACCCAGCTAATTTTTGTATTTTTAGTAGAGACGGGGTTTCACCATGTTGGCCAGGCTGGTCTCGAACTCCTGACCTCGGGTGATCCACCCACCTTGGCCTCCCAAACTGCTGGGATTACAGGTGTGAGCCACTGCACCCGGCCCCTCTTTTTGTGAACGATATGGCTTTTCATAAATGAGCTTCGTAGCTCCTTTTTATTGCTGAATAATGTCCCATCGCATGGATGCACCACAGTTTGTCCGTTCACTTATTGAAGGACATCTTGATTGTTTCCAGTTTTTGGCAACTATGAATAAAACTGCTATAAACATCCATATGTGGAATTTAATGTGTAATATTCATAATACTTTTTTCTTTCTTCTCTCTTGCTTTTCTATTGTTGCTTTTTAATCACAAATCCTATATCCAAGCAAAAGTCGGCATGCGTCCTTTCTTTTTCTTTAGATTACTCCTTCCTTTCAAATCTTTAAATCAGGCTTCCTAGATCAGAGGTGCTAATGTGAGTGCCCATGCAGATCTGCAGCCCTGGCCCGGGCATCCCGAAGCAGGGAGGATGTGGTGCTCAAGTCTCAGTTATCATCATAATCTCTTTGGACCTGGAGTGCTGCAGGGAGAAGGTCAGTGATGCCACCCCATAGCTCCTGATCCTGGCCCATGCTCATGCTGGACAACAGCCAGGTGGGTTTTGATGGGAGGTAGGCGCTAACTTCAGTGGGGTGGGAGCTGTGTGGCCATCTCCCTGGATACTGTTATAGGTCGAATTGTGCTCTTCCCCCAAATTCATATGTTGAAGTCCTAACCCCCAGTATCTCAGAATGGGGCCTTATAGAATGTGGCCTTATTTAAAAATAGGATTAGTACAGATGTAATTAGTTAAGATGAGGTCATACTGGAGTAGGGTAGGTCCCTGATCCAATATAACTGGTATCCTTATAAAAAGAGGAAACTGGAACACAGACCCACACAGGGAGAACGCCACGTGAAGATGGTGGTAGGGGCTGGAGTGATGCCGCAGCAGCCAAGGAACACCAAAGATTGCCAGCAAAGCACTCGAAGTGAGGAGAGGGGCCTGGGACAGATTCTCCCTCACAGCCTTCAGAAGGAACCAGCCCTGCCAGCACCTTGATCTTGAACTTCTAGCCTCCAGAACTGTGAGACAATACACTCCTGTTGATGAAGCCACTCAGTTGGTAGTACTTTACTACAGCAGCTCCAGCAAACTGTACAGGGACCTCATAGCTTCTCTTTAAGGATAGCAAAATCTCTCTCTCTCTCTCTCTTCTCTCTCTCTCCCTGTATTATTTTTTGTTATAAAAATAGTTTTTTGTTACAGAAAAGTCAGAATATATAGACAAGCAAAAAGAATGTAAAAAGTATCCACAATCCTGCTCACCATTCACATCTTGGCGCACGTCTTTCCATATCACTTGTTTTTTTTCTCTCTTTTTTTTTGAGATGGAGTCTTACTCTGTCACCCAGGCTGGAGTGCAGTGGTGTGATCTTGACTCACTGCAACCTCCACTTCCTGGGTTCAAGCAATTCTTGCACCTCAGCCTCCTGAGTAGTTGGGATTACAGGCATGAGCCACCACACCCAGCTAATGTTTGTACTTTTAGTAGAGACAGGGTTGCACCATGTTGGCCAGGCTGGTCTTGAACTCCTAGCCTCAAGTGATCCACCTGCCCCAGCCTCCCAAAGTATTGGGATTACAGGCATGCGCCTCTGCCCCCAGCCTCCATATCACTTAGTATCCTCTCCCCATGTCTACAAACTGTAGCCTGGATCATGTCTTAACACTGTAGGTAACCTGCTTTTTTTTTTTTCAATGATAAATAATAATTGTACACATTCATGGGGTGGGTAACAATGTTGCAATACACATAATGCATAGTGATCAGATCAAGGTAATTAGTACATCAATCATCTCAAACATTTATCATTTCTTTTTGTTGGGTTCATACAATATTCTCCTTCTAGCTGCTTGAAACTATAGAACATATTACTGTTAACTATAGTCTTTCTACAGTGGTATAGAGCAATAGAACTTATTCCTCATATCTAGCTATAATTTTGTATCCTTTAATAAATTTCTCCCTATCCCTCTCTTCCCCCTACCCTTCCCAACCTCTAATATCCTCTGTTCTACTTTTTACTTCTGTAAGATCAACCTTTTTAGCTTCCACACATGAGCAAGAACAAGTGGTGTTTAACTTTCTGTGCCCTGCTCATTTCACTTCACATTCGCCCAGTTTCATCCACATGGCCATAAATGACAGGATTTCATTCTTTTTTTACGGCCGAGTAGTATTCCATTGTATACATATACCATGGTTTTTTGTCCGTTCATCTGTTGTGTGCTCTTTTCATTGAATGTGTGCAGTATCAACAGAAACATTTCGGTAGCATCATTTCTCATGACTGCACAGTATCCTATCGATATCCTGTGTGATACCAACACTGCATCAAATTTCCTATTGGTTCAATCTTTATGCATCATCTCAATACTTTCCTTATGATAAATTCCTAAAATTGCATTTCTGAGCCAAAGATGATGTCCATTTTTAAAGATTTTTTTTTTTTTTTTTTTGAGACAGAGTTTTGCTCTTGTTGCCCAGGCTGGAGTGCAATGGCGTGAACTCGGCCCACCACAACCTCTGCCTCCCGGGTTCAAGCGATTCTCCTGCCTCAGCCTCCCGAGTAGCTGGGATTACAGGCATGCACCACCACGCCAGATTACTTTTGTGTTTTTAGTAGAGATGGGGTTTCTCCATGTTGGTCAGGCTGGTCTCGAACTCCCGACCTCAGGTGACCCGCCTGCCTCAGCCTCCCAAAGTGCTAGGATTACATGCGTGAGCCACTGTGCCCAGCCTTAAAGATGTTAATATGAGCTCTCTATCCACCCTTGGA